>NC_000007.14:133756779-134381779 GCF_000001405.40 Homo sapiens
GAAAATTGGAAGATATTCTGAAAAGCATGTATAAAACACATTGCAAGGTTACATAAAATAGTGACAAAAATGAGTTCAATATATCTGGATCTGATCTGATTATTTAGTTTAGGAGAATCGCTGTTGTCAAAGATGGTGACTCTGGAAATGCTAAACTCAGGCTTCTAGAATGAGAAGGGGAAAATGGGCAAGGTCACGATGGTCTAGCTGCTTTTTAAAAATATGTATTAAGGGATTGAATATGTTTCCTAGCTTCACTGTATATTATTAGAAAATCTATCTGTGAAATTGGTTGTTCGAGATTTCGTTTTCTGTGCGTAAGTGGCTGTTCAGATGCTTACATGCTGTCTTAATACCGAAGATGCCATCCTTTTTTCCAGGGCCCTCTTCTTACATGGGAAGATAGTGGATCCTACTTTAAAATGCGATTATAGTGGGGAAATAATATAATGTTGAATGTGAGCCATTGAACACAAATTGCATTTTATGGCTATAGTTAAATGGCTCAGGATTGTTCTGCTGAGTTAAGGGAGGTGGGAGGAAGTAGTTTTAGGAAAAAAATATGAAGCATCTTACTTTTAAAAAAATGCAGATTGTGTTTGCTTTGTGATTTTGATGTTTAAAGGAGTGTCATGAGTATGCTTCAGCTTTGGAAGTGTCCAGGTTGAGATGAGAGAGAGGAATGTTAGACAGCCCTTTTCCTGAGGGATTCTGAAGTCAAAACTACTTGGTGGATTCTTCTGAGAGAGGCCTATGCCGTGGAATCCCAAGTTGGATTAAATTATGGTGAAAAAAGGACAATAATCCCACAGTGGGATATCTTCCATTGTCCGTGCAAAACCCTTCTATATTAACATTCTTGCAATACTGCAGGACTGGATAAAGACAAGGTATTCGTATATCTGGATTCACCTAAATATGTGTTTGTTCAGTGACCCCATTGGCTCCTCGTCAGCCCTGAGTGCTATTCATATGACAAATACTGTGTGGGTGCTTCTGTGTTTATAAACTCATTTAATCCCCTTAACACGCCTATGAGATAGTTACCTTACTATTATTATCCCTCATTTTTAAACAGATAAGGAGACTATCTTAAAATTTTTAACACAATTTGCTTAAGTTGACACAAGTAAATGGGAAAACAGAGCTTTGAACTCAGGATGTCGAGCTGCAGAACCTGCTTTCTTATCCAGAGGGGTTGAAGAAGGATCACATTAATGGTTGCTTTTATTTTTTGTTCAGTTGGGGGAATTTTGAATTGCTAGACTATTTAGGAAAACATCTTTATTGGGATTATTAGTAAGTGTGATCCAGGCAGAAAGTCATGAAGCTAATATGAAATAATGAAATCAGTGCATAGTTTATTTATTTTATTTTTGTTTTTGAGATGGAGTCTCGCTCTGTTGCCCAGGCTGGAGTGCAGTGGCGTGTCTCGGCTCACTGCAACATCTGCCTCCCGAGTTCAAGCGATTCTCCTGCCTCAGCTTCCTGAGTAGTTAGAGGCACGTGCCACCATGCCCGGCTAATTTTTGTATTTTTAATAGAGATGGGGTTTCACCATGTTGGCCAGAGTGGTGTCGAATTCCAGACCGCAAGTGATTCTCCCACCTCTGCTTCCCAAAGTGCTGGGATTACAGGCATGAGCCACCGTGCCCGGCCCATAGTTTATTCCTTGAATTGAATGGTTACTTATTGAATGCTTATGATATCCCAGGCCCTAGGGACAGAAAGATGATTAAAGGCTAGGTCTCAATCCCTGAGGAGCTCTCTGTCTGGGAGAAGCAGATATACAAATCAACAGGTACACAGAGTCACATATACAGATGCCATGAGGGCACTGGGGATGAACACGTGTTCTTTGTTTCACTTATATTTCGAGAATGCATATATATTTTTGATAAGTAAAATAGACACATGCTATATAGTTATACACTGAAAGTGTGTATGTGTACATCATAGTTTCATTAATTTTTCTTGCCAGACAACCAGATGATTCTTTATTAATCTTTGAAGTTTAATAACCTTACTAAGATATAGCTCTTCCCCCTGCCCCCCAGAGATACAGCATGCCTTTTTAGTCTGTAGACTACAGAGGACAAAGATCATGTTATTCATAAGGGGAAATCAAGAATTCAAGTGCTTTGGCAGTTTCAAGTGCTTAAGGAAAAAAATGCTGAAATTTTGAGGTGTCTCTAGAGGGTAAAGAGGAATAAGGAGAGGGACCACTATCATGTGGACAGAGTAGACAGTTTTAAATGTGATGAATTTTTTTGGATTTAGGGATTGCTCCCCATGCCAAAAAACCCCTACGGGCACACCTCCTAGCCCAGCTAATTTAAAACAAACAAACAAACCAACAAAAGAATTTTTTTTTTTTTTTTTTGTTAGAGATGGTATCTCACTTTGTTGCCCAGACTGGTCTTGAACTACTGGCTTCAAGCAGTCCTCCTGCTTTTATCTCCCGAAGTTTTGGGATTACAAGGATGAGCCACTGCACCTGTCCAGAATCCTTTTTCTCATGGAATATTAAACTAAGATATTATTTCTCTGAGCAGTCATCTTTTAAAACTCAAGTGGATCTGGGAGAGGCTACTAAATGATGATGAGATGATGATGGTAACATTATGATGTTTTAAAATAGTACATAGCTGCACTGTGTCTCAGGCACAGATCTACAGTGGCTTTCCAAGTACAAGTATTATCTCACTTAAAAACAGCTGTCCTATGAGTGTCCTCATTTTGCAGATGAAGAGATTTTGGCTTAATAGATTTACATAACTTTTTCATGGTTACATGACTAGTAAATGGCAGAGCCAGGATTCAAACCCTGATAGTATGACTCTTACCCCCACTGCATATAAAGTTGTCATTAGATACTTGCCACCTGGAATCATGAATTGACTCCTTTCCTGTATCCTCTATGACAGCAAACTGAGAGAAGGTCCCTGCTTAGTTGGAATTCTGATGGAGGTTGAGGGAAAAGAAGAAGGAGAAAGGTTATCAGTCCTTGGATGTTGGGGGCGTGGGGGTGGTCAGAGTTTAGGAAGGAGTACAGTAGAAGAAAAGTAAGATGGGAAGGCATTGGCCTACTCACCTGCTTTCCAGTTTGGGCTAGAAGCAGTCTCAGGTATGAGAAAAGAACATGAAAGGGCTACAGAAAAGAACTGAGAAGGAACAGTGTGCAGGTGAGAATTCAGTTTTGACTCTCCACGTCAGCACGAGTTTGGCCAATGATGAAATGGCGTAATGAGTGAAAATCCCTTACTGGCAAAATCACCAGAAAGTAAATTCTGTTTTTAGGGGTGCTGTTGTGCTGCTTAGTTCCGTGTAATCAGGCTACTCTCTTGGGACAGCCATTGTAAACACTGCCTTCCTGATAAGGATATAGCAAGTTGTATAGAGTCAAAGCCAATTTGTTTAACAGAGCCATTCAGAAGACCCTGTCCATTTTTTGTTCTTTTAATGAAGAAAGTAACGTTTTGAATGTAGTGTTTATGTATAGTGACTATATTGGAATATAATGTGTAATGCTTTCAATAAACCCAGAAACTTTTCCAAAATATTGTCTTGGTTCATAGGATGTGATATGGAAGGATAGACACCGTCTTAATATTTTCCCCCAACAGAATGTCAATTCTTAGAGTAGGGGTGGGGCAGGAAAGTGGGCTATAAAATCACTGGCTATAAAATCAACTTTTCCCCTTTGAATCTCAGAATTCAGTGTCTTCTAGGGCAGATCTCTACTCATCATCTCTACCTGATATGACCGCACACGTGAGTGCCTGGCACCTGCTCTTTCTCTTGCTCTGATGACCACTTCCTTTCTGCCCATCTGTTTTGACCTCGCACCATTCTGGAGCTTTTAGGAAAGGCATTTGTAACAAAGGCAGGACCCAGGTCTCCTGGTTTTCATCTCCGTATTGTTTTCACTATATTATAAAACCTTCTTTACTTAAAAAAAAAAAAAAGTTTAAATGTAGCCTAGCATGCTTAATGTCCTATCAGGTTGATTTAAAAGGGGCCTTTTATCTGGACAACAGAAAGTTCTGTGTAACAAAAGTATTTCCAAGGCTTAGGAAATGCTCTTATTTCAAGCAATATTTGATACAACAACATTCTAAGCAAATAAACAGATACATATCACCTTTTGTATTTCTGTTTATCATTATTTGACCCATAACACCCAGTTTTACAGCTTGATGGCAAAAAAACAAGATGGCAAATTCACAACCCTGCAGCAAAATTATCATGTGTTCAGCCTATTGATGATAAGTGAGAGGGCAAACAAACCGATAAATTAAGAATTTAGTATTAACAATAAATCTACTGGGGCTTCAGCCTTCCCTAATTAAGAAGTCTTAGAGGGAGATTAGCATTCTCTGTTGATGTTTACCTTTGAAATTTTGAACAAAGCATTGTAAGCAGAAGATGCCCTAAGGAGCATTTTTGGAAAAATCCCAACAAGTGCATAGAGCGACACAGATGAGATGATTCAATTAGCTTGGATAACACTATTTCTTCTAAAGTATCTGAAACAGACTCATGAAACTCATAAAAAGCCTTGTATTTTCTACCATATGTGAGAGTTTAAGGGTGCTTAAGAGCCTGCTTTGAAAGGTTTGCTGAATCTCTCGGTAAAAATTATTGCCGGATTATATGGAAAAGAGTCAATCTATAGTATTCTCCAATTGTCAGTGTCATCATGGAATTTAGAACTGGAAAGAGACTTTAGAACTCTTCATATCTGACTCTTTACAAAACAGTGAACTGATGCGTTGGCTGTTGACTCAGTGAAGTTCCCACGGCTGGCTTTGGCAACAGACCTAGGGCTAGACTATGTTGCCTGGAAGATAAAGAAGCATTCACTGCTCTTCCCATCCCACTGTATTGCCTGGCTAGTGTTTGATCAGCTTTTCAATGTGCGGTCAAGTTGTTGATTGAGCTAGTAACTTATAAGTGAATTATCTTTATGATTGTGTTCATTTCTAACCATGTCCCTGTGCAGTTTACGAACAATACTAATCATAAGCAAATACTTTCACCTGGGCCCAATGATTTTTACCTGTACTGACCAAGTGAACAACTTAGGCTGGCTTATGCCAGTGAAGTGGTGCTTCTCCCTCCTGACATGAGACTTCACTGAAGTGACTTGCCAAGAAGAAATGAGAAGATGGCACGTGGAGAGTCATGTGGATGCTCTTCTCTGCCTCAAGCTCAGCTCTCACGTGCTTGATCTGTTCTGTCTGTGTCCTTTAATATAAATGTTTAAATGTTTAAATGTCATTGGGTACTTGGTTATAGGAGGAGGCAGAGCTCTGAGTGGAATCCATGATGGTCCTGAGACCAGAGATATGTATTTTTTTCTTTTCATGTATGTATGTCTTATATCCCCAATTGAGAATTCTATCACTGTGAGTGATACAGCTTCAGAATCCTGAAGGCTAAGCTATTAGGTTTGAACAATATGAAATTGCTGGTTTGCAACTATATTATATCTACAAAAGGGCAAGTTCATATAGCTTAACCTAAAAAGTAAAAATCAAATGACATCAGGTATGTGCAAAAATGTCATAAATGGCTGGTGAATATATAAGAAGTTCAACATTACTAAGAGCCAAAAATTGAAAATTAAAATAAGAAACCTTTTTTTTACTTCATCAAATAGTAAACCAACAATTAGTCCTATACTTTCCTGGTTTGAGCATTGATTAATACAACCAGTAAGTATGCAAATATTTAAACTCAGTGTTTTTCACTGATAGATATTTATATCAAGGTGCTAGATTGATATGCATATAAATATTTTTGCACAAATATGTTCACAATTTGTTTATAACAGCAGAAAATGGAAAACAAACTAAATAGCAATAGGGAACGTAAGTTAATCATGCTGTATCCATATTACGTAGTGTTATATAATTAAAATTACATAATTTATTAAAATGATATTTACCAAGTGTTTTTAATGACACTGGAAAACATGTAGAATATAAGAAGTGAATAATTTCCGAATAGTATGTACAATATGATAATTGTGTAAAAAGCTGTAAACATAGAAAAGAACAAGAAAATACACCAAGACATTGATAATGTTTTGACTTTTAAGAAATATTTTTTCTTTGCTGTTTTAATTTTGTTATGCAATTAACATCTATTTTTATATCATGTATATATTAATAATTACATATTTACAAGTGTTGTATACCGATTTATAAAGTCAATATGCTCCCTGGCCAAAAGGTTAGCATGTTCACATGAAAACATGCACATAATGCGTTTCTAACAAGTTCCCAAATAGTGTTGATGCTATAAGTCTGGGGACCACACTTTGAGAATTACTAATGTAGAGAATCACCATATGGGGATATATATCCCAGTGAGTAAAACAAGTTCCTGGTGTCAACATGTATCCATTGCTACTCCCCCCTGCCACAGCCTCTGCTTCCAGGGTCAGAAACTCTTACCAATGGTCGTTGGATTTCTTTAAAACAGGGCTGAGTACCAAGTATAAATGCTGTCTCGAAGTCACCAGGCTGTAACAAATTAAAATTCCTGTCTGTATCCCTTTCACCTAGCACAGTCCATGACTTAGGAAAAAAATGTTCAGTTGTGTTGGTTGGTTTATGGAATGGATTAAGTGGTAAAGAGTACAGTTTTGAAATCATAAAAAATGAATTGGAATCTTGGCTCCATAAACTTACCCTGATGTGATGTTGGCCAGATTATGTAACCTCTTGCTCCCCGAGTTTGCTCATCTGTAAAATAACTTCATGAGGTTGTTGGAAGAAGTAAATGAGTTAATACACAAGTTTTTGAATAGCACTTAGTAAATGTTAGCAGCTGTTGTTACTGTCATATAGGATTGCTTGCATTTTTAATCTTTTTCAAAAAAGAAGAGTTATTTGAACACCTAGCCAAAAAGGAAAAAAAAAAAAGATTGCAACAGCAAACACTTTCAAGAGGGGGAAATTATAGTTTTTGTTTTGTTTTGTTTTTGTTTTTTTAATTTACTAGGGAAACTTGCGGAAAGGACTACAAAGAAAATAGAATTCTCTGAAAGTAATATGGCAGGTTTTACTGGACATTTCTGCTTTTAGTGGCTCTAACAGTCCCAGGATTTACCAACTAGGAGACCTCTCAAAAGCATATGAAAGTGTCTTAGTCTTGTTTTGATTTTTGTAGCCATAAAAAATAAACCACAAAGAAGCATGAAAGTTTTCTCTTTGGCCTCAGTAGAATTCTTTAACCTTGTGACTTTGTCCTTGTCTCTTTGTGAATGGTGACAATACTCACTCCCTTATAGGTTAGTTGTGAAGATGAGGTGAGGAATTAGCAAGGTGCCAGGCACACAGCTGATTCAGTTTCAATGTTAATTCATTTTATTTTTCCTCCCCACTTTGCCTTCTGCTCATCCTGCAGCCCACATTCCCGTCATTTTCAAACGTACAGAAGTGAAAACTGTGTTGTCACTAGGATTGGCAAACTTTTTCAAGAAGTGCTGTAAAAGTTCACAGTCTAATAATTTTTCTGATACTCCCACCATTAAAAAAACCTATGCTCTAAGAGTTAATCCAAATCGTCAAAATATGAAGTCCTCCTTTCTCTTCCAGGACGAGAAGGCTTCATGAATATTTTATGATGGCGTCTCTGTTGAGGGATGAATCCATTCCCCTCCTAGGAGAGTTCCAGCATGCTGTGGGCTGCCAGGACTTAGCCCAGGAGTGTGGTGTTTTACTGAGGCAAAGGTGACACTGGAAATTGTTTGGTTTGAGGCGTTCAGTTCAAAAACTTTCTAATCCCAGAAGAGTGAATTAATTTCCTGTGAGGATTAGGAAACAAACTTTATATCTCATATATGCACAGTTGCCATTTAATTTTCTTTTTAGGTAATATTTGAAATACTGAGAAAGTTTGTAGTTTTAAGTATATTGGGTAACATTTCTAGATAAGTTGTTTTGCCATCAGCTAACCCAGCTGGGAGGTGCTTAAGATTGATCAAGCTTTTGCTCATCTGGAGAATGATGATGTCTGTTATACATATGTACAGATCTTTGTTCTCTTTGACATCTGGAAGGTGGTGGGAAGGAGCAAATTCAAAATACAAAGACTGGTTTTAAGCCCCAGTTGTGCCACTTATTAGTTAGGTGATCCCAAACAAGTTACTTAACCTCTGCAATCTCAATTACCACATCATTAAATACAGATATGAATCGCTAGGTAACTACAGTTGTGACCATCAGCTAAGTTAAAATGTGAGAAAATTTCTACAACCAATGAAGTCCTACATAGAGGTAGATAGGACCTCTAGTCCTCTATAGAGGTAGGCTGTTGCTGCTATCTTTATGTTATACTGTTTATGAAAATAAGTTTTCTTTTCTGTAAAGTAAGCATACCTTTATTCCTTAGGGAGGGTTTACACTTTCATTGAACTGGATATTGCATCTAATGAGGATTGCTGTTTTTTTCTCCTTGATTTCAGGATTTAACATTTAAATGAAAGTGATCCCTGCCTGCCTTTGGATTGAATTTATCACTGGTTTAGAATAACATGTATGACACAAAATTTAAAAAGCTGAATAGCTGATTCTTTTTGAATGCAGAGTAGATCATATTTTCAAATGGCTTGTTCTCATTTAAAAAACCCAAGGCGAATAGAATACCTATAAGGATGGTAGGCTTGGGAATTGAAAGCTCTATGTGTGTCTCCAGATGTGCCCTGTTAACATGGACAAATCGTTTATTTCTTGATCACTAAAACCATCATAGTTTTTGTATGTTTAGGATAAAAATAAAAAGGGAGTGTGGTATTTTAAGATCTTTGTGTAGCATAGCATTGTGATGTTAAAGTTTATACTTGGGCTCATTTTAGAAATGACCTAATTAAGTCTTCCTTTTTTCTGCATTAATCGCCTTCCTTTGTATTATGATCTTTCCTATAAGGAAGCTAGCAGACTGACCCATCATTTTTCTTTCCTCAGTGTTAAATAAGAATACATATTTTAAACTTTACCTGTGAATCATATTCCTGTCTCTTTGGTAATTTATTTCCCTACTCTCTCTTTTTGTACTCAAAGTAGTATATGACTTCTAGATGACTTGCTTTCCTTTCGAAGGACAGATTACTTACTACTAGGAGCTCATGTAAAATCAGTCTTTTAAAAATATGACTTTGTCCCTCCTAGCTTAGAGATAGAGCTCCATAAAACGAAAGTGAGGATGATATCTGGTAAAGTTCAGATGGAGCTAAAGAATCAAAATCAACTGAACTTTTACCAGGAGTCCTTAGTGAAGTAATTGATTGCATTCTCCAACGCCCCTCCTTCAATAAGATTTCTGTTATTTGTTTTCTTTTACTTGAATATGGCTTTTAGGAGGCTTGTATTTAGAGTTTCTGTGCTTATGAAAAAAGAGATAGCTTTATAATTACTATGTAAGAACTATGAAGTGGGAAAGAATACATTGGCAAGACATATTACAATTACTTTGTCATGCATCTGGTTATGTTGGCATATTTGTTTAATTAAATTCCCTGCTAATTATAACTGTATGTGCTTGTGTTAATTATTATTTACCTAACACTGGTAACAGTGTAATTCTTTAAAGGAAAGCAACTCGCTTTCTATTTAAATTAAACTTCAATTTAATATGCTTCCTAAAATAATAATAGTGACATTTCATTAGAATGGTAGTTGAAAAATCTTTATCTACCTCAGTGGAATTTGGACTGGCTAAAATTTAACAGAGTTGTTTTAATATCAGATTGTAATTAGGGATCTTAAAGTTAGAGTAAAATGGTTAACATGGCCAAACCACCAGCTGATGCTGCACATGGTTCATCTGCTGAAGGAAACATTTTCATCCTTTAAGGAAAACCTTGCCTGCCCTTCCAAACTTCCTGATCACCTACTATAGAAGAGAGAGGGAGGAAATTATACTTGACAATGATTCTCAAAGACCTAATTAGAAGTGGGTCTAATATATTCTCTGAAGCATTTGTTTAAAAGTCAAATTGCCCAGGTCACTTGGTTATGATCACTCACCCAGATACTTAGTATATGTGTAAGCTTTTTCAGGGTTGCAAACCTATTCGAGTTAAAATTGAACTCCCAGTGGAGTTGAGTCTTTCCCATTTCATTCACTTCATCCTCTCTGTTTCAAAATTCTTCTACCTCTACAGATATCTTCTTCCTCTCACCCTTTGTCAGACGCTAGATATTTTTAAATTTCCCTTACTTATCCTAGTGATAAGCGGGGAACTCTGATTTCCATAGCTGCTCCTTCTTTTTGCATGCATACTTGCATCTTTTCAGAGAGTTTGACTCTTACCTGGTTTTTTTTTCCTTCAATTTAAAACTACTTCCTCTCTCTGAAATGCCAATCTAAGAAAATTTGCAATTTCTTCTACCTAGTCACTCTCCCTAATTTACATCAAAAACTTTCTTTTCTATCACAAGAGCTGGATCTTTGGCTCCAGACAGAAACGAGTTTAAAACATGCCTCTTCAGGTAAGTTGCTAATTTTCTGAGCCTCAGAGTCCTTATTTATAAAATGGGGTGCTCAATGATGACAGCCATCTAGGGCTAGACAGAAGGTGAAATGACGTAACATATGTAAAGCATCTAATTCATAGTAGGCTCCAATTAAACAGTGGCCTTTTATATACACACACACACATACACACACACCCCTTATATATGTGATGTTTTATATGTACCATGTACACACCACTGAGTTCCTTTTGTCATATTCTCACACTCTTATTTCAAGAGACAAAATATACCAACAAATGAGACAGAAGCTACTAAAAGTGCTTTTCAAGCTTTCTTAGCAGTGAAAAGTCTTTTCAACTGCAATCTTACATGAAAACATATGAAACTTATGTGAAACAGAGAAAGGGGTAACTGCTGTCCATGAAATACAAGGTCCTTTTGTGTTCTAAGTCAGACCCTGCAAAATCAGATAGTTCTGAGGTATATAATTTAAAAGCTACTGAACCATTATTTTGAATTCACTCACATTAATGAGTGCCCACTACATGGTAGGAACTGTGCTAGGACTAGACACAAAGACAAGGCATAGTCCTTCCCGTGAAGGAGTTCATAGTCTGGTAGACAACCTCTTTGAACTCTTAGATTCAGCAATTCTAGATTCGGTTAAAGTAGTTTTAGGGCAATATGCATGGCATAAATGGAATGTGTAAGTACCTAGGGGATAGAAAGTTGTGCTTATCCATGAACTCATCTGAGAAGGCTTTCTTTGGTGATGATTTGAACAGTTTGAGCCTTGATTGTCAGGAGCGGAAATGAATCCTCGTGTAAACAAAAACCTCTGCAAGACTATCAAGGACTAAGACAGAAGACTAAGAAACCCTGGTAGGAAACAACAAACATATTGCTTATCACATTTATCCTCTTAAATGGGAAAGACGGAACTAGGAAGCTGGAAATGAGGTAGAAGGAAAGAGAAAGGACCAGTTGTTTGATGATTTGAAATAAACATTTTTTATTATGAGGAATATAGATTTTTTTAATTAAGAAAAAGTGCAATTCAGAAAGAATGCTATTGTCCATCTTGAAGTCTTTATTGTCTCCCCCACAACTCTTCCCCAGTGTCAACTGCGAATGGGCAATCAGGCTGCTGTCCAGGAGAGAGAGGCCCTAGGGTATGTAAAATACTGCAGAGAAATCTACTGTGTCTACAACAGCAACTGGTTCTCTAGGAACCTAAAAATAGTCAAAACTTCTTTTCAAGTTCAAACTGTCACCAAGATTAGTTAATGAACCTTAATTGGCAAAATGAAAATGCTGCGTTATTTTTTGAGAAGGATTCTTAGTTATCATATGAAATTTGTATCTGGTTCATAGTAAAGTGTTATTTATTAGCCACACTTTAATGAATTCCCTAAAATTTGTTGCTGAATTTAGGAGAGATGTTCAGTTCAATTCAACACTCTTTGAGATTGACTATCATGTATCAGGCACTGTATTAAGTGCAAGAGTAAAAAGGCATGGCCCTTCTTCTCAGAGAGCCCATGGTCTAGTGAAGGAGTCAGATGAGTAAGTAGATAATTATGAAATATTGTGGTAAGTGCTATGGAAGAAATCTAAAGAACAGGTTATAGAAAAGAGGATGTCACATCAGAGGCCACGACACTTAAACTGAGTCTTTCAGAATGAATGAGAAATTAGGCAGATGAAGACAGAGGGAAGGATGTCCTATGTGCCGTTAACGTGCAAATCACATACGCTTGGATGTCTGATACTTGGGCCGGTTAACTTCTCTGAACATGACTTTCCATATCTTCATTGAGTGTTTATCACAAAACATTGTGAGAATTGCACGTGCAAATGCAGGTAAAGAGGCTACTCAATCCTGGTGCATAGTCATTTACAAATAAGTTGGTTTCCACCATGGCACACGTATGCCTGTGTAACAAACCCACACATTCTGTACTTGTATCCGGAACTTAAAGTAAAATAAAAAATAAAAATACATAGATTGTTTTTTTTTTAAGTGTTGAAAGCTGGGCTTTCATTGCCAAAGAAGGCAAATGTTGGTGTTTCATAGCAGCTGAATTTGCCAACCACCTACCCAGTGGTTAGGCTACTAAAGTGGAAAGTTTCATTCCCAATTAATGCACCATTTTTCTCAGAGACTTTGAACAGACATGTTTTTGATCCATCAAATCTTTCTGTCCTGGGGTTGTGTTTGGTTTTTATTCCAATTCTAAGGTCTGTCTGAACACGCTGTGCCTTGAGCCATGTAGCACACAGAAGGACAAATGATTTCTTCTTATTATTCTTTTTATTAACAATTGAAGGGAATAGTTAACATTTAAGAAAAAAAAAGACTGACTTGAGAGAAACTTTTGGTTATTTTCTAGTGAGGGAAAAAAAGCTCTAAATGCAGTATGTCAATCTTGTTTCCTAGATAACAAAGCAAATCTAAAACAGTTTTGAACTTTTTTCCTTATTCCCTTTATCATGAATGTTTAATATCCAAAGGAGCCAATTTTTGTTGAGAATTAGCTTCCAGGTTTGGAGGCTATTAGCAATCACCACAGGGAGCCTCACACTCCAGTTCTATTTCCCATCCTTTTTCCTGAATCAGAATCATTTTCTGTGTAGTTATAGCAAGTGCCTCGGTTTTGCTAGCCTCATCTGCTGTTTTTAAATGTCAGCCTCTGCCAAGCTGAAACATCATGAAAGTAATCAAATTATGTATTAGGAAAGAGTAGATCATTGCTTCAATAAACTTGCCAAAATCAACATGTGTAGCCATCTATACATGTGGAATGTCACTTTGATCCCCCATAGCTATTTCAGTAATGTCATAAATGTTCTCATAATCATTTTATAATCATAATATTAGTTAACTATTACATTTTATCACTTAACTCGTGCTAAGCATTTAGCTTGTATTACCCACTTTACCTGTACAATAGTTCTCTCAGGTAGATGCTAGAGTGTTATCCAGGTTATTGTGAGGAAGCTAAGGCACAAGAAATTAAGCAACTTGCCCATTAGCCTACAGCTAACAGTCCTGGATTCATACCCAGGCCTGTGTGATTCCAGAGCCCATGCTCTTAAATGCTAGGCTACACCTCCTTCTTTTTATCCTTCTGTGATCGTTAAAAAAGACATGACAGTTGTTGCTG
The DNA here is from genome assembly GCF_000001405.40 of Homo sapiens. NCBI lineage: Eukaryota > Metazoa > Chordata > Mammalia > Primates > Hominidae > Homo > Homo sapiens. Next base: position 133,770,437 of record NC_000007.14, read on the forward strand.
TAAACCATAATTTGATGTCTTATGATAACACTTAACTAGCTTATTGGTGGTTTTGTTTGTAAACATTGAAAGTAAGCTTTAGCCAATGCACACTTAATCAGATTTGTATTCAGCAAGTGTGCTTTTGCTAATAGTAAGCCAGACATTGTATCAGGCATCAGGGTAAACATACATATACATATGTATATGTCCCGACCTTGAGGAGGTCATATCTAGCTGGGGAAACTTACAAATTGTACATAATCCATTATCCACAATTCCAAATTCCAAAATGCTCTGAGAAATGAAATTTTTAAAATATGTAGACTCATTTAGCCTAATTCCTGAATTCATATGAGGCCACATTATATATAGCCTTTGTTTGTACCTCTTAATATAATTTTTCATACATGTGTTTGATTATGAGGTGCTACCCTAAGCTCTCCTGGCATTGTTGCATAATACATAGTAAATGCCCTGAAAACCTTTCTAAAATCTGAACTTTTTGAATTCTGAAATATATCTGGTCCTAAGAGTTTAGCAGAAGGGATTGTGGCCATACATGAATGGACATGTTGTAGCCCAGCAAAAGGAATGATTTACTTCCCATGATTGAGTTAAAGATTCACAGAAGAGGCTGCAGGCAGTGAAACTGGAATTTACCAAAGTTGTTTTGGCAGCCTAGGCAGAACTGAAGTTACAGCCAAAGATATAGACTTATAGAGAATCTGGGGAGGGTATACATGGAAGACAGGACTGGAAAGGCAAGTTGGCACCAGATTATGGAAGGCCTCCCATGTCACAGGAGAATGCATTCTTTTTCTATCAACTGACAGGCTCTTTTCTGATTTCCTTCAGCCTCATTTGCTGTTGTACCTTGCTTTGTTGCAGTGTGTCATGGATCCATTTGGAGAAGCTGATGAGTCATCTTGTGAAAGAAAAAATGAATTGAAGGACATTGCTTACTTTCTGTGTTGATTCAGGCCTCATTTCATCTTAACCCCCTAGTTAGAGGACATCAGTAATGATTCAGTCTCTGCAACTCATTCCTAAATAAAATTAATTGGAAAGTAGATAGCTCTCTAATAACCATGCTTGTTTTTGCATAATAGAAGGAGAAAAGGATTAAATTCTTTGTTCTAATTAATAGGAATGAAAATAGAATTGCAATCCGTGGTATGGCAAAATGAGAGAAAATAAGGCTTGTAAGTAATTTTCATGGTTGTTTAGGAATAATTGTTTCATTATTGAGTTAATAGTTTTTACAAACAGCTTCCATTTCCATATCATATTGCTACAGTCGCTCTTTATTGAGATTGCCTCGGCAGAAGATGACAAGAAGTTGTTTTAAATCCATCACTTGTCTAAAATATGAGTTCCAAAGTAGTTAGGGGAGGGTATGCAGCAGGAAAGAATGAGGTATGGGAGGGAAACAGGGGGTCAGATTGAAATCAGTTGATTAATAAGACAACAAAATTCATTCACCAGCTTGTTTCAAAGGAGACTCTTATTATTCTGGAAAGAAATTAGACATCAGATCCCTCATAGGCCCCAGGCTCTGACATGTGTTTTATAATGACAGTTAATTAGATACTGTCTGCAGCAATCATAGGCTGTCATTTCTAATACATTTCTGGGAAGTTGAAGGACAGGAGAAGTCACCCCCTCCTCATATTCCCCCTTCCCGTAACTGAAATCGGTTGCCAAAATTAACTGTGAATATATGAGGCACGAGTTCAACAATTATACAGCCGTTCTGCACATTTATGTTTCCTACTTAGTATGTACTCTGCATTCCAGGCTGGTCTGGGCATGCATTTTGCAGACAGAGATGTTACTGCAGCCCTGGTAATATTTAGGAACATCTCACACAGCAGTCTAACACCTGGTCTTAAGTGGAAGATGCCACTTGTCATTGCAACTTATGCATTAGAACACAAAGAATCTTTCACACCATTAAATTCAAACTAGCAGGCTTCCCTCTTTTCTAAAATAGAACTTGCAATGCATTAACTAAAGTCATCTATTCTCACATGTGCACCAGCACGGCACATGTATACATATGTAACTAACCTGCACAATGTGCACATGTACCCTAAAACTTAAAGTATAAAAAAAAAAAAAACCTTAAATTTGAATAATTCCTGCAGTAGTACTTAACCTAAATTTTTCATGCTTCCTTTTATCAAACATCATTATAACATGACCATAAAGTATAATATTTCTTAAAAACTAAGCCATGAGGTAGAAACCATGTTGAAATCATAGATGTTAACATTTTAAGCATTCTCAGAAATTCTCTAGTCCAATCATTTTGGTCTGCAAACAAGGACATTTGAGTCTCAGAATGCTAAAGTAATTTGCCAAGATTGTGCAGTTTCTGGGCAAGCCTGACTTGCAATTCCATTCTCCTGAGTTCTACGCTGTTACTCTTTCCCCTTAAGAGCACTACCTAGTGACATTACCTGAGTAACTTTGGGCTAAGCCCTGGATGTTTCTGAGCTTGAGAGTCCTAGTCTGTAAAATGGACATAGGAATAATATGTACCTCATAGAATTACAGTGAGCGTCAGTGGGGAAGCCACTCCAAAGCCTTCAGTAAGACTCCAAGCAACCTTACGTTGCCTTCTGATTGCTTTTATCCTTAGGTGTCCCTAGGTCATTGCTTTCATCCCAGAGCATGCCTGGAGCTTGTAAGTGCCTCCTAAGGGACATAAGAAGGCTCTCAGTGCCTTTGTGATTGAAAACCATACTATTTTATGGGCCACCCAGTACATTTGTTTCTTATTTTAGAGACATGCCCACTCAAGCCATGTGCTGAAATTCAAGCTTTTTCAACCCAAGTTATCATAACTGGTGTCTCTAGGACAGTGCTTCCCAAACATGCTTCCCAAACATGCCAGAGGAAGAATTACCTGGAGAATGTTTTAAAAGTACAGATTCTCGCTCCCTGACCCACTTAATGCCCTTCTGTCAATTCCCCTTGAAAGAAAACCTTTAGTACAAGAAGTGTGGAGAAGAGTCTGTTAATCTGTGTATTTACTAGGTTTTTATTATTATTATTATTATTATTATTATTTTTCTTTTTGAGCTCCCTGGACAATTGTGAAAAACAGCCAGGTTTTAGAGTGCCTGGCTCTATCAGAGCAGATCATACCATACCCAAAATATGCTAGCTTTAACAGCTGCTAAAATATCTGGGTACTTTTTGTGGGTTCTAATTAACTTTCACATGTTGGGGGTTGAAATATCATCAGTGAACTGATAATATAAATTTTTGGATGCACTGGCACTTCTTTCCTTGCACTTATGTACTCATTCATGCACAAAGCTATCCAGCACCCACTGTCACCACCCGGGCTACAACCCTTCTAATCTAAATGGATTATATAGTAGATAGCTGCTATTGTCTGTGAAGATAAGCCTGCTGTCTGCTACCAGTAGAAGACATGTTTGAGATTTGTTTCGTTTTATTTTATGGTGGTAGTGGTTTTAATCCCCTCATACCCACCATCCAAATAATATGGCTGGTTTTGTATTAGGCCGTTCTTTCTTACATCTGGTTTCCTCATAATCAAAGATACAGATTTTCAAAACACGTAGCTGGGATTAAGGATATGGTGTGTGGTACTGGTTATTCTCTGTGCAAAATAAACTGGGATCAGAAAGCATATTAAGCCATAAAACAAGGCCTGACCTTGTATGATTCTCTACCCAATGAGCTAACCAGCCAGGGCAGAGTTGGGAAGGCTACAGGATTGTAGGCCATTAACATCCCCGAAGAGCCAGGCTGATCTCTTGTATTATTCTCAGGCATGAGCAGAGAGTGTATGCAATAGCCAGTTCCATATGTTACTATAATGGTTCACTTGCTTTCTAAATGAATGCAGCCTCCTTACCAGCTGTGGACTCTTAGTGTTTGTAAAGGTTTAAAGATGCCCCAGTAGGAAGTAGAATGACATTGAATAAAGATGTTGAAAAAAAGAATGCAACCAAAGATGACGAGATAGTATATATTAAAGTTAGTTTAGCCAGAGCCCAGCACATAATAAGCTTTCAATAAATGTTAACTCCAGTTGAGGTTATTACTATTATTCTTGTGCCATCGTCGTTTAACTCAAATTATTACTGATCATCAGTGGCATATTGACTATGGATGTGAAGCATAGAAAGTTCAAGACATTTAACTTGATTTTCTAGAAAACAGCAGTTTAAACAATCTACTTTTTTCAAGCCTAACTTCTTACCCTATTTGTGCATATTATAGTATATGGTCCTTAACTTATGGACATTAGTTCTGAATTCATATTTCCATTGGGTTTAGTGCATTGGATGTTTTAGGTGAACTAAATGGGCTGTATGAAGCTCATCTCTGGAGTAATTTCAAGAATCACTGAGGCTTATGGATAATTCACATTGTCAATTCAAAGTTTATGATTATTTTTCCCTAAAGACTCTTAATCCTCCACCCAGCTTGCTCCCCCGCCCCTCCCCCACCACTTTATTAGTTGAATAAATAAGGATGAAAACATGGCTAACCTGACGAAAGTCTATTCTCTCTAGCAGTGGCCCAGATGTAGGGCAGTGGAATAGAGCACTGTCTTTACCCCTGGGACTCCAGGTCTGCAGATTTTAAAAAGAGTTAACTCTATGGAGCTATAATTATGGCAGTTTTTCAAAAAGGTAGACAGCATTTTACATGATTTTTTTGTTCTTAGTTTGTCTTGTCAGAAGTGAGGAATTGCATTTCCCTCCTAAACTCTTTACTAGGTTGTGCCATGTGCCAGGATTTCTTAATGTCTTTAATCTGTAATGTGCCTAATCTTTGGGGGAAAAGGAGTAGAAATCAACATGCATGAAATGCACAGCCTTCATGTGTTAGGCTTTGTCTCAGTTAGACGAGTGTACATGGATCATTTGTAGCTTGTAGCATGGAGAAATGACGTCAAGCCACCTGTGAAGCCATTCATTTAAGCAGTCAGTTTGACAATCTCACAGGGTGATCTGCGAACACGTGACCTTCTTAATCTGGGTACACAATGTAGCTCTGTTTATATATTCTTGTCTTTTAGTTTATTGTCTTTAATAAAGTTAGCAAGAGGATAAATTAGTTTTATCTGCCAAATATATAACAGGTGCATCAGCAGGCATGTCTATAACTATACTAAGGCTATCTGGGATGTATTCTCCCTATAGTTTTTCTTTGTATTAAGTACAGAGGGAGAACTGTTGCACAGTTAAAGCATCAAAATGTCTAAGAAAATGTACAGGATTTTTTCCCTATCCATGTCTCCTGTGGGGCATCCGTAAGCCTTTCATTCACTTTTCTATTGCACATCCTAAGAGACAGTTGGACTGATTTCGCACTTTCAGTGAAGAAAGTCATGGCTTATAGACCATGTGGGATGTTCTTCTGTCTACATTAGAAGAATTGAACTTTGATGTTCTCTACTTTTCTTCACTTCAGGAAAGGATTTCTAGGAGATATAAGATTAGGCTCGATGCTAGAAGGAAACCACATCATCAGTTATCTAGAAGGAATTGCATCTATCTTCTTTTTACTTATAGTCTTAATAGACTTAAGATTTATTGGGCATTATTGGGCATTCTGTAGATAAAAAGCACTCTTAAAGAAATAAAGCAAAATAAGTTGGATATCTATTTCTAGCTGGGCTAGAAAGCTAAAGCAAGTAGGGACTTCAAGTTGCAAGCATGATTTTAAAGAATAGGTTAGCAACTTAAAGATACTGAGTTTTTCAGTTTCTTTTTCCACCATCTCTTTATTGTCACGAGTCTATTTTCTAATTCCACCCGTCGGTTCTATGAATACAAATGGTGTTGTCTTTATGTTGTTGCAAAATAAAGCAACAATGCAGCATCCTCCTTAAAGTCTACTCTCTCTCCTTTTCTGATCCTGCCAACTGAGATGACATGGTTTGTATGTTAGTTTCGGTTCCATATTAATTTATTCAGTCATTTTTCAGGAGTTAATTGAACATCTTGTCTCTTGTTCCAGACATTTGGCACGTGTTGCCCCAAGCCCAATTCCTTTATGTGGAAAAAGGGTCTGCCAAAGAAGGCTAATTTACCTTCTTGTGAATGAAGGACTCCAGAATGTGAATGATGGGTTGGGATCCATTGTCAGTGTGGACACGAGTCATTTACTCTTCTGTCTAATTTTTTAGATCATGGGTAATTTATGAAAAATTCAATTCATGTTTGATTTGTACCCTCTTAAATCATCAACATATTATTTTTTAAGAGTTATCAAGTGTTCAAGAGCTAACATTTGGCTTAGAGTAAGCCTATTCATATGCCAAATAATTTGGAAGAAGTACAGAAACCTATTGCTTTGGGTCTTCAAATGGATGATCTTAACAAAGTATGATTCTCTGTGTTTCTTTATTGCATGTTATGGGCCATGAATTTGTTCCCTGCTTTACTGATGTCCTCCTAATTGCTTGATATCTAAGAATACTTATCTGTAATTCACTGCCATATTAAAAATACGAAACAAAGCTGTCCTGTAACAAGAAGGTCCATTTAGCCTTCTGAAAAGTAACAAAAATGAAAACAAAAAGGAGCAGGAGCTTTAAATTTGTTCTAAATACAGGACCATTTGAGAGCCAAGAGAATTAATTTATATTTTTAAACATTATTTTATAAATATATTTTGTTGTTGATTTTTTATATTTAGTCTGCTAAGATTATAGATTTAAAATGGTGAGTTTTACCAGGATCTTTAATGATTCTTGTTGCCTATCAAGCAGAATTCTTTGAGCACAGTATTTATCAGAACTTCTCCTGAGATTGAAGATCATGTATACTTTCTTCTAGGCCTGTGCTTAGTCTAAGAGAGAGAGAAAGAGAGAGAGAGAGAGAGAGAGAGAGAGAGAGAGAGAGAGAGAATATATATATATATCAATTAAATGTGATTGTACTAGACATTTTCAGAAGAAATTATCAGGAAACGTTGTTACTGAATTCTATATCCAGGTCTGATTCAGACAATCTGAGGATCACCTTTTGGACCACAATGTATAGAAAAATACTTCCTGCAGAGGGTTATGTGAGAAGTTGCTACTCTAGAGCTGAAAAGGGCTTTCACATTCTTAGGGCATTTATTCTAAGAAACAGGACAGTGTTATGATTATTGGTGGAATGAGGATGCACTGATTTGGAATTGTAGTAGAAAGTGGATGAGTAACATAGATGCGAGATGGCAGCACATAGTTGGGAATGCAGACTATCTGGGTTCAAATTCTGACCCAGTCACTAATTAGCTTTGTGACCTTGAGCAAGTCGCTAAACCTCTCTGTACTTTGGTTTCCTCATGTGATATATGGGGATGATAATGATCAGTACCACCTTTTATAAGGTTGTTGTAAGGATTAAGCTTGTTAATACATGTAAAGTTATTAGAAAATCCTCTGGCGTATAGCTAGTATATATGAATGACTATTATCATGAGTCGTTATGAAGTTTGTCTTGGTGCATACTTTACCCAGGTAATAGTCTGTGCTTTCTGGAATTACATCATCTCTGCATCTCTGTGCTAATTAAAGCCTACATGTCTAGTAACATTCATTCTCCGTCTTCCATTTTTTAAAAAAATGTCTCTGAAAGGTTTATAAAAATATACTTGATTGAGAATTACAGGCATTCTCCCAAGAATATTTACATTTTAACCAGGACTGTGCCATGATTAAGACAAAGGAAAGGTCCAAAGTATTACGAGTTTTGACCCAAGTTGCCATCCATCCTACTCCATCTCTTGATGCTTATCTTAGGGGGGGTAATTAGTGAGAAAAGAAAAATGTAAAGCAAGTTCCTCATGAATCCCTTATTAACTTTGAACAGGACTCAGTCTGAGATATTATCTCATTTAAGACTTCTCGGGTCAGGCATGGTGGGTCACACCTATAATCGAAGACCAGAAGAGAGACAGGAGGATCACTTGAGCCCAGGAGTTCGAGACCAGCCTAGGCAACATACGGAGACTCTCTCTACAGATAATAAAAAATTAGCTGGGCTTGGCGTGTGCCTGCAGTCTCAGCTACTGGGAAGGTTGAGGCGGGAGGATGGCTTGGGCCCAGGAGGTGGAGGTTGCAGTGAGCCGTGATCACACCACTGCACTCCAGCCTGGGCAAGAGAGTGAGACTCTGTCTCAAAAAACAAAGACTTCTCTACTATTCTAAGATGCAGATAGGTCAGAAGGTTGTGACCACTGACTGTATCCCACGATTACTCATTCAGAAAGTTAGCATCGTCTAACCAAAGTTTCAGAGGTGCATCCTCTTCATTCTATCATACAGAAGAAACAATGCTCAAGCAATAATTGCTTTATCGAATCCCTTATTAGTCTATAATGTGGTCTCTGTTATGTCATTTTTTTTCTTTTAATTTAGTTCTACTAAAATGCTAACATTGTTTTCCTTCTGATTTAGCCTCACATGGGCTGCATCAGAGATTTTTAAATAAATTGTTACAGTGTTAATTAGGATTTCATGGTCAGGCTCCATTCCTTTAATAGATACGATATGATTTGGCCTTCTCTGTATCTTCAAATAAGCAGTCCTCAAACATCCTTATGATCTCTCCTGCTGCCTTAGAAGATTTGAGATAATGGAGGGATGATGAAGCAATCATACAAAATCTATTGATTCACCTTGGTGAGTATCATTTATACATCAGTGAGTACCTTGGTTGCAAAATTACCTTTGGAGTTTAAATGTCATTGCAAAGTTGTATTGGAAAGGTAATTTTGTTTTGGTAGGCCACAGGGTTTTGCTTTCTGATACTGTAAAATTTATATCTACTTGCCATTTTCATCATATAAGTGAGAGGTTTAAATGCTATGTATTTAATGCCCCTGTCTATAAAAATGAGGATTTTTTTTTAATGGCTTTCTCAATACTACTAACTCTTATTTTTGCCGCAGTGTTGAGAAGTACGGATTTATGATACTATAAAATGCAAAGAATAGGGTGGAAAGAAGGAACACTTCAAATATCACAGAAGCTCTGTTCCTTGAAACTTTTCTTACTTCAAGTAGGCCTTTGGATCATTTTGGACATTTCAATTATTGAGTTCTTGATATTTAGGTCAGAGGACTTATCCTTGAGAGGTGGGACTTGCTGGGTCAGTGAGGACTTGGAGAAATTTTCTGTAGCTAGCTAGAGGTTTGTAAAATGCACCAATCAGTGCTCTGTAAAAATGCTCCAATCGGTGCTCTGTGGCTATCTAGGGGTTTGTAAAATGCACCAATCAGTGCTCTGTAAAAACGCACCAATCAGCGCTCTGTAGCTAGCTAGAGATTTGTAAAATAGACCAATCAGCAGCCTGTAAAATGGACCAATCAGCACACTGTAAAATGGACCAATCAGCTCTCTGTAAAATGGACCAATCAGCAGGACATGGGCGGGGACAAATAAGGGAATAAACCTGGCCACCCCAGCCAGCAGCAGCAACATTTATTGTGAAGAGGGAATGCTGCTTCTCACTCTTTGGGTCCCTGCTGTCTTTAAGAGCTGTAACACTCACCACGAAGGTTGGCAGCTCCATTCTTTAAGTCAGCGAGACTGTGTACCCACCGGAAGGAACAAACTCGGGACACACCCTGATGGTGTGCTGGCGATAAAAGCAGTGTGTTCTGGGGAGTTGGAAGAGCAGGGGTTAGATGCTGGAGGGATTTTGCTTGACAAGTCATATTATCAAAAAACTAGTGGTCACTAATAGTTTTTTACAACTAGCTATGTTTTTATTTCTAGTCATGAAGCAGTGCCCTAAATGCTTTAGTAAGCATAGTTAATATGCTTCCCAAAAAAAAAACCTTCCTTTTCTTTGTATTTGAAATAATTTTCTTCCTGTAATTGCTTTTGAAGAATCTAAAAAAAAAAAAAGCCATACTTTTAGCGTTTTTTGAAAGTATTACCAAGTTAATATGAGGCTTTTTGTTTTGTTTTTGTAAATCCAGAAAATTAATGATATTAGCAGCTTCAGAGATGTGTTAGATTTGGGAGCTCAAAAACTGTGTTAAGAGCTTGTCATTAAACAGCCTGATTCTTGCACTATTTTTTTTAACTGCCTTTTTATATTGATAGAGACGGGATCTTGTTTGGACTTAATAACTTTCCCAAATTCACTAGGAGTCTACAGGAATTATTGTTTGTACAAATGATTCCTGGGAGAGATGTGTTTTTTTCATTCTAGAGCATTACAGTGTCATAAAGAATCCCACATTGGGCAGGAGTGGGCCAGTTCAGGTTGGCCTGTCATGCTTAATCACTGGCTAGGAGCAACCTGGGGGAAGGGCAGGAACTCCATGAGAATCCAAACAGGTGGCGCCTGTAGACCAACCAACAGCTGTGCTCCCCAAAGCGGATTCTCTTGAAGGGAGATCTAAAGGGGGCACTTCCATGGCTGCCACACCCCTGTTAGCATGTTGGTATTTTTCAAATGAAGAACTGTGAATTTTTATCTCCTGAAATGCTAAGTGAGTATTTGACCATCTAAGGATCCCTTTTGTGATATGTTGCGCTTCATGGTGACTCCACTATGACATCACAAAACTGGGTAGATAACCTTTTATTAGCCTTTGGAAGCAAGAGGCACTGGCCACTGAGTCAGCAACCCCAACAGGAGTAGAATATGCTGTCTGTGTTCCTGCCAACACTTTGGTTCTGAAAGAAAATGCTGACTCTTGGATATTATGTCTTTCTATATAATGGAGATAAAAAGTATCAAGAAGCAAAATTCCCTTCTAAGTGTTGAATTCAAAACCATTTGTGAAGAAGGCTTTTGGAAGCAGAAAACTTTTGAAGGCCATTCTGGGTTTTCTCGTCCATTTCTTCACACCCTAGGGTGGCCATGAAACTCAAGATCAGACCAGATCTCTTGGGGTTCCTGGAGTCACCATAAAAAATAAATTGGCTTTCTGTAGGCTATAAAATCTAAAGCTGGTTTGTCCACACTGAGGTGCCATTAAAAGAACAGTGGGCCTGGATTTTGTAGACCTGAGTTTGGAATCTGGCTCCGCCACTTACTAGTTGTGTTTCCTTGAAGATATCAGTTAGTCTCTGGGTTTGTTTCTTTGTTTGCAGAGTGCAAGAATTGGAATGGCAGTGAATGCACAGACCCTGTACAATCCTAAAACTTAGTAATTCTGTCAGTGTCAGGGCTAAGTAATTCTAGATGATTGCAGTCCTCGAAGCCCAGCTGCCCACGTACTTAAAGCTCGTGGGAGAGATTGATATGTCCCCAGAGAGTCTGCCTTGCACTGGGCCTTCTTCACCTCTTCGAGTCTCCCATGCGAGGCTCAGCAGTGACTCATCATGATCACTGGAGTGGTAGGGGGCTCAGACCCTCAACTCCCAATTGTGTTCTGGACTTACAACTCTTAATGCCTTTGGCCAAGTTGTCTAACTTATCTTTAGTTTCACCAGCTGTGAAACACAAATAATGTGTACTTCCAGACCTGCCGCATAATCAGTGATAACACAAAAAAGTTTTTATTGTGTCAGAACCAATCTCTTCTAATTTTAATTATTACTTTGTGGCTTCTAATTTTAATAATCATTTCTTTGTAATCCTAGCCTATGTGAATCGTTTTGTGAGATGAATACAACCAAGTGGGGTCAGTGTCAAAAGGCTGCCAAGTGTCACTGCTGCTTGGGTTGCAGTATTGTCTGCAACTAGTATCTTTGAAGCTTTTGTTAAGACCATATTGGCTTCCTTAGCTCAGAGGAAGTAAAAAATCCAGACATTGGTAGTTATTTATCAAAGTGCTACATTAGGAAATGTTGTATTTATCCATATCCATAGGTTTACTAAAATAAATGTAACCTCTGAGGGCATGCAGTCATTCAGGGATCCAAAGTAGCTAGATACTTGGGTCTCTAGGCTTACAAATAAGCAAGTATCCCTCCTTGGTTTTATAAAGTTCTTGGATTATTTCACATCACACAAATGTACCCATCCTTGGGGACTTGAGGGCATTAACATTAATCAAAGTGAGGCAAAATTCAATTAGAAATTATCGATGCTCCCTGCATGTTGATTTTACTAGGCAAGGAGTCTCTTTTGCAATAATCTGCTTGAACAGATGAAACTCAGATCAGGCAGGCTGAAAGCTGTCAAAGGATAAGTTTCAAATAAGGGCAGAAAAATGAACCCGACATGGGAGCCTTCTTCACATTCATTCATAGTAGGAGTGGAGCCTGGAGCAAATCACACTCTTAACAGGTCCCCTGAAACACATCCTTTTGTAGATAAAATCTGGTTAAATGAATGCCAGGAATGACTGTCACCTTAGATTAAATGTTCCTCGGACCCGGGTACTTAACTACAATTATGCTGTGCACGTGGAGAGAGGGGCACAATAGCAAAGGCGAATGGTATTGTGAGGCATGTATGGAAAGACAAAATTAGTCTCCATAGACCTTCCCTCTGGCTTCAACACCACCCACTGGTGGATTCTGTATGGTCACTCGCCCAGGCCATTGGAAAGCAGGGTGTCAGAGTGGGAAGACCCAAATGTCAAGACAGACTAGGGTCTGAATCTCAGCTATGCCATATATTTGCGTAGTGATTTTGGACAAGTTACTTAACATCGCCGTGCCTCATCTTTAAAATGGGGAAAATGGGAGTATTTTGAAGATTGGTAATATAATGTATATAGCAATTCATATAATGCCTGATATATGGTAGCATTAATACGTTATTTTTTAAGGAACCATTTACAACTTATATCTGCTACTGTGAATATAAGCCTTTGCATCCCTTGAAAACTTTACTTTTTTAGTCCCTTCCCTGTCACAGGAGACCTAAGTATATGAAGATGTCTTCATAGCATCCTTAAGTTTCATTGTTGCCCGTGTTGCCAAGGCCAGCTGTAGTTGGACATGTCCTGGGATCAGGGGTTGGTTGTTGAAAGAGTAGATCATCATCTCATAACCCATATGGACTTTGATGCTTACATATGAAGCACTGCTATGTGTGACATCATGATATCAAGTCATGGCCCAGCCATCATCCTATTTGTGGTTCCCTTAGGACATAACTGCTTTTATGGACAATGAATTTAATATGATTCCTAGTGGCAGAGGGCCAGAATGTTCATATCCCTTGCCATGCAGAATTACTCATCCATCTATATTTTCTTGAACTCTGTTACATTTAGGTAGTGTAAGAAAGTGTGTATTCGGTGAACTGTGTGGAGAGTTAGTGTATGGGATCATTGCTTGTTGGTAGTTTTAAAAACTGTAGATGATTTGGAAAGGAAGAAGGTTTAGACTTTGACAGACTCACAAAGATAGATCAGTTCTTTCTTACTTTATGTACAATATTCCAGAGATACATGTTCTCAGTAACAGGAGGTAGTACAGATTTGGGGCTGTGATGCTTTCAAACTTTGCCAGACTCTTTCATACAATTTAATTGCACAGGCCCTTAGTTGATGGCATGAAGAAAAAGTTTTATACAGTAGATGAAATGCATGTTTATTTTTGATGTGGTTTGGTTTCCTTTCTTGGGACAACTTATGCATGTAATATATTATATTCCTCATACCCCCATCCTTCTGCTCTTAAAGAATAGGAATCATTAGTTTAAAAACGTCTGTTTTAACTATCTTTCCATTTTCAATGATAATATTACTAATTATGTTAATAATTCTAATCAATTAAAAATGCCGCTTAATTTTTTAAAAGAGCTTTATCATTTGATTAACATATAGGCTTCTCTTTGCTCATATTTTTTTTTCTTTATCATCATCTCTTACTAGGCAATGGCGAAGTAGAAATGCTTGTAATAGTGCATAACAGTTATTGAACTCTTGTGATTAAGACTTCAAGAGTTCATTAAGAGGACAGAAAAATGCACCTTTGATATCTTAATCTGATCACTCTAATTGAGAAAATACACCTTAATAATTATTCAGTAGGTATATTGACCTGATCATTCATTTGCCTTCTAATTTGGACCCTTGGTCTTGGCCCTTCTATCTCCATTTAGCTAGGTGATATATGGAGCACCCTGGACATCAGTATTCAGGGGATAGAGCACAGGCCTTTCTTCCTCTCTGGGGTCCGTTCTTCTTGTGTGTGGCGTTGCTGGTGAGCTCCATCAGGGAGCTGACAGTCCAGGCTAGTCATAATGATGCTTTCAGATTTCTAAAGAGTCTGTAATTAAATGACATCACTGAGTCTTAAATGCATCTGCTGTGAAAGTCAGAAGGCTAAATTATCCCATTAAAGAGAGAAAAGTGTTACTTGGTATTACAGAATCCCAAGTTTATTATGCTGAGGAGTTGCTTCGGGAAGGCTATTGAAAGCCAGTTGAGCATGGAACATAGTGGGAAGATTGGGAGGCTGGAAGGCCATGTGGTTCAGAACAGGCTGTTCAAGAATCACAGCTGCACTCAGGCTAAAGTTTAAAAAAAGAAGCCATTAAAAAATTTCTTTTGCTTTCCCAAATGCAATTAACTGCTTGGCTGCTGGTTTTTATTCCTAACAGCTGTGCTGTTTCGGGCCCTCCAGAAGATATCTGCAGCTACATGACCACAGAATAGTGTATTGTAGTTAATTAGAGCATGGTTTGCATGAGACCAAGGCCATGAGTTTAGTTTCCATAGGGCTAACTTCTCTAAGTTAAATCACCAGTTAATATATCCCCAGCCTTACTTACCCGTCTTCCAGATTACTGCCTCATAGCAAAAGGCGTCTGGAGAAAGGAACTTCTATTTATCAGCCCAAGTGCCCCTGCCATTGGAATAATACCTGACAATTATGTTCTTCGGGTCTGTTTGCCTACATGGGTAATTTCTAGAATTAAAGCACTATTAATTTTTCAGTTGCCAGTTGTGATGCCCCCTTTTAAATATTAAAAAAAAAATCGGTATTTGATCAAATCTGAGTATTTTCAATACTCATTTTCTTTGACACTTCCATAGAATTCAGAAATGTTTTTAATTGATTTTTTCTTCCCATGTGTGTCTCATTTACTGTACTGTATCATAACTTAGGAGTTTTATCTTTTGATGACTTTGTAATATAGGGATAGAGTGAAAAGACAAGGAGGAAGTGAGGTGACTTGGACAAAAACTACCACATATTCCCTCCTTTTTCACTAAGCACATACTTACTTTCTCTAAATTGCCTGGCTTCTTTCATCATCAGCCCCCAAGAATGCCATTATTTCCAGTCACCAAACTGAGGCCAGAGGAAGAGATGGAAGACAGAAATGGGCACATGTTTTGTTTTTGTTTTTGTTTTTTTTGAGACGGAGTCTCGTTCTTTTGCCCAGGCTGGAGTGCAGTGGTGCTATCTCAGCTCACTGCAAGCTCTGTCTCCCGGGTTCATGCCATTCTCCTGCCTCAGCCTCCCAAGTAGCTGGGACTACAGGTGCCCGCCACCATGCCCGGCTAATTTTTTGTATTTTTAATAGAGATGGGGTTTCACCATAACCAGGATGGTCTTGATCTCCTGACCTCATGATCCACCTGCCTTGGCCTCCCAAAGTGCTGGGATCACAGGCGTGAGCCACTGTGTCTGGCCAGAAATGGACACATGTTTTATTTCCTTGGTTTCACTTTAGAAACTTTGAAAAATATTCTTACTTCATACTTCAACTTCTTTCCAGTATACCAACTATATCAATAAAGGGTTCTATTTGGTAAATAAAATAAACCAATACAAAAAAGCAGAACTTTTAAGCAAAAGAGGTACATTTTTGGAGGACACTAGAATGTCTCGTAGAATCTAACCCTTTGGAAGGACAAAAACCAGGGCAGCACTGGGGGCCTCAGCAGGAGTCGTCTGCAAATCTTCTCTCTGGGTCATTACGGAGACCCAGTCATTACAAGACCCAGTTATCGCTAACTCCCAAGCCCCAGGTCTCTCACTTTGGCCAGGGGTCTGCTGATACTGTGCACATCACCTAGAGCAAAGGCAAGGCCATGAGACAGAAAACATGGTTTCAGAGTCCACCCTGCTGGATGCTGTGGATCCTTCTCTGAGAAAGGAGACTGGATATGCCACCCAAAAACTATCCATGTTGGTGGATCCAGGGTTAAAGCACGGCCCAGAACGTAACTTAGAATATTACGAAACAGGTGTCAAAGAGTTTTCCAGACCAGCATCTGTTCCAGAAATGTGAGGAAAGCTCTCAAAGCATGTTCAGTACCTGAGAAGTTTGGAACTCCAGATCAAGAGAAGCATTTTTCCTCAGGCTTAAGGCCACATAGAAGGTCTGCACTTTGTGTCACTTTACATTTTACTGACCTTTATTCAACTGTTTGCCTCTTCTCCTCCATCTAACTGAAGGCCATGTAAGATCCAACAGTGATGATTTCACCATCCTGGCTATTAGAAGACTTATGGTTTAAGTATCTCATATTAAATGTTTCCTCCTAATCATCCAGGCAAACAAAGTCAGAATGTATTAGTCCACTAATGTATGTTCAGCATCTGCTATGCTCAGAGTATTGTGCTAGAATTGTAGAAAACATAAGGAAGTTGAACCAGTTTCTGAATTCAAATCACTTATACTTCAGTTATCAATATAAGATATAAACAGAGAAGTAGTTGCAACTATTCTTAAAGGTTTTAAGTAAATTCCACATGATCAGTCTGTAGATGCAAAGTGCTTTAGGCGTAAAAGATTCATGAATAACAACAATAATGATAAGCAATATTTATTGAGCATTTTCTGTAAGGTACTTTTTTTTTCTTGTTTTTTCTTTTCTTTTTTTTTTCTTTTCTTTTTTTTTTTGAGTCAGTGTCTTGCCCTGTTGCCAAGGATGGAGTGCAGTGGCAGGATCATAGCTCACTGCAGCCTCTAACTCCTGGGCTGAAGTGATCCTCCCACCTCAGCCTCCCAAGTAGCTGGCACCACAAGCGTGCACCACCACAATAGGCTAATTTGTGTGTGTGTGTGTGTGTGTGTGTGTGTGTGTGTGTGTGTGTGTGTGTGTGTGAGATGAGGTCTCCCTATATTGCCCAGGCTGTGTCAAGTGTCAAAGCACTTTTTATGGGTTAAATCATTTAATCCCTCAACATATAGGTGGTAGTGCTTTATAGTTAAAGAGACAGGCTTACTGTCTTAGTCACTTTGACCTTCTATAATAAAATACTGTAGATTGGGTGGCTTAAACAACAGACAGTTCTGGAGGCTGGACATTCAAGATCAGGATGTCAGTGTGGTCAAGTTCTGGCAGAGGCTCTTGGTGGCTTACAGACGGCCTCCTCCTTGCTGTGTCTTCACATAGGGTGCAGGGAGAGAGCAAGAGCAAGTTCCCTGCTGTTTGTTCTCATAAGGGCACTCATCCTGTTATGAGGGCTCCATCCTCATAATCTTATATAAACCTAATTAACTCCCAGATACCCCACCTCCGTATACTCTCACACTGGGGGTTTGAGTTTCAACATACGAATTTGTGAGGATGGGGAGACCCAGTTCAATCCATAGCACTTGTAAAGGTTAAATAACTTATTCAAGGTCACACAGGTAGCAACCTAGATACTTCTTCCCTGTGCATATATTTATATATTTATATATATATATATATATATATATATATATATATATATATATATATATGGAATTTTCTAGAGGAAAGGGAGCTTGAATAAGGTTCATATAGCTTCTAAACACTGCACTTGCTGGGTTCTTGGTTGGTTCTTCTGCTTTACATGCTGTTGCTTTTCCTTTGCTGGCCCCTACTCATCTTCTCTACCTCTTAATTGGAGTATCTCAGGGCTCAGTTTTAGACCTCTCCTTTCCTCTATTCCATCAGATCCACTCCCTAGTCTTACAGCTTTAAATAACAGCTGTACAAGAATAGCATCTAAACTTTTATTGCAGTGCCAATCTCTCCTCTCAACTCTCAGTTCATATATCTACTGCCCATTTCATGTCTCCACTTAGATGTCTAATCAGTATCTTAAACTCCACTTTCCAAAACAAAACTCATGAATTTTTTTTTTCCCAAAACTACTCCTCCTATTGTCTTGGTCATCTCAGTAAATGCTTCACCCTCCTGTTTGCTCTGACAAAAGCTCTTTATGTCATGCTCAAAACTTCTCTCTTTTTTTTTGAGACAGAGTATTGGTCTGTCACCCAGGCTGGAGAGTACAGTGGTGTGATCTTGGCTCATTGCAACCTCCACCTCCCGGGTTCAAGCAATTCTCCTGCCTCAGCCTCCCTAGTAGCTGGGATTACAGGTGCCCGCCACCACGCCTGGCTAATTTTTATGTTTTTAGTAGAAACGGGTTTTCACCAAGTTGGCCAGGCTGGTCTCGAACTCCTGACCTCAGGTGATCCACCTGCCTCGGCCTCCCAAAGTGCTGGGATTATGGGCGTGAGCCACCACACCCAGAAACACTTCTCTTTCTTTTATACCCTACATGCAATAGGCCCTCAACAAACCTTGTGTGCTCTACCTTCAGGCTGTATGGAGAATCTGACTTTTTCTAGATGGCAAGATCTTCAGCTCGTTCACCATATAATACATGAAATACATGTATTCTCATAAAACAAGCTTGATACCCTACACTGTCTCTACTGCTGCCCCTCTGAATCAGGCCACCATAATGTCTCATCTCCATTATTTTGCAATGTCTCCTATCGGACACTTTTTACTAATTTTCTTGCCATATAGTCTGGTTTTCACATGGCAGCCAGAGTGATCCTGTTAAAACACAGGGTAGATTATGGCACTTCGTCAGGGTAAAGTTCCAATTCTTCACCATGCCCTATAAAGCAAGAAAGGAAGGAGGAAAGGAAAACTAGGGGCCAGAGCATTTTCTGGACCAGCATCTATTCCGGAAATGTGATGAAAGCCTTAGTTTATTCTTTATCTAAAAAGTTCTCTCCAGAAAATACTTGAGGAAAAGATTACAGCCACACAGAAGCTCTCCATTTAGTGCGACTTTGCATTTTGCTGATGTTTCTTGAGTTCTATGCCACTACTCTCTCTCCTCCCCCAGGACCAAAGGGCATATATTTTGCTTTCGATGACTTGTGCAGTTGTTGATTTCCAGCAAGCTTCTGACTGTAGTTTCACACTGATGATATAGGATTACCATTTGATGGTAGAATAAAAGCAGTATGATGTATTGGAAAGAAGACTGGGTGAGGATTTGAAAGCTGTGGATTCTAGGCCCGTTGCTGATCCTAGGTATATTTTTGGTCTACTTCGATGACTGTATGTCTACCTCAGTGACTGTATTTGGTTATAAGGTTGTGTTACTGTTATAATAATTGCAGGTTTACTAATCAACCTGTCTATCCATTTCAAAGGGAAATTGTTATTTTGGTGTCAATTGCAGGGTATGATGGGGAAAGACTTTCTCTGTTCAATTTCAGTTTCTAAGAATACACTGTTGCTAAAAGTAGTGATAAACTTTATATACAAGGTGTGCATTTTAACCATCACAGCCATATTATACTGACTTACTTTCTAACTCTCCATCTTAGATGTAGTCAACATATTGATCATAGGTTTTAAAGTATCCAAGGACTTGCCCCTCTTTCTGGATAGGGAGATCTTCAACCTGTTGACCACATAATTAGATGAAATATATATTCTCATGTAACAAACCTGACGCCAGTAGTGTTAGGCAGCTCCTAAGGGAGTCAGAAGCTGCTTCCAGCCTCGTAAATAATGAGCACATAACTAACAGAACCTGATCTTCCCAGCAGAAATAAGTCAGCCTCCTTCACAGTATGCAATATGGTCAATGAATCAGTGGTTGCTGAGTGAACTGCACTTCCCCCAGCTGGAGGAGAAACAAGCTTTTTTAGGAGCGATAGAGCATGCAATAGGATGTAGATGGGAAAGGAATCTGATGAATTGATTTTCACTGGAAAAGTCTCAGAGATTCTTCACCTGAGATTGCTTAATAGTCCTAAAGCTTTAAGCTGCTAATGAGTCTCTGTCCAACCCACTGGGGGCACTTACATGTTGCTAAGCACTGAGTAGGCTGAAACAAATCATGGAAAATCATGCTTCCATTTCCTGGAGCTGTGGGGGTGATGACCATAACACCTCAAGTTGCATCAAAGTGATAGAACTTAGACAACTGGCTGGAAATATGTGGAAGTAATTTGCTGCTATCACAAGTTCACATGTTAACATTATTTCACCCAATTTGTATTTTGTGGGTGACCACATGCATTTCATTTGAAATAATTAGGCAAATTCGTCATATAATTCATTTCCTGTTACTAGAGCTAGGTTGTCCTTCTATTTAAGATTTACAACTAGCCAGTACCTGAAGGCAACATGTGACTGAAATATTCTTAAGTTCCATGAAACAAACCTTTCCAGATTGAGATTTGCAGGTAGAGTTTCATGCTGCACGCAGCTGGGGGCTCTCTGGAACCTGCTTGTCAAATAAACAGAGAACATTCATTCTCAGGCATGTGGTCCCAATAGCTTTCACAAGCATTAAACTCACTTAGAAAATAACTAGTAATCAAAAAAAGGCATTTAAACTCAACTCTCTGAAGCATGGAAGGAGATGTACATTACATCGATTGAATTGTCATTACAAATATCTACTTTAGTTGTAGACGTAATTAGGTTTTAGTGAAAGAAGACATTTATGTAGATTGGGGGGATGTGGAAGGTTTTAATCACTGGAATACCATTTTTATTACAGCTGGATATTAGGGACTGATATTGAACAATGGATCCACTCTTTTCCACTGAGAATGGTGGAATCTTCACATTTTAGAACTAACAGGAAGCGGGCAACTGATCTCATTCAGCAGCTGCCTGTTTAGGCTACCCAACCCCTAGAAGTCTGAGAAATTGGTGATAGGGTTTACGAGTTATTTTTAGTGTATTTATGAATATGAATGCATGCATGATATGGCCACAAAACTATGAATCAATTTATTTATACTTAGGTTGGAGTTATATCAACTCAAAGTGTAGCATGTATTGTATGCTCCATAGAAATAGGGGCTGGATCTGCCTAATTTAGTTCTGTGTCCATAGCGCTCATGAATAGGACTTCACACATGATAGGAACTTTAATATTTGTTGGTTGGATGGTTGAACAAATGAGTGGAAGAAGAACTATTCAGAAGTTCTTTTGGCAGTTATAGAAACTTGGATTAATTTTCTTAAAGAAGAAATCCATTACTGTTTAATAAGCATAGTTTGGTTAGTAAAAATATTTCAAAACAAAATGTCCATGAGAGCAAATTAGTAATATAAGTTCTTGGTGTGAAAACGACTTTGCACACTTGTAAACTAGGTTCCCGAAAACTTAAGTGTCTTGCTCCAAGTTGAGCAGGGGGCGGTGATGGCAAAACCAGGATTAGAATCCAGAGCTATTGGCCCATGGTCTTCCCACCACAAACTATGTTATTGAAAATAGATCAGGTTCCTTTAGATGTTTAATAACCTTTATGAGTGAAAATGCTGCCTAATATTTGGAAATCAAACATTTATAGCTCTAAATAAAACTTACCTCTACAGTTACTTCTCACTTTTATTCTTACGTCTAAAGGGTGTGGAAACATCATTGAACATTGTTTTTCACACGCAGATGAGACTCTGTTGAAGGGAGTTTTGTGGTTTAGGGGTTTAGGGGGTTACAGGTACCTTTGAGAATCTGATGACAGCTGTGGACCATGGACAAACACGTGTATGCCCAGACCCAGCAGTTTTACTCGTGGCATCGGGCAGTTCACAGACCCCATCATGAGGATCCTGATTTGGAGGCTCTGCCACCATTCTGTTTGGCCCTCTTTTGGTTTGGATGTTCCTTTCAGAATTGATGAGCTTTCACATTTGCTTCTACTCCGATTAAACAGCTCATATTGTTTCATCATTTAAAAATGCCTTAAAATGAGATGGCTCACACCTGTAATCTCAGCACTTCGGGAGGCCAAGGTGAGAGGATCACTTGAGTCCAGGAGTTCGAGATCAGCCTGAGCAATGTAGTGAGACCTCGTCTCTACCAAAAATTGAAAAATTAGTCGAGTGGTGTGGCACGCACCTGTAGACCCAGCTACTCAGAAAGCTGAAGTGGGAGGATTGCTTGAGCCCGGAAGGTTGAGGCTGCAGTGAGCTGAGATCACACCACTGCACTCCAGCCTGGGTAACAGAGTGAGACCCTGTCTCCAAAAAAAAAAAAAAAAAAAACCTAAAAGGTACTTTTTACATTGTCCGTAGAAGGTGACTACAACTAAGGCATTTTCATTTTTGAAAAATATGGAATAAAAAACCTGTTGTAGAAGAAAATTGTTCACAATGAACAAAAATCTAAATCACTATGCTATGTTGAAGCCTTAAGTGGAGCTATTGTAAAATATGCATTTTTATCCCAAAATGGAAATGGCACTGTAAAAATGGAGACAATTTTAATGTTCTGAAAAAGTGTATAAAAATAGCATGCATTTATCGTTCTTCAAGAAAAGGTACCAAATAATAGAATAGTCAATGGCAGGTTGTCTATTCTAGGTGGATTTGGAGGCTCATTAGTATAGAGAGAACCAAATGGTGAGTCATCCTCCCAGGCTGCTCTCCTTACCTTCAGAACATCAGCAAGACCCTAGTGAGGAAAGGAAGATGCACGTGGACAATCACCTTGGCTTTTTTTTGCCATTCTCCTGGTAACCCCGCCCATTTTCGTTACCTGTGAAAATAAGCCAATTACTAGAAAAGCAAGCTCAATGTATCCAATTAGCAAATTAAGACATTTAGTAAAAATGAAGCCTCAGAATCTTGAAAGGGCAGAGTGAACAGGGAGCACTTTCAACTCCTTTTATCTTCATCAATACTTTTAATTCTGGTGATTTGAAGAGATATTAATAGAGGCAATAGTACTCTGTTAATCTTGACTATATTAATACGAGATTAGGGAAGTTTGGGGGGCTACAGCTACATTTGAGAATCTGATGACAGCTGTGGACTGTGGACTAACACTTGTGTGCCCAGACCCAGGCAGTTTACTCATGGCGTCGGGCAGTTCACAGACCCCACGGTGAGGATCTTGATTTGGGGGATCTGCCACCATTCTGTTTGGCTCTTTTGGTTTGTATGTTCCTTTCAGACTTGATGAGCTTTCACATTTGTTTCAACTCAGATTAAACAGCTCACACTGTTTCATCATTTTAAATGCTGTAAAACAAGGCCAGGTGCGGTGGCTCACACCTGTAACCCTAACACTTTGGGAGGCCAAGGTGGACGGATCACCTGAGGTCAGGAATTCTAGACCAGCCTGGCCAACATGGTGAAACCCCATCTCTACTAAAAATACAAAAATTAGTGGGGTGTGGTGGCACACGCCTGTAATCCCAGCTACCCAGGAGGCTGAGGCAGGAGAGTCTCTGGTACCAGGAAGCAGAGGCTGCAGTGAGCCAAAATCGCGCCTCTGCACTACAACCTGGGGACAGAGGGAGACTCTGTCACACACACAAAAAATAAATAAAAATAAATAAAATGCCCTAAAACAGCTGGATAAAGTTTATCTTGACTGTATTTATCAGGTACCTCACATAACTTTTGAACTGTGGGTCTCAAATATACAACTCCAAGAGGACTTTCAGCCTTACATTACCCTTCTAAGAACAATAAAAATGTCCCCCTTACATTTGCTAGGTCTTTCCCTCCATATGCAGTCCTGATACAGTGAGAACTGATTGAAGAGGTAGGTTCAAGGACCTTGAGCTTCTCCTCATATGTCTAGTTCATTTTTTTGCTACTAAGTGGTTTGGGCTTTTTTGGTACCCTTTCCAGTTACTATAATCAGCTTTGAATCCTCTGTGATGCTTCTCGTGTTCTTTATCCCTAGTTGGAGAAATAACTCTTTGAAGATACTTTTTCATGTACATTCGGGAGACATCAGTAATTTAGGTGATATTTTCATCTTTACGGTCTAGATGAGTCATAGAGTAAGTGTCTCTCTCCTGGTTTAAGTGGTGAATTCCTTCAGAAAGCCACTGGCCGACTAGCCCCTTGGTGACTGTCCCAGTAACATGGAGGCTACCTGGCCTCCTTAGTGAGCCCAGGAGAAGAACCTTATTCTTCTATTTGGAGTTCTTACTTTATTTTCAGCATTTGCGAAATCTCAAAATTAAGTTACCTGTTTTCCTGATTTTGAACTTTAGTTACTAGGCTATTCCATCTTTTCTCTTAGCACCTAAGAGGCACTACCCTCAGTTCAATTTATTCAGGTTTCAATTTCTTCAGCCCAGATGTTCCTTCTGTCATTACGTTAGTTCCCTTGGAAGCTATCCAGGCTGCTGAAAATAGCTTGAGTGTGTCACAACCCACTGGCACTTACCACTTTCTCTTCAGTAGCAGAACTCTTGCCCTATTGAGTGAGCATCTCCCAATCAAATCACAATGGATAGTTGTCTTTTTTTTTTTTAATTATACTTTAAGTTTTAGGGTACATGTGCACAAAGTGCAGGTTTGTTACATATGTATGCATGTGCCATATTGGTGTGCTGCACCCATTAACTCTTCATTAAACATTAGGTATATCTCCTAATGCTATCCCTCCCCCTTCCCCCCACCCCACAACAGGCCCCGGTGTGTGATGTTCCCCTTCCTGTGTCCACACAATGGATAGTTTTCAAAGCAACTACCCATTATGCATGTGTTCTTAAATGGTACGTTGAAGAGACTATACAAAGAACTTTTTTTAAAAAATCAAGTATTACGCAGCCAGCTCATATATAACCATTGTTGAATAGAACTATTACCCTCAATAAATAAGAAATGATGACACTTGGAAAAGAGAGAACAATAGTTAATGGGTCTGCTTTTCCCTCTAACCACAACCATGAAAATATAATCCTCATTAAAGGGCTATAAAGTTGTCTGCTTTCAAGGTTCAGCACACTAATGTCTCCTTGCTTTTAGTGCTGTTTTAGTATGTTGACCCTCTGTTCCCTGCAGCTGGGAGTTTATTAGTCTTTGTGGCCTTTGGGAATGAATATTCATAATGAGATAGCAGTGATGTTTCAGATCCTTTTTAAGGCCCCAAGAGTATTACTCTGAGCAACTAGGAAAACTGAGAAAAAGGCAAATCATGCCAGCATCCCATACTGAATCATGGAACACGGGGCTGTATGCAAAGGACCTGGTGAGGAAACTGAAGCCTAGGGCTACCCAGTTATGAATAGCACAGCCAGGCCAGAATCCAGGTCTTTCAATTCACAGTCCAGATTCTTTCTGTGACATCATATTATCTCTATATGAATTTGCCTTTTCCATTCCTGAGGTTCTAACCCATGAAAAAGATAAAACACCAAGTATCTAAAATTAGAATTTGACCATGATGGTGGAACTTATGTGACAAAGTTATTCAGGGAGGGCAGAGGAGTAGAAAAGCATCTCTATCAACCGTGTAGTTTCTTAGAAGTAAACTCTAGTTATATTTGGGGGTATTAATTTCACCAACTATATCACATTTTTCTTTTTAAAAATTACCATTATTATTCACGTTTTAAAAACATCCTTAAGCTTATTCAGAGAGTCTATGAAACACCTGCTAAATCATATTTACTCTTCTTAGAACAATAAAAATTGATCACTATGGTAGATACAGTTGAGAATAAGGAAGATGTATGATGATGCTTCCTTTTATTTCTTTTTTCCTAATTGTATTATAAACATCTTATGAAATCAAGGTAATTTCATTAAAATTCTTATGATTGGGTCTTAATTTCCTATAGACATTCAAGCCTTAAAAGTTTTCAGTTAAATTCTACATAACTTTCTCCATAGGCAACTTCTTTTAGTCAGTGTGGTACTTCTTTAAATTCTTAATAAGCTCAGATCAGATGAAAGAACTGTTTTTCTATCCCAAGGTGACATCATTTGGATCCCAGACTGAGGTTGCCTTTTTCCTTGAGTGAATACCAATCTGATATACAGGTTGTGGGGGAAAGGCTCTGGTGGAAATAGGGCCAGAGAACCACTCCTCCTGATCAAGGCTGCCCAGAAAGATTCCTCAGTTCAGAAGGATGAACTGGATAGCTTTGCCTATTACAGGCATGGCATTGATGTAATATTGAGTTAACAATATTATTTTGGCCGGGCGCGGTGGTGGCTCACCCCTGTAATCCCAGCACTTTGGGAGGCCGAGGTGGGCGGATCACAAGGTCAAGAGATCGAGACCATCCTGGCCAACATGGTGAAACCCCATCTCTACAAAAAATATAAAAATTAGCTGGGCGTGGTGGCATGCACCTGTAGTCCCAGATACTCTGGAGGCTGAGGCAGGAGAATCGCTTGAACCTGAGAGGCGGAGGTTGCAGTGAGCCGAGATCGCGCCACTGCATTCCAGCCTAGTGACAGAGCAAGACTCCATTTCAAAATAAAAAAGATTATTCATAGTAATCTATGTCTTTGGGTTTATTTAGAAGACACCTGACTTCATCGAAGGCTCCTTCCCCAGTTACGTGCCTGGGAAGCTAATTATTCAGTCGGAGGGTAATGAAAGACGCTGCCATCTGTCTGCCGACTTAATGGAGTGTCAGCATATCCCAAATAGGAAGTAATTGGATTGACAGACACAAAGCCAGTTATTAGACTGTTATTATCTGATTGGAAAAAAGCAGCCAGAGAAGCATACAGCTATAGCAAAAACTAATCTGATGATGTCTGTTGTTCTGGGAATGCAGAAACCACCACACAGAATGCATGGGCTTTGAAATCCCTGACCGGCTTAGGAACGTTTGGAGTTCCTTCTCAGAATTCATCTCTGTATTCTTATTACAAATCATTATAATGCAATAGAATAAAACACAGTTTGCATAAAGATGGGGCCCATTTATAAAACTGTCACCACAGCCACTCTATTAATAGAGCCATTTTAAAGATTTATTGTGAGCATATGTTACTTTTTACAGGGGGCCAGATTGAGAGCTGCAGGATTTGAACGTGGAAGAGTGTGCTACTGATGATAATTCAAAAAAAAATTAAAGCGATTCTGCCCAAGTAGTATCATTAGACTGGTACTCTTCCCTTTTCAGGTGTGATTATCAAAGATCAATCTTAATGAGGCATTAAGGACAGGTGACAAGGTCTAGAGCAGTGCTACATAACTACTTTTTTAAATTCACAGATTCTAGTTTTATTTCCTGGGACCGCTAGAGGTCAGGGAACACAATGCATGGGCTAAATATAAGGGTTTGGAAGCAGAACTGGGTTATGAGCTTTATTGTCCTTTGGAAAACGGTGGCTGCATGTGTCTGGTGGGGAAGAAGTAGTAAAGACATCATCTCTATTCATTCACTGTTGATTCAGTGAGAGTCACAGCCCTCCTCCATAGGATTCCTGAAGTCTCTAGTCCCTGGAGTTTATGCAAAGAGCTAGACAGTTCCACAAGCTTACATTTATTCAGCAAGTTCCTAAATAGCACTTGCAATGTGCTAGGCACTTTCCTAGGTTCTAGGTATACAGCTATGAAGCCGTCTAAGACCCTGCCCTCGTGGGGCCTGCTTTCCAGTAAGGCAAATGAAAAGTAAACAAAGTCAATGCTTGTGGTATCAGATTATAAGTGCTGTAAAGAAAAAAAGAGGCAGTGAAGGGAGATGGAGAATGATCTTAAGAAGGTGATGTATGTGCTGGCACCCTACTGAAGTCAGCAAGTGAGTTGTGTAACTGTCTGGAGGAAGAGCAGCCCAGGCAGAGGGACCAGGACTTTCAGAGGCCCAAGCAAATTATGAGTATTTTTGCCAGTCCTACCACCAAGAAACCAGCTGCTTTCAGATTCCTTTGCCTGATAATATTAGAGTTAGTCCTCAACATTTCTTATTTGTAAGTTAGGGAATACTGAAAATATGCATGCAAAGGTACTGTAATCTATAAAGAATACATAAACATAGGATATTGTGAGTAAGCTCCAAATAAGCTTTAGAGATCTCCATCATTATAATCTGAGTCATTTAAAAGCTTTGAGGGAATTCCCACTTAAAGAGACCAAGTCTGTGGTGATATCACTTTTATCACACAAACCTTTATCAGTAATTTTCTTGGCATATTTACAAAGAAATAAACAAAGGAATTACTTGTTAGTAATATTACCTGCCACATAATGAGTGCTACCATATTTCAGACACTGTTTATAGACACGAGGTGAATTTAAGATACTACTGCAATACATACATCACTGCCAACCTTATAATAACCCTGCAAGGCAGATATTATTTCCTCATTTTACAGATTAGGAGCCTGAGTGGTCAGAAAAGTGCCACAGTTAAATATCTGGGAAAGCTGAAATTCCAACCCAGGCCTGTCTGACCTCAGACCCTGTGGCCTCTCCTGTATATTATGTTGCTCAAAAGATCATACCATTGAGTTCTTAATATGAGTGGCACACTGTGTTAGGAACCATGAGAAAGACAAAAAAAAATAAAATAAAATAAAAGCACAATCCCTCTACTCAGAGACATGAAAATATAGTTGGGGAGAGATAATTTTATGAGAAATAACAGAGGACAGTAAAAGATGAGGTATAAACACATCATTGTGTTCCTTGGACTATGAAAGCTAAGGAACAGAGAGAGATTAATGTAGACTACAGACAATAAGGCTGAAGCTGCGATTTTGAGAGACAGGTAAAATTCAGGTGATCTCTGTCATAGAGTTCCAGTCATATATTGATGTTAGAATCTACTCCTGTACCTAGGGTGAAAATCAGATATCATCATGATTACCTATGAAAATTGCTTAGCAAGTTAGAGATGAACTACTGTCTCTCAACATGGTAAATATAACCCAGCTACATTTTCCTCCAATTTTATACCCCTTTGGTTAAACTCCAAAAGAGGTATCCCCCCTGTGAATAATTATGTCACATAAAAAGTACACATTTTAAGTACTAGATCACACAGTCACACTCAGAATGACTAGAGTCTGATACCATGAAAGACATCCAGGAGCTGAGTCTGACTGAGGGGCCTGGATTGGTGCCTCCCTGTCCTGCATACTGTGGGACACATTCTCATCGAGTGGAATGGCAGGCCAAATACCTTGATGTGTTTGCATTGCCCCTGTCCCTCTCAGCCCATACACCGCTGATTTCATGTATATTAAATATGGGTATTCTAAAACCTCACTGAAGTGGAGTATGTTCTAAATAAGCAGAAAAACATAAGCAAAAGGACAAGGACAGAAATAATTTTGGATTCTCATGAAATCATCAAATGGCCATTATGCAGAGATATGGGAATGTAACGCAGCCTGATCCTAAGAGGACCATGCAAACCAGAGGGAAAATTAAAGATTCATGAGATGGAAGTAAAAGCCATTGAAAGTTTTTGAGAAATGAAATATACTGTGAAAGTTTGATGCAGATTAGTCTAGTGGTGAAATATAGGGTGGGTAGTGAAGTAGGAATGGAAAAGACCAGACCAGAGACAGTTATAATCCAGAAGAAGGTATGGACTAGAGTTAGATCATTTCTAGAGATGGGACTTGTTTGGAGATTACTTTTCACCTTACTTAATCTCATTAATGTGATTTAAAGGAAATAATGCACACTCAAAGGAGCAGGTTAAATACCAAGAACTTAGTGAGTCAGGTAGCTGTAGCTTTATAGAAGGCACTTTTTCATCCATCCTTTCATCCATCCATCCATCCATCCATCCATCCACCCACCCACCCACC
Source organism: Homo sapiens (assembly GCF_000001405.40). Taxonomy (NCBI): domain Eukaryota; kingdom Metazoa; phylum Chordata; class Mammalia; order Primates; family Hominidae; genus Homo; species Homo sapiens. The sequence goes on from NC_000007.14 coordinate 133,800,056, forward strand.
CATCATATTTTCTTTCCTCCCTCTCTACATTTATACTTACAGTCAAACATATCACTTCCCCAGATGAGAGTCTCAGCTTAGCACTCTAAAATGCTGGTGGCATTAAGTTAGGTAATGAATGTGAAAGTGACTAAAAAATTCTGAAAACAAATTTGAAATGTTATTATCCAGTTGTCATTCCTTTGGATTCTCTTAAAGTCACATTTAAAGTAGGTAGATTTATATATTACTTGTACTTTTGAAAATAAATATATCCTTCAATCATTCTAATAGTTTTTAACTATTCTGATTCCTTCTGTGTTTTTATGATATCGTCTTCTTCTAGAGAATTAGTTGACCAAAAATAAAGGGAGTCGTTCTATTTCTTAAGACCTAAAATAATCATTTTGGTTCATTTATGATGCTCTGAATGAAAAATTCACAACTTTAGGAATAAAAGTTTTCCAGTTTTGTTTTAATAACATTCCTTTTTTTGTCCTCATAAAGTAGTATTAAGTAATATCACATTATTAAGTAATATTTCTGCACTGAATTTTCAGTCCTCTGATGATAGGATTTTCTTTCTTTTGTTTCAAAAGTTGAAGCAATCTTAGGAACAATAGTCAAAAAGAATTCATTTAGGGAAACATTTCACAAAGATCCCCTGGTCATTGCTTTCAAAGTTTAGATGACCCAAGTAACAGACAGTGTTGACGTCTAGTCATAACTTCAGTGTGGGTAGGCAGGCATCTTCTGTTCTCCAATAACGATACTATAAAGTGTCAAGCATACATAAATTCTCAAATCTGAGCATGAGATACAAAATTTTTAAGATAATCTCATGCTTTTGTTCCATTCCAATGTTTTAACTTACATAAATTATCTTAGGGAATACAGTGGCTCAAGCTTGTGGTTGAAGTTGATCAAGCCCTTCTTTTGATGAGTAAATGAATAAAGGGATACCCATGTCTGCTCAGAACCATCTTTGGTCCGACCTTATGAATAGCACAGATACGTCCTCTATAATCGTGGCCTAAAGAAATAAGAAAAAAATTGTTAGTATCTCATTCTGTCACCTCCACTGAGGTGCCTATTACAGGATAATGAATTATATATTATCGGGAAACGAGCCATGTAGTCTAAGGGTAGGCAAAACATCTACAACCCTCAACTTTTAATTCATTTTCTCTCACTAATGGTCTCTTTTTATTCAGCATGCTATTGAGGATTTTCCTGATACCATGACAGAAGGAATGAAATCTACCTTCAATTATTTATGGTTTAAATGAATGCAAATAAGACTTTCTGGCTTGCTGTGCTGATACTCATTAATAAATATTTCACTGGGTATTAGGAAGATTCAGATTGACTAAATGAGGCTCTTCTTCAATATAAACGAAAGCCCTTGTGTTTTTCGCTACTGTGCAGGCCTAATTCTCGTGTCTGGCCTTCATTAAGGCAAATGAATGTTAGATGGGTGCATCAACACAGGGATGGATCCTGTGGGAACCTGAGTTGGCGGGGGGCTCTGCAGTGAAATAATCCTCTAGTTAAACCAAATTTAATCTCATTAGCAGGGTAATTGTGCTGTTAGGGGAAATGGCCAACCAGGTTACAGAGAAACCCACATAGTCTAATTATTCTTCGACTTCTGTCACTGAAGAACTCAGAGGCAAAAGATGCTCAGCCTACTATCGTGGTTAAGTCTTAGAAAAATCTCAGACCTTTCACAGTTGCCAGAACCTGTGTATGGCATTGATCATGTCCTACCCATTCTGGGATCCTTTCCTGTATAAATTAACACACCAATAATACAAGCTCCTGTCATGTTGCTCCTTTTTATATGTGCATTTTGCCCACCCACTTTTCCAACAAGGTTGGACTTTGCTAGTGTTTTAAAACTGTTCAGGATATAGTATTGCATCAGAAAGTTCTAAAACTACCAAAATATATAAAACTTAGTTATAAAAAATAAGCCTTTCCATATTTCTGCTCCTTGGGAAATTTTCTAGAATCTTTGAACCTGTGGACCATGTATTTTACATTCCTCTGGATTTACAGGCATTGTGGGCTTTGCCATTTTTAGGATGTGGTATAGAAGAAAGCATGGTGGACTAATTAGGAACCAGATCTGGCTTCAAGATACAGTCTGAAAGCTTGAGAATAGTGTGACCTTCAGCAAATTACTTACCTTTTCTGAACTGTAATTTCCTCACATGTAAAATGGAAATAATTATCACTGTCAAAACAGCCCCCAAAGCAGAATGAGGTTCAAGTATGTGAAAGTCTTTTGTAAGTGCTAACATGCACTATAGATATGAACAATAATCATGCATCCACTTGACTTATAAGACTTGGCATTCCTAGCTTCTAGGGCACAGCTTACATATGGTCAGTAAATGTTAATTGAATTAATTGCTTAGATATTTGGTAGGCTTACTGTCATGTTTCAGGTTGTTGCTGGAATCTTACATGAATAACTATTGCTGAGAATTTGTCAAAACCAAACAGTGAAATGGATGCTGCTCCATATTTTTTAATAGGCCGGGCGCAGTGGCTCACACCTGTAATTTCAGCACTTTGGGAGGCTGAGGCAGGCGGATCACCCAAGTTCAGGAGTTCAAGAGCAGCCTGCCCAACATGGCTACTAAAAATACAAAAAATTAGCCAGATGTGGTGGTGGAAGCCTGTAATCCCAGCTACTTGGGAGGCTGAGGCAGGAGTATTGCTTGGACCCGGGAGGCGGAGAGTTGCAGTGAGCCAAGATCATGCCACTGCACTCCAGCCTGGGCGACGAGCGAAACTCTGTCTCCACAAAAAAAAAAAAAAAAAAAGGAGAGAGAGAGAAAATACAGTGAATACCTCCTGTCCAAGAAGAACTTATTATATTGCTTCCAAAACAAGATATGCATGTGGGAAATGACAGAAAAAAAAACACTTCTAAAGACATTAATAAGTGTGAATGCATTGAAGTAATGAACTGAATACATAAATGGTAAATGCAAAACTAACTTTTGTGCTTGTGGTTATCATGCCTGTTGCCATAATTTTTTATTGTCAGCCTTATGACAATGAGCAATTTTATGAATACTATCATATTTAAAATAAACTGTGTTAGAACTGGCTGCCAACATGATGGCTGGAAATTTTTTCGCAAGTTTTATCTGAGCCAGAGTAGTTTTCTGAAATAATTTTTTCCATTAAGATGTATTTTGTATTTGTGTTATGATAAAGCATGTATTTCTTGAATTTTTCCATTACTTTGAAAACAGGAAACATTTCTCAGATGAAACCAGGGCTTATACTGGAGTTTTGTTGTTTTATTTTTTTAAATGTACAAACCATTTCTACAGGCTTTTTCTGTCTCTTGCTTGCATATTCAGCTGAGTATAACATACTGGGCAGAGTCACCTGATTGCAGACATTGACTCTTGCTTGGACAGCTGTTTTATCTTCTGTGAGTTTTAGGAATTTGTCATCAACATAATCCAAAAGAATATCAGTTCTGCAGGAACTGATAATATTGTAATCGAAATTCTTCTACAGAGTCTAGTTTTTCTTAGAAAATGATGCATATTGTATCATTTTAATGTCTATACAACTGATAGATATTCACTTGCAAGTAATCAGTTAGACAGGAAGACACCTTTTCTTTATTATCCTGTGTACAAATGTAATAATCTATACTTTTCTATATCTCAGATTTGTGAGCAGAATTTTTAACTCTGATTTAGCCTTACAGGGGATATGAAAACATAAATAAAATAGAAAGGTGGAAATACTAAAAGTCTTTAATTCCTATGTAATAAGTGGACCTATTTATGAAATTAACTATAAAGAATTTAACACAGATGCCTCTTGAAGGAACAAAGAACTGTAGGAATGGAATGGTAGCTCAGATGGCTTAAAATATTTAGTTTGGTTTACTGTTAGTTCACTTTTGATGTGAATTTGATGTTACTCCAACCCATTTTGTTATGTCGAAATCCTGATAATGTGATATATCAATAGATGACCCAAAGTGAGACTCTAAAAGGCAATACTGTCTTCCAAGTAGGAAAGGGCTCCAGAGGAGGTAACTTTGAGAACTTTGAACCACTGTAGAAAAATAACTTTGTGAATACCGTTGCAAGATAATTGTAGATACTGTTCAGGCAAAGTGTAGATGTGTGAACAGAGAAAGATACCAACAGTGATATGAGATTATCCTGGCTTACCTGAATTAATGATCAAGTGTGTGAATACAGGAAAACAAAAATAGAAAAGTTTAAGGGACAAGACTAATATCATAACTGTCTTTGCCTGTCTGTGACTCATATCATTAGTGGCTACTTTTTTCTTAGGGCACTGTGCATTCAGAACACTTTGCCAGTTAATCAAGTGATAGTAAACTTAAGAGTGTGATAAGAAATAATCATAAACTAAGTTCAGCAATAAGGGTGGTTGCCAGATAGGCCCATTAGAGATCATTCAAACTGAGTTTTCCAAAGTATTCATATATTAAATGTAATGAAATCCATCCTGTTGAAAAAGAGTGGAATAACCATGGAGCCAGTTTGTTTCTTCCAGACAATATATACTATAATTTTATTTCAGCAGGTACATAAGCCAGTCACATTTTTGACATATGAAATACTTCCAGTCTTTGACTTCTGTTATTCATACCTGAGTAATGTTCAGCTTAGGCCAGCTTCACTAAATTTCACGTTTGAGAAAAGGACTAGGTTTTGATTTGCTGATAGTTTGCCTTAAAAATTCCTCATTGATATGTTTAACATAGTACATGCATCCTTAACTTCACAACTTTCTTTTTTTCCTTTCACCATCTTTCTTCCTTATCTTGCTTAGCCAGCCGTATTTCTTTCCTAAAACATAGCCTTAAAATAATCTGTATATTGTATCCGCTTTAAGAAGGACTAGCCTTTAAAGACCAGCCTAAACAAGCTGTAAAAATAACTTAATATTATTTATTAAAACATTTATTAACTGTGTCCACTGTACTTGATGTAGTGTTAGGTGTTTCAGGTATAAATCAAAGATGTACAAAACGCAGTTGCTGCTCAGAAGGAACTTAATTCTAAAAGAGAAAAACAGGTAGAAAAAAAGACTAATGCTATGAAGTTAAATAGTTCAAATACATAAAGCGGTTTTAAAGGCATCTGGGAAAACTTTGTGAGTGACTTAGTTTTGAAGTGGTCCTTGAAGAAAGGCTATTGTGAAAATGATAAATTTTCAAAACTCCTCTTTAGCTGATTTGCCACAATTTAGAAAATGCAAGGGAACAGTAGAAATAGACCACATGATCATTATAAGAAAAGGCATGAACTTAAAAAAATACAGAGAGTACATGGAACTCAAAGTTTGCTAATGAGTAGAAGTAGAAATAATGTTAGACTTATTTCTTGAGTTTCTTACCTACTGGATACCAAACAATGTCTACATGAAAAAGACATGTTCCCTCTTTTCAAGATATTTTAAAACTAGTAGGGAAGACAGATACCTCCATAGCAGAATTCTGTGGACTCAGGGTGGTGTGGTGACATAGTAAAAGGGCATTCACCATACACGTAAGGGAGAAGGGCCTCTGGAGGAAGTGACATCTAAGCTAGTGGCCACAGGACAAGTGACAGTCAGGAAGGAGATAGGGGGACAGTGTTCTAAATAAACGAACCAGCTTGTACAGAGACTATGCTGGAGGCAAGAGAGAGCAAGGCATGTTTTATGAAACTGCAAGGAGTTCTAGATTCTTTGCTTTAATGAGATTAACCAAATAGTCATATATTTTATAAGTTGAAGGAAGAAGGGATGGAAGAAGGAAAAATCAGTTAGGAGATTATTTTAGGGAGGCCTGGGAAAAAGTTTTGCCCTATTTTAATTCTGTCTATTCACCTGCGTCATCTCATTTTGTAAGAACCTGAATTAGTATGTGAGTGTTACAAATGGAGGCACAGGAATGTCTGTCTGAGTTCAAGCATTAAACTACTTGAACACTATTCATAGCATGTGCTAAGTGGGTGATAGCTCCTGGGGCATAATTCTTTCACTGGGGGTGCCTTAGACCTGGAACACTAACATAGTGCCTACCTTTCAGCATAAGGAGTAATAAATAGTGAAGGGGTAAACAAGTAGATAAATGTATGAACTTAAGATTTAATATAAAGAGAATGTCTATACATCTAGAAGCTTCTTGCATGAGTAGCAAGGCTGAAGAAAAAGTGAAAGATGATTTTTAAGCTTGAGCTTAGGTAACTGGAATGATGATGACACAAAAATAGAGAACACAGGAGGAGAGAATTGAAATGATAATGGGAGTGCAGCAGCGAAGAGCTCCATGTTGGACATAGTTTGAGTTATCAGGAGGACATCATTTGAAAGTATCTATCAAGTGATTGGAAATGCAGGTCAGGAGCAAGAAGTCAGGGCTGGAGATAATATTTGTTGTATTTTTAGAGAAATAATTCAGTCTTTGATATATTCAAATGCTTATATTTAGTAATATTATGGTCCTCTCCATCCACACAATGTCCCAGTACCTCAGCACACACTTTAGGGTTTTCAGCATGGACTTAAGTCTATTGATTGTCATCCCCTTGCCTGCCCACCTCTGGAGTTCTAACCTTACGGGTGAACCTTTGAGAGGCTTTGATATTAAAGTATGTTGGATAGCGTGATGAAGTCTGGCATGGTCTCTGGAGACAAACTGTCCAAGGTCAAATTTTGGCCCCATCCCTTGCTAGCTGTATGACCTTGGGAAAGTAACTTTGCCTTTCTGTGCCTTCGTGTCTGCTTCCAAATGGCAATTATAAAAGTACCTAACTTCATAGTGTTATAAGGAATATGTGAAGCAAAGCATGGTGATTACTTAAAACAATGCTGGCCTATACAGTTGGCCCTCAGAAAACACTGGTTTGAACTGTGCAGGTCCACTTCTATGCTGATTTTCTTAAATAAATACGGTCGGCCCTCATATCGCAGGGCTCTGCATCCACAACCAAATGCAGATCGAAAATACAGCATTCACAGCATGTGAAATCGGAAGATATGGTGGGCCGACTTTTCATATACGCAGGTTCTGCAGGGCTGACTGCCGGACTGGAGTGTGCACAGACCCAGATGGTCTTGGAACCAGTCCCCCAGGGATACTGAAAGATGACTACAATAAGAACAATAAGAACTGTCAGCTGTTAATGTTACTGCCATTTTTTCAGCTGCCCAGTTTTATCACATGTAAAATGGAGATAGTAAAAGCACAGTCCTCATAGAGTGTCTGTGAAAGTCACATAAAAAAGAATCCATATAAAGCTCTTTGATCAGGACGTGGTAAGCGCTCCATGGGTTTAAGCAATTATTAATACAGCTCCTACTGGAATAGCAACAGGTAGAAAATTTGCCAGATTCTCCTGTGTCTTGCATTAGAGTCTCTGAAGGTCAAACTGATATGGGGCACCTAAAACAGAGTATATTTAATACGTGACACATAAGTTTCCAGGTGTATGATGGATATTTTGAATAAATTGCAGTTTTTCTTGGAAATTTTTCTGACAGCTTTATCTTCTGAAAAAAAAATAAAGAAAGAAAGAAGAGGGTATTTACCGTAAGATAAATTGAAAGGATAAAACCAGAATTCCAGACCTCTTGGAAAAGCAGGATTATTATTTTGTTCTCTGAGTTTTATGTCAGCATCCCTTATTTATTTATGCAATCTTTGGTTTAAAAAGATTGTTTGATATGAAGGGTTAGAGTTTAAGTCACTTCAATTTCCAAATTATATGCTTAAAAAATTTAACAGCTGTCGTTTTTAGAGAGGCTTACTTCATTTTACCTAAAGTGCTTTTCAGTCTAGAGGGAACACTTAACTGTAGTCACAAATCACTTGCAATATACTCATGGTAAGATTTTTTTAAGTTAAATTTGTTTATAAGCCTGCAGCGTCCAAATTTTGTAGATAATATTCTTTCTCCCTTTATTTAATGATTTTTACCTCTTTTCTCCTCTACTTCCAGACATGAATTGCACACATTACAAATAAGAGCACCCAAATCCCTTTTTATTTGATTAGTTCAGCAAATTGTCTCCTACGGGTATGGGCTGAGGACATGATTGGGCTCTGCAGTGATGAGCTTATTTTGTACTTTTACACAGAAAATCTTTATATACAAAAGGCACAGATAGTAGTTACACTCAGCATGAACAATTACAGCTTGTTGGGAGAGAACCTCTTCCTGATGTGCCAATGGCTTACTCCCATGAATTAAGAGGCAAACGTGCTCCAAAGTGCATTAACCTTTATGGATTTTTTTTCGGTTTTCATGTTCCACTGATTTATGGTCTTAAATATGCCTGTTGCTGCTGTTTCTGAATGAGTCCCTTGTAAATCATTTCTAAATGATCTTTTTCGACTCAGATAATACTAGTGAGTTGAATATATCTCAAATCAATTCCTCTGAGGCTTCTTTCCTTCTTTGCCTAAGTTGTTTTCCAGTTTGCTCTGTGTCTTAAAAGTCATACCTGAGAGCAGTTGAGAAAGTAAGAAATATATCTTAAAGGAGCCCTGTTTGCTGGGGGCGCCTTCTTTCTGCAGACTGAGTTGTTTCCAGCCTTTTGCATGGCCTCACTTGGGTTTGATTCCCAAAGCCCAATTGTCATCTGAGTATAGCTAACGGGTCATAGTTCTTTGTACAAGGATGGGCCCATGTCTGGGGGTGGATTTTATTATGAGTTGTAGGTTGATTTTTTTTTTTACATATAAATCTACCATGGTAGGGATTTTGAATATACTGTGTTCTCATAAATAGTCCATGATTTCCCTTAGAGTGGTGTGCAGAAAGTGTCATCAGAATGCAGGACTCTGTTATTAGTGCTGTTTGCCATCTTTGTACATGGGCCCATATCTCTCCTGAAAAGTTCTGCATTTGACAGTTAGTGTTTCATTCTCATTCTGGGTCCAAAGATTATTTCAGTTTGCTGGATTTAGGGTGTTTCATTCTCATTCTGGGTCCAAAGATTATTTCAGTTTGCTGGATTTAGGGGGAATGTGCATTTTATTTTCTCTTTGTAACTCATGTATCATTCATGCTACAGGCTTGTTTTTACTGTTGTTTGCATTCTTTACATAAAACCAAAACTCAAAATCAAAGGTACAGAATTCTGATGCAGATCTGTGGCTTTTGTAGCACACGTAATTCATTCATGATGGTGTCACAAACAGTATGTCACCGTTTATTGCCAATTAAAATTTTAATGCATGCTTTTATACACAATCTGTGTCATATAACAATATTAAATGTGACAGTAGAGGATTGGCACAATGAGGATGGGACCGTGTGGACTTACTTTTGATCATGCAAAGCTTCCGCAGACCTGTAAATGTCATGCAACTTTTCACATAGAAATCTTGGACTAAAATGGAGATGAAAGAGTTCAGATTCATTTTTTTAGTCTTTATTAATAGGAGAGATTCAGAGCTTCTCAGTAAGGATGGTACATCTCTGCAGAGTCAAGACTAGATTAGAAAACATGTAAGAGGAAATGATATGTTGAGAGATCCTGCAAAATGCAGAAGTCATAAAGGATAAATCACGCGTTTCTATTGGTTGTGATACATGGAATCAGCAGGAAAATTCCAAGACCTCCCAAATATCTATATTAATGTGTACGTTATTCATCCTAAACTACCAAATTATATGTAATGATATACAGCAAAGTCAGGAGATAGCAAAGTGAAAAGTTTATGTTGTATGATACAGAGCATATATAAATGTACACATTAAAAGACATAATTAGCAATAAACAGTGATTCACTGTTTGTGAAAGAGTCATGCATGAATTACTTGTGCTCTAAAACCAGAATCCTGAATTTGAATATTCTGAAATTTGTACCTTTGATTTTGTATTTTGGTTTCATGAAAAATGAATGATGTGCTCTCATGATTAGACTCAAGTTGCGCATTTTTAGCAAGAGTAACAGAAAACAATACTGTGTTCTTCTTTATATCATATCAGAAGGCACATGATGTCCATTTTGTCCCATTATTAGTGATGCTGGCCGTCGAATTTTAAAAGCTTTTTAGGATATGAATGTAAGGAATACTTATTTAATAAGCAATTATTTTTATTCAAATAAATAAAACATCACTGCTGTCATTGCAGCTTCTACAATACGATATAGGACCTCTCTGTTAAAGGATATTTCCAGCTGGTAGCAGCCACAATTCTTGGCTGAGATGAAATGGAAGAAATGGAGCTGTACAGTGAAACAGAATTTGTGATAAGGCTGGGCTAAGTGAGGGATGCTTGAGTGAAATTTTAATTAGTTTATAATTTCCCTTGATAGCAATCAAATCAAGATTAAAATTTTGAAAATATTGGGTGAAATGTTCATAGTGTGTCCTCATGTGTGCATTCCAAAGGACACATAACTTGCTGCAAGAAAGTAAATTCAACAACACAGGTATTGCATATGTACATACATTTAGAGGGCCTTTAGTTGAGAATCTGAAAAGGAAAGCTTCAATTAAATATTTATAAATGTTAGAATTTAGACGATAAGATCCATGCTTTGCTTTATTTTATTTTATTTTATTTTATTTTATTTTATTTTATTTTATTTTATTTTTTAGATGGAGTCTTGCTGTGTTGCCCAGGCTGGAGTGCAGTGGCACAATCTTGGCTCACTGCAACCTCCGCCTCCCAGGTTCAAGCAATTCTCCTGCTTGTTTCCCGAGTAGCTGGGTCTACAGGCACCCGCCACCATGCCCTGGGGCTAATTTTTTGTGTTTTTAGTGGAGACAGGGTTTTACCATGTTAGCCAGGATGGTCTCGATCTCCTGACCTCGTGATCTGCCTGCCTTGGCCTCTCAAAGTGCTGGGATTACAGGTATGAGCTACCGCGCCCGGCCAGATCCATGCTTTAAACATTTGAAAGCAATGAGAGTCAGTTGCGTACTCGCATTTTTTGTTTTTTTGTTTCTCCTACTTTACAACCTTAAGTTTAGGAGGCTGATCTGAATAAGGGTCCTCAAAATCCTGTGATGAGACGCTCCCCATACAGCATTATGTATACCCTTTTCTTTACTCTCATAGTCTCTTTTTCCATATACACAGATATACCTGTATGTTGTGTTTCCCTGCTCATCATTTACAGGGGATAGGAAACCCCTGGTATAAAAGTACTTCACGAGATTAAATAATACTCTTTTGACAGGGCTCCATCTGTGTTCTAACTTAACTTTGAAGTGAAGTATTTTCTTTTCTAATGAGATTCTTTTCACTGTTAAAAATTCAATGTTTTCATACTTCCATAGAGCTAATGAGGAGCATTGTTGGGAAAATTGGGCTTTTTGATTATTCTCTTCTATACCCTTGACTCTCACTCCTGTCTCCCATTCAACAGATCATTTTTAAATGCTTACTAGGTGAAAGGATCCATCCAGTACACTGTGGTAAATTGGGGAAAATAAAATAAAGACTCACCAAAAATGTTGAAGAGCTGCTTGCAATATTTTAATTTGTGGAAATAATTCAACAGAAGCAAAATGAAGATGTTCCCTAGTAGCTGTTTGGTTAATAAAACTGTTCATTAGCTTGGTAGAATGAATCTGTAATATTCTGTCAAAGAACAGAATACAAAGTAGTGTGAACAGCCATATTGCACAAAATATAAAACAGTGTGGGATGTGGATAAGAATGAGAGGATCCTCTGTCAATAAGAATTACTGGTTTACATTCGAATGGTGGAGATATGGGATGATTTTTTAAAAATTTTGTATTGAAATCTGTAGTCCAAACTCTTAGGAGAAGGGCATTACATGCCAGATAGATTATGTCCTAGTTTCAGGAACTATGGATTATGATCAAAGGACCTTTTAATTATTTTATCCAATATTTTATTCAATAAATATTTCCTACAAGTCTACTGTGTGCCAGTCATAGAGTAGCACTACTAGGCATGAAGGATTCAGCAGTTAGCAATTTACACTTTGCGCCTGGCCACGTGGGGTTTTTTGCTCATTCCTACATCCATTTATTAGTGAAATATTCCAAGTATTAACCTAATGTTCAGAATTGTCAACTAGGGATGATTAGATATGAAAATAAGGGAGCAAAGTGAAAAGTGAAAAAAAAAATCATACAATATTTCACACTTTCCTCTAATCTCCAGCCTCATCAGAGTTTATGTAAGATAGTAATTCTAAAAACCGCAGCAGCACCATTTACTAAGCAGTTACTGTGTGCCGGTCTCTGTTTTGAGTGCTTAATTTTCATTTCCTCATTAAACCATCAAAACAATCTTGTGAGGTAGGTAGTGTTATTGTAGCCATTTTACAGAAGACACAAGTAAAGCCAAGAGAGGCTAAGTAACCTGCTCGAGACTGTGCATTCCAGGTCCAAACTCTGGAAGCCCTACTGTAAGTGTTCCTCTCTTGACCACTCTCCTTCTCTAAGTCCCTCCCCTCTGCAGAGTGACACTGAGTGAGGTTCATCTCCTGGATGGCTAGGAAGGCTCATTTTCTGTGTCCTTCCTGCCCATGAAGGGTAGGTTGCCCATTTAATGTAACTACTTTTTTTCATTTTTCATTTTTATTTATTTTTAATTGAAAAATAGAAATTATATTCATTTATGATATACATGTTTTGAAATACATATACGTTGTGGGATGGCTACATTGAGCTAAGTAACATGTATTACTTCACATATTTATTTTTTGTGATGAGAACACATAAACTCTGCTCTCTTAGTGATTTCTAGTATCCACACATTGTTACTAACTATAGTCACCATGCCGTGTATTAGATCTCTTGATCTCTTGAATTTACCCCTCCCGGAAATTTTGTAACCTTTGACCAACATCTCCTCCCCTCCCCCATCCCTTAGCCCCCGTTCTATCCATTTTTCACTGAGGTAAAGAAACACTAAGGGACTGGCGAAACAGCCTTAATATTTCTCTTTCATTCTCACCCACATGTTTTGTGCTTCTGTACAGGGAGGTCCCTTGCCGCTCTGAAAGCAGATTTGGAAACATGTTGAATGAGTCCCCTCCAGTTAGGGCTGACAACGTCAACCTGTATGTGTCATGTGAGATGGATGTGTATGCTTTAAGGAAAAAATGATTTGAATTTGAAAGAAATCACTCAGCCAAAAGCGATGGGGGCCCCTTTGTCTGTGCTGCTCAGCACAGTTCATATTTTAGGTACACGAAAGGCAAATATGGGACTAGAAAGAAAGAAAATGAGGCTAATTTAGAGTCTTCTGCCCATCTGTTTATGAGCAGATTGACTAGTAAAAGTTTTGTTCTGATAAATGTTAAATATTTTGAAAATGTCAGAAGTATACTCAGAAAACTCTTTTCCAAAGTCCCTTTGAAGAAAATAGAGATTCTGATGATTAATTCTCATAATATTAAAAAATAATAAAAAGAGTTTCGGTGTATTTACTCATTAGCAAATTAATAACAGTGGTTTTCTTTTGGAAGGCAACCAAGTAGACTAGGATGCACCTGGGTAGAGTATCTTTTTGGGAGTTAGATGAGAACAGAAGGGGTCATCGCAGCAGGATGTGGTATTTGGAGATCTTCAAATTGTGGCCATGCTTAACCATCTACTTTTATTTCATTTTTCCCTGCCTTCTTTCACTCACCCTCTCTTTAAAGATCCATTATATTTTGGTTTTGGTCCTATTTTATTTTTCTTTCACATTGATAACATCAGTTAAGAAGCCTCAATGCTCTTTCTTGTGCCTTCTCAATTTCATCTTTCTTTGAAGGAAAGCTACTTTTTTCATTGTGATAATCCTATATATACACCATCTTCATCCCCCCACCACACATACACCCCAGGGGTTAATAGAGCGTTTAACTGGTAATATGTAAGGTTAACTGCAATGTATTGGTTTAGTAAGTAAAGAAAACTCTTTACTAGGTTAAACAGCTAAACTTAAGGAACTATTATACAGCAATTTATTAAATATAGTCTTTGATATGTGTAGGCAATTTTAAAATTTTCTAATTTAATGTTATTTGAGTAGCTAATACATTAACAGTTTTTAACAATCAAATGATTATTAAAAGTTATAATTCAAAAGTCTAATTTCTACTCCTCTCCCAGACCTGACCCCCACCCCTGCCTCCTATGGGTACTTAGTCGTTTTTTTGAGACTTCCCAGGATGTCTTTATGCTAAAATAAACAAATGGGTATATAATTGTTATATAGAGGTTAGTGTAGTAAATACTGCTAACCGTAGATTGATCTGAGCTTGCTTTTTTTCCTTGTAACAATATATCCTGGAGGTCTTTTCACATTAGTACATCAAAAGTTTCCACATTTGGGGGTAGAGGGAGCTGTACAGTATTCCAAAATGTAAATATCCCACAGTTTATTTATTCCCTAATTGATGAACTTTTAGGTTATTCCCAGTCTTTTGCCTAAAAACAATGCTGTAATGATCTATATACTCTGTATGTAGATGATCACATCCATATTTAGATATAGCTCTCAGAAGAATTTCCCAGGAGTGAGATTTCTGGGCGATAAAGAAATTCATCTGGCTTTTTGAATAATAGTGCCAACCTGCCTTCCATAAGGGTTGTACTATTTTTCACTCATGTCAGTAATATATGAGAATGCCTCTTTCTTCACACTTATAGCAACAGAGTGTGTTTTCAAACTTTTGGAACTTGGCCAATTGCATTGTTGTAAAAATTGGTATCTTAGTATAGTTTACTTTGCATTTTTCTTATGAATGAAAAATTTCTTCTAATGTTTAATGGTCATTGTATTGACTACAAATAGTCTTTTCATGTGTTTTGATAAATTTTTTTACTAAGTCATTTGGTTTTTTTTCTTGTTGAGTTCTAGCCATCATCTGTGATATAAATTGTAAATATATCTTCCCAGTTGGTTATTCATTTTATGTTTTCATTGATATTCTTCTCCTCTTTTTTGAGAAGAAATTGAAGTACAATACAGCTCTTCCTTTCCATAGCATTGTGGAACTGTAAAAATGACCATGCAAGCTGAAACCATGCAAAGCAATCTTAATCAATGAGGATAGTCACAATTATTTCATGACTTTAAAATTTTTTATCAAAACGTTAAAAACTTTTGGGAGGCCGAAGCGGGCAGATCACATGAGGCCAGCAGTTCAAGACCAGCCTGGCCAACATGGCAAAACTCCATCCCTACTAAAAATAGAAAAAAATTAGCTGGGCGTGGTGGTGCACACCTGTAATCCCAGATACTAGGGAGGCTGAGGCAGGAGAATCACTTGAACCCAGGAGGTGGAGGTGAGCCGAGATCGTACCACTGTACTCCATCCTGGGTGACGGAGTAAGACTGCTTCAAAAAAAAAAAAAAAAAGACAAAAACAAAAAACTCTATTCCTGGCATTTATAAATATATACAGAAATGAAAAATAAGAAAACTGATATGTATTTAGTACACTGTAACATTAGAAACATTGACAAAGTGTTTTATTTTTTGTTAAAATCTTATCAAGAGTAGTATAGCAGTGCTTGCCGCTGTCTTATATGCTTTGCAATATACAGCAAGCATCTTTTCTGGGTGAACTATCATACTTCTGAGTTTGGCTCGGTTGCCAGCATTTTATCCTTTATTTTTTCTGTGTTGTGAAATATCTCCAAGAGTTTTTTTAAGTGTGAAATTTGTTGCCAACATCACTTCCTCTGGCTTCTCATCTCTCTTCATCCTCTGCATCCCTTTGGTCACAACCACCTTCCTCATTTGTGCTGGCCTTCAGTCTGGCTATGCCTCTCCAATGGCAGCAGTGTCAACATTCCCAGGGTCAGCTCTTTCTCCTGTAACTCCGTTTACATTCAGTTCAAATTTCACTTCCAGTGTTATCACTTTGCGGTACTTTTATCTTTGTTGGCCAATTCCCTCTTTCATTGATCCATTTTTATAAAATGCCACATGGATTTATCAGTGGGGGACAGGGAGGCACCACAGCTGCTTGCTTTGCTCCCTGTCCATGAAGTGAATAACAAATGCACAGTGACCAGTTGCTAATAGACATTGGAAGAAGGGATGTGATTGGTCACTAATCATGATGAACACACATCAGTTATTTACACAGGGATTTCAGAGGAGCTACCAACAAAGTTTATACTTTAGTTACTTAAGTTTAATGTACTGTGGTGACTACACTGTGGTATTGAGGTATTTAAACTATGTAATTGATGGACTGATGTTATTTAACTAAAAAACAGTAGTAACTTCAATTTGTTCATATTAAACCACACAAATCAGGGCTGCCTGTATAGAAAATTAAAAAGAATTTAATAATAAATTTATTTTGTTATTAAAATAAGAATTTTAATAAATCTATACTCATCTCTGAGACTTGACAATCATTAACATTCTGTTATGTATTCTTTAAGGGTTTTTAATAGAGGAAGTAGATCATTGCAAGTAAGGTTGAAGTTCTCCTTTGTCCTCCAACTCCCATCCCATTCCCTTTCTTAACCTCTGAACTCACATATCATCATGAATTTTAGAGTATCCTTCATTCTCTCTCTGTTTCTCTCTTTTTGACATTTATATATATACATGTAAAGCAGCAATCCCCAACCTTTTTTGGCACAAGCACTGGCTTCATGGAAGACAATGTTTCCACGGACAAGGGTTGGGGGAAAGATGGTTTCGGAATGAAATTTCCACCACAGGTCAGATATTAGACTCTCATAAGGAACATGCAACCTAGATCCCTCACATGCACAGCTCACGGTAGGGTTCATGCTTCTATGACAATCTAATGTGATTGCTGATCTGACAGGAGGCGGAGCTCAGGTGGTAATGCTCGCCCAGCTGGCTGCTCACCACCTGCTGTGCGGTCTGGTTCCTAACAGGCCACAGACCCGTACTGGTTCATCGCCCGGTGTGGGGGTAGGGGGACCCCTGATGTAAAGGTTTCGGTGGGAAATATGTACTCTTCGGGGATGTGCTTTTTAATTTCACAATAATTTGTGTTTTTTGTTTTTCACATTTTCCCATTGTTTCTTGTAGTCTTATCTCCTTCTGGAATTAAAAATAATTTTTGTCTTCTCCTTTTCCCCCCATTTTTAGAAGTCATGTTTTCTGTTTCATCCTATTTCTATTCAATTAGTGGAGTAATTTAGATTTTTACAAGATTAAAAATTATATAGAGATGAGTATTATTGATGACCTGCCCTCTTCACAGAAATAGCCAACACTAGATATACTCATGTCCTCATGTCGTATTTATATAACATTTTCCTCATAAATTTAATAACCTTCTTACTGTTTGTCCTCCAGATTTATTCAGGAGATTGAGCATGCTCTGGGTCTTGGCCCAGCCAAACAGTGTCCTCTTCGAGAGTTTCTCACCGTGTACATCAAAAACATCTTTCTCAATCAAGTCTTGGCTGAGATCAACAAGGAGATTGAAGGAGTCACTAAAACATCTGACCCTTTGAAGATTCTGGCCAACGCAGACACCATGAAGGTGCTGGGAGTGCAGCGGCCTCTCCTACAGGTAATAATACACTTTGAACTTACTATTTTTATCAGCAATTTTCATTGACTTGGCAAGTGTCATAAATTTAAAAAAGAAGAATTACCATCTGTTTCCATATTCATCAGGGACAAAACAAAAGAAAATAAATAGGCACTAGGGAAATTTAGATTTAATGTAGTTGGATAATGGAAGTTCCTTAAGATCTTTAAGGAAAATTAAAAAAAAAAACGGTTAGCTTTGGATATGAGAGATGGTGAATCTCATTAACATGCAGGCAGTTCCTCATTATTATGCCTGGAATTGGTCCTTGAAAGGAACTATTTTTCCATTGGTGAATGCATCCCTGAGTATGAAGGATTAACAGGAAGGAAGCTATGATGCCCAACTTCAATTACCAGCAGGAAACCCTCTATACCTTTTAGGGGCAGACTTACCTTTCAATGACTTGGCTACCTCACAGGGAATTTGAACCAGTAAACTGACCTTTAAAAGTCAAATCACTGAATTCACATGATGATCTTGTTAGTACTGAAAATTTTACTTTATATAAAAAAATGGTTTCTTAGCATCAGAAAAAATAAAATAATCTGTCAGTAGATTTTTTGATTAATAGGCTTGAGGCATATATTTTATATACATTTTAGCTGGTGACTTGGAGGTATATATAAAACTAAAACAAAATTAGTAGGAGTTTAAATTATAGGTATACATTAACTATTATTACGTTGGAATTGAATCCTTATTGTGTTTCTTCATTTAAGAGTAGGATGGGCACAGTCTCACACTTTTACCTAAATTGTACAATATGAGACTATTCAACATGTGGAAGGCTTGAGCTTTTCAAAGAGAAGTTGTATATATGGAAGGGAGTTTTACTTGTTCCAGTTGCCTGCCCTTACCTGCCTTTACATATGTTTCCCTTGATTTTTCTTTGTATGTTAGAATTTACAGAAGTGCTGGACCTTTCTTAGAGAAGCGTCCTAGTTATGAGCATTCTTTTTTATGAGCAAGCTCTTTTATGATATTGATAAAATAGAATAGGAAGATGTTCATTTGGATGGTCTGGGTCTCTGTTAGCCATGTGCCTGGTGAGGGATCTGTACTGAGTGTTGGGTGCAGAGAAGGGGGAATGCCAAAGGAACGTGCTTGCTCTTCCTTCTGCTGGATATCTCTTCCGGCTCTTTGCATGGCTGGGGTCTTCTCCTCTCTGGGTGTCACTTAAAATGTCATGTCCACTGGAAGGCTTTTCCTGACTGTCCTACCTAATTAGGTCCCCTTTCCTGGTTATTCTCCATTCTCCCATTTTTCCTTACCACCAGCCCCATCCATTGTCAATACTGAGGCCAAACCCTATGGACTGTGTCTGTGGACTGTGTCATGGAGGCCCCCTTGCCAGGTAGCTTCTGATCAGGTTCTGCCGATAGGCAGCACAAGTAGAAGATTGGAAAGTGGGAGGAGAAAGAGGGTGGGTGATTTCTTCTCCCCTTCCTCTTCACTTTGGATCATGGCCCTGGCTGTGAGTGCCTCCCTCCATAACAGGAGATCCTGCCAGGTGACACATCCTCCATAGCTCCAGCTCTCACTGGACTCTGGCAATGTCATTTCTTCTCCTTGCCTCTTGATTTCAGCTTTCTGCTGTTACAACCTCTGGATGCCTCAGTATCCCTTGTTCCTGCTTTCAACCCTGCCCATACCTCTGTAAGTTATTTCTTCATTCATATTTCTTTATTTGAATTATCTAAATGGAATACTTTTTTTTTTTTTGTCAAGATCCCAGATAGATCTCCCCAGTTAATCAGGATTTTAACACTTTGGTTTTTTCTTCCTAACACTTATCACAACCCTAATTATTAATTAATTTTGCTAACTTGTATATTTTCTATCCTTTCCCACTAGAAGGTAAGTTCCAAACACATATTATAATGTCAGGCAGCAGGAAGGTGCTCAATGAATAACTTACTGGATGAATGCATGTTGCATGGATGGATGGATGGATGGATGGATGGATACAGTGAATAAGTTTCGAGAGTCATAAGTACCCACAGAGTCAGAATAAGGAGATGAGAAATAGAGAGTAACAAAAATATGTTTACTTTTATGTGTTGTCTGACCATATCATTAGCCTCATTTCCATCAGAAAGCCTTTCAGTATTTATTTCTCTGAAGTGTCACGCTATATGCCATACAGAGCAACTTGAACATGTTTAGTGCACTGAATTTAAAAGGAAAAAAAAGGCATCAGTACATTACAGAGTGAGTCTGTGAACCAATAATACTGGCTTATTAAATGTGATAATTTGCAGCTTCAGTAGCAAAGATGCATTAAAATCATAACTCATTGATCTGGGCCATGTCAAGGCCATATGCTACCAACAAAATGACATATCTGGGCAGTCTGTCCATGTGCCTGTCAGATCACTCCCAACCTCATCACCGCCATTTTGTACATGTTACTGTGCCTCTTGTCCTTTAAGTCACCGTGAGGCTAGGTAAGAACTCCAGCTTTACCTGTTCTCTCTTTGACCTTGTCAACATATAATTATATATAAGTGAATAAGTCTTGAGGCTAAGACCATTCAAGCTATTAACCTGCAAATTTTTTTTTCTAGAGTTAACACACCTGCTTCATTTTTTTTTTTTTTTTTTTTTTTGGTGATTATGTTGCTCTCCTTTTTTTCATTAAAAAAATTTATTTTATGAAAATGCAAATTATTTAAACCATATCACTAAGTTTGTTTAATATTCTCAGAGAGAGTTATGCAGTTTAAAAAGCAAACAAGGAGATGGTTATTTTTTTTTCCTATCTTTGGTATTTTCCTGCATTATAGTGATTGTAAATTGTTTTCTAATAATTCCCCATACTCAAGCTTCATTCTTTTTTTGTCTTCCTCTACAAGCACAGGGTGAATTTTATTCTTGAATTTTTTCTATGTTTCCTTAATATTTTATTCCCAGCTAATTGTAGGTGGCTAATCTGAAAAAAGAATAAGAAATAATTCTCAAAAATTTTAGCTGAGAATCCAAAACAAATGTTAAGAAGGAGCTTGGAGAAATATGTGTGTGCGTGAAAGATGCATGTGGGTTAAATATTCAATTACAGGAAGTATAAAAATGTCCTTTAAAATTCTTCCCTTTGCTAAACTGTTGTTTGGTCACAGAGTAGAAGAGAGGACATGCCTTTCCCTGTGGCAACACCCAGTGTCACACAGCATCAGCCCAGCCGGATTCTCCAGGGAGGGTGGGAGGACAGCTGTCTCAGTGATGCTTCCAGTTGTTTGATAACGGACAGACACGGTGCCTAGGAGCCCTGTGAAGAGAACCCCAGGACACTTTGTCCTTGTCCCTCTGAAGTGGCATCTGGGCAGTACAGACACTTGGATTATTAGAGGCATTTCCATGGGTGCCAACATGTGTTCTCAGTGATTTCACTTTCTAGGCACAGGTTCCATAGGAGGGAAGGAAGGAAGTCAGTAGGAAGGAAGAGATGACAATCAGCATTTTATACCTAAAACACTGTGCAAGTGTTAGCCCAAGCTGATACAGCAGAGTAACACTAGTGGTAATAATAGAAGAAGTAAAAACAGTAATGATAGCAGTTATAATAGTAGATAGTAGTAATGATAGCAGCTAACACTTTAGTAGCATTTACTGTGAGTCAGACACTATTCTGGGTGCTTTGTCTGTATTGATTGCAAGTGTTTAAAATGTATGGCAACTCTGAGTGGTATTCTTTTTATGAGGAAGAAACTGAGAAACAATGAAATTAAATAACTTGCCCACAGTCACATAGCTGCCAAGTAGTAGAACTGTAATGCAAACCCAGGCGATGCAACCCTGGAGTCAGTGCTCCCAGCCAGTTCTACCCAAAGTGGATTCTGAGGATTATGCTTGTCTGCAAGCTGTTTGTCACCAGTCTGCTATGAGACGTAGAGAATTTAGGAGTGAGCATTTAGACAATTTTTTTTAGCATTTTGACATTGTCTGTTGAATCCAGTAATAAAAAATTGGGCCTCATGTTTTGTATATCTTTGTGGGTTTTAACATTTCTTTTTTCTAGCAATTCATTTTTATGTTTTATAAAAGTATCAATGTGCAACTGATTGGGGATAAAAACTGGGCTCTCCATAGTTAGAGAAGAACTGTCTAAATCCCTTACTTTTCGGTACTGCCTCACAGAGAGGTAAAGCACAGAACCATCACTTTTACCCCAGTGCCTAAAGCATTTTTCAATAGATAGATAGAAAAGTGCAGATATGTGTTACAGTTGGGTCTCTCCTAAATCCCCAGCTCCTAGAATAGTGTCTGCCATAGAGGAAACACTCAATATTTAATAAATGGATGAATGAATGAGTGAATGAAAATGAATGAATGAATGATGACTTCCTTAGTACCAGGACATGGCTGTGTTTTCTGCGCATGGTATAAAACTCATGGTCTTGGGTTTAAGATAGTTAATGGTGCTAAAATTAAAATGTCACAGTTCTTATGCCTCTAATGCTCCCAGGATGACAGCAGGATTGGATACATCTCATGGTCTTACCATTTGAGATCCCTCTGTTGCCATCACTTTTTCTGCAGAATGGCCTCCACCTGTTGCAAGGAAAGCATGTTGATTCAAACTAAGGAAATACCTGAAGAGAAATTATTCATTTCTCCTGAGTCAGATTCTGAACACGGAGTTCTGGAAACAGTCCATTGAAGTGGATACCATCTCATGCTTTATATATCTCCCAGAGTACAAATTATTCATTCCTTAAACATGAGGAGACAGACGGAACTGATTCAGTTCATTTCCCTGGTTTACCATTGATTTGGAGATGCCATTTAATTTATTTCTTCTTTGGTGTCTCCATCTGAAAAAAAGAGCGAGGGGACTAATGCTTAAGGTTTTTGACCCCTTACCCATCAAATTGCTGAATAGGCAACTATCTATGTGAACAAATGGTACAAGCAAACTTTCTTCCTCTATCACCAATGGAATATGCCATACCCTTGCTACTTAGAGAGTGTTCTGTGGCCAAGAGCATCAACCTCTGATGAGTCTGCATTTGTATAGAATCTCCAGATGATTTGTATATACATTAGAGTTTGAGCAGCATTGCCTTATACCAGTGCAAAAGCAAGTGTGGCCCATGGACCGGGAGCATCAGTGTGGCCTGGGAGCTTATGAGAAATGCAGATTCCTGAACCTCACTCCACTCTGGAAATCTCTGTTCACACCAGCCCTCTAAGTGATTTTGGTACTCGCTAAAGTTTAAGAAGCATACTCTTAACATAACGTCGTCATGATACCCAGCGTGAAGTTAGGAAACGGGATCTAATGTTGTGGGGTTTTAGCTTTGTGGTGAACAACAGTAGTCATTTTTTAAAAAGTATTCAGCTTTGTTTCATGCAGGCCCAGGAATTGTAAAAACAATATTTGCTGCAGCAGCAGAAGCTGCTTCCTAGTCTAGCACATTGATTTTGCAAAGTTGTTTCCAAGTACAGGATGAGCCTACATTTTCTGGCTCATGCAGGGCAATGTGAGACAGAGGCAGCTTTTCTAATGCTCAGGCTTAAACTCCCACATCACTGGAGGAACAAACATAAGCTGTGCAAGTACAAATTCTGGGCAATCTTGAAATGTTTAGAGCATATTTTCATTTTCCTCTCTGCCCCAGTATTTGTCAGAGTAACTTTTGAGAAGTGAAATGGCTAGAATCCGCCTGCAAACACCACACTGTCATCTCTTCCTCTGCCAGCTGCACTTTCCACTTATATCTGCAGACTTAGAGCAGTGATTCTCACCAACGCTACCCATTAGAATCACCCAGGAACTTCCTAAAAATACCACTTCCCAGGTCCCATTGGTTGCTCAGGGGTGGGGCGTGCTTGGGCATCAGTGTTTGGTATGATGCCCAGATGATCCCAACATGCAGCCAGAATTTGTACCTCTGTCCTTGATCTTTCTACTCCATCGTATCAGTTATTGCTGGCAGAGAGAGTACATCAAAAATTATTGTTGAAGGCTGGGCATGGTGGCTCACACCTGTAATCCCATCACTTTGGGAGGCCGAGGCGGATGGATCACTTGAGGTCAGCAGTTCAAGAGCAGCCTGGCCAACATGGTGAAACCCTGTCTATAACTAAAAATACAAAAATTAGCCAGGTGTGGTGGTAAGTACCTGTAGTCTCAGCTACTTGAGAGACTGAGGCAGGAGAATGGCTTGAACCCGGGAGCTGGAGGTTGTAGTGAGCCAAGATAGCGCCACTGCACTCTAGCCTGGGCAGTAAAGCAAGACTGTCTCAAAAATACATACATATATATATATATATATTATATATATATATATATATATATATATATTATATATATATATATATATATTTTATATATATATATATAAATATA
Organism: Homo sapiens; assembly: GCF_000001405.40. Taxonomy (NCBI): domain Eukaryota; kingdom Metazoa; phylum Chordata; class Mammalia; order Primates; family Hominidae; genus Homo; species Homo sapiens. Next base: position 133,823,918 of record NC_000007.14, read on the forward strand.
TATATAAATTATATATATATTATATATATAGTTGAGGCTTTATTTAATGCAGCCAGGTTTGTAAAAGACTGCTGTGTTGGATACTTTGAACCAAGCCTTGTACATAAGCCTTGGAATCAGACACAAATGGATTTAAATCTCAGCCATTTCATTTGATAGCTTTGTGGCTGTCACCAAATTGCTTAACTTCTCTGTACCTATTTCTTCCCCTATAAAATGGGAATCATAGAATCTGTGTCACAGCAACACTCCAGTGATTAAATGGAGTAATGGGTGTAAAACATGCCCTCTCCTTCCTACCCCGGGTCACCTGTGAGCAGGTCTCTGCGTTGACTGCTTTGATGTGTTACCTGCCTGGCCCTTAACGCCTGCCTTCCTTCCTGAACTCTACTGACTGCGCCCCAACCCCTGCCCTCTCTGCCCACATTTTCAACCTGCGTCTTCTTCTCATCACCAGCTTGCTGTTTACGCACCTTCTGTTCTTTCTACTCTAGCACCCAGCTGGTAACTTCCCTTTCCTGCCTTCTACTACCCTGGTGTGACAGCAAGAGATGATATTGTTTCACCTGCTTTCTCCTTTTCCTGGAGTTTGTCAGCTGGCCATTTATTAGCAGCAGAAGCAGCGTGCAGTATTTTTGTCCATTAAAGCTAGGGGATTAGTTTCCTAGGGCTGCCATGATAAATTACCGTAAACTTAGTGCCTTAAAACAACACAAATGTACTCTTGCATAGTTTTGGAGGCCAGGAGCCACATTCCCTCCAAAGCTCTGGAGGACGATCCTTCCTTGACTCTTTCAGCTTCTGGTGGCTCCCGTGGATTTTTGGCTCTGGCAGCGTAACTGCAATCTCTGTCTCTATCGTAACGTGGCGTTCTCCCGTGTGTCTCCTATGTTTTCTTTTCTGGCTCTTGTAAGGATACTTTCATTGGATTTAGGGTTTGTCTTAATCCAGGACGATCTCATCTCAATCCTTACCTTAATTACATCTAAAAAGATTTCCAAGTTAAGTCACATTCTGAAGTTCCGTGTAGAATTTTGGAGGGAGACACTATTCAGTCCACTACAACTCATAACTAGAATGCAATCGATTCAGTTTGCTATGTTTTCCTTGACGACTCTCTGGCAGGAAGCAGTGTGGAAGTATTGCCATTGGCTAGTCTGGGTGGTACACACCTGTAATCTCAATACTTTGGGAGGCCAAGGTGGGGGTATTGCTTGAGGCCAGGAATTCGAGACCAGCCTAGGCAACATAGCAAGCAACTGTCTCTAAAAAAAAAAAAAGAAAGAAAGAAAAAAAGCCAGGTTTCATGATGTATGCCTGTAGTCCCAGCTACTCGGGAGGCTGAGGCAGGAGGGTTGGATCACTTAAGCTCAGGAGTTTCAGGTTGCAGTGAGCAATGATCATGCCACTGCACTGCAGCCTGAATGATAGAGTGAGACTCTGTCTCTAAAAATAAATAAATAAATAAATAGGTATTCTGTTAAGGCAGTAGGCCCAGGATGGTCTAAATTCTAGATGTCAACAAGGTTCAAAGTGAAAGTTTTTGGTAGGCTGAGTGATTGCTGGAGCTCTTACTGAAAGTTGGTGGACACAGCTACTTACAGTATAATAATTTGCTAGAGATAATTATACTGCTGCCCAAACCTATTATCTCCCCAGCCAAGCTAAGGCACTGCCAGTAACTTCTTCTGGTTTCCCGAGGAAGTGTGGCCAGCAGCAGTAGCGTATTGTTTTCATCATATCACATTATGTTCATATGAAGAATGTTGCATTTGAGTGGCATTTGCATCACAGCCAGTTGTTGCCCTTCCACTCTGGTAGAGAATAGATTCAGCTTTTATTAGTGTAAATAGATTAGTCCCATTTAAGGTCTGCTGGAAGTCATTATGAAAATCATTAGGTTGAAAAGAGAACTGATCAATTGATTTTTTTTCCCCCTGTAAGCTCTGAGAGATGGTGCTAATGGTCTCACTGTGCTAAAATAAGTCTTAGAACCAAGATGCCTTGGGGTCTAATCTGATTCTTCAGTATTTATCGATACCTAAAGAAACATTAACTTATCACTCATAGTTTTGATTTTCTTTGCATTTTACTCTTGTTATTTTATTTATTCACTAACAGTATTATTTTGCCTCTTCATGTCAAGAATAATGACTTGTGGCTACCTAAGACTTTATTGAGGAAGATGGAGTGGAAGATGCCTGTGTTCTTGTCTTTGTTTAGATTGTCCAGCACTCACCTGTTCACTTCCAAGATACCAGAGCAAATTAAATTTTTTATTGCTAATAGAGACTTTTGGGATCTGATAACATTCGTCCATGTTTTCAGATCATTTTTATCAAGTTGTGTTACTTATGTATTGTTAATTCTATTACTTATTTAGTACATTTTAATTTTGTAGTTTTGTTGTGATTCTTCATAGCCATCTTTGAAAGTGCTTACTGCTACATTTCATCATGGTGAGGTGGGAAATGCATATAAAACATAGATTTGGTCTCCATAATCATCAGCTCAGTGACCTTAGACAAGTCCAAGCTACTTGTCTTGTCTGAGCTTCCCCTCTCTCATGTATAAAATGAGAATGACACTTGCCCAGACTTCCTCCAAAGACTAGGATGAGAAGTACTATGGTATCATGGATTCAGTAGGGCTTTATGAAGTCTTCTACATATTGATCTGTTTCATAATTATTATTAGTGGTCCACATACCCACATGATTGCTCCATTCAGAAAAAAAATCCAACAGTGTTAACAGGAGTGGTGCTAAGAAAACACCTACATGAATAAAAATATTTTCTACCAAGTAGAAAGCCTCACTGATATTTACTGGTTTGTTTCATATATGATTAGACAACCAGTATAAGAACCTGGCAATATTTTTTCCCCAGTTTATCACAAAGATGTTTTAAATATACAAAAAATCAAGAAAAAAATGTCCAGTGAACACCCACATACTCACCACCCGGATTCTAACATTAACATTCTTCTATATTTGTTTTATAGCATAACCAAACCTGGTCATTTTGATTCCTCTTCAGCCTTCACAGAAATGAATTCTGCGTCATTCCCTGAGTACCTTACCATGGTGCTGTTCCCAGTATTTTAATCTTAGAAAATCTGAACATACAAAGAGATACATTAGGTAAGAAAGTAGTTGCTTCAAAAGAGTATTTATTTTCTAAAAGTACTCATCCACACATTTCCTTCACATAGTGTCATGGAATAGGAAATTGACCAGCTCATTCTTATGATTAATCTATAAGTAGTGCCTTTATTGATATAATATTACAAAGGAACTTGTCCTCGTAACTGTTGATGAAGAAGGCTGTGAGTTGAGCCACTGAGAGATGATTTTTTAATATACCGGCAGAACAGGCCCATTATATGATCAAATTGAATTTCCATAAATATCATTAACTTATTGTCTTACCTTTGAATGAAAAAGAAACAGGATCTCATCTGACTAGCTGGTTTTCTTAGAGAAGTTCCTAGTTAACTAGACTTCTGTAAGTAACTTTCTGCAAAGCAATGACAGAAAAAAATTATTTAACTATATTTAAACTAGCTTCTATATAATATAGCCAGCTAGGGTTTTGGAATAATAACAGAGGGACTAGAGATAAACATTATTTTCATTTGTCTTCAGAAAATCATCTGCCACCAACCTTACACATTTTATAAGGATCCTTAATGATCTCAGCATTTTTTATTTTTGAGGTCAACCATTATTCTGAATGTTTTCTTCAACAATCTATCATCTCTCATAATGTATTTGGAACAGATTTTAGTTTAGATGCAACTTTTAAAGAATTCATCTACTACATCTGGGTTACGAGGTCAGTTTAAAAAGAATGAACTGGAGGACTTTATCTCCTTGGGTAGAGGAGTCATGAGGGACTACTGAATGAGAAAGTAATTATAGTCAGTGACACTTGTTTACCAGTTTTGCTTGGTGCCAAGAAACTTGTCTGAGCACGAGGCTGTTTCAGAATGACATCAATATAGGGATAACCCCTGGGTTTTAAAGGAAGTCTCTGAGATTACTTTCTATCATGAGTAAAGGAGCCCCACTGATGGTCGTCTTAGTTGTCACCTAGACTGTTCTATGAAACAGGGCTTATTTGGGGTAAGCATTTTGAGGTTTTGATTGGCTACTGTCCATTTTGATCTTGTCTCAGCCCACTCCTTGGTGGATAAGCAGGAGAGAAGGTAATGCCTTATGACAGATCTGCTGACAGGAACTGAAATACATTAACACTCTGTCACTCAGATCTTTAGAGGGCTGCCTTTGCCTGAAATATATTTGACTTTACTTGCTAACAAAGGCATCTTCAGATTTATTTCTTTTCCTTAAATGTTAGAGAAGAGGAAGAGCGTCCCATTGAAAGATACTGGGAAGAGAAAAGCCTGGCTCGACAGCCCAAGCAAATGATAGTTAGCATTCTTGGGAGCAGCAGAATTGCTGATCGTGCGAGATTACTAGTAGGAGCCAGATGAGTGTAGACAGAGAACTGCTGTACTTAGGAAATTTTTGAGGTTCTTATCCTAAGCAGTTTTTGCCCTATGTGGATGTTGCAGCTCTGGCTTAGGATGCTCCAGTGAGAAAATGAAGAGAGAGAAACAAGACTATCTCAGCTTCAAAGTTTAATGGCCATTTAAGATTAACATTTCAAGTAAAGCAGCTGCTTTTCTTCATGCTTTTCAAGGATCCTGCCCTACTCAAAAACTTGTGTGTACTTAATCTTAGCATAGACAATCTCAGATGGGCTGGTGAAACCTGATACATCTCTTATAACAAGAGTGACATGACACAGTGAAAGAATTTCCACCATTGAAATTTTAATAAAATGAAATGATTAATATTTATTCGACACCTGCTTTGTGCTATTGCTAGACAAGGTGATGTGGGGATACAGAATAAACTTAAAGCAAGACTTCTTCTTCTCAGGAATTTAGTAGGGATCAATTAATTAGGAAACCGGAATTCCTCACACCTACAAATCCAAGAACAGTAAAGGACACTTTATAATTGAGTACTGAATGTGATGGTTTAGAAGATTTTCACTATAAGAGCTGAGGAGAGAGACACAGAAGGCTGGAGGATTCAAGAGAGACCTTAGGCAAGAAGTGGGCCCTGAGTCACTGTAGGATGTGTAGAAACGAAGAAGGCAGAGGAGAAAAGTGACCTGAACAACAGTCACAATGTAAGCAAAGACACAAAAGGTAAAACTGACCATCGCGTGTTCTTGAGACAGTGAGAGTCTAAATGAGTGAAGGAATGAAAGGAGAATGAGAAATAAGGTTAACGGGGGCACAAAACTCTACCAGGGAGGTCTCAAACTGAACACACCAGTTTACTTTTGAAGTGAAAATGATACAGAATGGTGAAAGTTTTTAGAGAAGGTGCATGTTCAAATGGATGCACTTTTAAGGAGCACTGGGCCTTGGCAGTTCAGACAGGATTAGGAGGCAGAGAGCCTGGGGTCCCAGAGGCAGCTAAGGCAGGGATCCACTAGTTCCGCTCTGAAGGGGAGACAGAAAGTTTTATGTGTTTCTCTCCAGACCAAAGTTTTGGGTGATGACATCATGGCTGCCTGAGATTCAGTGAGCCACAACGGTGTGCTGAGCTTAGCATTTGTCATCAGTCTTTTGAATTATTGTCCTAGTTGACCACACTACCCCAACAGTCTGACTTTCTCGGATAAATATTGCACTTCTGAATCTCTGTGAGGGTGTTCCCTGCTGAGCCCTCAAAGGCATGACCAAATGGGGTTCATCCTCACCTCTGTGTCCACAGGAGCAGCCATCTTGGCTTTAGCACACTCACGTTTGTTTAAAGATGAAGCTGTACATTTCTCATTCATTGCTTTTTTAGACACACAGGAGCTCTGTCAGTTAAAGTCCTGCTTTGGGGAAAAGGCAGCATGCAGCCAGTTCATTAACAGGTTATCTATGTCATTATGTCCTTTTTGGATTGTGCATATTGGAAATACAGTCTTTTGAGGAGGAAAAAAAAAGCCATCTAGGCTTCTAGTTTCCCTTTCTTTTTCTTCTTCATTTTTATCTCCTTTTTTCCCCTTTATAGTTACAGCTATTCCCCTGATGGATGGTCATATCTGTAGAGTCCAGAATACCCTGAGTATTCACTTGCAAATAGCTACAAAGTCAAATACAGATAACTACACTTAAATGAGAGCTATTCTCTACCTCTCCTCACTGCACACACACTACTTCTCTTTGCCCCATTTCAACCACAGGAGCTTAATTGCTTCTTCCTTTTTTTTCCACAAACATTTCGGAATTTGTTGTCCCCTTGGTCATTTCAAGGTCAAGGCTGCCTATCAGGCACTCGCAGAAGTGCTCCGGTGACCTTGCTTGCTGTGTTTGCCCATGGCTTCTGACGCTTTACCAGAGTGAGCAGCCTGCCCGAGCAGAGAGTAGGCTGGCCTGCCAGTTAATTTCTTGCCTCGTGAAGAGGAGGAGTACACTTTTCTTCCAGCCTTTCAAAATGTTGCTTTAGAGCCAAAAGAAATCTTCAACACATAGTAGGCACTTACTTGCTAAATGAATAAAATGAAAATTGCCAACAGCTATGTTAAAGTGTGGCCTCTAGCTTACGTGTTTAGGGGTAGGGTACGTAAAAGCAAACCTCTGTTGTTTGCCAAGGAAAGGAGTATCAAATATTTGTGTTTGTAAAAAATAAACTGTTTATTTCAGAGAAGTTATAGATTTATCAAAATTGCAAAGACAGTACAAAGAGTTCCCATATACCCCCACTTTCCCTATTATATTAATATCTTACACCTATATTACTGTGGTGCATTTGTTACAATTAATGAGCCAATATTGACACATTATTATTAACTAAAACCTATACCTTATTCATACTGCCTTATTTTGCGTATATGTGTGTGTGTATTTTTTAAACTTAATGCCCTCTTGCTGTTCGGGATACCACAATACATTTTGTTGTTATGGCTTCTTAGGCTCTCTTAAATGTGATAGTTTTCTCACTTTCCTTTCTTCTGATGACCTTGACAGTTTTTTTGTTTGTTTGTTTGTTTTGAGACAGAGTCTCGCTCTATCGCCCAGGCTGGAGTGTGGTGGCGCGATCTCGGCTCACTGCAACCTCCGCCTCCCGGGTTCAAGCAATTCTCCTGCCTCAGCCTCCTGAGTAGCTGGGATTACAGGCACCCGCCACCACGCCTAGCTAATTTTTGTATTTTTAGTAGAGACGGGGTTTCACCATGTTGGTCAGGCTGGTCTCGAACCCCTGACTTCGTGATCCACCTGCCTTGGCCTCCCAAAGTGCTGGGATTACAGGTGTGAGCCACCACACCTGGCCGACCTTGACAGTTTTGAGGAGTGCTGGTTAGGTATGTAGTAGAATGTAGTTATGCTCTACTTCCTTAACGATGGAGTATCAGTATAAATGATTTAGAATGCTTCTACATGAGAGAGCTGGCTGTTCTCCTTCATTTTTGTAATTATTTGGTTATTTATTTGTCAGTATAGACTTATAGATTTGTATTTTATACTTGGAGTTATAATCCACTTTATTTTGCTGCTGAAATCGTTCTAGCTTTGGACATCAGTAACTTCTTTGACTGGCTTCTGTTATTTCCTAAGTCTCCATCTTTGTGATTTTTTTTTTTTTAAGCATCTCCTTACTTTCTGGCACTACAAGGTGCTCCTGGCTCATCTTGTATATTGCCTGCCCCAGCCCTAGAATCAGCCATTTTTCTAGGAATCCTAGTTCCTTTTATTAGAGACTAGCATTGGAAAACAAGATCTGGAGTTTTAGAATGTTTCTTGTAACTTGAGTATCATTATTTCTAGGCCCACTCAGTTGACACTGAAAGGAAACATATATGTGTATATACTAACCCTTGAATATATTCATATCCGTATATATTTCTATATGTAACCATTTACGTCTGTATTAAGCTAAAAACGAGTTCATACTGATGTCTCCAACACTAATCTATAACTACATGGAGCATTCTAGCCTCCTCTCGGTTAGGTGTGACCTACCTTTCCCTCAGTGAGAAACCTGGCTCCCACCATCTCCCATTAATTTACTTAACTGTATACATGGAGTCTAGTATACATGTGTAGCAATAACACAGTCATTCAATTACAGTATATACGTATAGCAGTGTCAGAATAGTTAACCCATACCCTTGTGGGAAACAACTTTATCAGCTAGTATACAGTGCTTTTATAGTTTATTTTGCCTTTAGTCTTATGGACTATACTCATTTCTAGTGTTACTTAGGTCAGTACCTTTTCTCCCTACACCCTTCAAAGACATTGTTTTACACATTTGTAATAGTTAGACGGTTTTGTCACATTCTGCACTAAATCCTAGGATTCCATGATATCCCAAATGATGTTTTTAATTTGCATACATTAATGTTCATTCTTTGTGCTTTAAAGTTCTGTGAGTTTTGACAATGCAAAATGTTGTGTGTCTACCATGATGATATCACACAGAATGGTTTTTACTACCCTAAAAAATTCCCATGCTTCACCTATTCAACATTTCTCTCTTTTTAAGACTCTGGCTGTCACTGATTTTTTAACTGTCTCTATAGTTTTACCTTTTCCAGAATTTGTATCATTGGAATCATACAAGAAGTAGCTTTTTCAGACTGGCTTCTTACACTCAGCAATATGCTTAAGATTCATTCATGGCTTTTCACGACTTGATAACTCATTTCTTCTTATCATTGAATAATATTCCATTGTATTGATAAACCACTGTTTCTAAAATACATTCACATATTGAAGGACATCTTGGTTGCTTCCATTTAGAGTTATTATGAATAAAGCTGTTATAAACACTTATGTTTAGTTTTGTGAGGATATAAGCTTTCAAATCAGTTGGTTTTTTTATGTATTGAAATTGTAGGGGTCAGTGGGCTTGTGGTGGTGGTAGGGGCAGATTTACAAGTAAACAAGTATATCACAATGGTAAGTGCTTTCATAAAACTATAAATATAACATGTAAACTGTTGAATCTACATAAGAAAAAGGCAAAAGTAAAAATACTTAAATCATTCTTAGGCTCTCCTATAGAAAATATAATATTTAGCAGTTCTTTCCAGGAAAAACACTCCCTTAACACACACATATGCACACACATGCACACACACATACACACCCCAAACCAACCTAACTTGCTGTAGACACACTGTTAAAGCTCTAGCAAAGACCACAAGGCAGGTGGTAGACTCTGCAAAACTTAACACAATGATTTTTCTTCTTCCAACTCAAATAATAGGAGAGAAATTTCACGTAAAGGTGAATAATCAGTCCCTGAGAAGGAAAAAAAAAAAAGGCCTAGGGATGTTTAGGTATCTGGAAACCTGGAATTGATTAATAAGACAAAAGAACAAATATAGTTATTTTACCAAGTCATTTAGAGATAGCAACAAGTCATTTTTTTCTGGGATTTGGGGTTCCTCCCAGATATTTCTTATAGAGGGAGCTAAACCCGAAGGAGTGTACCAAATAGTAAATGAAATCTTCCTTTGTCAAGAGCTAACTAGGAGTTGTTTTTGTTAAGCTTCTGGGAAGAGATGGCTTTGACCAGGTGGCCTTTTAGAGGCCTCTTGCTTCCAGCTTGCACACTTTTGTTTGGTTGGTTGGTTGGTTTTTGAAACAGGGTCTCACTCTGTCACCCAGGCTGGAGAGCAGTAGTACAGTCATGGCTCACTGCAGCCTTGATCTTCTGGACTCAGATGATCCTCCCAACTCAGCCTCCCAGGTAGCTGGGACCACAGGCATGTGCTACCACACCCACCTAATTTTTTTGTATTTTTTGTAGAGACAGGGTTTTGCCATGTTGGCCATGCTGGTCTCAAACTCCTGGGCTCAAGCGATCAGCTTGCCTCGGCCTCCCAACATGTTGGATTTATAGATGCAAGTCACCGTACCTGGCCCTTGCACAACTTTCAATATTAGGTGGCTGATTCAGCTGGGCCAGTTAGAACCTCACTTATATACCAGTTATTGGTGAAGAAGGTAGAATAGAGAAAGAGAAGTATGTTTACCGCCTAGCAGATGGAACACACAGGAAGGGGTACCAAGCACACCCCCCTTGAATGCACAGTGACCCCTGCATATTAGTAAGATATAATATAATCTCAGAGGCTTGACTAGATTAAAAAGCTGTCCTTATTTGAAGCAGAATTGTGGGATATGATGAGGTTTCTCTTCAAATAATCTGATCAATCTTTTATTCTTTAATTCATAATACTCTCCACCCCTTTTCCCTTTTTCTCCTTTTTTTCCTTTTTGCCTTTGTTAGATACCCAGGCATGCCACAGTACCAGACATTATCAGTACTGGCTCACATTCCTTACCTTATTTGGAAAGAGGACTAATTTTCTAGCTCATTACAGACACCCCTTCCCCTTCCTCTCCACTTCCTTTTAAGTGCCCACCTTATCTTAAAAAAATCAAATGTTTAGCCAACCGGGATTAGTTTAGATTGTACAACCTTACCCTGGCCAATGAGGAAAGGGTATGGGGCAGGACTTGCATCAGGAATAAAGACTCTCGTACCCCTTTGTTCAGGTGTGCTCTCATGGCAACTGGCCAAGGAGGCACCCCTCTGCGCAGAAGTAAAATTGTTTTTCTAAGAATCCTTTGTTCCAGTGTTCAATTTCGTTAGGATTTTGAGCGTTATTCCTAACAAGAATTAATAGGGTGGAAGGAGTATGAGCAGAGGCGCCAAAGTATAAGTGCAGAAAGAACTTTCTCCAACAGCCAGCATGACAAGAAATTTGTAAACAGCAAGTGATAGAAGTGTTTTGATACATAGAACATAAATAATAGGAAATTTAAGATTTCTCTTTAAGTGAATGATATAGTTTGGCCGTGTCCCCACCCAAATCTCATCTTGAATTGTAACTCCCACAATTCCCACCTGTTGTGGAAGGAAACCAGTGGGAGGTGATTGAATTATGGGTTGGGGGGGTCTTTCCTGCACTGTACTCATGATAGTGAATGAGTCTCACGAGATCTGATGGTTTTAGAAATGGGAATCTCCCTGCACAAGCTCTCTTTTTTTGCCTGCTGCCATCCATGTAAGATGTGACTTGCACCTCCTTGCCTTCTGCCATGATTGTGAGGCCTCCCCAGCCATGTGGAACTGTAAATCCATTAAACCTCTTTCCTGTATGAATTTCCCAGTCTTGGGTATGCCTTTATCAGCAGTGTGAAAATGAACTAATACAGCGAAAAATAAAAAAGTCAGAGATAAGTTATAATTTATGTTATAGTCATGAAGCCCAAATATCTGAGACAGGTCTCAGTAAATCTAGGAAGTTTATTTTGCCAAATTTAAGAATGTGTGCCCATGACGCAGCCTCAGGAGATTCTGACAACATGTGCCCAAGGTGGTCGGGGTGCAGCCTTGTTTTATACATTAAGGACACATGCAACGTCAATACATGTAAGATGTACATTGGTTTGGTCCAGAAAGGTGGGACAGTTCGAAGTGGGACGGGGCTTTGTGTTCATAGGTAGATAAGAGACAAAGGGTTGCATTCTTTTGAGTTTCTGATTAGCCTTTCCAAAGGAGGCAGTCAGATATGCATCTATCTCAGTGAGCAGAGGGATGACTTTGAATAGAATGGGAGGCAGGTTTGCCCTGAGCAGTTTCCAGCTTCGCTTTCTCCCTTTAGATTAGTGAATTGGGGGTCCCAAGATTTATTTTCCTTTCACATAGTTTAGTTGGTGAATGTTTTTAATTAGTCCCTGGGTAAGTATATTTTTAAAAATCATGCTATAGTTCATATATTTGTCTAAAGTGCATTAGTTAAATATTTATGTGATTATATATTTATATTGTCGGCTTTTTATGGAGTCATTTTATAGAAATCATCATAAATGAATGGAATGGAAGCTATCTTTACTCTTTCTCAACCAGCTTTATCTAGGGAAAACCAAGCTAACTGGCTCATGAAACTATTGACCAGATTAACTTCATGATTACTAACCCAATTATAGACCTTGTGCCTGGGTAGAAATAATTAATTGCCTTAGTGCTAGCTTAGCAAATGCAAATACCTCAATTAGTAGCAAAAATTCTATGCTTATTTCAATTCTGTTTCCTTATTTCTTTCAGGTTCTGGACATGTAGGCACAGGCTAGTTTACTTACATGATGGAAATATAATATAGCAGACAGGCAATGTTTTAACCAAACTCATACACATGGGATAATTATTCTAAGTCATAAATCTTTTTAATAAAAGCCTGATTGTGTATAGTTAGCCTACATTATTAATTTTCCCCAGCTAGCATTGGTATTCTCTATCATATAAAGGCTAGACTTCAATAGAATGTTAAGGCTGGAAGGTATACCTTGGAAATTAATTTCTTCGCTGGAGTCAAGTTCAACACATTAAGTGCTTTGTCTAAGATGACATATCTGGTAAATAGCAGATCCAATAGTAGAATCTAGGCCCTTCTCCTTCTGGCCAATTCTATTTTTGTTCTACCTGTTAACCTTTCATGTGCTGGATGGTTTATTTATATTGGATTTTAACAGCACCGACACTTGTACTGTAAAATAAATATTTTGTTCTGCTGAAGTTCCCGAAAAGTAACATCTTAAACCACCTCCTACTTAGGGTGACTTTGCCTTTCCTTTTGCTCCTCTCTCTAAAGGCAGAACACGTTTCACTCCAAAACCAAATAACGCACATTTCTCTCCTAATTTATGGTTTTCAAAATTTCAGAGTGTTTTTTTTTCCCCTTGCTGTCCAGAATGCTGTCTGAAAAGTCACAATGATTTAAATAATTGATGGCTACTTTATGAAATCGTCAGCCTGGATCCATCCTCCTGCCTCCCTCAACCGCAAGTCCTTGAGCAGCTAATCCTTTTATGTTGGATGCTTTATTTTTCCCTTCCTGGTTTCATTTAGATAATTATATTATTCACCCTGGAATATAATTGCCGTTATACTGTGGGGGATGTGGGAGTGAAGTAGGGTGGGAGCTGCCTGCTGCTGGCATCTGCAGGTTGTAAAATGTCTGTTACACTCTAGCCTCTAATTTTTTTGCCATCCCACCTTTTAAAGATTTAATTATACCTGTGTAAAAGCATAATTTGAAATCTGACTTATTATTCTTTTGGAAGATAAAAAAGATTAATCCATTGTTAAACATGAATAAGCATGGTACAATGGAAAAAACTTTGGCCTGGAATTCAATTGAACTAACAATTTTTGAATGCCTACTATGTGCCAGGGACAGTACTAAAAATTAGGAAGTGCGAAAATTTAAAGAAAAGGACTGTCCTCTAGGAGGGTTCATCCTGGTGATCTCCTACTAACTTGTGACATGTCTTTGCACAGTACACTTAATCTGTCTGGGCCTCAATTTTCTCATCTCTAAGCAGAGGGTATTGGACCTCTTCTGCATTTTCTCCTAGCTCTAACATTTGGCAGTGCTCCAAAAAAGACCATAAAATAGCAGCCACATTGCTTCTTTGTCAGATTTAATTGGAAGAATAGGGAGTGGTAAAAGGTTTAAATTTTCTGTGGCAGAAGTCATTTTGTCATCTGTGATTTCAGCTCTTTGACAAATGATTCCTTTATCTTGAATGCATTTTCTTCCTGCTAAGTCCTCCATGCCCAAAACAGGGTGTCTTTGGAGGCAGAAGGTAACAATCTCTGAGTAACTGAAAGTTATCAAAGCAACAAAACTTTCTCTTTCAGATTATTGCCTGACATCTTCTTAGCTCGTGAAGCTGTTTTTCCAGTGAGGATTCTAATTCTAACGTGGTTTTCACAAGCCTAAGTTTCACTGTTTATTGGTTAGAAGAGAGAGTCACAAAAATGGGTTTTGTTCTTCTTTGTATGTTATGGTTTTCTCTTTGGAGGTGTCTAAGTTGGATAAGGTAAAACTTCCTAACTCAAAAACTTAGAAAACTTAAGGATATTGAATGTAAATACAGTAGAGCAGGCTTTGCAACTTTAAGAGGAAATGCTGTTCATCTCTGTCAGACCCTTACAGCGCTGGATAAAGTAAACCCCAAATGACAGCATATAGCCTGTTACAAATGGAACACAAATAACACATGATAAAATAGAGATTTAGAGTGGATTTTATAACATGTTTATTTTCAGGGAGCAAATCATAACCCATTTGCCTTATTGGAAAAACAATTTTCCTGTTACACAGGGAGAATGGAGTATTTAAAAAGGAAATGAATATGACAACCAAATGGACTTGATTGAAATCAGCAAATTTGTTTCTTATTTACTCGTTGTTTTTGTACTAGAGAGAATGATATGGGGCCCAGACCATCTCTCAGCGGTAATGGTTCTTTTATGAAAGAAAGAAAACAAAATACCTAGCCATCTGAGTTAAAGTAGTTTTCACATGTCCTGTAGTCTCTAGGGGTATAAATTGATGCTGTTTAATAGAAATCTCTCCCCTTCATCTGCAATATTAATGTGTTCCCTAATTTGTAATCCACTTCCTTTTCTCTCATCTTTATAAAAATCTTTGCAAGCAGCCCTCTTCTCTGCTGCCTAATAATAAAATATTGTGAGTCTAGTAATAATCTCACCCCCTTTTTGGTGAGTTTATTTCTCTTTATACCAGTGCTTCTAAAGTTTTAATATTCACTTTCATCACCAGGCACATCTTAAAATGCACATTCTGATCCAGTCAGTCTGGTTGCAGCCTCATGTTTTGCATTTTGAACAAGCACTCAGGTAATAGCTATGCTGCAAGTCCATGGTACTACTTTACAGTAGCAAGGCTGTAGACCAGGAGTCAGCAAAGTTTTTCTGAATAGAGCCAGAAAGTTAATATTTTCAGCCTTGTGGTTTATATCGTCTCTGTTTGATTGTGCCATCGTAGTATAAGAGCAATCATAGATAATATGTAAATGAATGAGCATGGCTGCATTTCAGTACAATTTTATTTACAAAACAATGTGGCAGCTGGATTTGGCTTGCAGGCTGTAGTTTGCCAACCCCTGCTTAGGCAATGTATTTGAAGTGATTTGTTGTTATTTTTAATGTAAAGGTTGTCATCCATATGTCTACATGGGATTGTTTTATAATGGTGTTAGGCATACATACAATGAGTAGAGTTTCATTCATGGTATACCTAGGTATTATGCAAGAAAAATTTTAAGTCAATTAACAAGATACCTTTTTTCCTCTAGAGAACTTAGAATAAGGTGAGAGGCATAATGGCTTAGCTCTATTGTGGCATAATAGTGCCAGCGTTTTGAAAAATCACTTCTTTGGCAAACAGTCGTTTATACTTGTATATTGCTGTGTGCCTGCCTTTCCCCGAACTCTGACTTTTTCCTGCATATGTGCATTTCTTTTATCCCATCCCTTGCCATATCATTTGGCTCTGATCCTATTTGGATAATGAGATAGTTTGTTGTGCCTGCAATGAAGAAAATGATTTTAAATGTTTTTTAATAAGTTAACAGGAGCAAGTCTTGAAATTACTGTAATGAGATAATGACAGTGTAGCATATTGCTTTGAAGATTGTGCTCTGGTGAAAAATGTATGCTCTTAATAAATTCATTTTCACTGTATTTTCCTCAACAAAGTTGTTTAGCATTTGCCTATTTGCCTACCAGTAATAGGGAAATGGTCATAGGAGTTGGTAGTCAATAAAGAATGAAGACCAAAGTTGATACTCAAGTAAGAATTCTTTTGAGCTTTAAGGTATCAGCCATGGAGGACTTGTACCAAGACCGGAATCCTGTAGTGACAGGTGCTTTATAGGAATATTAAAATCCAGAACCTCAGACCACTATGTTAGTTTCATCTTTTTAATTTGTTCATTACTGCAGATCACATGTATTTCCTTTCTTTGAAGTTCTAAGTATTACACTTGAAAGTTTCTAACAGTTCATGCACTTATTTAGCCAACATGTATCATGTGTATATATTCAATCCATAGCACAGTCTCAGACACTGGGGCAACAGAGGTGAAGGAGACCTGAGTCCTGCCCTCAAGTTTATTAGAGAAGGGCAGATATACTAATAAATCAATGTTATATCTGCCATGATCTACACATGTATATGACACATTGGGAGTTCAGGAGACAGTGGTCAGTTCTACCTTGAAGGTCATTTTAAAAAGATTCCATAAAGAAGATGATGCTTAAGCTGAATCTAGAAAGGTAGATAGATTCCAAATAAAGGAAAAAGTATTAACAAAGATATAGTGGCATACCTTATTGAGGGGAATAGATACATTTTCATATATACCTATAATCGAATCTGATACAGCAGTGAGAGTGAATGGATGTACTGCATGTTATACATAGCTTGCATGAATCTAACAGTGTTGAAAGAAGCAAGACACAAAAGAATATGTAAAATTTGATTCTATTCGTAACAGGCAAAATTAAGCTATATAGTATAGGGATGCATATCTAAGTGGTAAAATCATAAAGGATAGCAACAACAACAAAAATCTATTACAAAGGTTACCTCAGATAGGAAGGGAGAAGATTTTGATTGGGCAGGAGAGCACTTGGGATAATGGAAAGTTTTATTTATTATTTTTTATTGTATTTTATTTATTTATTTATTTATTTATTTTGAGATGGAGTCTCGCTCTGTCCCCCAGGCTGGAGTGCAGTGGCGCAATCTCAGCTCACTGCACGATTCTCCTGCCTCAGCCTCTTGAGTAGCTGGGACTACAGGCACGCTCCACCACACCTGGCTATTTTTTGTATTTTTAGTAGAGACGGAGTTTCACCATGTTGGACAGGATGGTCTCCATCTCCTGGCCTCGCGATCCACCTGCCTCAGCCTCCCAAAGTGCTGGGATTACAGGCGTGAGCCACTACGCCTGGCTGGAAACTTTCATTTCCTTACCAAGTTTGTGGTTCCATTGGGTGTTACCTTTATGATTATTAAGATGTGCATTATTACTATAAACTTTGTCTTAAATGTGTTATGTTGTATTTCACAATAAAAGAGATTTTTTAAAAGACAGTGAGGGCCTGAATAAGGCAGTAGGAAATGGAAGAATGGGTATTGTCATAGGCCATTCGGGCTGCCGTAACAAAATACCACAAAATGGGTAGCTCATAAACAACAGAAACTTAATTCTCACTGTTCTGGAGGTGGGGAAGTCCAAGATCAAAGTGCTGGCAGATTTGGTGTCTGATGAGGGCCTATATTCTCATTCATAGTTGGCTGCCTTTTCTCTGGAACCTCACAGGGCGGAAGGGGTGAGGGATCTCTCTGAGGGCACTAATCCCATTTCATGAGGGCACTAATCCCATTCACAAGGGCTCTGCTTTTATAACCTAATCACCTCCCAAAGTCCCCACCTCCTCATACTGTCACCTTGGGGGTTAGGATTTCAACATATGAATTTGGGAAGTGGTTCATAAACATTCAGTACACTGAAGATGTGAAGGGTGGTAAGCATTAGAATCACCTGGCCACTGATAGGAGCTGGGAAGCCAGAGTCTACCATGGTTCCCAGGTTTTTTAATTTGTTGACTAGGAAGATGGCATGTGCTGAGATGGAGAATATAGTATCCACAATGGGCAAGGCTTTTTCTGCTGCAGCTTTTTTTTCCTTTTAGGTCCATTCTTATTCTACAAAGAGGTTATTTTTCCTGCCTCCTTCCTCAGATAGGTACAAATCAGTACCATTTCCACCACAGTCCTGCCAAGAAAACTACTCAGTTCCCCATCTTTATGTATTTATTTCCAGAAAGTTCTTTTTAAACTGTTATTTTAGGTTCAGGGGTACATGTGCAGGTTTGTTATATAGGTAAATTGCATGTTGCAGGGGTTTGATATACAGATTATTTCATCACCCACATAATAAGCATAGTACCCAATAGGTAGTTTCTCAGTCCTCACCCTCTTCCCACCCACCACCCTCAAGTAGGTCCCGGTGTCTGTTTTTCCCTTCTTTGTGTTCATATGTGCTCCATGTTTAGCTCTCACTTATAAGTGAGAACATGCAGTTTTGATTTTCTGTTTCTGAATGAGGTTGCTTAGGATGATGGCCTCTGGCTCCATCCATGTTGCTGCAAAGAACGTGAGTTCATTCTTTTTTAGTATTCCACGGTGTATATGTACCACATTTTCTTTATCCAGTTTACCATTGATGGACATTTAGGTTGATTCCATGTCTTTGCTATTGTGAACAGTGCTGCAATGCACATATGTTTGCATGTGTCTTTATGTTAGAATGATTTATATTCCTTTGGGTATATACTCAGTAACGGGACTGCTGGGTCAAATGGTAATTCTGTTTTAAGTTCTTTGAGAAATCCTCAAACTGTTTTCCATAATGGAAGAACTATTTTACATTTTCATCAGCAGTGTGTAAGTTTTCCCTTTTCTCCACAACCTCACCAGCATCTGTTATTGACTTTTTAGTAGTAGCCATTCTGACTGATGTGAAATAGTATCTCACTGTGATTTTGATTTGCTTTTCTTTAATGATCAGTTGTGCTTAGCATTTTTTCATATGCTTCTTGGCCACATGTATGTGTACTTTCAAAAAGTATCTGTTCATGTCCTTTGCCCACTTCTTAATGGGGTTGATTATTGCTTGTAAATTTGTTTCAGTTCCTAATAGATGCTAGATATTAGACCTTTGTTGAATGCATAGTTTGAAAATATTTTTCCCATAATGTAGGTTGTCTGTTTACTCTGTTGATAGTTTCTTTTGCTATGCAGAAGCTCTTTAGTTTAATTAGGTTCCATTTATTGATTTTTGTTTTCATTGCAATTGCTTCGTTATGAAATCTTTTCCAGGTCCTATGTCCAGAATGGTATTTCCTAGGTTATTTTCCAGGGTTTTTATAGTTTTAGGTTTTATATTTAAGTCTTTAATCCATCTTGAGTTGATTTTTGTGTATGGTATAAATAACGAAGGGGTCCAGTTTCAATCTAATGCACATGGCTAGCCAGTTATCCCAGCACCATTTATCGAATAGGGAGTCCATTCAATAAATGAACAAATTTCTTCATTGCTCATTTTTGTGGATTTTGTCAGTCAGATGGTTGTAGATGTGCAGCATTATTTCTGCTCTCTAATAGGGCTCTCTATTCTGTTCCATTGATCTGTGTGTCTGTTTTGGTACCAGTACCATGCTGTTTTGGTTACCATAGTCTTGTAGTATAGTTTGAAGTTGGGTATTGTGATGCCTCCAGCTTCGTTCTTTTTGCTTAGGATTGCCTTGACTATTTGGGCTCTTTTTTGGTTTCATATGAATTTTTAAATAGTTTTTTTTTCTAATTCTGTGGAAAACGTCATTGGTAGTTTGATAGGAATAGCACTGAATCTGTAAATTGCTTTGGGCAGTATGGCCCTTTCAACAATATTGTTTTTTCCTATCCATGAGCATGGAATGTTTTTCTATTTGTTATGTCATCTCTGATTTCTTTGTGCAGTGTTTTGTGACTTTCATCGTAGAGATCCTTTACCTCCCTGGTTAGCTGTATTCCTAGTATTGTATTCTTTTTGTGGCTATTGTGAATGGAATTGCATTCTTGATTTGGCTGTCACCTTGGATGTTGTTGGTGTATAGGAATACTACTGATTTTTGTACATTGATTTTGTATCCTGAAACTTTGCCAAAGTTGCTTATCAGATCAAGGAGCTTTTGGGCAGAGACTGGAATTTTCTAGGAATAGAATCATAACATCTGAAAACAGGAATAGTTTGACTTCCTCTCTTCCTATTTGGATGCCTTTTCTTTTTTTTTGTCTGATTGCTGTGTCCAGGACTTCCAGTAATATGTTGAATTGGAGTGGTGAGAGAAGGCGTTCTTTTCTTGCTCCAGTTTTCAAGGGGAAGGCTTCCAGCTTTGCTCATTCAGTATGATGTTGGCTGTGGGTTTGTCATAGATGGTTCATATTATTTTGAGTTATGTTCCTTCAGTGCCTACTTTCTTGAGGGTTTTTAACCTGAAGAGATGTTGAATTTTATGGACAGCCTTTTCTGCATCCATTGAGCTAATCATGTGGTTTTTGTTTTTAGTTCTGTTTATGTGATGAACTCACATTTATTTATTTGTGTATGTTGAACCAATCTTGCATCCCAGGGATAAAGCCTGCTTGATCATGGTGGAGTAGCTTTTTGATGTGCTGCTGGATTCAGTTTGCTAGTATTTTGTTGAGGACCTTGGCATCTATATTTTATTAAGGATATTGGCCTTAAGTTTTTTTGTTGTTGTGTCTCTGCCAGGTTTTGGTATCAGAATGATTCTGGCCTCACAGAATGAGTTAGGGAGGAGTCCCTCCTTCTCAATTTTTTGGAATAGAGTGGTACCGGCTCTTCTTTATACATCTGGTAGAATTCAGCTCTGTCAATTTCTGTCAATTGCCTGTGTTGAAATCCAATGACTACCTCAAACTATTTCTAATCTCTTTTACATTTTTACCCAACCAATTTAATTTCTTGGATTCCCACATATTCCTTTTTTTTTTTTTTTTTTTTTTTTTTTTTTGAGATGGAGTCTTGCTCTGTCGCCAGACTGGAGTACAGTGGCGCGATCTTGGCTCACAGAAACCTCTGCTTCCCAGGTTCAAGGGATTCTCCTGCCTCAGCCTCCCAAGTAGCTGGGACTACAGGCATGCACCACCACACCCAGCTAATTTTTGTATGTTTAGTAGAGACGTGGTTTCACCGTGTTGGCCAGGATGGTCTCGATCTCTTGATCTTGTGATCTGCCTGCCTCGGCCTCACAAAGCTCTGGGATTACAAGCCACACATTCTATTCTTACCAGCTTGACAAATGGAGTACCTACTGCTCATTGTTCTTCTCATTGGCCATACCTCCCTACCATGCTTCTATAGGTAGAACAACATCAAAGTATCATATGCCTCAAACTCAACTCAGGTGTTTGTAACCAAGCTTAGAATCCCCTTCACTGGCCCATTTCTGACTAAAAAGGAGGTCATTTCAGGCACTCTCTGAAACATGACCTAAAAAAACCCATGTCCACATTAAAACCACACTAGATTTTCTACTTTATAGCAAATTTCATTGTATCAAATATGAATTTTATTTGAAAGGGCCTTTGATTAACTCGAGCCTGAAAATCCAAAGTTGTATCTTAACATTGAAATTTGTATGTATAAGTAGACTCTACATCCTGGGAACTTTGGGTTGTATTGCTTATGTGTTTTCTCTTTGTATGAAATAGAGTGAATAAACTATTGCCTATTTAGAAAGATGATATGGAGGCCTACTCTGACTAGGTAGACATGTGCTTTATGTTGCTTTTCTAGTGCAAGAGCTGCAGTTTCATGATGCATGCACATCCTGTTGCCTGTTTTGTTTTACTACAAATGGCCCACTGGGAATATTCCCTTCAGTTAAGATGTACTGAGCACCCAGCATGGGCCAACTAGCATGATAGGCAGGTTAGTAGTGTGTGTGTGTGTGTGTGTGTGTGTGTGTGTGTAAAATACAATATTATATATAATATACATATTATACTATATTTTATATATATCTTATATATACTAGATATATAAGATATATATAAAAGAAATACAACGTTTGCCCATTATACTAACTGAAGATACTTGTGAGTTAGGCTCATCCCAAACTGTCCAGTATTTGCTTCTCTTAGAAAGTCCAAAAGCTTTTCATGTAACTTGGTGGGCTTTCTCCCTGACAGAAGCATTTCACATATGCCTACTCTCTAGCATGTCATTCCTGCCACATATCTCAGCCATGGGCATCTCACTCTCAGCTAGTGCAGCCTATCTTGATACCTGCTCAGAACTTGGTATAAACAAAACTCTATATACTTCATGTTGCATGCAGTGAGCTAAAGGAAGCTTTGCTTACTTTCACAGATTACAGGTTTATTTTATAATCATGCCATGAACACAAGTCAGAGTAATCTGATTCTTTGCTGCAGTGGCATTAGAGCACTGATAGCACACTCTCCTTTTTCAGGGAGAATGTTGTGTGTCTGGTTGACTGGATAAACTCTTCAGTCTTATAGGATTTGAAAGAACATAAAAGGCAGGCATTTATTTACTATAATAAAACAATAGACTTTGCAATGAATTCTGTAATAACTGCCTTTTAATCCTCACAGTCCCCCACACACACACACGAGAACTTTATACCCCCCAAAAAAAAGTTAAACGTCACACTTACTTTATTTTATATCTCTGAAGTTGGTCTTCAATCAAGCAAAAAAATAAGGGATAAAGTGAAAGGAAATTTGAGAAAAGATCCTGCAAGAAGCAAGCTGAGACTAGAATTTCATAAAATCCATTTCTAGCCCTGTCAGCTGCCTGCCTCATTACCTTAGACTTTCATATAATCTTTTAAGTCTTTAGTTCAATCTTTCTACTCAGTTATTTTTCTTCAGTTTCTTGTAACCTTCAAAAATGCTAACAATAGAAATCACAGGCCAACCTGAAGTTAATCCAGTACCTTGTAACCACAGCCTTTTACCACCCTTAACTGAGCTGTGTGTGGGTGGCTTGCATCCCACGGTTGGTACTCTGGGCTTAGAGAGTCCTTGCATGCTATGTGGGTGGCGTTCATCCTGTAGTGTTCCTACGGGTTTAGGGAGTCCCTTTCCAGTACCCAATCAGATATACATTGTTCTTTATATGCTGGGCTGAAAGATTCCATACTTTTGTTTCTAGGAATTCAGGACCATTCAACTAAGATAATACGGTATAATGCAGGGACCAACAATCTTTTTCTTTTTGGGCTATGCTGTCTGTGTTGCAGCTATGCGGCTCTGCCTTTGTGGTGGGGAAGTAGCCATAGACAACATATATATAAGTGAATGCATGTGGCTGTGTTCCAGTAAACTGTATTTACAAAAGTGGGTGGCAGGCCACATTTGGCCCTCAGGCCGTACTTTGCTGACTCCTGGTATCTGGACAAGATTGCTGGGTTTCGAGCTGAGGTTTCACATGGGGCTTGAGACCCATATAATCACAGAGTGGTCTCAAATGGGTCTCATACTTTTGTATGTATTTGTAAAGTTCACGGTAATAGCACTTGCCATGCCTTCCTTAGAAAGTTACATGGGATAATTTAATTTTTAATTTTTGTTAACATTCTATAGACTTAAAAAAATTTTTATTTAACACATTATACATATTGATGGAGTGCAATTTGATACTTAGGTACATGTGTTTGCTACATAATGATTAAGGTAGTTAGCATACCCATCACCTCACATATTTATCACTTCTCTGTGGTGAGAATATTCAAAAGCTTCTCTTCTGGCTATTTTGCCATATATAATACCTTACTGTTAACCATAGTCACCCTACTGTGCAATAGAATAAAGAGCATAATTTAGATAAATAAGATGTGTTCACTATGATATACTATGTAAACATAGCCTTTTTCCCTAATAAGTATTATTAGCAGCAGCAAGGGCAATTTTTCTAGAGGGGGAGAGGATTAGGATTCACTTCTTTTATTTTTTTAATTTTTTTTTTTTTTGGAGACTGAGTCTCGCTCTGCCCCCAAACTGGAGTGCAGTGGCGCGGTCTCTGCTGACTGCAACTTCCACCTCCTGGGTTCAAGCGATTGTCCTGCCTCTCAAGTAGCTGAGATTACAGGCCTGTGCCACTACACCAGCTATTTTTTTTTTTTTTTTTTTGTATTTTTAGTAAAGATGGAGTTTCACCATGTTAGCCAGGCTGGTCTCAAACTCCTGACCTCAGGTTATCAGCCCACCTCGGGCTCCCAAAGTGTTGGGATTACAGGTGTGAGTCACTGTGCCCGGCCCGGTTAGGATTCTTTCTTTATTTGTGGTGGGGAGAGGGTGGGGGACGGAGTCTCGCTCTTGTCGCCCAGGTTGAAGTGCAATGGCATGATCTCGGCTCACTGCAACCTTCTCCTCCCAGGTTCAAGCAATTCTCCTGCCTCAGCCTCCTGAGTAGCTGGGATTACAGGCACCTGCCACCATGCCCAGCTAATTTTTTTTTTTTTTTTTTTTTTTTTTGTATTTTTAGTAGAGACACAGTTTCACCATGTTGGCCAGGCTGGTCTCAAACTCCTGACCTCAGGTGATCTACCCGCCTCGGCCTCTCAAAGTGCTGGGATTACAGGCATGAGCCACCGCGCCTGGCCCAGGAGTCACTTCTAATTCCTCACAGCTATCCCAGAATGTCTTTGAACACAGGATTTAGTGACAGAACCACAACAAGCCATATGAGAGCCCCACACTGGGCGGTACACTGCACCTGGAAATGTGCGTGTGAATGTGATTCTAATCTGAAACCCCAGCAACAGATCACCTAGCAAAGGGAACAAATGTGAAAGGAGCCTTTTTGCCTGCGTGTACAGCTTCAGGAAGAATGCAGAGGAGAAGAGGAGGATGCCCCCAGGGTCTGTGATATTTTTATATCAACTCCGGCAGTCAATGAGGTGATGGGTATTATAGGTATTATAGCTGGTTTCCCTCCCATCTAAGTGTTCCCATGTGAAAATGTTCAACTTGCCAAGATTTGATACACTCAAGGGACATCATATTATGACTTTCCCAGCCTCTGAATCTTTAACACTAATGAAGCTAGCAGGCAAACATGTCTAAAAGGACAACTGTGGAAGGTAATTGTATCTTAGATAGAATGGTATATTCTGTATAACACAGACCTTCTCATTGGTCTAGTTATTGTCCCTGAATGCACACATGGCATTTTCTTGACCCCTTATTATTCCACGACTTTCCCCCTCTACCTGAAATATCTTTCATACTTTCCTTCAGCTGTCAGATCTTATCCATAAATACACCTCATCCCTTCTCTGGGATCTAAAATGTTCTCATTTTCTAAATTTTAATATCAGTTTGTCTGGACCATCATTTAAAAGTTACAGTTTACTCATTTTATTATTGTCTTTTCACATCTTCTCAATGAGATTCGAAATTTGGGAGCATCAGGACATTTCTAGTTCAGTTCTGCAGCTCTCTCAGAACCTCGCATGTGGTAGGTCGTTCAGTACATATTTATTGAGTAAAAATATGTTTAAGTAAAAGTAAATACAGTTTTGTTATAGGAGAGCCCTTCTTAATCAAAAATACCGGAATACAAAAATCTTGTTTGATAGCTTTTACATGTTAATGGAGGCCTCATCTGTTTTAACCTGAAGCCTTGAGACTCTGGAAGAAATGTACAGTAGCACACCATTATACAGAATTTTCATCATACGGATATAACAGATGCAAATAACCCCAAGAGCATAGAGACCAGGTGCAGTGAGTCACCTCTGTAATCCCAGTGCAATGGGAGGTGGTAGGATTGCTTGAGGGCAGGAGTTTGAGACCAGCCTGGGCAGCATAGCAAGACCTCCATTTCTACAAAGAAATTCAATTAGCTGGGCATGGTGGCACATGCCTATAGTCTGAGCTACTTGGGAGGTTGAGGTGGGAGGATTGTTTGAGCCCAGGAGTTTGAGATTACAGTGAGCTGTGATTGTGCCATTGTGCTCCAGCCTGGTGATAGATCAAGATCCTGTCTCTTAAATTAAAAAATAAAAAAAGAGCTTAAGGAGTAGTAAAATATATAATAAGATAACTGGGAAGTGAAACATTTTGAGTATTACCATTGTTTTTAATAAATTTTATTTAATTGTACGTTTACATAGGTTTTAATGATGGCTGTGTTTAATAACTGACTCGTGAAAGTCCTAAAAATTTAAGTCCACGCTTATGAGCCAAAAGAGCCAGCTCCAGCACATCACTATTCTTATCACAATTTATTATAGTGGCTGATTTCATTTTCTCTCTCTTTCCCTAAATAATGAACTTCCTGAAAGAAGCGATAACGTCTGTTTGCTCACCATTGTATCTCTAATGCCTAACACGTAGTAGGTACTCAAGTATTAGATGACTGAATGAATCAATCCAATCTTCTGCATTCTTACCAAATTAATACAACTTAAAACAAAGGAAAAAGGTCTCTTGTCTAAAAGTCACATTTCATTTTCTTTCTTTTGGTCAGCTTTAACAATATGCTATAAACATTCATCACTAAGCACTTCAGCATATGAAATATTACTGTTTTCAATATCATCCAAGTAAGTGTATCTGAGTTATTCATGGCCATAATGTTCACAGAAACAACTCTCAATGTAAATATGTTCAGGAACTATTTTTCAGTAGAATGTCAATTTCTTTGAGCTGCGTGTGTTCTTCTAAACCAACAAAACACTGCCAATTCCTGTGATATGTAGATTATTTGTCTTTATAAAATTGCAGAAAATTGAAAATTTTTCTCTGGGTACTGTATCTTTTCCACATTTTTAGCCTAGAGCTTTGGCACTGACCAGAATGTAGAATTAGGAATTCTAGTATTTTTGCATTTTAGGGCATTCTAAGGAGAAAAGAATTCTCTCCCTCTAGTATAGGCTACCATTTCCCAAAATATATTCCTTGGGATCCAGCTCTGTGGGATGTTAATAGGTGCTGTATGAAAACTGATTCATTTCCAAGTAGGTTTGGAAAAAATTGGTTCAGTATTAAATAAGTTTGTTTTTTGTTTTTTCTTTTTTTTTAGTGGTAGCACATCACCAAACAGGATATAGTATATAGTATTTCCCAAATGATTTTTTTTCCACGAGAATGTCACAGGGACCTAATATTCCATTTCTCTTTGGGAAATGCCGTATTTATGTATGAACAGTCTTATAGAATCATACGTTCAGACATGAGAGGGCTTAAAGGTTATCTAGGTTACCCCCCCACACACACACACACCCATGTCAAAATCCATTTTATATCACTCCAACAGATGGTCATCCGGCCTCTGCTGAATACAGACCTTAGCAGGAAACTTCCCATTCCAAAAGTCATTCCACTCCATGACTGGCCTCCTTTCCTTTTTTAACAAAGATTTTCCTTATAATTGAACCAAAAATCTGTTTCCCTGTAATTTACTCATTCCTTCTAGTTTTGCCATCTGGAATATTGGCAAAACAAGTTTGCTTTCTTTTCTGCAAGATGACTATCATGTTTCCTGTTCACCTTCTCTTCTTTAGATTGACTCTTCCTAGCTTATTCAATTCTTCCTCATATGAGGAAGTTTCTAGAATTCTCAACATCCTGGTTACTTTCCCCTGGAAAATGTCCAGTGTCCCTCTCAAAATAAGATAACTAGAATTAAACACAGTCAGCTGTGATCTGTCAAGCACACATGTTTAACTTTTTATTCAACAAATACTTCTGGAGCCACTGTTCTCCTTTGGGCACTATTCTGGAGGCTGGGGATACAGCAGACAAGAAGGCAGGCAAAGTCGGATATTTCATGGAGCTTCTAGTCTTGTAGTGGAAAAATCAAGTAAACCAGGAAACACATAAATAAGCAAGATGGTCTCTAGTAGTCAAAAATGTTACAAAGAAAATAAGATCAGATAATATGATAGAAAATATTTGCAGAGAGGTGGTATGTTTTTTATTTTGTTTATAAATAGAGACAGGGCCTTGCTATGTTACCCCAGCTGGTCTCGAACTCCTGAGCTCAACCCGTCTTCCTGTCTTGGCCTCCCAAAGTGCTGGGACTACAGGTGTGAGCCACTGGCCCTGCCAGGGTGGCATGTTTTGATCAGTGATGGGGAAAGCATCTCAGAAGGTGCCATTTGAGCTGTTCCTGAATAATACAGAGGAGCCAGGGAGTGAATGAAGATCTGTGGGCAGCACATTACAGCCAGAGGGAGTGGTGCATGGCAGGCTCTATGGTGAACATGAGTCTTGTCAAAAGAAAGAGAGGTCATGTGGAAAGTAGAGCAAGAGAAGAGGAGAGTCACTTCAGCAATATCAGAGAGGAAGGCAGCAGCCAGCGTATTTAAGGCATCATAGCTGTGTTACCATGGCTCAGGTAAGTATAGTTTGTAAGCATAGTAGGTGGCCATTGGAAGATTTTAAGCAGGAGAGTGTCACAAACTTCAACAGTTCATTCCAGTTGATTTGATCTTCCCACGAGTCATCATACTACATTATACTGCTGTTAGTCCAGCCCAGGATTTTTGGTTGTCGCCATTGTTTTTCTAAGAACCTAGTCAAACTTCTCATACAAACTTATTTTTGGCAAATTAAAATACCCAGATCTTTTAAAATTTTCTTATAATCTTGACAAAACCAGTAATTTGGAATCTCAGTGAAAAACATTTGTTGCTCTTAAATTTTATAATTTTGTTCTCAAGCCTTATTAGAATAATGTTGAATCCTGACTTTGTCGTTAGTAATACTAAAGCAGTCTCAGCTTTTGGGTTTTAAGTTTAATAAATAAATTTTTTATTCAAAGTTGGCAATAAAGTCATTGTATAGAGCATTTTTTTTTTTTTTTGAGACGGAGTCTTGCTCTGTCACCCAGGCTGGAATGCAGTGGTGCAATCTCTGCTCACCTCAACCTCTGCCTCCCGGGTTCAAGCCATTCTCCTGCCTCAGCCTCCCGAGTAGCTGGGATTACATATATAGGTCATTTCTAAGGACTATAGTCTGTTACAAGTATCCCTTTAGTTGAAAGAATCCATTAAGCGACCTTTTCTCAGGATAGCTTTTCAACCACCTGCTAATATTTGACTACATGAATTTTCATTTCCTCATATTTTTACTGCAAGGATAGCCCATGAGATAATTCAACACATATAGGTCTCTTAGTCTGCTAATCCTGTAGGAAAAGAAAAGAAAATTAGCATAATATCTAGGTGAATGTATAATGGCTCTTAGTTAACATTTCTTTGTCTAAATATTCATAACCCAAGGGATGATTGAAGTTTAATCAATAGTTTCTAAAATCCTTTCCCCCGCTTTTAAAAAAATAAGCATAGCATTTTCCTGACTCCTGTCCTTGGGGTGGAGATTGGGGAACAAGTAAAAGCTTATAGAGTCTTGTTTGATAAAAAACATTTTTTTCTAAGGGAAAGGAATAGCAACATTTGCTGCCACTTAAAATCCATCCTTAAAATTCACACAAAGCACATTTATTGCTTACTTTCACAATGATCTAGGGACCAAAGAGTAACAAAAAACAAAACAATAAATAAATGCACAATCGGGCATCTCTGCTGTCAAGTATTCCTTGAAGGCCTGGCAGAATCTGACATGGAGTAAGTTACTGGAAGCCGGATTTAGTCAATTACCTGTCTTTTTGCTCCTAATGTTCAGAATCCAGTAAATGGCTGTAGCCTAAGGTAGAGAAGTACCAGTTAAGTGCATTTTGACTGTGGTTTAAGCAATCGAGGTCGTCTCCAGCTTCTTTGGAACAATGCCATTCTTTAGCATGACATGGAGGGTAACTATGTGCTTATTCACTAGATGGAATACCTGCTTCATGTAGTTGGCTGGGCTCTGTTACCATCTGTTTCTTTCTTTGTTTCTTTCTGTTTGTCTGTCCCTCGCCCTCTCTTTCTCTCTCCCTCTCTTTCTGTCTCTCTCTCTCTCTCTCTTTAACACACACACACACACACACACACACACACACACACACACACACACACACACAACTTTTTAGAGTCATGGAGAGAGGGTCTCATTATGTTGCCCAGGCTGGTCTTGAACTTGTAGGCTCAAGCAATCCTCCCACCTCAACTTCTTGAGTAGCTGAGACTACAGGCATGCACCACTGCACCTGGTTTCAATATTCGTATTGTCAGTATCTCATCAGTTTTTGACTATCGCCACCTCTATCTATTTTATAGGGAAAGAAAATCTTTCTTTGCCCTAATATCTAAGTAGCTTAGGCACACCTGAGAACTGGGAAACCATTCCCAACCATTGCCAGTGGGGAGACGTCCTGCTTCAGTGTGATACAGTTAGCCAGTGTTTATTGAGCCCTTCCCCATGCTCATGTTTGTATTCATCTCTGAGGAATGTCTCTATAGTGATCCTATTCTAGAGACATTTCCCCCCTCTTCTGGACAGATTAAACCCGAGAAGAACTTGCTGGTTCCTGTAAGCCGAGCAGCCTGTTTGTGCTGTGCCCTCATTCTAGGTGCATTCTTTGGCTGGCATATTTGTGGGCACAGAGTATTCACGAACAAGGTTTCAGCAGTTTATAGTCCCTAGGGGGCGGGGTGAGTCAAAAACATTGACTGTTTCCATTTGCCCTCTGGAGGCAGTGTTTAACCTCCAAGTGGATGTGGTGCCCAGAGGAAACAACCTCAACCAGGAACTGGCAGGCACCTGCCTCATCAGGGCATCAGTGTGCACAGGGAGAGAGGGAGTGTGTCAAAAGGTCCAGCCCATTTGGCTGTGGGGAGAGGCCTTATAATAACACATCAGTAGCATCACTTTACACATGCCTCTGCAGACACGAGCTGTCCAGCTCCCTGTTCCTCAGGGTGAGGCTGGGGTAGAGCTGGGAATGACGGACTCTGGGGACTGATGGAGGGCCATACCTTCGAGACCAAGGATGGTGTTCTCTTGCACATGCTTGCCACCTCTTATTGGTCCTCCGATTCCTAGGGAATTTTCTTTAGCATTCTTCTCAACTGGGCTCAGTTGTTGAAAGAGCACACACACACACACACACACACACACACACACACACACACATACATTTTAATCCTGTGCTTCACATGCTGTGAAGCTAAAGAAGAGTGCAAGAGGAAGGCAGCTTACATCAGATCTGACAGTCTTACTGATCGTTGCTGATAAAAACTGGCAAAGGGAAAAGTAATCGGAGCCTCGGGAATTCAATTCACTCCTTTAATCCACTCAGCAGATATTTTATTTTTAAAACACAAGCACAGCCATCAGCAAAATTGAGAGGCTGTGTGGGACCCCAAGGCACTTTAAACTTTTGAGCCCTCCTAACTCCCACTCCAGCCCTACCTTCAAATAGTCCCTCTTAGCCATTTCATCTGCTTGGGTGTATCCTCCTCACCATCCCTTTTCCTTATTCCCTAGAAGCCAATAAAAAAAAAAACTTGCCTGTTGGCATTAATTAAAAAAAGGAAGACACTTTATGATCTAGATCATCAGCTAGAGACTTGTGCAGTATATCATCCCTACTTTTTATGATTCTCATATTGTCTTCATGTCTTTCTCATTTGCAGCAAGTAGATGACACAGTGCTGCCCTCTAGCTGATTATTGGATTATAATGGCTTCTCTATTCCTAAGGCTATATATATATCTAAATATATATATATCTAAATATATCTAAATATATCTAAATATATCTAAATATATATAAATATATATATAAATATATATAAATATATATATATAAATATATATATATATAAATATATATATAAATATATATATTTTTTTTATCAGCAAAGAGAAGTGGACAGTTGTTTTTCATGTACGGCTTACCCCAGACAATCAGTAGAGCACCTCTGCTGCTTTATACTCTCTCAGTCCTCCTGAACCAACCTTCCTGGAATAATCTACTAATCTAAACCAGAAAACGAACTTAGTTCCACAGCAGATTTCAACTGTACCTCTATATTACAGCAGGTACCCTGTCAGATTTCTTCTATCGAGAAATGAAAAGATGTACACACGCCCATGTCTGTATGTCTTCCATTTATCAGGCAGGGAGAATTGATTATCTCAATTCTAAAGATATCAGCACATTTGGAGATATGTGGCTTTTATTCTAGGACCCTGGGATTCACATTTTAGCCTATAACCTTCAAATCTCCACATTCATTTTTCTCCACCCTAAGTGCCTGTGTAGTGATGTAATAGCACTGTTAACCATAATAGAATGATCAATGATTTTGAAAAACATAGTGTGTACCTTTCTCTTTGGGAGGAGGGTAAAAGCAACTACTGATAAGAAAGTAAGCCTTAGCCAGCTCCCCACGATCCATCTGCCAGTCAAAGCAGTTAATCTTATATACCCCTTCCCACTCAAGAAAGTTAGTGAACAGTTATTACATGGCTGCAATAATTATCTGTAAGCGTTATATCTACAGATGTAGACTGCATCTGTCTACAGAGAAGGCGCTGATTTTAAGCCTGCTTTGGCACCTAGTTTTAAGCCTTTGGCTTTATCAACCATGTACGTAGGTTGTCACCCATATAAATAGGTCCTATCCCTCACCATCCTGAGCCTTGATTTTCTTACCTGTCATTTGAGATAGTTACCTCACAGAATTGCCAGGAAGGTTAAAAGATCTGGAACACGTAAAAGTACTTTATCAAACCCTACATGCTTATTAATTGTAAGAAACTGCCCTGTGTCATTAAAAGAGCATGGGCTTTGGAATGAGACACAGGAACAGATTCCAGACCTGCTTCTCACTAGCTATGTGGCCTTTCACAGGAAGCCTAACTTCCTCGAGCCTTAGCTATAAAACGGAAGTAATACCAATCTACAGCACCTATATGGGAATTCAATCAGTAATGTGTTTAAAAGAAGGTCAGTGCTACATAGATTTAGGTTATTGGTGCCATTGTAAGTGGGAAAATAATATGTGTGATGCTTTAGTGAGTTGTGAGAGAGCATCCAAATGCCTAAGCACCTGGAGCACACTGCCTGGGCCTGATCCCTGACACTGCCATTTACTAACATTGTGGTGTCACATTTTTTGTAATTGCCTGTTTACTTCTCTCACTCACAAGTCTGAATTCCTTGAGTATGGAGAGATTGTCTTCTCACTGTGTGTGCAGCTCCTAGTGGAGTATCCAACATGTAGTAGAGAGAGAAAATGTGTTGAATGAATAAATGTGTGATTTTTATCATCTTCCATACATTTTATACTATGGTACCTCTTAGATATCATTTACATTTATAATAATAACTATGAATTGGAATGGGTAGGGCAGTGGCCAATTAATGTAGCTCATAGGAGATCCAGATGCTTCATTCTGCATCTCTAGGCTTCTTGATGCCTCTTGGGCCCTACTTGATAGGTTCTTATCTAAAGCCATAAATGCAATAGAGAAACAGAACACTTTAAAAAATATTACCTCCACTAAAGGCCGGGTGTGTTAGCTCAGCACTTTGGGAGGCCAAGGCAGGCGGATCACGAGGTCAGGAGATCGAGACCATCCTGGCTAACACGGTGAAACCCCGTCTCTACTAAAAATACAAAAAAATTAGGCCTGGTGGCACATGCCTGTAGTCCCAGCTACTTGGGAGTCTGAGGCAGGAGAATCGCTCGAACCCGGGAGGCAGAGGTTGCAGTGAGCCGAGATCACGCCACTGCACTCCAGCCTGGGCAACAGAGAGAGACTCCGTCTTTATATATATATATATGTGTATATATATATGTATATATATATACACATACACGTATATATATATATATATATATATATATATATATATATATATATATATATATATTTTACCTCTACTTAACCTCCCTGGATGATTGTCTTAGTGTCACATATATATATATATATATATATATATATACACGTATATATATATATATATATACACGTATATATATATATATATATACACGTATATATATATATATATATATATATATATATATATATATATTTTACCTCTACTTAACCTCCCTGGATGATTGTCTTAGTGTCACAGGATCCTTCGGGTGTCACTTCACCAGCCAGAACCCTCTGTGGCTGGCGGCGCCTCTGCTTGAGTTTCACTCATGCCCGTTGGGCTTGTTCTGTCCCCTGGGCTGCCAGGCTGTGCTGCTCGGCTCATGCTACAGACCCAGACCCATGCCCACTGAGGGCAAGCCAGGCATGGAGCAGCGAGGGGTGTGTGCGCCACTAAGCATGGGGTCCAGCCAGTGCACACAGCCAGACACCCCAGCTGCTGCGGCAGGGCAGGCAGCTCCAGGCTCCGTGCAAGCCTACAGCTGGACTAGGCATACCACAAGCAGCTTCTCTTGTGGGTGCCAGCATCTGGATGAGGGGAATGTGGTGACATCTGAAAACTCGGAGATGCCAGCAACCACAGAGCCCCAAGGGGTGGGTGTGGAGGCGCTCTGCAGCTCTCTCATTTCCACCACCCACAGCTCGGCGGATCGGGCGTGGGGGGAGGCATGTCTTTGCCTCATTCAGTCCCACCGCCTCACTCTGGCGTACAGCTCCCAGGCTGCCCTGGCCCCATTGCTGCTTCCCGTCACATGGGGTAGCCGCCCAACACCAGCGGAGGGCAGGAGGGCTATAGTGCTACAGCTCTGGCTTGGGGAATCCTGAGGTCTGGGCCCACAGAAGCGTCACCAGTGTTCACTGCCACAGTCTGATGAACAGGAGCATGTCATCGTCCGCAGCTCAAGGAGCTGGCCAGGAAAGTGTTACAGCCCTTTTCGCACCCACCATTCGGTGTGTTCTGAATTCTTGTCCAGCATCCAGGAAGAATGAGTTTCCACAAACAACTGGAGGGTAAGCAAGGCAGGGAAGAGTTTTATTGAGCCACAGAACAGCTCTCAGCAGAGAGGAGACCCAAAGTGGGTAGCTACTACCTGCAGACGGGCAGTCGTACCATGTGGTTGAGTCTGGGGGTTTTTATGGACTCAAAAATGGAGGAAGTGTGTGCTGATTGGTTCATGGTTGGGAGGAAGTGTGTGCTGATTGGTCCATGGGTGGACCTGGAAAAAGCACCACTTGACTGACCCAAAGGCATTAAGGAAGTTCTCACTGTGGGTAGTGGATTCTCCCGGAGACTGACAGCCTGGTTTTCAGGCTTCCTGCTGTATTTGGCTTGAAGGTCAGGTATCACCAGGGACCTGCCTCTTCTTGCCTAGGAATTTGCCTCCTGCTGCTATCATTAATAACCTACGACTAAACAGACATAATTTTATTGGAAACTTCTTGAGGATGGAGACCTGGTATGCGCAGGTGCTCATCAAATGTTGATTCGGAAATGGGATGGTGTTCTGTTCAGTTCACAAACATCAGAGTCTTCCTGTACTTTTACCCCATGGCGGTTAATCCAAAACCTATAGAATTAAATTATTTTCAAATTAGTCAAATCAATGTTACAGTCTTAGGTACCTCTATGCTTCATCTGTTCTGAACAGCAAGTGGCATCTTGTTGCAGCTTGCTATCCAGTCCCAAGATGCATTTCAAATTCCAGGCGCCTGTTCTGTGACAGCCTTCCACCCTGGCAGGTCTCTTTGTTGCCATCTTTTGTAGCATCCTCTGGGTATTTGACTCTTCTCCCCTGCCTCAAAACTTTGCAGAACCCCACCCAGTGGCACCAATTTGTTCTTCAAAAACCTTATTCTACTTGTCTCGTTGTTTCTCTTTTCGGTTGAGTTAAATCTACAACCACTGCTTGTGCATCTTCATTTTTCCAAGCAGCCATTAGAGGCAAATGGCACCACAGCTCCTGCTACATTTCAAGCTTATGTCCCAGAGGTGGCAAGACAGAACATCAATCTTCAGTGCCACCTGGCTCTCTGATAAGCTTTTGTTTCATGTGTGGCTATGTTGTCAGGAGCTTCACGCCCTCTCTTCCCACTACCTCACCCAGAGAGCTTTTCTGAATATGACAACCATCTAAAGACGAATTATCTCCTTGCAAAGTTAATTTCTGTTTCTCAGCAGGGAGCCACTGGTTCCCGCTGGGCTTGAAAGTACTGCTGTTTGTTAATGGATGAGTGTCTCTTGGATCCTGGTACCCACACTGGAACTGCTGCAGCGCCTGGCTTTCCATTTGCTTTAATTTCCTACTTGCAGCTGGTGTTAGGAGACCTAAATGGGTTTATTCACGGAATAGTGGTTTACAGTCATTAGCACTGGGAGGAAATCATATTGAAGACAAGGACTAGAGAGCTGCTTTCATGCCATCCTTGAACACTTAGGACAGTTTGGTTGGTTGGTTGATTGGTTTTGGCTTTTTTAGAGAGCAAATTCACAAAATCCTTCTAGAGATAGAACAAAAGGCCTAACATAAAAGGTTTATTTCTGACTTTTAAGAGTTAGAAAAAAACAGTATTTTTTTAATGTCTTCAATGTACAGAATGGTGAAGATAAAATAAGATGCTGGTTGAAAATTGCTCTGAGCACTTTTAAGTGTAATAGTCGATGTTGCTATTGTTTGGTATGCCCAAGCTCTTTAAAGTGCAGGAAATTTCGTTACAAAGATTTGTGCTGTCTTCTATAAAGCAGAGCCAGCTGTAGACTAGAAAACTCCAACCCGTAGAACATCTGGAATGTTTGTTTCTATTCATTATGAAATTGCCACTTTTGTAGGTCAAACAAGGTCAAATGTTGGCAATTTCCTACTATTCAACCTATGCAGTTTTGTTTTTAGATAGAATTCTGAAGGCCAAGAGAGCACCATAGGTATGTTTCCTGCCTCTGAAAAAAATCCAAAGCCTGTAGGCCAATGCCTGTTTGTCCTTGAGAGGAGCCCAATTCTAAGCTGTTAACTGTGTGAATCTGAAATGTGCCTCAGAATTGCTATGCTAGGAGAACATCTGGTCACACAGACTGGCTAATGTCGGACAGCTCGCTCTCCCTTTCTCCGCCTCGTTTTCCACAGCATTTCTACATATTACACTGTCAAGCTAACAGAGCATGAGAGAACATCAAACTAAAAGTTCTGAGCAAGAAAGTACAAGTGCAAGCAATTCCTCATGCCTAAAAAGTGCCACTGACAATGAAAAACTTTACTACTGGTGACTCCAGAGATGGCAGTGTGTGAAAGTGAAGAAAGGACTATGGAAAAGAAAAAGAAATCTTTCCCCCCTTACAGCTGCTTTGTGACTTTGGGCAAATATTTTCATATCTACTAGTTTTTATTTATTTTAGAGAAATGTTGTTGAATTGAAGAGAATCAAATAGCTAAATATCCCGTATAGAGCCAACACACACAAAACTGCTTAATAGATGTTACTTCTTTTTCCTCTTTACTTTGTTTTCAAACATGGGATTTAAATGCTTTAATTTAAACCTATGAACTAATAATAATATTACCCTTTGCAAAGCCCTCTAAAACTTTAAAAGCAATTCCACATACATGCATGATGTCATGATCTACCTAAATCCATTAATATGTATGATCTCAACATGTATGTGTTTATTTCTCTATGTATGACTAGAAATAATCCAAGCACTTAAGCCAAACACAGCTGCTTCCTTTCCCCTCACATTCTGAGAGAATTCTTGCTTTTACTTTGTTACCCTTCACTTTTCTTTATTAAGAATGCCCTTGGACCCATCCAAAGATATCCAAATACTACTGACTCAGCTGCCACCTCCTTAACAAAACAACCTCATCAGCTGAAAGTAACTAAGCAGTCCTCAAGTCAAAAAGGGAAGAGAGGCATGTGAAGAGAAGATTCCTTCAATGCTGACCTGTGCTTTCACAGTCAGCACTAAGTCATAGAAGAGAACCCCAAAGGGTTTTCAGGAAATGAGAAGCTACAATAGGCCCAGAAACAATGGTTCTTAAATTTGGGTGCATGAGAATTGCCTGTGGACCTTGTTTAAAAATGGAAAAACTACCTATTAGGTACTATGCTAGTTACCTGGGTGGCAAAATAATCTGTACACCAAACCCCTGTGACATGCAATTTATCTACATGACAAACCTGCACATGTGCCCCTGAACCTAGAATAAACGTTTAAGAAATAAATACAATTTAAAAACAGAAACAAAAACGGAAACTCCTGGGCACCACCCCACAGATTCTGATTCTCTGCATCTGGAGAGGGGATCAGGAATCCACTGTTTTTTTGTTTTGTTTTGTTTTGTTTTTTTGTGACAGAGTCTCCCTCTTTCATCCAGGCTGGAGTGCAGTGGCGTGATCTCGGCTCACTGCAACCTCTGCCTTCTGGGTTAAGTGATTCTCCTGCCTCAGCCTCCCAAGTAGCTGGGGTTACAGGAGCCCGCCACCATGCCTGGCTAATTTTTGTATTTTTAGTAGAGATGGGGTTTCACCATGCTGGCCAGGCTGGTCTCGAACTCCTGAACTCAAGTGATTCACCTGTCTGGGCCTCCCAGAATGCTGGGATTATAGGCGTGAGCCACCTCGTCTGGCAAGGAATCCCCAATTTTAACAAGCACCCAGGGTGATTCTGTTGAAGGTGTTTCCTGGACCTGCTTTGAGAAACACTGGTTTAGAGGACAGGTACCTTTCATATCAAGGTAAGGCATGATACAGAAGGTAAAGTTGGGAATGTCAAAGGGATGCTTTCAGTTTCATGTGAGATCAAGCTGATTTTTCTCTGATGATTACACATAAAAGTCATGAGACAACCTACTTGGTCAGCAGTTGCTGTGTACCTAGCTTTGGGAGCATTCCCATAAAGCCGTAAGATTTATATCAGCACTGGCTCATATGGTTCATGTCTTTAGTTTTCTTTCTTTTTTTTTTTTTTTAATTTTATGTGCTTCATTAAAAAGAGCTTTATTCTAGGTCGGGCGTGGTGGTTCACGCCTGTAATTCTAGCACTTTGGGAGGCTGAGGCAGGTGGATCACACCAGGAGTTCAAGACTAGCCTGGCCAACATGGTGAAATCCCATCTCTACTAAAAATACAAAAAAATTAGCCAAGGTGGTGGCGCATGCCTCCCAGCTACTCAGAAGGCTGAGGCAGGAGAATCGCTTGAACCCAGGAGGCAGAGGTTGCAGTGAGCTGAGATCACACCGTTGCACTCCAGCCTCAGCTACAGAGCAAGACTTCGTCTCAGGGGGCGGGGAAAAAAAAAGAGCCTCATTCCCAGAGGCTTCATTAATTAAGGCATTTATTTTGGGGTTTGATTGATTGATTGACTGACTAAAGTACTAGTTACAACAGAAAGGATGGCCTTTAGTTAAACAAAATCATTGCTTTCCTGCTATGAAACTGATGGCTGTTGCTAAGGTTTTTAGGATGTCTACAAGAAGTCAAATTTGCTCTTTAAGCTATAGATACATATATACTATATACATATACATGCATACATACATATTTCTTTTTAAAAACTGAGGTAGTTATTATGTAGGGAAAGCATTTTTCTAAAATTTTTTTGTTATGTTTACATTTGGCAATGTGACAGATTTATGTCAACAGTGAGAAATTATACCAGAGCAAATATATGTGAGTAAAACTATTTGAAAATTAACATCTAAAGTATAGTTATCAGTGTGAGAATCTCTGAGTTGTCACACAGATCCATTAATCAGAATTATTAGGGTTCATATGTAAGTGTACTATTTGTTTTCATGGGTAAAAGCTATAATGATAACTATAAAATAATAATAAACATTGCTGAAGTTATAATATCTTTGGGTAATTAAATATATTCTTTATCAATGAATATTGAACATACAGGTGCCATCATGGGGAGATCTGCACAATTTTTTTCTTTAAAAAGAAATCAGTGGAGCATAATAGAAAATCAAAACCAGACCAACCTCTGGCTATCAACACTGCCATTGCAGGGCTATGGGGGAAGGGTAGTCCTTCCATACTGGTGCTGGATCACCTAGATATCCAAATGAATTTTAAAAATTTGGAAAGATAAAATAGGAGAATATCTTTATGACTTGCAATTAGGCAAAGATACAATGGAATATTATAACAATGAAAAATAATACACTCTGACTAAATGCCACAATGTGGAAAAATCTCCTAGATGTAATAATAAACCAAAAAACATCGAGACACAGTAACCATATACTGTGGTATTTCATTATATAAAGTTCAAAAACAGGTCAAAGGAATCACAGGGATAGAAGTCAGAGCAGGGATTACCTTTGGACAGGGATAGTGACTGGCAGAGTCCAGCAAGAGAGGCTTCTGGAGTGCTGGCAGTGTTCTCTATCTTGATTTAGGTGGTGGTTATATGGGTGATTTCACTTTGTAAAAGTTTATTGTGCTCTGTACTTACAATTTATGCACTTTGCACTTTTCTGTTTATATATTTTCTTTCACTTAAACATATTGCCAAGAAAATCAAGGCTGTATTAGAGGATGCTATCTAGTTTGGAATGGCTTTCTTGCTTAGAAAAACTTCCTGCTTTGCAGCTCTGCACTGGTGACTGACAGTTGTGACATTCAGCAGTTCTATTACAATCTACTGACCAAATAGAGCTTTGAGCAAACAGATTTCACAAAAGGCAGTGGGTGGCCATTGAGTTGTTTGTTTTCTGCTTGTATCTGCTTAGGGTGGTATTAGCAGCAGTAATAGGTATATCTTCTGATGTTGATTCTGGAATTTGTTATTTGTTGACTTATTCTCATCATCATCATCAGTTCTTCTTTTGTTGATTGCTGACCATGTCTCTGCTGTAATCTCTGATGGCTAATTTGCATAAATAACCGTGCTAAAATAAAATAGTACAGAGCTTTGTGTGTCCACTGTAGTTTTTGTCTACAGGTTCTGAAACTTGATTTGACTAGGCCCACTTGTTTGTATGTGGAAATTGATGTTAATGAATGTCTGGATAGCATTTTACTTAATGCCTTTGTGTGTATCATGTGTACAACAACTCTGTGAGATAGGTTATTTCTTCTATTTGGTAGAGAGGAAAATTATATGACTTAGTTAATATAGCACAGCTAGCAAGTGGTAGCCCAGGATCTAATATCCAGATCTTGACTAACTCTGATTTTGTGTTCTTCTCACTCTACTACACCTCCTCTTTTGGATCAGGAAGGCTTTCAGGGAGTCTCATTAATTTACAAAAAGCTGGTAGAAATTATTAGATGTTTTCACTAGCCCTCAAACTTTTCCTATATCTGTTAGTATTTAATAACTTACAAATTATCATTCCATGGCATATTGGTAAGCAGTAAATTGCCAAATCCTTTCCTTCTGACTTTTACGACATTTACATTCAAATTAGGGAAAGCAGGGAGATTTGGTGACTATAGATAATTATGGAACAAGAGTTAGATCTTCTGTCACTAAAACTTTGGATTTTGTGAGTATATGTGCCAGAAAGGGAAACAAGCATTGTCATGTGCGGTTCATCTGGATTTAGCAGTCTTTAATGGTAAGAAGTGAAAAAATGCAGTAGTGAGGCC
Source organism: Homo sapiens (assembly GCF_000001405.40). Taxonomy (NCBI): domain Eukaryota; kingdom Metazoa; phylum Chordata; class Mammalia; order Primates; family Hominidae; genus Homo; species Homo sapiens. Next base: position 133,864,806 of record NC_000007.14, read on the forward strand.
AGATATCAGATTCCTCAGAGCAGGAGTCTGAGGGCTGAAACTCCAGGCATGGACACCTTTGTCCCCATGAGCCCTGATAACACTTGATAAATTTCATGGGATAGGGATGTTATCTTAACTAATTTTATTTGCCCAATCAGATTTAAGGTGGTTTCTAAGATTTTTAGTTTTACTGATTTTCTTACTTACTAAACTACCTGTTAGGAATTGGGATTTTATTTAGGAAATCCTTGTCTGAAAAATGAAAAGTGAAGGATTATTATACATGTAATTTAAAAGATATTTACTGTTTTATATTACTTTTTTCTTTTTCTTATATAAATTTCATGGGACAGGGATGTTATCTTTCTCTAATTTTATCAGATTTAAGGTGGATTCTAAGATTTTTATTTTACTGATTTTCATTTCCTTAAAAAAAACCACTGTGTATCAGTAGAAATGAAGAATAAGAAATTCATTGGCAGTGCATTGAAACAAACAGATGAATACATAAATATAGTTTGTTTATAATGAAAACCTCCAGGGTCCTCTCAAGTATTTTACCTAGAAATGACATATAAATTCAGCGTATGCCAACAGTTCTTTTAAATCATGGTAATATTCTGAACATACAATTATACTACATTATTTTCCCATCTCTAGAATTTTTGTGGTTATTTTTATTTATTCCTCCGTAGAAACACTTGTATCTTAGTTGCTCTTTTAAGATATCTCTACTAATGATCAGTTGTGTTAGTCTGTTCTCACACTGCTATAAAGGACTACCTAAGTCTAGATAATTTGTGAAGAAATGAGGTTTAATTGACTCACAGTTCCATAGGCTGTACAGGAAGCATGTCTGGGAGGCCTCAGGAAACTTACAACCATGACAGAAGGCGAAGGGGAAGCAGGCACATCTTACCATTGCAGAGCAGGAGAGAGAGAGCAAAGAGGGAAGTGCTACCACTTTTAAACAACCAGATCTTGTGAGAACTCACTAACTATCACGAGAACATCAAGGGGGAAATCCACCTGCATGATCCAATCACCTCTCACCAAGCCCCTCTTCCAACACTGAAGATCGTAATTCAATATGAAATTTGAGTAGGGACACAGAGCCAAATCATATCATCAATCATTGTGAACTTGGAGACATCTGTTTTGCTATGCATATTTTCTTAATAAAGATTATAGTCATTTATCAATATTTTCTCAGAGAAATTACCTTCTTTCAACTAATATTTATGAAGGGGGACATATAATAACTCTGGGACTGACAGCTAACATTTATGATGGGAAACTATTAATAACTAACAATTACTAATAGTAGGCACATTACTATTGAGTAACATGCTTTTCATATATATATAATCTCATTTAATCTTTGCAACAATACTATACTACAAATACTTTAAATATGAGATTAAGGGAAATCGAGCGACTTCTCAAGTCACAGAATGAGTCACTGACAGGTGGAGGTGCATCCCAGCTCTTCTGTCCCTACTACACACTGCATGGCTCAGCTACTTGGCTTACTCGGTACCAGACATTGACTAGATGCTCAGGATGCCCTGGGCCTTGTGTGTCTCAAGGCCTAGTTGGTATGAGATGTTTGGGGGCAGGGAACTAAGGAATAGGGGCACAGGTGTGCTCTTCACTACAGCTGTGGAATATGGGGGAGGTAGCAAGAGATAATGTAGCTAGAGAGGCTCTACTGGTGAGGCTGCTGTCCTGTTTTGGATAAGGGGTAGCTAGTCATTGTAGGCTGGGCAATGGGATTGGTTAATTTGAGGCATTGCCACTTTCTTCTTCCACTAAATCTCAGCTCTAACAAGTACCTTTTAATTTATTTATCTACTTTCCTTCTTCCAAAGTAAACTCATTTTGATTCATCGCTGGATCCAAGAGCCTATGTGCTCTAAAGCTTTGAGTTTTGAAAAAAAGTGCCAGCTTTACTGAGATAATAAAAATAAAAATTACTTATATATAAGGTGTACAATGTGCCAACTTGATCTATGCATCCATTGTGAAGTGATGCTGACAATCAAGCTAACTAACACATCCCATTTAAAACCTTATTTGGAGAGCTTTATAAGAGTTGTGCAGCTTTCTCTCCTGAAGAGAGAAATGCGCATGCCCTCTCTCCTGAAATGGATTCTGTCCATCGTCGTCTTTGCTGAGAGGATCACTTGCAAGTCCCTTCAGGAGATTTGAAAACTTTTGGCTCTGCTGTGCCCTGTGATCTCTCCACTCATGCCAGTCAAACTCAACCACTGGAGCCTGTATGGAAACTAGTGCTCCTCAGTCCAGGCATTCCCAGGCCAAGGATCTACTATGAGTAAATGAGCCAGTGGGCTCTGCAGCCAGATTGTCAGGGTTCAAGCCCTGGCCCTCCCATTCACTAGCTGTATGGCATTAGGCACATTATTTATCTTCCCTGTGCCTCAGTTTTCTCTTTTGCAAAATGGCAGTAATAGTACCTTCTTCACAGGATTGTTGCAAGGATTAAATAAATTAGTATGTAAATTTGTAACTTGCATATTACTATGAACACTTTTAAACACAGTAGTCAGTACTCAGTAAATGTTCAAGTTTGTTCTCATTACCATTATGGCATCAATCCTTACGAAGTGTATAAAACCTCTTACCCCTTCCCATTGAGGGCAGTCTCAGCTTCCTCTCTCAAACACCTGGCTGGTGGATTTTTAGGGGGGCATTTCTTGGAGCAAAGGAAGCTGTTAATCCTTTCCTGGGGAACCATTCTTTTCAAGTGAGGGCAGAGAAGGAGAAAAATACCTTTGGGGTGTTTCTCTCCCCACCCCCAACCCCGTCCAGTTTCCTGCAGCAGTTAGAACAGAAATTAGTCTCTCAGAAGATTATCCTGCCACATTGACTTAAATGTGATGCATAGTATGACCTGTAGGATAACAGTGGAAAACCCTAATCAGTTACTTAAACCTGCCACAGACTAATTTTTAGAAGTCTCAGAGGTGGGTGTGCATATTAAAAGAGACCAGGTCCTTTCTGTAGAACCCTGAGCAAATGTGTATTGATTAACTTAATTAAAGGAAGATTATGACTTGTGCACTGCACTGTGTGTTATCTTACTGTATGGTTTAAGGGATCTTTAAAGCATATGTGCTAATGGCCTTCTCTTTTAAACCAGCGTGAATCTGAGGTTATTTCATTAATGTGGTAAGCAAATGATTGCCAAGAACACAGAAGGTAAAAAGCATTTTCTTCTGTAAATAAATTATAATACTTTAAGCTGTTTTTTAGTAATAGTTTTATATGGAGTTTGGTTCAAAGAGATCCTTTTTATTTTTCAAATATTAACGAAAGGAGTTCTTTACCTTTTATTTATTCTTCTCATCTTACCTCTTGGCTTGAGCTAGGGTCATAGAACCATGAAGATTTGGCTGGGCCATTTATTTGCAAAACCTCCAATGTCAGTATGTTTAGGTCTTTTGTCTTAGACCAGACTCCACAGAGAATGATTCTCTAATCTGCCTTCTGGAGATTGAAGGTCTGGCTGTCAATATGCAGGAAACCAAATGAGAAGAGGGTAGAAGAGAGGTGGGAATTTTTGGCATCCAGTATATGTGAATTCACTTAATATTTCTGTTTTCTTCCACCCTTGATCGTTCATGCAATCTGCCAGTCCAGAGACCCTCTATTTTATTCCTTCCAGAAAATAAGCCTTCAGGTTTTTGCTAGGGTGAAGAGACAGTTGTCCAGTGAGGGCCTGAGGGATCTAGAGATCTGACTACTTCTTAAATAGACTTTCAAGTAATTCTTTTATGAACCACTCCCTCCCTTTTGCCCCCACGTCCAGATGTACCTGGGGCTGTCGGGAATTCAAAATAGAGATTAGGTTGTTTCTCAGCCTTCCCTCCTATTCACACAGGATTCCATTTTCTTGAGTCTATTAGAGGAACTGACCTCTCTAATCTGACTTCCAGCTTCCAAAATTACATTGCTTTTGTTTTCTCCCTTCTGTTCTCCTTACCCTTGTAGGTTGATGTCTTGGGAAAAAATAATCTCTTTATCATCATTTCAATGGGGTTTCAAGAGGGAGGGAGAATAAATGTGTATTTTGTATCTGCTTTCTTTACCTAGAAGTAAATTCTCCCCTCGATAACATCTCTCCTTCCTGCTCCCTGTGCCCTGACTTAAAAGACCCTGCCCTGCCTCTCCCAGCAGGCACCTGGAGGAATATGGAACACCCGCCCCCGCCCTTCTTTTCTTCATATGCATGCACTGCACGTCCAGCCTTTCTAGTTACCCTCCCTGAAGGCCCAACTGAGAGTGTAACTTGTCTAGAAAGCCATTCTAGAGCACTCAGGGTCATGATGAACGGCACTCATATATACCTCCTGTGGGCAGCTGAATTCCTGTGTATGCATCTTTTCTGTCCTCTTCAAGAAGACTCAAACTAGATCAACCAGATTGCATTTGCTCTCATGCCAATGCCTTGCCTGATAATTCTTGAAATACATTGCAACGTGGTATAATAGAAAGAGCAGGCCTTGGGGTAGGACCAGCCTGGGGGCAGCTCTGGGCTCCTCCACTTACTAGTTGTGTTCTCTTGGGCAAAGAACTTAGCCTTTCTGTAGCTCCCTGTCTTCATCTGTAAAATGAGGCATGTGAGGACTAAATGAGATGAAGTCTTGTCCCTGCTTAGCATAATCCCTGGCATGGAGGAGGTATTTAATAAAAATTAGTCTCCTGCCCTTTCTATCCACACATCTCCATAGCATAGTGCATTCCTTGTAGTAGGTGCTCAAGAAATATTCACTAAATGATTGTTCTGGAAAAAGAATTTGGTAGAAGTTCTTCATTAGACTTACTCTATTTGTATCCAGCTGTACCACATCAACTATGGCAGGAAAGTAGAATCCCTTCTCTAAACTGGAATCATGTGGCAGGAAGTTCTTATCACTTAAGGGGCACGAGGGAACAGAAACACAGTGTTCAATAAAACTGAAAGGGCCTCAGTCTCAGTGTTGGCTTCACCAAAGCCAACCTGAGGCTTTCAGCTGTGCCTTCTCTTTCCAATTATAAGTGAGTACTGTGTTAGCTAACTCCCAGTTCAATCCACAGCTTGCCACTTGGGATCTGGAAGCTAGCTGATTTTTTGATCCAAGGTGCTCTGCTAGGTAGGGTTGCCAGTTGTAATTATATGTTCAAATGTCAATTAGCAGAACATCCTATTATTTGGCAGTTTGGAGTAATGAGATGGATCTTGCGCTAATCTTTCAATTCAGCAAGTGTTTGATAAGTACTTTATAAGTAAAATTCTATACTGTGCTATATCTAGTGAAGGTTGCAGGAAGAGCTGGAGGTAAAAGATTGTTAAGTGTGCATCCCTTTATGAGCTCATGAATTTTCAAATATCTTAAGCAATAAAGAAAAAGGCAGCAGGTTTTCCATTAAAAACATTTTTTTCTCACACACATCTCCCTACCTCCATTTGTACTCAAGTGACAAAAATTTTTAAAATAGTTACCTCATGGAACAGATATCATGGAAATCCATTTAGTGGAAAATTCTTCCTGAGTATGATTTTACTAGACTCCGTGCTTGATTCTGGGGAAAACTTGAGTGAGACAGATGGTTGCCCTCCAAAGATTTCTAGTTGCCTTTGATATTTGACTTTTTCTTCTCTACCAGAGCTGTCTGTGCAAATTTTTCTCAGTGCTACATCCAGCTTTTTGCATAATTGGTTTTCATTAAACTCTTGAGTTGTATTTTCTTTTTACACAGTTGATTATTGTGGCTCATCTAAAGAGGGTCATTTTATGAAATGTCTGTACTCCTTCTTGACCTCTGTTTCCTGTGAGTACAAATCTCAGTAGAACAGAGAAAGAAGACACAAGACCTCGCTTAGAGAGTTGAGGGTAGGTGGCAAGGTTGTTTTGTTTACCACTCATGGCCTATAGCCTGGTAGAGAACACAGACTCAGCCCTTCTCTAGACTTGCCTTCTCAAACTCTTTCACACTTGACCTCTTTCGCCATTCTTCAAGTTAGAGTGGGTATTCGGTTTTTCATAAGCTCTGTCATTTTTGTTTTCCCTCTTTCTGCATTTATTTCCTAGCCATGGTAAATTTGGGATGTTGTGAAGATCAAGTCTCAGTTCACTCTCCATCCACTTACTTGAGAATAGAGGTACTCGGTAGTCGTACTCACATTCGCTGTGCTCCAGGGAGCTAGTTGTCAAATTTTCTGAAATTTTGTGAGCTGGTTGTTAAATACAGCCATTATTAAAAAGCAAATTCTGTAATATGACAAAGGTAATAAATACCAAGACTCATCACTTCTTAATTATTTTTTAACATTTCAGGATTATCTATGTTCTTCAGGGTATCTGCATGCATCTATTGTTGCTGATAGCAGAGTTATTATACCTTATTACTGTTTGTGTTGCTTTTCATCTCTTCCCAACTCTGAGTTCAGCAACATTTTTAAGTTCAGTGACATCTCGGTGGTAGCTTGAAACCAGCCACACAACCAAAAAAATCACCACAAAAACCACCAAACACCACAAACCAGGACCCCTCCATTTCCCTGGAGAGCTGCTTGTCAAAACATTTACCAGCACACCGCTAGTCATGCTCTTCTTCTGTTCCTGCCAGTCATGAGTGATTGTGAGCCACACCAATTACCATTCATCTTAAAGATGGCAAAAGTCTTCCTCCAAGGTGGTTACACCAACCTTACACGTTTTCCCCCCACAGCCTTATGAACACCCAGCCCAGATTTTTACTCTGGATCCATGGTTACTCCTAGGCTGCCTCTCCCTCCATCTTTCTCATCCCCAATGATTCAGTCATTAATTTCTCTCTTTCTCCCTCTGTTTCCACTTCCCATCCTCTTCTCCTTCCTCCTGCTTCACATTCTTCCTCTACCAGTGGTTAAGAGCAAGGGCTCTGGAGACAGACTGACTGGCTTTGAATCTGGGCTTCATGATCTACTGGTTATGTTACCTTGGGGTTGTTACTGAACTTTTTGTGCCTCAGTTTTATTATCTGTAAAGTGGAGATAATAACAGTATCCACCTAGCATAGTTATGAGGACCAAATGAGTTAATAATTTTAAAAGCACCTACAATAATGGGTGGCTTATAGTAAGCAATATGTACATATTTACTTAATAAAATAAACACTTATATTTGTCATCCAGCCCTTCCTTATGTGCTAATGTTCAAGGCCAGAAGGAGAACAGCAACAGAACACATGAGAATAAAAGAAGAGGCAAAATGGCCTGGGGTTGTATCACAGCAATGGTGTGACAGTTCTCGGGAACTAGGAAAAGAGTCAATGAAAGGAACTGGAGGAAAGGTGGGGATCAGGAAGGGAGACAAATAAGAAGAAAATTACATTTCAAAATAATCTGCAAAGATTAAAATATATATAATATTAGCTTTTAGTATTTTATTTCAAATATAAACCCCAGGAAAATAAAGGGATATTTTTTATAAATGCATAGAAAGTTCCCATTTTGATGTTAGCAGTTAATTCAATTTTGGTCTTCATCCAAGGCAGAAATGTGGTAGCCACATATTTAAGGTACTTAGGCTAAATCAACTGTGTATTGAACAAGAGCCATGGGGACAGAGTGAGAGATGTGTGTCCATATCTATCAAAAACGCAAGCCGGGAGCTGAAGTACTCATTTGTCTGACCATCTGGAAATCTCTAGTGGTCTAGGCACTTAATTTTACCCTCATTGCTAGAACAAAAGGGAAACAATAAAAGAAGAAAATGGGCAGCAGGGACATTTTACTTTTCATTTAAAAAAAATCTTAGTGATAAAAGGAGCAGAGAGTTTAAAAGAAAAAAATGAGAAACCATTAAAATGATTTGAATGCTCTGTCTATATTTTGCGGTGAGCTCTATTGTTTTCAGTTACATGGGAACTGTGGTAATTTTATGAATCATTAGAATGTGTTTCCAAATTATAACTGCATGTTCTTAAAATCCCTCCTAAGTAACCCACAGTAAGAGGCTGTTGAACAATTTCATTTAACACTTTTGGATCTCATATTAATTTTATATTTTAAGAAATGCATACTTAATAGCCTAAAGATAAAATCATGATAACCGAGTCTTTGTATGTTTTCTTTCCTCTGCTTTTTAAAACATATGACCCTATCTCTGTTCTCCTCCGCAGTCTAGTGACAGACTTGAGAAAATAGAAAGCCTGGTTTGGTAGAATGACTTTTCAGTTAAAAGCAAAAGCTCAGTTGGGCACAGTGGCTCACGCCTATGATCCCAGCATTTTGGAGGGCCCAGGTATGAGGATTATTTGAGGCAGGAGTTTGAGATCAGCCTGGGCAACATAGTGAGACCCCATCTCTACAAAAAAATTTAGCCAGTTGTGGTGGTGTGCACCTGATTGTACTACTGCACTCTGGCCTAGGTGGCAGAGTCAGACCCTGTCTCTAAAAGTAAATAAATACAAATAAAAGCAAAAGTTCCTCTGCCTCACCCCAAGTTGAAAACAATCACAACGGTCAAACGTTGTTTTTCGGCATATGTCTCATCAGGCATAGTCATCTGTGAAATGTGTACTCTGTTAATGATACCTCACACCTCCCTCCTAGAGGATGGTTCACAAAAGCCTGTTCACTTACCTGGGGCAGCCAGTCCAGCATGTGATCCTCAGAAAATGGGGAAAGTGACGTCAAAGTAGTGGGTAGTGTGGATGTGTGTGAGGCAGGGTAAGTGTGAAGATGTTAAGTTTATTTTCTTAGAAGAGGCTGTCCTTTTTGCTGATGTTATTTTCCTCCTGTTTTTGGTGTTAAAACGTCGCCATTATTTTATGAAAACAGTGGTAATATAGATAATCTCCCTTTGCTTTGTTTTGTTTTAAACATTCTAACTTGATAAAATGAAAAATTGGAGCTATATTCGTCCATATTTTTTTCCTGGTTGGTGAAATCTGAAAGTTTGAAAACTATCGTACATTCTAAGTGTTGGTTGTCTCCTTCCCAGGGTGTAGGTGTTTCCTGTGTGAAGAGATTGTCTCAAAGGGAAACTTAGCAAAGCTTTGATATTCTGATTTTTAACCACTAACTGTTCTTGGACTTGGGAGAAAAGCTGCTTCCCTGGGCAGTACATGGGTGGTACTGTTACTGTTCCTTTCATATAAACTTGGGCAGGATGCCACTGAGTTTAGTTAATCAGAATGCATTCTAGTGATTTCCAGTATCATATTGGCCTATCTCTTGACAAATTATGTGCTTTGATAACTAAAATCTAGGAAATATGACTCATCTCCTAAACTCAGGGAGACAGTTATGTTAAAGCCTAAGGTTACTTTATGGTGGGAAGGCTGGAGATATCACCATGGTTCATAAAGAATATCATAACCCTTGCAAATGAAGAAAAGGAGAGCAACTTGTTCAATATCTCAAAGTCAATGTTAAAATTATGTTTGGAGCCCAGGTCTCCTGTTGGCTAGCTATTTGATTTTTGCCCAGTGGTGCATTTTGTTTTGCTCTGCATGGAAAAGTCATATAAAGCAGTTAAATTTATTTTTGGAATGAGCTAGAATGCTGGGTTCGCAACAACCAGTTTTGTTAAAAACAAGAACTGCTTTGAAAGTTCATTAGTTCTTCTCAAGTGTTATTGTCCCTCCCAGTAGGAGGCATATCCAAGTTGAATCTCCACTCCTGAACAAATTTTCCCTTGTGTGTGTACACTGGCACACTTGCTTGCACACTCTCTCCCTCAAACAGTTCCATATGTTCTATTTTACTGGAAGCCAAGCTCCCTGCCATTCTCCCCCTTAGAGGGCTCCAGATCTCACCTCTGAGGTGCACGCGTAACTGAGGCTGAAACAATTTGTAGGGAAACTTGTCAGCAAAATTGATTATTATGTGGTGTGAACCACCAAAGACAGGTGAGCCTGCACATAGCGGAACAAATGTATATGTAGTATGCATCTCCCACTGCATCTAACCAGACTTCCTCCTCTGACATGTTGATTGATACATTTGTATCTCTTTCCTAATGAATCATGCCCCATTGTGGGTTATTGGAGCCTCCTGCTGAATAGACCTCACCTTTGCTAGCAAAAGGAATAGTAAAGGTTCTCCTCTGTGAATTTTGGGGGCTGTTTATTGGCTCTAAAGGAGTGGCTGAGGACATGTAATCTTTAAAAGGACAAAATAATCACATAAAATGTCTAAATAACATTGCTACATCAAGAGGAGCTTCTGTAACTACAGATGCTTTGCGACATGACAAACTAGTTGGTGTGGAATGCGAATCTGAGATACATGAAGAAATGAAAGCATTTCAGACCACCTCTGGTGGCAGCTTGATATTCTGGAGTTCTTTGAAAACTTTTTTCTAGTGTTATACTTGTTCCTTGAAATGGCTTTAAGTGTGAGACTTGTGATAAAATAGGGATGATAATGACTGCTCTAGTTTCTCACAGTCTGTTTGGGTATTGATTGAGATATTTGCAAGTACTCTGAGTTCTGAGGAAGAAGGGTGTTAGGAAATGCTATGGTGTTGTTTTTAGCAGGCGTGGAAACCTATGCTAAAATAATTTCAGAAAGATAAGTTTGAAGACAGGTTGGATTATTGGCCTGTACCTGTATGACAATCGTATGTCCTTCTGGTCTATCCTTTTGTCTTAGGTATCAGTTCTGAGTGAATTTAGAGGGCAGGGTTTGAGGAATGTTGAAAGAGAGAAGAGATCTCGCTGGCCTAAAACTGCCCACGAACTGTCTCTTGGCTGCTGGCATTGGAGTGGCCTGTGCTTCCCGAGGCTGGTCACATAGAATGGTCTACTGATGATCAGGAGGGTCCAGTCTTCACTTCCTGTCCTGACACCATCCTATCCACTTGCTGAGTTACTTCACACCTTTTTTTCACTGAAGAATGTCTCCAATGACAGTCTTTCTTCCTGTACCACACACTACCTTCACAGCTTCCTGTAAACCTAGCTTTGGCCTCACTAGTCCCACCATTGAAACTGTCATCTGAGGAAGGTCACAATAACCTTCTTCCACAAGCAGTCTTCATTCATGTCTACCATGATACACCTGGCATCATGGACTACCTGAAAAGATTGAAGTTACTGCTTTTTGTTTTTACTGGAAACAACAAAAAATAGTGGTTAAGATACGGGCTCTGGATTCAGTCTGCCTGAGTTTCAGTCATAACAGTATAAACTGTTTTGCTGTTGTATTCGAGAGCATAGCATAGTAGCAGTGCCTGGCACATAGTAGGTGATCAATAAATATTGGATGGATTCACAGATAGGTAGGTAGGCATATCTGTTTGCTATAAGCTCATCTATATTTGTGGCTTTTCATGTCTTTTAACTTTTATATGGCTTCTTGCTATTAATATTTTTCCTTTAGTAAGTTACATTTAAAAAATTAACTCATATTGCTTAGGCTAAGGAAAAGAATGAAGAGGTGTGTGTGTGTGTGTGTGTGTGTGTGTGTGTGTGTAGACTGTAGAGCAGGGAATCATATTGGGCCCTTTGAGCAGGAAAATAATATTTGGAAATATACAACTGGGAAATAAAATTTCAGGGGACATCATTACCTCGAGTGAGTCTTCCCAGGTTGTTCTTTCTTCATTGGAGGATGTGAGTAGGTGGTTTCTTTCTTAAAGGCCAAATGTCCATACATGATCCAAGGAACTCTTATGTTTCTTAGCTTAGCTTTTATCACGCTTACTCATCGTCTTCTTCTTCTTCCTTCATTTTTCTTCTTCTTTCTTTTTTTGATCTATGTTCTACTTCTTTTTTTCTCTGTTGGATCTTCTTTTTTCTCATGGTACCACAGTGCAAGCCACCCTAGACTACTGCCAGGGCTTTAGTCAGATGCCTTACTGTGAACTCTTACTTCTCCAGGCCACCCCAGTGTGTCTGCCAAGTCTTCATCGAGTACCATTTTCCCAGGGAGGGGGCACAGTATAGGGTGGTAAAGAGAAAATCAAATTGGGACTCAAAAGGCCTAGATTCTTCTTTTTCCTTTCAAATCTCATTTCTTTCTTTCTTTTTTGTTTTGTTTTGTTTTGTTTTTCTGGCTGTTTTTAAGATTTTTCTACTTATCGATGATTTTCAGCAATTCGATTATTTGTGACTTTCTATAGTTTTTGTTATCTTCCATTTGAGATTTATTGAGCTGCTTGAATCTGTGGGCTTATACTTCAAATCAAATTTGGAAAATTTCCAGCCACTATATCTTTTTATATTTTCTCTGCACCCCCCACCCCCAGTTGTGTGTATATTAAGCTGCCTGATATTGTTTCGCAGTTCGCTGACTCTCCTATTTTTTTTTTAATCATTTTTTCTGTCTGTGTTTTATTTGGAATAGTTTCTATTGCTGTGTCTTCCATTCCTGTTTCTGCCGTGTTTATATTTTCCATTCTGTTTTTAGACATAGGACCCTATTCCTAATAGCTGTTTTAACCTCCTTGTCTATTATCTGTGTCATCCCTGGGTCTGTTTCTCTTAACTGATTTTACTTCTCCTCATATATTTTCCAACTTATTTCCATATGCCTGGTAATGTTTTTATTGGATGCTAGACATGCGAGGTTTTTTTTACATTGTTAAGTGCTGGATGTTGTTATAGTTCTTTAAATATTGTTGAACTTTGGGAACACATTTAAGCTATTTAGAATTATTTTCATCATGTCAACCTTGCTTCTAGGCTTTATCAGACAGGTCCAGAGTAGCTTTTACTCTAAGGCTAATTTGGCCCCGCTACTGAGACAATATTGTTTTGAACACTACCTGACACCCTATCTATTAGGAGGTTCTTCCACTGTAGCTAGTGGGAACATGGACCATTCATTGCCCTGTGTGAACTCTGGGATTATTCTGCCTGCTCCATTGAGGTAGTCCTCTCTGGCCTCAGTAGTGTCCTTCACACAGAACAGTACTTGGCCGAAGGTTCTACACGGAAGATCTACACAGATCTTGTGCTCACACATGCTCCCGTTTGCACACATGTGCTCTCTTTCTCTCCCCACCCTCCTCTCTCTTTGCGAAGCTCCCCACTCTTCAGTATTTTGCCACAGTAGACTGTAGCTGCCTTGGTCTTCCAAAACTCCAAATTCTGTCTCCTCAACCTAAGAAGACTGCCAGGCTCTGTCCAGGTCCCTTCTTCCTGCATCATGGCCCAGAAACTCTTCAGCTGGGGCACTCAGAGGGCTCACGTCATTTGTTTTTCATCTCTGGTGTCTGAAACTACTGTTTCCTATATTTTGTCTGGTTTTCTAATTGCTTAAGGCACGATTTCAAGCTATTTTATACTGAAATACTTTAATTTTACTTCCCTGCAGAGCAAGAGCATTTTCTTCATTATCATTAATGCATTATCAAGATAGCATTATCACTATCACAATTAGAAAAAGTTTCTAATATCTCCATATTTCTAATATGTAGTCAATTTTGCATTTTCCCAGATGCATTGTCCCAGAAATGTCCTTTTCAGCTGGTTTGTTCAAACTAGGATTCCATCTAGGACCATAATTGTTATGTGGCTTAAGTCTCTTTAATCCCTAACAGTCACATTTTTCATGACAGTGATACAGTGAACGGAACCAGCCAGCCATGCTGTGGCATGTTCCATCTTCTGTATTTGTCTGATTGCTTCCTCTATTTCCTGTTACTAGAAGTTAGGTCTGAAAGCTTGATTAGATTGAAGTTAAATGTTTTTAGTGAGAATATATCATAGATGGTGTTATATTCATATTCTATCTCATCCATAGACCTGTAAGAGCTGGCTTCCTTACATTAATTAGGCCAAGCTCGACCCCTGGATGAGGCTTGTGACCTTCTAATCCCTCCATTGTGTAGTTTGATTTTTGTTGTGGGGAAGTAATTGATGTTCTATAACATTGACCCTATGTGGATGTTCATTTCTGCAATTTCCTGGTCAACTTTCATTTTGTTTTTTTTATGTTTGTTTGTTTGTTTTTGAGACGAAGTCTTGCTGTGTTGCCCAATCTGGAGTGCAGTGGCGCGATCTTGGCTCACTGCAGCCTCCACCTCCCAGGTTCAAGTGATTCTCCTGCGTCAGTCTCCTGAGTAGCTGGGGACTACAGGTGTGCTCCACCATGCCTGGCTAATTTTTGTATTTTTAGTAGAGATGGGGTTTCATCATGTTGGCCAGGCTGGTCTCAAACTCCTGACCTCAGGTCATCCACCTGCCTTGGCCTCCCAAAGTGCTCGGATTACAGGGGTGAGCCACTGCGCCTGGCCTCAATTTTCATTTTGTCTTAGTACCAATGGATAACCTTTACTTGAATCAGTTGTTTTATTAGGGGCCACAAAATGGTTATTTTTTATTTATTTTTTTGAGACAGAGTGTCGCTCTGTCGCCAGGCTTGAGTATTGGTGCAATCATAGCTTACCTGGGACACCTGGACTCAAGCGATTCTCCCACATCAGCCTCCAGAGTAGCAGGGGTTACAGGTACACACAACCACATCCAGCTAATTTTTCTGTTTTTTGTAGAGACAGGGTCTTGCCATGTTGCCTAGGCTGGTCTCAAACTCCTGGGCTCAAGCAACTCTCCGTGTCGGCCTCCCTAAGTGCTGGGATTATGGGTATGAGCCACCACATCCTGCCTTATTTTGTAATTATGTTATTTTTTCTACATTTATTAGCTGGTATTCTTCCTTAAAATAGGACTTTTTGAATTTGGTAATGCTGAAATATAATTCCTACTTGAAAGATAGCACAAATGCATAATTTTTTATTTACCAAATTTCAAAGACAATTTTGTTTTAATAGCCACCTTAAATGGTGACAAATGAGTTTTGTCTGACTTTCTCTCTTCATTGATTTTTCATATTTTTCATTACGTGTAATTACCTGTAATAATTTATTCTTTCTGATGTGCTAATCATCAGCTTTGGCCAGAGGGACTCACAGAGCTGGATTCTAGATTTTGAAGTATCATAGACTATCTATATATTTAATATCTTTGACACGCCCTTTAATATTTGTTATGGTTCTTTTTTAAGCCAGAGAATTAGACTAGATAATAAGGTTTGTTTTCAGCTCTAGAATTAGGATCCTGAGCTCTGCTACCAAATACACTGCCCTGCTTCTGTCCAGCTGCAGAAAACCCTCAGCCTGTCTGTCTTTCAGGCCTTCCACAAGCTGGCACCCCCATCCATTCAACCCTTTCTCGATTCCTTGACAGAAATTCCCTTCTCCAGCCACACTTGTCTCCTAACTGCTACACATGACCAGCTCATCCTTCATCCCCAGCCTTCACTTACACCTTTTCCCTTGCCTGAATACCTTGCCTCTGCCTCTCTAAGTATCCAAACCTCCCCGTCCTCCAGATCCCAGTTCAGGCTCCCCCACCTTTTTATTCCTGTTCCCTTACCTTGTCTTTTATACTCACTTCCCTCTTCTCTTGGACTATCACTGTTTCCTGTTCTAATTGATGTTTTCCCAAGTAGATTACCATCACCCCTGAAAAGAAAAGCCCATGCTTTTTACCAAGAACATTGCTAGGCCAGTATCTGCTAATGTCATTGTTATATTTCTATATCTTCTCTAACATGTAGCATCTTCTATTTAGCTGAATAACAGCCTTAAGGTGCTTTTGAAGTGTGCATGGGTATGTGTTGGGAAAGGAGGGTGTTGGGGATATTTCTTATAAATGCTAATGCTTTCCTATTCATTGATCTATTTCTACCCATATGTAATGAGTTCCATTACATATCAAGAGGTATTGACAACTTAGCCGTAGAGTTGCATTGATTCAAAATACGTAAGTCAACAATTACTACCTTATTATGTAATATTAGCTAGGGAAAGAAAGATGGCCCCTGGGATCATATGGTCTAATTAAGCACAACTGTTGTAGACTTTTTCTCCCTTTCCTGCTGTTATGTTTTGTTTTGTTTTGTTTTGTTGTGGATATGAAATCACAAACCCCCAAATAAGCCTCATAAAGAGACAGCTGTGCTTATAAGATTATGTTCGTCACAGATTTTATTCAACGATAATTTATTTCTACCCAAAATGTTAAAAATATATATTATTGATAATTTACATCATATACATTTTCCATGTTTTTATTGGCAAATAAGTTTAACAGTAGCTTATGTGAATTCTAAAGGCATATAGTTTTTTTGATTGTCTAAAATTTGACCTCATATTTTTTCTTTAAGCCTGTTTGTAAATTCTGCCTAACTCTTTAGCCTGACAAACAGAGCTTCAGAGTTTGTTTGTTATATAAGTATATTCATCTTTTCTGAACAGTGAAACTTTTTGAAATTATCTTCTGTACTTGAAGTGGATCATCTAGTGATTAGTGACATCAGGTTGAATTAATTATTTATATTTTCTTGCTGGAAATGAGTGATATTCCAAATGTTCAAGTACTCTGTGTGTGTATGTATGTATGTCATAAAAGGACATTCATGACTTGGCTTCTGACTGCCTCACTGAGCCCTCCCACCTGATCACGCATACATACCCCCCCAACCCCACTCCCCCACATACCCCCTTCACCCCAGCCATGAACAACCACTCTCAGTTCCCTGAATCCCATGCTGTTTCATGTTCATAATGCTGCATCTACTTGAAGTGCTCTTTTTCCATCTTTGTTCTTTCTACAAATTGCAATTATTTATCTTGCAGGACTCAATTCAGTTATACATTCTTCCTTCTCACCTCTGTCTCTCTGCCTTTCACCCCAGTCCAATTAACTCTTTCTTCTTCTGTGCCTCTACTGTACAATATGCAGATGCCCATCATAGCACCTAGGACATTTTATTGTCCTTATTCGTGAACTTATTTTCTTATCTTGCTAGTATCTAAGATTGTTGGAGGGCAAGAATCTTATCTGGCTTTGTATCTCCTGAAGTTAGTCTAGTGTTTGGTATAGAGAAGGTACTTACTTATTTATATATTTAATCAATTAGCTGAGTTCCCTGCTGTTTCCCCAAACAACTTCCTATCCTCTCCAGAACAGTTTTCATCTGGTAGTCAGTAGTAGTATTGCCAACAATACTGCTATGTCTTCACATTTTAAAAATATATCACAAGTAAAAACCATTGTATTAGAATAGCAATACATCTAAGGATTGTATTCTTAAAGGTTTTCAAAGAGGTGCCTATTTGTAACAATGGTTGGAAATAAATTGTTTAAAATTGAGGCTTAACCTGCATTCATGTAACCACCAACCAGATGCCTTTCCCAGTCAATATCCTCCCCACACTGCTCTAAAAAAAAAATAACCACTATTCTGATTTGTCTCACCGTGTATTAGCTGTGCCTGATCTTGACCTTCACATAAGTGAGACCAAACAGTATATATCTTTCTGTGACTGGCTACTTTCATTCGGCATTATGTCTGTGATATTTTTCCATGTGAATTCTTGTGTTAACTGCTAGTTTGCTCTTTTTCATTGCTCTGTAGTATCTCATTGTATGAATATGTCACAGTTTTATTTATCTGCTCTACTGTTGATGGACATTTGGGTTATTTCTAGACTTGGCCTTGAACATAAAGTTTTGTTTGAGAACCAAACTACAGAGCATAGCATTAGACCTGCTTTTTGTCCTTTCTCTGCCTTCTGATAGGTGATGAATTGATCTTAATATAGGATGTACTTAACTTTACTCACTCAGTTAAGAAATATTTATTGAGTACCTGTTATGTTCCAGGTCCTGAGTAATTGTCCCTCCCTTCTGGAATCTCACAGACCACTGGGGAAGGCAGACCCTAAACAAGCAATTATAAGTATGCTAAATGTTGTAACAAAGAAATAGAAGATGTTCTAGGTGTTTATAACAGGAAGACCTAATCTGGTACGAGGGTTAGGGAGAATCTTCCCACAGAAAGGATATGCTAGCTAAGACCCGAAAGAGAAACAAAAGTACTGTTGGGAAGGAAGACAAGGAACACCATTGCAGGAAGGTACAAGGTCCTGAAATGGTAATGAAGATTGAAAGAAGCCCCAGGTAGCTGAATCATAGAGAGGGAAGTAGAAAATGGTAGGAGATGGGGCTGGAAGGGTAGACAGAAGCCATGTCATTAAGGGCCTTATGAGTTATCTGAGCAATGTGAGTCCTCATCCATTAAAGAGTTCTAATCCCACGAACGGACATAACTTTAAATTTTTTTCTTTTGATGTTAACCTTACAAATTCTGAAGTGCGTAAATCTTAAGCACAAAGAATTTTTCCATACATTTTTACTAACACAACAGCTATTCCATCAGTAAAATTCCAGCACCTAGAATGTCCTCTCCTTCCCAGTCAATACCCTCTCTAAGGGTAGCCACTATTCTGACTTCTATCACCAGAGGTTACTTTTCCCTGATTTTGAACTACAATAATAACAAAATTATCCAGTTGTGCACCTTTGGGTCAGACTACTTTGACTCAGCCTAAGAGCTGCACAGTTCATCCACGTGTTGCATGTAGCAGTAGCTTGTCTTTTTTATTATTCTGCAGTCTTCCATTGTATGAGTATACCACAATTTCTTTGCCCACTTTGCCCACTTTATTGATTGACATGAGAATTGCTTTTTTTTTTTTTTTTGGCTCTTGTAAATAAAATGATTAGGCCAGGCACAGTGGCTCATGTCTGTAATACCAGCATTTTGGGAGGCTGGGGTGGGAGGATCATTTGAGGCCAGGAGTTTTAAGCAGGCTGGGCAACATAGCAAGACTCCATCTCTACCAAAAAAAAAAAAAAAATAGCCTGGTATGGTGGCCTCTGCCTGTAGTCTCAGCTACTGGAGAGTCTGAGGTGGGAGGATTGCCTGAGCCCAGGAGTTTGAGATTGCAATGAGCTATGATCACACTACTGCACTCCAGTCTGACCCCATCTCAGGGGGAAAAAAAAAATTAAGCTAGAGCTGCAATAAATAAATAAAACTGTTGTGAAGATTTGTGTTCATGTCTTTTGATTGACATGAACACTCATTTCTGTGGGAGGTAGAATTTTCAAAAAGATTACTCTGCGTTCAGGGTGGAGGCTGATTTGGAAGAGAGCAGAGGTGGCAGTTCCTCAGGCACCAGCTCTTGGATGTATAGCCTTTTGCAAGTCATCTTAGTAAAAACAGGACACATTCATAACAGTTTAAACATCACACAAATCAAAGCGTAGATTAAAAAATGGAAAGCATATTTCCTTTTGGCTTCTATCATTACTGTCGTTTTCATAGTTATTATCATTGTTTACAGCCAGCTACAGCTTAGAGCTGATAGTAACTGGAGAGACAATATGATATGACAAGTTTTACTGACTTGTCATTGAATATGCCCCAATAAACAAAACCATTATTGTCATGAAACATTTGTGAAGCCCCGTTTTCACGATTGCTTCTTGTTGTGCCAAACCCTTGTTAACCTCAATAGGAAAGGCACCAGGTTCAAGAGGTCAAAGAAGAGACCCAGAGCCAGCAGATAAGACATGACGTTTTATTATGGGCTTACATACAGGGGAGAGAGTCCAGTGGGGGCGGGCTGGGCAGGAAAACCGCAACCACCTACAAACATCATGCAGTTTATAGAGCATTTCCACTTACCACCCTCGCACCAACGACCTCCACCTGGCAACCTTAATGTAACCCAAAACTCGGGGCCTCAATCCCCCATATGGCTGGTGTTCCATGAAATCGGCCAAGGGCCTCAGATGTTTATCCTAGATAAGGAAGGAATCTCCAGGTTAGCCACTCCCAAATTACCTAGCTCAGAACACACATTCAGGTGCATCAGCCACACAGGATCATTCTAAGGAGATGCTTAAATTATTGCTCTCAGGTGTGCTTGCCCTATGCTCTGTGTGTGTGTGTGTGTGTGTGTGTGTGTGTGTGTGTGTGCGCGCGTGTGTGATGGTGCTGGAGATGTGTGTCTGAAGTCATAGACATATTTCTCTGACCATATAGAACCTTAGATTCTTAGCAGCATCTCTGAACTGTCCTCTCAGGAGCTAAAACAGTACAGATACAGAGCATTCGGCAAACTAAAGTTGTTTTGCTTTTGGTTTTGTTTCTGAATTGTGAATTTATTTATGTCTTAAAACTTTAAAATCAGCACATTTTGAATTGAGAATTTATGTCTTAAAACGTTAAAATGAGCATATTCAGTTATATATACATATATAATGAATTGCCATTATAGAAAATAATACAATCAGGTGAAGTTAAGAGTACTATTGTAGAAATACCCAAGACTTTCAGCCACAATAAATGTTCAGTCCTTAGAACCATGGGAATTAAGATACAGCATAGTGGCCAGGCGCAGTGGCTCACGCCTATAATCCCAGCACTTTGGGAGGCCGAGACAGGCGGATCATGAGGTCAGGAGATCGAGACCAGCCTGACTAACATGGTGAAACCCCGTCTCTACTAAAAATACAAAAATTAGCCAGGTGTGGTGGCACGCGCCTGTAGTCCCAGCTACTCGGGAGGCTGAGGCAGGAGAATCACTTGAACCCGGGAGACGGAGGTTGCAGTGAGCCAAGATCGCGCTGCTGCACTCCAGCCTGGTGACAGAGTGAGACCCCGTCTCAAAAAAAAAAAAAAAAGATACAGTGTAGTAATAAGGAGTTAGTGGTCTGATTTCACCTTACCAGATCAGGCTCTTATCCACTACTCCAATTATACTCTCCCTCTTTTCACCCTATTCTGAATGTGCTGTGCATGTGCATTAAATTAACAAATATTTATTGAGCACCTGCAATATGCCAGATACCTTGCAAGGTGTTAGAGATAGGAAGGCACAGTCACTGATCAACAGGAATTAGCAGCCTAGTGGAAGAGATAGCCAATTGAACCAGTGATTACCACACTCCAGTGAGAGTGTGGGCCAAAATGCCAGGGTCCTCTGGTGGCACAGAAGGGACATTTAAATCAGAGCAGGTAACCCTTGAGCTGATTCTTCAAAGATGAGAGTCATGAGCTAGGAATAGTATTCCAGACACTAAGATGAGGAGGCACAAAGGCACAGAGGCAGAAATTAGCCTGGTGCAGGCAAGGAGTCACTCGTAATTTAGTGTGGTTGGAGCAAGAGATGGGCATGTTCAGAGGAACTGGAGAGAAGCATAGAGGAAAATAACAATAATAATAATTTTAATAGAGAAAAAAACTTTTAAAAAGAGAGAGAGAAGCCTAGAGAGGGGTAGGCAGGAGGCAGAACTGAAGAGGCTTGGTGCTCAGGAAGGGGCTAAGTAGGAAGGATCGAGAAGTAAGAGGCCTGTTCAAGCTCACCCTGTTCACAGTGGTACTCCTCATGTGTCCTTAAGCATGTCATTGGGCCTCGTTAGTATAACCAGAGAACTAGGGAAAGTTCCCAAACCATGAAACACTGTCCAGTAGATGTGAAAAGATGGGCTATGAACAATGGTTTCATTACTTTGATAGTTAAGGGAAGACTGAATACTGCATTGGCCTCTTTAAGACTCATCAAGACTCCAGCATATTAAAGGTTTCTGAAGTCCTCCAGTAAAAACACCACTTCGGTTTTCTTTGATTCAGTATTTTCCAAATTATGTGGACCGGGAGCCAATTTTCTGTAACAGAATATTAGTATCATGAGGCAGAGCCCCATTCTGGCAAACAGTGGACTAGTTCTCAAAGGTACAATCATCCTTATTCATTCACTGATTAAATTTTTTTAAGTGCAGAACCAAACAACTGGTTCACTTTATACTTTAGATTAACAGCGTATCCCTGTAATAAACTTTAGGTATTTATTTTCCACAGCAATGTTTTTTTTTATTACATCAACTGTCCTGGGATTTATTTTTTCTTTTCTCATTTTTCATGTCATGCACAGACTTTATTACCTGGTAATAAGTTGCAAGAAATGTGAATTGAGTTGTTTCTAAGCAAATATCAATCATTTATGATTTGTTTAATAGAAATTATAATGAAGAAAATCAGGGTTTTGCTTATTATAAAGTCATTATAGTCAACATTAGCAAATCTCAAAATTAATAATGTGTCAGTAAATTATTTGCATTGCTAAAGAGATCAAATAAATAAAAACAGGATTGACCTTGTTAGAAATTTGATATTTTCAACATTTATCTGTCAGAGCCACTGATTTGGAAATTGTTATAAATTCTTGAAAAATGGAAACTTTTTTCCCTGTAAAAATACCCATCATTTGGCAAACTACAGTGTCATTTTTCTTGAAGAGAATGTAGTGATTGATTATCCAGAGTGCTACCATGACAAGGTAAACCAACTGAATAGCTGGAAAATTGTGTGTAATCATATAGCATCACAGAGGCTCTGCACTGAGCACAACCATTAGAATTAAACCATGGCATTCTAATCATTCCCTGCTGGTACTTCCTGTTCATCCCCAAAACCTTGACCTCCAGTGGGTATGCAGAGGTGTTCGCAGTCATCCCTTCCCCTCCAAATGCTATCAGCACAATTCTCGTCAGCTGAAAGCTCTGCAATAAATACAAACCAAACCCAAACCACCCAAGGAGATTTCAAAATGCAAGGTGTCTGTGTCTAAAATCCCTCATATATATGACATTCTGAGATTTATTCTGTGTATTAACATTAATCTAGTTTCTTTTATTAATCGTATTGTCCTGAGAATCCTGAGAGATTATAAACAACTGAGGGAAGGGAAGGATGGGAGATGGACAAAAAGAAAAGAGGAATGCTGATCCCTCTTGAGAGGCTGATAATCTATTCAGAAAGACGAAATACACCTGAGATGACTTGAGAGCAGTTACACAGTATTCGCCCAGTGTGAAAGTACCAGTACACAAATTTAATGCATGAGTCATGGGGGCCAACAGAGTAAAGGAGCAATCCAATTATCCTTGTTTATTAGAGAACTAAATTGAGTCATAAGAAAGGAAGGGGCTACCCAAACCTACCCCAGAGATAGTTATCAATAGCATACTTGGGACCAGAACAAGGCCCTTTCTCCCAATAATCAGAGGCATCTCCTCATGCTCATCTTCCCTGCAATGTTTTAGATTTTAAACAGGCTTTGTTAGGATGGCTGAACTCCAGTCTCCTTTATTAATTGCTGCCCACATGTTGTAGGATATCCTGTGTTCTGAATCAGGATGAGGATTTTAAATTCTTCTTAGCGTAGGGACGTGTAGCCAGGCAGAATCAATTCCTGTCACTCACACACAAATACAGAGGAATGGGATTATGGATCAGGGTGAAGCTGCAGTGCTTTAATCTCAAAATCAATACAGAAAAGGAAGTTGAACTTCTGGGGATTCTATAGAGACTGTAATTTGGCTTCCTATGAGGTTTGCCTTATAGAATATAGCTGCTCCTTCCTTTTCACCTTCTGATTATTTTACTGGGGTGGGAAAAATGAGGGGAAGGGGAAAGATGACAAGAAACTTCTACCACCAAATCTTCTTGAATAAGCATGCAAGTGTAACTCGTAATTCAAGCTAATCCATTGTGTTGAGAAGAGCTATACACCTTTGTTTATTCTTTTAGAAAATAATTAGCCAAAACCCTGTACCCCATAATCTGTATTTAAGCATAATAAAAATGCCTTTGATTTATTCATAGTTCACTGTCAAGACTGGAAAAGTATTTTTTAAGCATACTTTTATGGCTAAGCTTACCATAGCCTATGTAATTTTATATAAATACAAAATCAACAAACCAGTTATTGACCGAAGGATTCCAAGCTGCTCAGCCTGTGATTAATATTTACCCCAGTGTATTTCTGCTTCTTTTGAAAGAGGCATGAACTAATGGTTTAAACAACTCAGTCTTTTCTTAATAAAAAATTTAGAATTTGTTGACTATGCGTCTTTTTCAGATATAACACTGATTTGCTGCACAGTGCTGTCGGCATCTAGCTTTAAGATGGGCTTATTTTTCCTTTCAGATAGTTTTTTTAATTCAGTTTTAAAATATGTCTGAGTGTGTTTGGACCCTGCGCCTACAGTGGTGACAGCAATATGAAACACTGTAATCTCGTGAGAAAATGCACTGTGGGCAGCAGAACTCCGGTCTGGCTCTGAGGCAGAATGGTATACTTAGAGGAGCAAAGCCTGGAGCTCCTTCTTTATTTATTTCATCTTTCTAAGCTTGTTTCCTCATCTTTAAACTGGGGATGATTATAGGATACACCTGATAGGGGTGTTGAGAGGATTAAACAAAATAAAATATCCAAAGTGCTTATCATTGTACTTTGCACTTGTAAGAACCCTTTAAATGTTCATGATTATCATGATTATTATGTGAGTCTCAAGTGAGATAACATATGCTGTGTATGTGAAAACATTCTACAAGCTGTAAAACACAATACAAATGTTAGTTGTTATTCTGAATAGATTGATGGTTTTGAAACTTTTAAAATAAATCATGGAAGGTTTTTTCTTTGTGCTGCCTGTCATAGGTCCCTAATCTCAAAAAGCCTTGGAGTGATAAATCAGGCTCCAACTGAATATGCATTTTCTGTCTTAAAAGCCAGAGTTATCTTGTGAGTGTCAAGAATTCCATGATAGCGACTTGAAAATCCCTATTCTGTGTCCTTCCAGAGAAAAAACTTGCTCAGGTCTTGGGAAGACCAGCGCTGTGTAAGATACTTATTTGGTTGTTGTTTTGAGTTCATATTTCTTTTTTTTTTTTCAGAGTCCACAGAGCTATTTTATTATTATTACTATTATTATTATTTTTTTTAATTATACTTTAAGTTTTAGGGTACATGTGCACATTGTGCAGGTTAGTTACATATGTATACATGTGCCATGCTGGTGCGCTGCACCCACTAACTCGTCATCTAGCATTAGGTATATCTCCGAATGCTATCCCTCCCCCCTCCCCCCTCCCCACCACAGTCCCCAGAGTGTGATATTCCCCTTCCTGTGTCCATGTGATCTCATTGTTCAGTTCCCACCTATGAGTGAGAATATGCGGTGTTTGGTTTTTTGTTCTTGCGATAGTTTACTGAGAATGATGGTTTCCAATTTCATCCATGTCCCTACAAAGGACATGAACTCATCATTTTTTATGGCTGCATAGTATTCCATGGTGTATATGTGCCACATTTTCTTAATCCAGTCTATCATTGTTGGACATTTGGGTTGGTTCCAAGTCTTTGCTATTGTGAATAATGCCGCAATAAACATACGTGTGCATGTGTCTTTATAGCAGCATGATTTATAGTCATTTGGGTATATACCCAGTAATGGGATGGCTGGGTCAAATGGTATTTCTAGTTCTAGATCCCTGAGGAATCGCCACACTGACTTCCACAATGGTTGAACTAGTTTACAGTCCCACCAACAGTGTAAAAGTGTTCCTA
Organism: Homo sapiens; assembly: GCF_000001405.40. Taxonomy (NCBI): domain Eukaryota; kingdom Metazoa; phylum Chordata; class Mammalia; order Primates; family Hominidae; genus Homo; species Homo sapiens. The sequence goes on from NC_000007.14 coordinate 133,890,059, forward strand.
TTTCTCCACATCCTCTCCAGCACGTGTTGTTTCCTGACTTTTTAATGATTGCCATTCTAACTGGTGTGAGATGATATCTCATAGTGGTTTTGATTTGCATTTCTCTGATGGCCAGTGATGATGAGCATTTTTTCATGTGTTTTTTGGCTGCATAAATGTCTTCTTTTGAGAAGTGTCTGTTCATGTCCCTCGCCCACTTTTTGATAGGGTTGTTTGTTTTTTTCTTGTAAATTTGTTTGAGTTCATTGTAGATTCTGGATATTAGCCCTTTGTCAGATGAGTAGGTTGCGAAAATTTTCTCCCATGTTGTAGGTTGCCTGTTCACTCTGATGGTAGTTTCTTTTGCTGTGCAGAAGCTCTTGAGTTTAATTAGATCCCATTTGTCAATTTTGGCTTTGGTTGCCATTGCTTTTGGTGTTTTGGACATGAAGTCCTTGCCCACGCCTATGTCCTGAATGGTAATTTCTAGGTTTTCTTCTAGGGTTTTTATGGTTTTAGGTCTAACGTTTAAATCTTTAATCCATCTTGAATTGATTTTTGTATAAGGTGTAAGGAAGGGATCCAGTTTCAGCTTTCTACATATGGCTAGCCAGTTTTCCCAGCACCATTTATTAAATAGGGAATCCTTTCCCCATTGCTTGTTTTTCTCAGGTTTGTCAAAGATCAGATAGTTGTAGGTATGCGGCGTTATTTCTGAGGGCTCTGTTCTGTTCCATTGATCTATATCTCTGTTTTGGTACCAGTACCATGCTGTTTTGGTTACTGTAGCCTTGTAGTATAGTTTGAAGTCAGGTAGTGTGATGCCTCCAGCTTTGTTCTTTTGGCTTAGGATTGACTTGGTGATGCGGGCTCTTTTTTGGTTCCATATGAACTTTAAAGTAGTTTTTTCCAATTCTGTGAAGAAAGTCATTGGTAGCTTGATGGGGATGGCATTGAATCTGTAAATTGCCTTGGGCAGTATGGCCATTTTCACGATATTGATTCTTCCTACCCATGAGCATGGAATGTTCTTCCATTTGTTTGTATCCTCTTTTATTTCCTTGAGCAGTGGTTTGTAGTTCTCCTTGAAGAGGTCCTTCACATCCCTTGTAAGTTGGATTCCTAGGTATTTTATTCTCTTTGAAGCAATAGTGAATGGGAGTTCACTCATGATTTGGCTCTCTGTTTGTCTGTTGTTGGTGTATAGGAATGCTTGTGATTTTTGTACATTGATTTTGTATCCTGAGACTTTGCTGAAGTTGCTTATCAGCTTAAGGAGATTTTGGGCTGAGACGATGGGGTTTTCTAGATAAACAATCATGTCGTCTGCAAACAGGGACAATTTGACTTCCTCTTTTCCTAATTGAATACCCTTTATTTCCTTCTCCTGCCTGATTGCCCTGGCCAGAACTTCCAACACTATGTTGAATAGGAGCGGTGAGAGAGGGCATCCCTGTCTTGTGCCAGTTTTCAAAGGGAATGCTTCCAGTTTTTGCCCATTCAGTATGATATTGGCTGTGGGTTTGTCATAAATAGCTCTTATTATTTTGAAATACGTCCCATCAATACCTAATTTATTGAGAGTTTTTAGCATGAAGGGTTGTTGAATTTTGTCAAAGGCTTTTTCTGCATGTATTGAGATAATCATGTGGTTTTTGTCTTTGGCTCTGTTTATATGCTGGATTACATTTATTGATTTGCGTATATTGAACCAGCCTTGCATCCCAGGGATGAAGCCCACTTGATCATGGTGGATAAGCTTTTTGATGTGCTACTGGATTCGTTTTGCCAGTATTTTATTGAGGATTTTTGCATCAATGTTCATCAAGGATATTGGTCTAAAATTCTCTTTTTTGGTTGTGTCTCTGCCCGGCTTTGGTATCAGAATGATGCTGGCCTCATAAAATGAGTTAGGGAGGATTACCTCTTTTTCTATTGATTGGAATAGTTTCAGAAGGAATGGTACCAGTTCCTCCTTGTACCTCTGGTAGAATTCGGCTGTGAATCCATCTGGTCCTGGACTCTTTTTGGTTGGTAAACTATTGATTATTGCCACAATTTCAGCTCCTGTTATTGGTCTATTCAGAGATTCAACTTCTTCCTGGTTTAGTCTTGGGAGAGTGTATGTGTCAAGGAATGTATCCATTTCTTCTAGATTTTCTAGTTTATTTGCGTAGAGGTGTTTGTAGTATTCTCTGATGGTAGTTTGTATTTCTGTGGGATCGGTGGTGATATCCCCTTTATCATTTTTTATTGTGTCTATTTGATTCTTCTCTCTTTTTTTCTTTATTAGTCTTGCTAGCGGTCTATCAATTTTGTTGATCCTTTCAAAAAACCAGCTCCTGGATTCATTGATTTTTTGAAGGGTTTTTTGTGTCTCTGTTTCCTTCAGTTCTGCTCTGATTTTAGTTATTTCTTGCCTTCTGCTAGCTTTTGAATGTGTTTGCTCTTGCTTTTCTAGTTCTTTTAATTGTGATGTTAGGGTGTCAATTTTGGATCTTTCCTGCTTTCTCTTGTGGGCATTTAGTGCTATAAATTTCCCTCTACACACTGCTTTGAATGCATCCCAGAGATTCTGGTATGTTGTGTCTTTGTTCTCGTTGGTTTCAAAGAACATCTTTATTTCTGCCTTCATTTCGTTATGTACCCAGTAGTCATTCAGGAGCAGGTTGTTCAGTTTCCATGTAGTTGAGCGGCTTTGAGTGAGAGTCTTAATCCTGAGTTCTAGTTTGATTGCACTGTGGTCTGAGAGATAGTTTGTTATAATTTGTGTTCTTTTACATTTGCTGAGGAGAGCTTTACTTCCAACTATGTGGTCAATTTTGGAATAGGTGTGGTGTGGTAATGAAAAAAATGTATATTCTGTTGATTTGGGGTGGAGAGTTCTGTAGATGTCTATTAGGTCTGCTTGGTGCAGAGCTGAGTTCAATTCCTGGGTATCCTTGTTGACTTTCTGTCTCATTGATCTGTCTAATGTTGACAGTGGGGTGTTAAAGTCTCCCATTATTAATGTGTGGGAGTCTAAGTCTCTTTGTAGGTCACTCAGGACTTGCTTTATGAATCTGGGTGCTCCTGTATTGGGTGCATGTATATTTAGGATAGTTAGCTCCTCTTGTTGAATTGATCCCTTTACCATTATGTAATGGCCTTCTTTGTCTCTTTTGATCTTTGTTGGTTTAAAGTCTGCTTTATCAGAGACTAGGATTGCAACCCCTGCCTTTTTTTGTTTTCCATTTGCTTGGTAGATCTTCCTCCATCCTTTTATTTTGAGCCTATGTGTGTCTCTGCACGTAAGATGGGTTTCCTGAATATAGCACACTGATGGGTCTTGACTCTTTATCGAACTTGCCAGTCTGTGTCTTTTAATTGGAGAATTTAGTCCATTTACATTTAAAGTTAATATTGTTATGTGTGAATTTGATCCTGTCATTATGATGTTAGCTGGTGATTTTGCTCGTTAGTTGATGCAGTTTCTTCCTAGTCTCGATGGTCTTTACATTTTGGCATGATTTTGCAGCGGCTGGTACCGGTTGTTCCTTTCCATGTTTAGTGCTTCCTTCAGGAGCTCTTTTAGGGCAGGCCTGGTAGTGACAAAATCTCTCAGCATTTGCTTGTCTGTAAAGTATTTTATTTCTCCTTCACTTATGAAGCTTAGTTTGGCTGGATATGAAATTCTGGGTTGAAAATTCTTTTCTTTAAGAATGTTGAATATTGGCCCCCACTCTCTTCTGGCTTGTAGGGTTTCTGCCGAGAGATCCACTGTTAGTCTGATGGGCTTCCCTTTGAGGGTAACCCGACCTTTCTCTCTGGCTGCCCTTAACATTTTTTCCTTCATTTCAACTTTGGTGAATCTGATAATTATGTGTCTTGGAGTTGCTCTTCTCGAGGAGTATCTTTGTGGCGTTCTCTGTATTTCCTGAATCTGAACGTTGGCCTGCCTTGCTAGATTGGGGAAGTTCTCCTGGATAATATATCCTGCAGAGTGTTTTCCAACTTGGTTCCATTCTCCGCATCACTTTCAGGTACACCAATCAGACGTAGATTTGGTCTTTTCACATAGTCCCATATTTCTTGGAGGCTTTGCTCATTTCTTTTTATTCTTTTTTCTCTAACCTTCCCTTCTCGCTTCATTTCATTCATTTCATCTTCCATTGCTGATACCCTTTCTTCCAGTTGATCGCATTGGCTCCTGAGGCTTCTGCATTCTTCACGTAGTTCTCGAGCCTTGGTTTTCAGCTCCATCAGCTCCTTTAAGCACTTCTCTGTATTGGTTATTCTAGTTATACATTCTTCTAAATTTTTTTCAAAGTTTTCAACTTCTTTGCCTTTGGTTTGAATGTCCTCCCGTAGCTCAGAGTAATTTGATGGTCTGAAGCCTTCCTCTCTCAGCTCGTCAAAATCATTCTCCATCCAGCTTTGTTCCGTTGCTGGTGAGGAACTGCGTTCCTTTGGAGGAGGAGAGGCGCTCTGCGTTTTAGAGTTTCCAGTTTTTCTGTTCTGTTTTTTCCCCATCTTTGTGGTTTTATCTACTTTTGGTCTTTCATGATGGTGATGTACAGATGGGTTTTTGGTGTGGATGTCCTTTCTGTTTGTTAGTTTTCCTTCTAACAGACAGGACCCTCAGCTGCAGGTCTGTTGGAATACCCTGCCGTGTGAGGTGTCAGTGTGCCCCTGCTGGGGGGTGACTCCCAGTTAGGCTGCTCGGGGGTCAGGGGTCAGGGACCCACTTGAGGAGGCAGTCTGCCCGTTCTCAGATCTCCAGCTGCGTGCTGGGAGAACCACTGCTCTCTTCAAAGCTGTCAGACAGGGACATTTAAGTCTGCAGAGTTTACTGCTGTCTTTTTGTTTGTCTGTGCCCTGCCCCCAGAGGTGGAGCCTACAGAGGCAGGTAGGCCTCCTTGAGCTGTGGTGGGCTCCACCCAGTTTGAGCTTCCCGGCTGCTTTGTTTACCTAAGCAAGCCTGGGCAATGGCGGGCGCCCCTCCCCCAGCCTCGCTGCCGCCTTGCAGTTTGATCTCAGACTGCTGTGCTAGCAATCAGCGAGATTCCGTGGGTGTAGGACCCTCCGAGCCAGGTGTGGGATATAGTCTCGTGGTGCGCCGTTTTTTAAGCCGGTCTGAAAAGCGCAATATTCGGGTGGGAGTGACCCGATTTTCCAGGTGCGTCCGTCACCCCTTTCTTTGACTCGGAGAGGGAACTCCCTGACCCCTTGAGCTTCCCAGGTGAGGCAATGCCTCGCCCTGCTTCGGCTCGCGCACGGTGCGCGCACCCACTGGCCTGCGCCCACTGTCTGGCACTCCCTAGTGAGATGAACCCAGTACCTCAGATGGAAATGCAGAAATCACCCGTCTTCTGCGTCGCTCACGCTGGGAGCTGTAGACCAGAGCTGTTCCTATTCGGCCATCTTGGCTCCTCCCCCTGTTTTGAGTTCATATTTCAAAATGTCACATTCTTGCAGGAGAGCTCAGGTACCTTAAATTATGACATACTTGGAGTTGTCCTTCCTTGTCCAACACATTGACTACAGAAATCTCATATCCTCTCTTTGTTGTTCATTTCCAGAGCACAATCATTGTGGAGAAGACAGTTCAAGACCTCCTGAACCTGATGCATGACTTGAGTGCATATTCAGATCAATTCCTCAACATGGTGTGCGTGAAGCTCCAGGAGTACAAGGACACCTGCACTGCAGCTTACAGGTAGAGCTTCTGTTAGGGGCTAAGCAAAGTAACGTTTGAGCCTGATGGTGGTTCCAATTGGTGAAATTGCTTCAATAGCCTAATTTCCAAAAGGATCATCTCTGAGTTTGTCAAGAGATGAGAACATGCATCATGGAAATAGCCTCCTAGACCTTTGTGTAGTCAGACCAACAGAGAGAATGAAAGTGATGAAGGGACGCAGCCACTAGGACTACCAATGCATGGCTCAGATTATGTGTCAGCCTTGATGTTCATGAAAACCTAGAATGATAAGATCATGTTCCTCAAGGAAATTCCAGATCTTGGTTAGTCTATCTTGTGGTTAAAAAGATCCTTAAAGTAGAGCAATTTGAAACTCTTAATAATCTTTAATAGTGTTTCCTTTTAATTAAAAATATATTCTTCCTGATATTTAATTTGTAGCATTCCTACTGTCACAAAAGAACAGTTACCCCTGTTTTCAGCATCAGTAGCAATGAAAAACCATTGTTATGAACTTGAAAACCATTAGTTATCCCTCTGATTTCCTTCCTTAGGTTCAAAAAAATCTCTCTGGGCTTGTGGAAAAGATCATAGCAATTCTCTAAGAAAGCTAATAATGGGAACAAATTATAATCTGGTTCACAAGACATGAAACAATTAGGGAAGAAAAGAATGTATAATAAAATACTAAATTATATGTGATATATAATGAAGGATAGATAGGTAAAGTGCAGTACATAATCAGGTGCTACTTGTACAGTATAGACTGTGAGGGCAGAAGGAACAAAAAACAAGAAAGAGAAAGGGGTTGTAGTCGGGAATGGTTTTGCAGGTGAGGTATGTGCTGGACTCATGAAATTTACGGAGGTGGAGAGAAACATAAAGGCAGGGGTGGAGGAAGCAATAAGACAGTTGCCCCCTATTTTATTTTATTTATTTTATTTATTTATTTATTCATTTATTTTTTGAGAAGGAGTCTCGCTCTGTTGCCAGGCTGGAGTGCAATGGCACAATCTTGGCTCACTGCAACCTCCGCCTCCCAGGTTCAAGCGATTCTCCTGCCTCATCCCCCTGAGTAGCTGGGACTACAGGTGCGCGCCACCATGTCTGGCTATTTTTGTATTTTTAGTAGAGATGGGGTTTCACCATGTTGGCCAGGCTGGTCGCGAATTCCTAACCTCATGATCCGCCCACCTCGGTCTCCCAAAGTGCTGGGATTACAGGCATGAGCCACCACACCCGGCCCAGTTGCCCACTATTTAAAGGGGACAATGAGGAGATAGTTTGACTGGAACAGAGTTCCTATTAGAATCTAGTAGGAGATAATGTTGAATAGGAAGATTAAGACCAACTAAAAAGGGGTCATAAAAAAATAACATTCTGAAAATGTAGATGTTGGATAGCAGATATGGAATCATTATAAGTGAGCAAGGAAGCAGTGTTTACGGAAGATGAATTTGGCAGAGGAATACAACATAGATTAATGCTTATCCTTCCTCATTCCAGCAAGAAGAATGATCCACAGTTACATGGACAAATTAAACAACAACCATCTCATTGAGATGCAGTCCCAATAACCTTTTATGTTCAATAATTATTTATCAAAACTTATATTTAGGTTAAAATCATACATATACTTAACAATTATGTCAATTGGTTGTGTACTAAATAATAATTATAATGGCAATTCAAACAAAAGAAAGTTAAAATTTAGCCTTGTGGTAACAGAAAATTTAAAGTTTTTGGATTTTAATTTATACAGATAGTCTTTTGTAAAAAGCTACAATGGAATAATAAAATAATTTCAAGCATAAAAATATATTTCATTAGGATAAATTCCAGTGAGGAAATGAAATAGAAATAATAATTCAAAGAGAAAAAGGAAAAGCAAAACATATCCAGCTGTTAAAGAAGAGCTTGTTCATATGTATTTTAAATGTATAATGGAGGGTATCAAATCCCTATGGCATTGAGATTCTATTGGATGCTTTTTTAAAATTTTTAATTGACAAATAATAATTATATAATGAGCTACAATTGGATGTTCTGATATATGAATACATTATGAAATGATTACATTCAATCTGATTCACATATCCATTACCTCTCATACTTCTCTTTGTGTGTCTTTGTGCTGCAGACATTTAAAATCTACTCTCAGCATTTTGAAATATATATTACATTATTGTTAATTATAGTGACCATGATGTTCAATCAGTCTCAAAATGGCATTCCTTCTAACTGAAACTTTGTATGGTTTGAGCAACATCTCCCCACCTCACCCCACACCCACCCCAATCCCCCAGCCCCCAGCCTCCAGCAACCGCTGTTCTACCCTCTACTTCTATAAGTTCAACTCTTTTAGAGTCCCCATATAAGTGAAATCATGCAATATTTGTCTTTCTGTGCCTGGCCATTGGATACATTTAAAATAGTGATTTTTAACAGTGTCAGTCTTTAGGGTATGCCAAAATTTATATCTGTTGCATCTATTTAAATGCAGGCTAAAAAAATTAAATGTCAACTTAAAAAGGGAAGGAGAATATAGTTTTTCAAAATTATTTTAAAGGATACACCAATAACAATTGTAAAAGCCACTATTCTAGGTTAATTGCCTGAGATTGGAATTTCTGGGCCATTAGAGTCTTGGATTTTCAGTTTTACAAAACCAGATTCCAAAGTGGTAGTACCAACGTCTCATCTACCAAAAGAGAATGGAATAAAATATTTTAACTATTAAAACTTAGGCCCGATGCAGTGGCTCACGCCTGTAATCTCAGCACTTTGAGAGGCCGAGGCAGGCGGATCACGAGGTCAGGAGATCGAGACCATCCTGGTTAACACGGTGAAACCCCGTCTCTACTAAAAATACAAAAAAAATTAGCCGGGCGTGGTGGCAGCGCCTGTAGTCCCAGCTACTCGGGAGGCTGAGGCAGGAGAATGGCATGAACCCGGGAGGCGGAGCTTGCAGTGAGCAGAGATCGCGCCACTGCACTCCAGCCTGGGCGACAGAGCAAGACTCTGTCTCAAAAAAAAAAAAAAAAAAAAAAAAGAGTTCGAGACCAGCCTGGCCAACATGGTGAAAGCCCATCTCTACCAAAAGTACAAAAATTAGCCAGGTGTGGTGGTGTATGCCTATAATCCCAGCTACTCGGGAGGCTGAGGCAGGAGAATCGCTTGAACCTGGGAGGTGGAGGTTGCAGTGAGTTGAGATTGCACCCCTGCACTCCAGACTGGATGACAGAGTGAGACTCCATCTCAAAAAATAAAAAATAAAAATAAAACTTAAATATTAAAAAGTTTAAAATTTTTAAAATAATTGCATTTTAATAATATTATATTTTAAATTTATGTTGAACCTCCATTAAATATAAAGCTTTTTTTTTTTAAGTAGGGCATGCCCTCTTTTTCTAGTAAGTTGTCTGATTATGGGCACCCAATAACTTTCTTACAAATAATAATGTTGATAAATAGTAATTATAGTGGAGATGTTGCGTAACCTGACCATGATAAGGTCAAGTTGTCTCTAGAATGTAAATCCCACTGATAGCCGTTTATATTGTATTATTGATGTTGTTGTCTTGAAAGACATGTTTTAAGTTCTTGCAGCTTGGCACCATATTCATCATGGGTGATTTTTTTTCCAATCATTTATGTTCCTGCCTCTCAAGATGTCAAGTGGCTGGAAGCCACTGCATCTGCAAAGCAGACTGATCATTGTTGAATAGTTTTCATCTGGAAGTTTTCTCTTTGTTTGAAGTGATACTCTCCTGTCCATTGGACATAGTTCTTTTCTCTGAATGATAACAAATCAGTTTAATCCTTTTATGAATGCCCTTGAAATATATGAAGATAGCTATCATAGTCCATTTAGTCTTGCTTTCCCTCCTTAAACTGAACATTCCCAGTTTCTGGTATGCCCTGGTCTATGAACTATCTCAGTCATCTTTCTCCATTACCCATTAGCTTGGCAGTGTCCATCTTAAAAAGGAGTGCCCCAGAGTATACCCAGTGTTCCAGATGTACTCTTTTTTTTTTTTTTTTTTTTTTTTGAGACAGAGTCTTTTGCCAGAGCTGGAGTGCAGTGGCGCAATCTTGGCTCACTGCAGCCTCTGCCTCCCGGGTTCAAGTGATTCTCTTGCCTCAGCCTCCTGAGTAGCTGGGACTACAGGCACAAGCCACCATGCCCAACTGTCTATTTATTTATTTAGTAGAGATGGAGTTTCACCATGTTGGCCAGGCTGGTCTCGATCGAATTCCTGGCCTCAAGCGATTCTCCCACCGCCTCGGCCTCACCAAGTGCCCAGATGCACTCTGGGTGTTGAGCAGCACCATCACTTTCCTTGTTCAGGACCCAGTGCTGGACACAATGCTTCTTAGTGTGTCCTATCATTGCATTTGTCAGGTATTTACTGAGCATTTACCAAGATGCTGTGAGGGTGTGTGGGGATAAAGAAATTAATCAGTCAAGATTCTACCTTTCATGTGCTCATATTCTTGGTGAAGAATAGAAAGGGAAATATGGGACAAAGAAATAGAAAGCATGTATCCACAGCATTAATTCATGACAGAAAATATGGCAAGATAGGTAAAAATGCCTTGCTGTGGGAGGAAGAAATTACGAAGGAGGACAGGGAAGGCTTAGTGAAGTATATGAACTAGGCTTTGTGAAGAGTGAAGAGGAATTAGACATAGGTTTGAAGAAGAGCACGAACAAGTGATAAATGTCTAGGATGTGGAAAGGAAAGCTTGGGTCAGACTGGAGGATCGCGAATGTCAGACTCAAGGAACTTTGCCTTTTTAAATTAGGTAGCGAGGAGCCACTGAGTGGGTGTTAAGCATGGAGTGCCACGTGCACACCTGTGCTTTAGGGAAATTTTTCTGAGTTTTGTGTAAGATGGATTTGAAAAGCAAGAGTATAGAGATAGAGGGGAGAGAGACATTAAGTGCCTGAATCAGGGGACAGGGAAGGAAAATGGAGAGGAAGGAACAGATTAAGAGATAGTAAAGAGGTAAACTTGATAAGACTTTGGCCACTGATTGGCTATAGAAGAAGAAATACAGATTGAAATTAGTATTATCTTTTCTATGCTGTATTTATGGTGATTTTTGTAAAACACAAATTCAGGATCTCACATTTATCCATTAAATTTAATGTTATTTATTTATTTAGAGAGATTCTCACTCTGTTGCCCAGGCTGGAGTGCGGTGGCACGATCTCAGCTCACTGCAGCCTCCGCCTCCCAGATTCACATGATTCTCCTGCCTCAGCCTCCCAAATGGCTGGGATTACAGGTGCCCACCAACACACCTGGCTAATTTTTGTAGTTTTAGTAGAGATGGGGTTTCACCATGTTGGCCAGGCTGGTCTCAAACTCCTGACCTCAGGTGATCCACCCACCTCGGCCTCCCAAAGTCCTGGGATTACAGGCATGAGCCACCATGCCTGGCCAAATTTAATGTTATTTTTAAGTCACCATTTCAGCCTATTGAGATATTTTTGAATCTTCATTCTGTCGTCAAAAAATCTTAGCTATTCCTGTAAGTTCCTTGTCTTCCTTGATTACATAAGCAATCTTTTTTTTATGCATGTCATTGAAAAAATGTCCAACAGCATAAGACTAAGTTGAGAATTGGGGAGCTATACCTCCTGACACTTCCTTGTATGTTGACATCTGTATATTACTTAGTGCCTCAGGAGTTCATATGTTTTTCTAACTAGGAACCTGGGCTTTAGCTCAAGAGCAGGCCCTACAGCTTAAGTTTAAATGCCAGCTTTTCTACCTACTATTTATATGACACTGAAAAGCTCCTCAGCCTCTCTGCCTTGATTTCCTCATCTGCAAAAAGGTAATAATAGTCCTTTCCTCAAAGCGTTATTTCAAAAATTGTCAATCTTTTATAACTGGTTTTAGCGAAGTGATATGCTCCCCCAAAAATGATTTGCTGCTATTTTGATAATGATAATAATGGTAATGACAGTGATTGCCTTTACCAGTTCCCATGACACTATTCCACATATTTCATAATCTGCCCTATAAAAGATTGATCAGGTTTCTTGCTGGTGTCTTCCCAGCCTGATTCTTTTAATGCAGCCAACCCTTCCTCATGTTGGCATGCAGGCCTGTTATGGACAATACTAGATATTTGTTCAAGAATCCTCCCATCCCTTTACTGTTAGGACCCACTTCTCCCAACTGAAGCATTCCTTAAGAACTCTCTTCTTGGGCAGCTTTCAAATTACCTTTGGAAACAAGATCAAGATAACCAAGAGCCAAATTTACCACCGCCCCAGTCAGTTAGGAAAGGATCATGTGACCTATTCTTCGTGAGATCCTCCTAGCTTCTAGTGAGTACCACTTTCTAATTATTCATGAACTATGTTTTAATTATCTGTTCAGAATTTTGCCTACAATTCCAAATTCACCTCATTTCTGTAATTTACGTTGCTTTTCTTTTATGAACATCAGGGATTTGCTCCCAGGCATTTTCTCCTGTGTGTCAGGATACCTTCAAAAATGATCAGCAGTGGTTCTGTGATTCCATGCTTTGAATTATTTCGGCATCACAAGATCCTTCCCTAAATTTGTTAAACCTTTCAGGAATTTTTTTGATCTCAATAACCATTAACAAACACAGTGGATCACTGCATCTTTAAAACAATTTATTCACTTGGTTTCTAGAATTCCATTTATTCAACAAATATTTATTGAGTGCTAGTACAAGAGTTTGTAGATATAACAGTGAACTAAGCAGATTAAATATCTGCTTTCATGGGGTTTATGTTCTGTTGTGAATGGGAGAGGGGAGATAGACAATAAATGAATGTAATACATAAACATAAAGAATTTTAGGGCCGGGCGCAGTGGCTCACACCTGTAGTTCCAGCACTTTGGGAGGCCGAGGGCAGGCAGATCACCAGGTCAACAGATTGAGACCATCATGGCCAACATGGTGAAACCCCGTCTCTACTAAAAACGCCAAAAAATTAGCCAGGTGTGTTGGCAGGTGCCCGTAGTCCCAACTACTCAGGAGGCTGAGGCAGGAGAATCGCTTGAACCCGGGAGGCAGAGGTTGCAGTGAGCCGAGATTGCGCCACTGCACTCCAGCCTGGCGACAGAATGAGACTCTGTCTCAAAAAAACAAAACAAAAAAAAAAAGAATTTTCGAAGATAGTAAGTACTGTGGAGAAAAGAAATGGAGTAAAGTAGATAGACTCAGGAGTGTGAGAGGAGCAGGTTGTAGTTTTAAATAGGATGCCCCAGGGAGGCTCTGTTGAGTTGAGCTTAGAGGAAAGGCTCCAAGGAGTTGAAAGAGTTTGACCAGCCATCTGGGTAGAGTGCACTGGCACAGGGCAAAGGCCAGGAGGCAGGACGCTCCGGGACACTTTTAAGGAACAGCAAGGAGGCCAGCATGGTTGGAGTAAAGTGAGCGAGAGGAGGAAGGGTATTGAAGGATCACCAAGAGGGAATGGAGGTCTTGGTAAGCCACTCTAGGGATGCTGAGTACTACTCTGAGTGAAATGAGAAGCCATTACAAGGATTGTGCGTAGGAGCAGCATGATCTTACATATATTTTAAATTTTAAGTATTGAAAATAGGCTTTAGGTAGTCAAGGATGGAAGCAGTGAGACCACCTAAAGGCCACAGTGGTAACCCAGGTGAGAAATGAAGACTCTTTGCACTGTTGGTAGCAGCAGAGATGGAGGGAACTGGGTGAACTCTGAATGTATTTGAAGGACCAGCCAGCTGAATTCCCTGCCAGATTGAAGATAGGGTGTGAGAGAAAGAAAGGTGTCAAAAATAACTCTCAGGATTTTATATTTGAGCAGTGAAAAGATGGATGGAGTTGCCAGCTATTGTGACGGAGGATGCTGCAGGTCTAGGCAAGCAGATCAGTGCTTAAATTTAGAGTGTCTCTTAGCCATGTGGGGGAGGGAGTTGGACATATGCATCAAAACAAGAGAGGTCTGGCCTGGAGATAGATATTTGGCAGCCATCAACATATAAATAGTATAGCTAAATGGAATTTAAAACTATGGGACTAGATGAAATCTTCACAGGAGGGAGTATACTCATGGCAAAGAAGAGGACCATGGACTTTTATGAAGTTTGCAAGATGACGAGAAACCATCAAAGGACATTGACAAGCAGCAGCCAGTGAAGGAGGAGGAAAATCTAGAAAATACAGTGTTGTAGTGTTGCCAGCATTAGAACTCAGCACGGACTGAGTGATAAATGTAGCACGGACTGAGTGATAAATGTAAATGTTTTTGTGGAGTAGTAGGGATGAAAACTGGATGGGTGTGGCCTTAAAAAAGAGACTGGGAGTAGAGGAAGGGTAAATAGAGGCAAAACTTTTGCACTGAGTTTTGCAGCAAAGGCGAACAGAGAAATGGCATAGTGGCTGGAGAAATGAGGTCACAGGAAGGTTTTTTTGTTTTATGTGTTTTTTAAGTCGAAGAAATAAGTACATATTTGTATTTGAAGAAAAGGACTTGGGAAGAATGAAAATTTGGTGATGTAAGAAAGAAAGGGGAAAATCCCTGAAATTATGTTTTTGGCCAGGGAAGTAGCGGTGGAGGAGGGGTGTGCAACTGGAGTGATTGGTTTAGGCGGGAACATGGATAGTTTTGCCTGCGCTGTCTGTCCGTTCTATAGGAATTGTGTTATTTCTCTGTCATTCATATTTTACCGCTTTGTCCAAACAGCAAACTCTATCTCTCTTGGACTACTACTCTGGAACATGGCCATTGCTTTGGTTTTTGACATATTCTGGTCATCAGGAGCATTTTGATTCCTTCCCGTAAGAAACTCTACTGCTGTGGCATCTCTGCTAGCCACAGTCTCTGAAATGGTGTCCACCTGTTGGTGCCCACTGTCACATCTCAGGGGATTATCTGGGAGGGATCTACCATAGTTGCTGAATGATGGACCTGGGTTAAATTTTTCTCAGGATTGGGAAAAGTATTCTTTGAGGCTTTGAAAGGGAATAAATAGAAAATCATCTTTCTGGTTGTTATACAACAATGCACACTCAAAGGCACAACACATGCCCCCACGGTGCTGTTGCTGCTGGTTAATCAGCGTATTCAGGTTTCTGGAGAAAGTGTTTTCTTATTGTATGACTCTGAAGATGCAAAGTGTCCTTACTTCCTCTCTTCCCATTTATTGCCCTCCCCCAGATTGGCACCTGCTGAGGACTAATTAGGGCAGTCCTAATTTGGACGGCCAAATCCTGATTACAGTGAGGGGAAAAACAGGAAATGTTCTAGTTTTGCTGCCAGCAAATGACTGACTTAAATAGAAAGCCATATACAATTCAAATGATCCAAAATGGTATAACACTGGGGAAGGAGGAAGGGAGCAGGAAGACGTTGCACTCTGATTTTCTCCCATGTGATCCTCAGCAGATATCCTTCAGAGAAATCATCAAATCTAGAAACTCACAATGCCCTCTGCTGAGGGTTGGCTTGTTTTCCAAGCTTCCCATGAAAACCTGGGCAGCTCCTGGGAGCTTAGAGATCTGAGGAAAGGTGAAAAACATATCACCTTTCTATGAGTACCTCACTCTAGAGACAGACTGTGCCTCAGGTAATGTCAGGTTACATGCTTTGGATAAAGAGGGGTTTCCTAAACAGGGAAATGAGGGCTAGAAGTCTTTTCCCTAATTATCCACACCCCTTGGGGCTTAAAGGGAAACTCAGCTGTGAATTCTGTACTGCTCCTCATTAGGAATCAGGCACTTGGCCCATGAGTTGCCTACTTCCAAGCAGAGTGCTTCCCTCCCCTTGCCTGTCCTCTGTCCTGAGATCCATCCAGCAGCTCATGTGTCCCAAAATAATAATTTAAAGATTGGAAATCGCAGTTTTCGGAAGTTTCTCTCTGTTCCAATTTACTATCAGTTCATTAATCAATTTTTTTTTCTTGGAGGTGGGGGATAAGGAGGCTCTCTGCCTTGTGTTGGGCCTGGCAGAGAATACAAATAAAACCTCTTCCCTAGTGTTAGAGGCTCAGTTGGTTTGAGTTGATTTAAGACATAAGCATGTTACCTTTAGCACACCCCTTTCACAACTTCAGAGAGGAGCTAGAACTCATGCTGGACATGAAGAAAGAGTGAGAGGAGGAGAAGCCTGCACTCGCTGATGGCAGACATCAGAGCTGGCACGGGGCTAGGCAGCTTGTTGACCCTCGGTATGCTCATTGAGGAAATTTCTACCAGACTGAACAGGACGAGCAAGCAGTGGAGCAGCATGGACGACCATGGTGCGTGGGAGAAAGGTTGAGAAATCACAGTGACTAGAGTGGACAGTGTGGTTGGGTAGAAATGGGCAGGAAAGGAGAAATTTCTTGTATTAGGTAAAAGAGTGCTTTCATAGGTCTTGGTAAGAAGGAGTACATGATCGAAGTGGTGTTTTATGATCTCACTGGCCCCACTGTGCTAAATAGCACAGACTAGACACTAGGGACTCTGGTGGCTTCTGAAGCCCTTCAGGTTTCCTGTGTAGCCAGAGGCCAGGGTCCTATAGGAATGAGACTCTCCTTGAGCTGGCCTTGGAGCTTTTGCCAACCTAACTTAACTTTGAACCTCAGAGTGAGAGGCAGGACTAGCTGGATTTCTTGGCCAACTAAGAATCCCTAAGCCTTGCTGGGAAGGTGACTGCATCCACCTTTAAACACGGGGGCTTGCAACTTAGCTCACACCCGACCAATCAGGTAGTAAAGAGAGCTCACTAAAATGCTAATTAGGCAAAAACAGGAGGTAAAGAAATAGCCAATCATCTATTGCCTGAGAGCACAGCAGGAGGGACAATGATCAGGATATAAACCCAGGCATTCGAGCCGGCAACGGCTACCCTCTTTGGGTCCCCTCCCTTTGTATGGGAGCTCTGTTTTCACTCTATTAAATCTTGCAACTGCATTCTTCTGCTCTGTGTTTACTACGGCTCGAGCTGAGCTTTCGCTCGCTGTCCACTACCGCTGTTTGCTGCCATCGCAGACCCACCGCTGACTTCCATCCCTCCAGATCCGGCAGGGTGTCCACTGTGCTCCTGATCCACCAAGGGGCCTATTGCCGCCCCCGATCGGGCTAAAGGCTTGCCATTGCTCCTGCACAGATAAGTGTCCGGGTTCGTCCTAATCAAGCTGAACACTAGTCACTGGGTTCCACGGTTCTCTTCTGTGACCCATGGCTTCTAATAGAACTGTTACACTCACCGCACAGCCCAAGATTCCATTCCTTGGAATCTGTGAGGCCAAGAACCCCAGGTCAGAGAACACGAGGCTTGCCACCATCTTGGAAGCGGCCAGCCACCATCTTGGGAGCTCTGGGAGCAAGGACCCCCTGGTAACAAGAACGGCCAAGGGTGTATACCAGGGAAACCCTCTGCAAGCTCCAGCTTGTGATCTGTCTCTTGAAGCTATGTTATCTCCTAACACTGATATATATTCATTTCTATTAAACATTAAATAAGTACCAAAAACATTATAAAATATACACAATATCTGTTTCATAGAGGGCATTCAGCAAGTGAGCTTTTATTGTGTGCTCCTATAATTTATTATGTGTAACTTTATGCTGGTATTTATTCCATTGTATTGTAATTTAGACTTTTAAAATATATTATTTCATTAGTTATTGGTTTAACTGTCTTTCTTTAAAAAAAATATTGTTTTTCAATTGTAGCTTCACATCAAGGTTATTTGGGGAAACTTCAAAACATACATCCTGGGTTTTCCATACTAGGTCCACTGAGAGTTGGGCCCGGGCAAGTTTAGTTTAAAAATATCCTCAAAGTGATTGTCATGTGTTACTGGTTAGAAATCACTGATCTGGGCCAGGCAGGCAGGGTGGCTCACACCTGTAATCTCAGCACTTTGGGTGGCCTAGGTGGGTGGATCACCTTGAGGTCAGGATTTCGAGACCAGCCTGGCCAACATGGTAAAACCCCATCTCTACTAAATATACAAATATTAGCTGGGCATGGTGGCAGGTTCCTGTAATCCCTTCTACTCAGGAGGCTGAGGCAGGAGAATCGCTTGAACCTGGGAGGCAGAGGTTGCAGTGAGGACTCGGTCTGGAAAGAAAGAGAGAGAAGAAGGAGGAGGAGGAGGAAGAGGAGGAGAAGGAGAGAGAAAGAAGGAGGGGAAGGAGGGAGGGAGGGAGAAATCACTGCTCTGAACTCTTAGCTTCCAGAAGTTATTATGTCATTTTCCACACACCTGTCTGCAGTATCTTGCATGGTGTCTCTGTATAGGCCTTGCACTCTTGTTTTTTGATCAAGTGAATCCCTTCACTCATCCTTTCCAGTACATATCAGTTGCCCTTCTGGCCAAATACAGATGCTGCCCACCTAACCAGTTGTCCTACAAATTCTGTAGCAAGCAGCCAGTCCTCATTTCTCCTACCCAACTCACTCTACCATAATCAGATAGGAGTCTGTTGCAGTGACCTTGACACAAAGTAACAAGGACCTAGACTGGAAAGAAAATACTCAGTAAAGTATTAATACATAGTCTCTGTGCAAGGGACTTTATGGTCACAGCTCATCTAGTCAGTCACAACAATTCTGTTGAATTAGATTCTCTGCCTTTCAGATGAAGAAACAGAGGTTCAGGAAAGTTAATAACGTGGCAAAGGCCACAGAGCATAAAGTGGTAGTGCACATGTGAAAAGCACTAGCTCTGTCTCAGTCTTCAGCCCAAAGAAGAGGCAATGGAATTAAAGAGGAAATAGGAAACCTGAAAAATGCTTCACATGCTTTAGAGAGACAGTGTAATGACTAGGAAAATAGACTGCAGAACAGCGGGTCTGGGTTCATTTCAGGTTCTACCTTGCTAGTTGGCTGACCACCATCCAGTTCCCAGCCTTCTGTGCCTCTGTATTTCGCCTATCAAATGGAAGTAATAATAGTACCTACCACGCAGGGTGGTTGTGAGGATTAAAAGTTTATATATGCCAAATGCTCAGAAGAATGCATAGCTCATGGAAAAGGTTAAATTGTCAGCCAATACAATTATTTATTGTTGCTGCAATTGGTGTTTTGTATTATTGACTTTTAAATTAATTCATTGATGATATTATTGATATTCAATAAGAAGACAGTACAAGAAAGTTTTTTTAATTTTTTTATTATCATACTTTAAGTGCTGGGCTACATGTGCAGAACATGCAGGTTTATTACATCAGTATACACGGGCCGTGGTGGTGTGCTGCACCCATCATCCTGTCATCTACATTAGGTATTTCTCCTAACGCTCTCCCTCCCCTAGCCCCCTAACTCCCGACAGGCCCCAGTGTGTCATGTTCCCCTCCATGTGTCCATGTGTTCTCATTGTTCAACTCCCACTTATGAGTGAGAACATGCGGTGTGTGGTCCAGAAAGATATTTTTATGTCGTTTGTTATTTTCCTGGCGTTTTGTGCTTCAGTTATGTCATTCATTCCTTCAATCTGTTACTCATTCAAAAATCATTTATTAAGCACTTCTAGGAGCCAGCGTTATTCTAGGGCTAAAGGTGAAGAAGTGAATTGACTAGGTAAGGTCCTTGCTTTCGTGGATTTTACACCTTAATGGAGGGAGCTAGATAATAATCAAGTGGAAATAAACAATAAATTTCTCATTAATAAGGATGATGTGATTAAACAAAACAACAGGTTCAAGTGAGGAGAGTAGGTTCAGGGAAGACGCCGCAGAGGACGTGGCATTTGAGCTCAGTTCTAAAGGATGAGAAGGAGCCATGTGGAAATGTGGGAAAGAGCACTCCAGGTGGAGAAAGGAGCAAGTCCGAAGATGGGAACTAGCTTGAATTCAGGTTAATGAGCAAAGAGAATGAATACTGAGTGACATTAGACAGGTAGAGGGGTCGGATCATTTGGGTCATTTCTGGCTGCACATGAGAATCACATGGGAGCTTAAAACATAGCCAGACTGAGCCCCACTTCAGACTGTGAAACTGATGTATTTTTAAAATGCTTCCCAGGTGTTTTCATGTGCAGTCAGGATTAAGAACCATTGATAAAGGATCTTGAGGCTAGAGAATTTGAATTTTATTCTCAGTTCAGTGGGAAGACATGCAAGGTTTAAATAGGGAGTCATCTGATCTGAGATCTACTTATAAAGATCTTAATGATATTCAAACACAGACTATATTTAAATTTGCTTTATTATAAGAAAAATCTGAACATTGACGGTTGAGACAGATTTTTTTTTTTTTTTTTTTTTTTTGAGGAGTTTTGCTCTTGTTGCCCAGGCTGGAATGCAATGGCGTGACCTTGGCTCTCTGCAACCTCTGCCTCCCAGGTTCAAGCAATTCTCCTGCCTCAACCTCCCAAGTAACTGGGATCACAGGCATGTGCCACCACACTCAGCTAATTTGTATTTTTAGTAGAGACAGGGTTTCGCCATGTTGGCCAGGCTGGTCTCAAACTCCTGACCTCAGGTGATCCACCCATCTCGGCCTCCCAAAGTGCTGGGATTACAGGCGTCAACCACTGCGTCCAGCTGAGACAGATTTTATATGAATTCTTGGTCCACTTCCTGTGTTACAGTATAATTTTTTTCTTCTTGATCTTTTAAGTGTCAAACAGTTATGATCCTTCATATGAGAACTTGTCTATTTAAAGGTTGTTACTAAATTATCCCCAAGAGTTACCTTCTGTAAACTGTCATTGCAAAGCCTTTTTCCCTTGGTCCTCTTGGATGGTTTCTGTTTTCCATGGGCCTTCTCCAGAGTTATCAGAAGTTGTCATTCTCAGGTAGACATATACACTATCATAAAGCTCTCTGACCAGCATTGAGTATGGTGTCAAAGATGTTCTGATGTTTCTTTCCTCTTTTCCTATGTGTGTTGCTCCATCTTAACTGACTTTTTGGTTTTGTTTTTGTGTTTGTTTTGTTTTATTTGGCAGCATAATACTATTATCTTTGCATCCCTAATTGTCATTATCACTTGTGTTGCTGGACATTTCACTGCGGTTTCGTCTGCTGCAGGTCCAGTCATTCACAGTCTAAATTGGACGACGGCACTTTACTTTGGACCAGTCTTGTCCAAGGTTCATTTGTTGAGCTTGGCTCCTAGTTTTTGAAGTATCTTGAAAGATTCAGTCTGGGAAAGTACACATCATGCCCTGGCTGTCACCAAACAATTGAATCCAATTAGCCCCACCTGCACCTGGTTGTTTACCTAATGAAAGACTCAGCACCCCAGCTGTGTCCAGGGACCATGCACACTCGCACTTCCCAACTGTTCCAGAGAGGAAGCGGTACACATCAGAGCCAGGCGACACCAGCAGATGTTTTCTGAATGAAATTCACTCAGCTGTATCTCGAGGGTGGACCTTTCTCTTGGCAGCCTCATCACCTGTACCAAAAGGTACACCTATTTTCCTCTTCCTCTTGGAAACAGATACAAATAGTTACACAGTTGGCTCTGTCTGTGGCTCATTGAGCTGTGAATTAATGAGTACATTATGGTTCTGGTAGGGATGATTAACCTTGCTTCTCCTATGGAATAATTTTTGGACATGTAGCTCTCCTTTTTTGAGGCTATTTGGATATGTCCTGGAATTCTGTAACCCACATGATCTGGTTTACCAGAAAATCAAAAACAAATAAATGCAATTAGTCAGGGTGGACTTGCCACTTGAGTAAAAAATTTTCTTTAGGGTAATTGTTTATTGCTGATCAATGCCAGTATTTCAAATTAGAATATTTGGAATTACTTTTGGGATTGGTGTTCATTCCAAATGTACTAACATATTTATTGTTGAGGGCAGTATGTTAGTAGCCTTTTCATTCATTTGGATGACTATTTTTTAATAAAATGGGATCGATGCATATTAGAGATAATGTAATCTTGAATTACTGAATTAATCCAGTCCTTTAAAAATATGTAAGTAAATAATGTGGGTACCTTTAATGTCATCCAACCTAACCTAATTTTTTTATTTCAGCTAATGCTAAAATGGAAAATTCTAGCCCTTCAAAATGTACGGTACCATCTCACACCTACAGATCCAACTATTTCCTGAACCTGAGGGCAGATATGGGCCAGCATGGATGCGCTCAAAGACGTAGATGCTGACAAAATGAGTTGGGCTTGGGCTTCTCACTCTGTGGAACAGAATTTGACCTATAGTGTGGGTCTAAGAGGAATTGAACCACACAGCCAAGATTCTTTCTAGATATGAGTGGTGAAATCTCCCACAGCCAAGATTCTTTCTAGATATGAATGGTGAAATCTCCCACAGCCAAGATTCTTTCTAGATATGAATGGTGAAATTGAAATTTTGTATAATTTCCACATGTCACAAAATATTGTTCTTTTAGTTTTTTAAAAACCATTTTAAAATGTCAACACCATTGTTAGCTTACAGGACATACAAAGACAGCTGATGGGTAGGTTTGGCCCACAGGTCATGGTTTGCCCACCCCATTGTATTAGACAGAGTGCTAATTGGGAAGTTATGGATAAGTGCAAAAGGAGGGGTTTTGTTTGTTTTGTTTCCAAAGGGAGAGATCATTGTAGGCTGACATAGTCAACAAATTCTTCACAGAGAAAGTGAGTTTTTGAGGAGACTTTCCAATAATAGGCCACCTAGGAATAAGTAGCGTAGAAGGGAAAGGCTTGTCAATAATCGCTCTTTGGTTCATTTGTTTTATGAGTCAGGACTATTTTACATTGGGGTTTTTCAAAGAGGGACACACCTGTATTCATTACCTGATTTGTATTGAATCCAGAGAGGCATGGTGAAGGGCATGGCACAGAGTGATCTTTGATTTGGTTAAATACCAAATGACTTGACAGCTCATCAAAGTTGTTTAGAGCAGAGAATAAAACGGAAACCATTAAGATGCTTTTAGTGTAATAAGTTATCTAGACTTTTGAAATTGAAGAGGGCTTCTTTTTATCTCTACTTCAGTTCTTATATGCCTTCTAAATACCAGGTATTGTGGTAGGCACTAGGGACAGAAAAACTAAGAAGAAATCGACTCTGTCCTCATAGAACTCATCATCCAATATGGGATTCCAGCTTGCAAAAAAGTGTAGTAGGACCAGTTAAAATAGACGTTGGCAAACGCAAAGGTTGTGGCCCTTGAGTGCACATTTAAATCACATGGGAAACTCCAAAAATTTCTGTTGCTTGGGTCCCGCAGCCCAGAGATTGTGATTTACTTGGTCTTGGGTATGGCTTGGGCATCTGGTTTTTAAAATAGCTTGCCCAAGTGATTCTAATCTTTAGTCAAGGTTGAAAACCTCTGGTATAGGGGTGATGAGGCACAAAAAAAGAGGACTCAGATGTACCAAGGGAGGAGCTGGGGCAATGCTTGACAAGTAGAGGCAAACAAGGAGGATGAGAAAAAGGCTTTCTAGGCTGAGATGACACACAGAAACAGGAAATAATAGATCCCATTTGGAAAACTTTGGAATACTCATCATGGGTAGTGTGTTCAACCAGCATGGGCAAGAGATTGGCTAGGAATCGTGAACAGACACAAAGGAGAAAAGGAATAGCAGGAGATAAAGCTGAAAAGATAGATGTTCATGCCTTGCTAAGTCTAGCCTTGGTCTTACCTGGAATTAGAAGTCACTGAAGACTTGTAGGAAGGGTTATAACATGATTGGATGTGTAGTTTAGAAAAATGACTCATCTGACTGATGTGGTGAGTTCAACTGATGGTCTTGTAGCTGCAGGCGAGAAGCCCAGTTACAAGGTTATTGCCAAGTCCAGGTGAAAAAAGATGAGGGTTTAAATATAGGTTAATAGCAGTGAACCTGGACAGGAAATGACAGATTTATTAAGATATTAAGGAGATAGAATTGGCAGGATGTGGTGACTGGGTAATTAGGATGACTCTGCATTCCTGAGTTGAATAACAGGATGGCTTGAATAGGGAACATTAGATGCTCAGTGGTAGAGAGAGAGAGAGAGAAGTAGTTAGTAAATTGAGTTCCTCTTGACTCATTTTAACTTGAAATGCAGATGGAACTTTCAAGTAGAGTTCTACAGTAAGCCTTTGGATATGCAGACTGGAAACTTAGAAGAGAGGGCTGCCCTAGAGATAATAATTTCAGAGTCATCAGAATATAGATGGTTCAAGCTGTGCAAGAAGATGAGACTGCCCAAGTCAGCAATGCAGAATTCTGTGGAACACAGCATTTAAAGTATGGATGGAGAAAAAGAGCCATCAGTTTGGCTAAGAAAGGTTAGGATGGTAGGTAAAGAACGTGATGCGGAAAGCAAAAGAATAGTATTTCAAGAAGAGAGTAATCAAAAGTGTTGGATGCTTTAGAATAGTCAAAGAGTGCGAAGAATAAAATAAAAAGTGCTCTTGGGTTGGTGGAGCAATTTCAGTGGAGTAATGGTTCTAGAACCCTGACTGCAGTTGATTTAAGACTGGATTTTGATTTCCTGTCAGAAGTTTGGTGCGAATAGATTTAAAAAGCCCTTTTCTTGTTTCTAACTTGTAGAAATTCTGGATAAAAAAATTATAACTTTAAAAATATTTTAAATATGTAACCAAACTCAAAAGGATGAAAGAGAATTCTCCAGATGCCATGAATGAAAGAGGAATTAAAAGCCAGAAACAGACAAATGTGGAAGTTGAGTGGGCTACAGAGGTTTCAGGACCACATATAGAGGTCAAATAGAGGCTAGCATCTTGACATCTTCCAGGCAGGGAGGGAGCTTTATCTGTGCAGAAGTTATGCAAAGAACTGTTTCATTCATATTTCTTAGTTCATTCATGAATGGAACCAAGAAAACTTGGGACTTAAGAAGGAGCTACCCAACCTGGAGTAGAAAAGTAGCCCCTAAAAGAAATCAGAATCCCACACCTCATGTGATATGTGCAAGTAAGAACTCAATTTGTACTACCTGCGTAGGGAGAAAAAGCCTTAAGCCAAAAATAAAAAATAAAAAAAAAGGAAAAAAAAATTACAAACCTATTTGGAACCAGTGTAACTCATAGGACCCAGAAGAGGCAAATGCAGACTACGTAACAGTGATATCTTGAAAATTCTGGGCAAATGCAAGATTCCTACAGAGGATAAGTTCCATTGAAGTAGAGCTTCCAGAACAAAGTAGCAGACCACATGAGGAAATACACCATCATGAGAAAAGAAGGCAAATGCAACAAACAGGACACTTGACATCTACAAGAACTACCAAAGAATATAAAGCCACTTCATAGAAGGAACTTAAAAATTGTGGATTTCTAAAACATTCAAGGAGATAAAGAAAAGAACAGATTCCATGATACAAGAGCAGGACAGTTTGGAAGGGAAAAGCCAGTAGATTTGTAAAAGAGGCAAATAGAAAATCTAGAAATGAAAAATATAATAACTGCAAATTTTTCAAAAAGCAGTAGATGGGTTAAATCGTAAAGTAGACCTTGGAGAGAGATTTCATGAATGAGAGGTGAGACAGTGAAGTCAATTAGTGCAGGCTGCTCCTTTGATGATTGCCTTTGAAGGAGAGGGAGCAGCTTTGTTAGAGAGGAATGCAGGGAAGAGATTCATTCATTCATTCATTCATTCATTCATTCATTTTTAAAATAACAGAGGATTAGGGAATATATAGTGGAAAGAGTAAAAATACAGGAAAAAGGGGAGATAGGTCGGGGAGAAAAGATCCCCAAGAGCCTAACTAGAGGAATTACTGGAAATTAATGAGGATGAAGCAGATTTGAACATATTTCTGTTGGGGGTAGGAGGTCAAATATTTGAAAGTATGTAATTAGATCCCTTCCTTCTCTGTCAGATAAGAAGGATATGGGCGGTAAGCAATGAGGAGATACAGAAAGGGCAAATGTTTTTTTAAAGAAATAGCTACTAAGATAAATGGGGAGATGAACCTGATCAGAGACAGGTATAAAGAATGTCAGAGAACATTGAGGGGTACACCTGCAACAGTCTCTTATCTGAGGTGGTACCATGCTATAAGATTGCACCTAGCAATGCAAGTATAAGATTGTAAAAGTTAGATTGTTGGATTAGTCCATAAATATTACAGAAAAGATGCAAGGAAATAACAAAAGAGGGAATAGAAAATAGTAGTAAGAAAGTAATATGAGAGATTGGAGGGAAGAAGTTTCTGTAATCCAATTTTTGTGTCTCTGACCATGGTTACTATGAGAAAACATTTGCTTATAGTGAATTAGAAGAATTCTAGAATCTGTTTTCCTCCTGCCTCACCTCATTTCCCATGCAAGTGTGCCTTGAGCTCAAAACTTTAGAAGAATAAGAGAGCAAATAAATAGCTCTCTTATTTATTCTAGTTTATTTTAAAAGAACCAGGGTAATATTGTTCCCTACAACAGTGGTCCCCAACCTTTTTGGCACCAGGGACTGGGGTGATGTTTTGGGTGAGAAAAAGGGGATGGGATGGTTTCAGGATGTAACTGTTCCACCTCAGATCATAAGACATTAGTTAGTTTCTCGTAAGGAGCATGTGATCTAGATCCCTCGCATGCGCGGTTCACAATAGAATTTGCGCTCCTGTGAGACTCTAATGCTACCGCTGATCTGGCAGGAGGTAGAGCTCAGGTAGTAACGCTCACTGGCCCGCTGCTCACCTCCTGCTGTGCCGCCCAGTTCCTAACAGGCCATGGACCAGGACCAGTCCGTGGCCCAGGGGTTGGGGACCCCTGCCCTACAACATGAAACTATGTTACCTTAAGTCAGTCTGTCATGAATCAAGGTTTGTAGGCTTCAACTTTTTGTTTTTGTTTTGTAGAGAAGGTCAATCTGTGTTGCCGAGGCCAGTCTTGAACTCCTGGCCTCAAGCAATCCTCCTGCCTCAGTCTGCCAAAGTGCTGCAGTCATAGATGTGAACCACTGCATCTGGCCTAGGCTCCATCTTCTTTTGTCTACAAACATTAATTGTCTGTTGGGTCAAGGAGGTATCATACATACATGCCATATATATTGTTTATTTGCAAGTGCATAATGCCCCCCAGAGTGACCCCTGTACTAAAAGAGATTCCTGCCTATGATGGGGCAATCTCCTGGAGTCTTGGTCAGCCCCAGAGGAGAAGCAGCTAATTGGCACTCCTTTCATAAATAAATGTCATTTCTGTCACCTAGTATTGCTGACGAGGATATTTAGATCGTTGAAATTAGTTACAGTGACACATGTTGAACCGAAAGAAAAGCTTTTTAATTAAGTTGAAATTGAACATTTAAGATGAATTTACAGGTAACATTCTGGTAAGAGCAGTGTTAATAGCTAACCCATGGGCCCTATGAAAAGACTTGAAGCCTGTCAGCTCTAGGTCACTAGTCAGAGCCCACTGGAGATGGCAGTAATCAAAGGCTTTTTCTGCCTGACAACTGGGGCTGAGGGTTTCTTAATGATGGTATATTGGCTGTGAAGAGAGGGGTGTCCATGATTCAAGCAATACCCTCAACTAGAACTAATTGATAGTTTAAACCAAGGAGTCCAGAGTACAACCTTTTGTAACACTTCCGTCACCTTTCAGGTACTAGTTATGTTGTCACTTAATAGCATTCTTTTACATGGTTATCCCACTTTTTATTCAACATTTTCTTAAAAGGTCCCCCCCAAAACATACCATATGCTTTTATTTATCCTAAGGGATCAAATATGGTAAGAGGAGCTAATTAGTTTTTTCAACTGTCACGATTACTCAACAACTAAGAAACTAAGAATGAAATCTAGAAATGTTGTTTCCCAGTAATGTGACCTATTAATGGGTATCATGGACTCCAACTTAGATAATGGATTATGTTCAAAGGAGAGATGAGTGTGATTTCTTTTTTCCTGCAGCAAAGGTAGATGAAAATGCTAACTGAATACCAGGCATCATGCTACAGTGTCTCTTTTCTATTGGCTGTGTTTAGGGGTATTGTCCAGTCAGAAGAAAAACTTGTCATCAGTGCATCCTGGGCAAAAGATGATGATATCAGCAGACTCTTGAAATCTCTACCAAACTGGATGAATATGGCTCAACCCAAACAGCTGAGGCCAAAAAGAGAGGAGGAAGAAGATTTCATAAGGTAAAAGGTCCATTTTCTAAGTTGTCCTAAACATAGGGAGGAAGCACATCTGTTTAGCTAATATTTTTTTACATGAAATTTAGGCAAATTCTAAAAATCAAGCAGCAATTACTTGAACTTAGTAAAATATGTTTTCCTCCTGTCTCACCTCATTTCCCATGCAAGTGTGCCTTGAGCTCAAAACTTTAGAAGGAAAAAAATTAATGTGAGTCAAATTTGGAACATTGCTAAATTGGATTAAAATATCTTTTTTTTTTTTTTTGAGACAGAGTCTCACTCTGTCTCCCAGGCTGGAGTACAGTGGCGCAATCTCGGCTCACTGCAAACTCCACCTCCTGGGTTCACGCCATTCTCCTGCCTCAGCCTCCCAAGTAGCTGGGACTACCGGTGCCCACCACCACGCCCGGCTAATTTTTTATTTTTAGTAGAGACGGGGTTTCACAGTGTTAGCCAGGATGGTCTCGATATCCTGACCTAATGATCCACCTGCCTCGGCCTCCCAAAGTGCTGGGATTACAGGCATGAGCCACCACACCCGGCCTAAAATATCTTTTAATTTATAGGTTCTTCTTTCCTCTTAGAGGAAAAATAGAATTCAGTGATTCATTCACTCAGCAAAGTTGTTTGTAGCCCCCATATGGGCCATACCCTTTCAAACATGAGAGTAAGATAAATTTCTGTCCATACAGAATATGTTTCTGTCCATACAGAATATGTTATGATTGTTCTTAACATGTTCTCCAGTCCATAGAACTGTCAGTTGGACTTTCTGGAAAATACAAATGTGCTTCCTGTGTGTGTGTTCACATACATTGTATTATCCGTGATTGTTTTCTATGTTTCAACAAAAGTAGAGTCTTTCTTTTAACTTTATCACTCAACATTTGCCTTTGTTCAATTTAAATTATTTACTTAGCCATGAAAGTGTGGCCTAATTTGATGAAGCTACTCATTTCCATATGGCTGGCTTGCCACAGTGAAACATTTTCACCTCTGTCACTTATAGAGCTGTGTAAAGTAGAAAAACAATGGTGGTAATACTTTGTCACATCAAAGTTGGGATTAATATTATCTTCTTTTGCCTAAGTGAATGAATAAGTGGTAAAAATAAAATAAAAGCATTTTAAAGAAACAAAGACTAGAAGAGGAATAAAAGGAATAAGGGCCCATGTTTTCATTCATCACAGAACTGTGTTCTTATCTCTCTCAAATTGTGCAACTGTAGACAAATCTTTACTGCTCACAAAGTTAACCTATAATCATACACTACAGTGCCATATTTTTATGAACTTTTTATTATGAAAATTTTCTGTAGCATCATGTTAAACTTTCTCAAAACCATGATTCTTGAAAGTGCATGTGTAATTTAACCTAAATTCTTCCTGTTTATGTTTTTCTTCCTTATTATTCACAGTATCTGAAAGAAACTTGTTAGCTAGTTAATTATATAAGAAAACTGTCTCTCTCCCCACCTTTATTTTTTGAAGGAGCAATTTTAGGTTTACAGAAAAACTTGAACAAAAAGTACAGAGTTGCCATAGATCCCCTTACACCTCCCCCAACCATTTCCTCTGTTTTTAACATCTTGCATTCATGTGGTGTATTTGTTATAATTGATGAGCTAATACTGATACAATATTAATGACTAAAGTCTGTAGTTTACATTAAGGATCACTCTTCATATTCTAAATATATCGGTTTTGACACATGTATAAGGAATACATCCACCATTATAGTATTATGCAGAATAATAATTTTGCTGCCCTAAAAACTTCCTGTGTTCCTCCTATTCATCCCTCCCTCCCTCAACAGCCTGAACCCCTGGCAACCACTGATCTTTTTATTGTCTCCATAGTTTCGTCTTTTGCAGAATGTTATATACTTGAAATCATACAGTATGTTTCCTCTTGAGAATGACTTATTTTGCTTAGCAATGTGCATTTAAGTTTCCTCCATGGTTTTTTTATTTTGTGGTATTATTGCTCATTTCTTTTTTATCTCTGAATTATGTTCCATTTCATAGGTGTACCACTCTATTCACTCATCTATTGAAGGATATCTTAGTTGCTTTCAAGTTTTGGCAGTTATGAACAAAGGTGCTGTAAATAATTTGTGTGCTGGTTTTTATGTGGATGCAGGTTTTTAACTCATTTGAGTAAATACCAAAGAATGTGATTGCTGGATCATAAGGGCAAAATATGTTTAGTTGTATAAGAAACTGCCAAAATGTATTCCAAAGTGGTTGTATCATTTCACATTCCTACCAGCAAGGAACAAGAGCTCCTGTTTCTCCACATTCTTGCCAACATTTGATGCTGTCAGTGTTTTGGATTTTAGCCATTCTTATGAATGTGTAGAGATATCTCATTGTATTAATTTGCAATTTCCTAATGACATGTGATGTTGAACATCTTTTCATATGCTATTTGCTGTCTCTATATCTTTGGTGAAGTGTTTATTCAAATCTTTTGCCTACATTTTAATTGGGTTATGGGTGTTCTTGTTCAGTTTTAAGAGTTATATGTATATTTTGGGTAGCAGTCCTTCATCTGATAAGTATTTTGCAAAGATTTTCTCCCAGCCTGTAGTTTGCCCTTTCATTCTCTTCACGATGTCTTTTGCAGAGAAGTTTTAATTAAGTCCAACATATTTTTGTGCTTTTCTGTCTTCTCTTGTTTTAATTATTTTGTATGGTTCCATTTTTTCTTGTCTTTTACCATATTAGTTATACTTCTTTTTTTTACACCTTGCATTCATCGTATACATTTATAACTAATCCAAGTCTGCTTTCAATGACACTGTACCACTACACAGGCAGTGTAAGTACCTTATAACAGAGTATTCCCAATTCTTCCTCCCTATCCTTTGTAACATTGCTGTCATTGATTTCATTTATCCATAAGCTAGAATCATTGACTACAATGTTATTGTTATTATTTTGAACAAACTGTTGGATCAAGTAAGAATTAGAAAAGGTTTATTTTTACCTTTGTTTATTCCTTCCCTAATGCTCTTCCTTTCTCAATGTAGATCCACGTTTCTGATCTGTATCATTTTTCTTCTCTCTGAAGAACTTCTTTTGACACATCTTGCAAGACAGATCTACTGGCAGCAAATTCCTTCAGTTCTTATTTGTCTGAGAAAGTGTTTATTTTTTCTTCACTTAAAGGATAATTTCACTAGGTACAGAAATCTAGACTGATGTATTAGTCAAGGTTTTGCAGAGAAACAGACCTAATAGGATGGAGGGAGGGATAGACAGATAGATTAATTGACTGATTATAGGAATTGGCTCATTAAATTATGAGGCCAAGAACATCCACCATCCACCATTTGCCAGCTGCAGAACAAGGAAAGTCAGTGGTGTAATTTATTCCAAGTCCAAAGCCCTGAGAACAGGGTTAGAGGGTGGGGCTAGTGTAAGTCATGGAGTCTGAAGGCCTGAGAACCAGGAGCTTCAGTGTCTGAGGACAAGAGAAAATGGATGTCCTGCTCTAGCATACAGAGAATGAATTCACCCATCTCCACCTTTCTGTTCTATTCAGGCCCTCAATGGATTGGATGATACCCATCCATGTTGGTGAGGGAGGATCTTCTTTACTAAGTCTACTGATTAAAATGCTAATCTCTTCTAGAAACACCCTCACAGACACACCAGAAATGTTAAACCAGTTATCTGAGCATCTCTTAGCCCAGTCAAGCTGACATATAAAATTAAACATCACAACTGAGGATTGTTTTTTTTCTCTTTTAACAACTAAATATTTTACTCCACTCTCTTCTTGTCTGCATGATTTCTGAAGAGAAGTCTGATATAATTCTTATCCTTGTTCCTCTATAGGATTTTTTTTCCTCTGGTTTCTTTAAAGATTTTTTTTGTCTTTGATTTTGTATACTTTGAATATGATATGCCTAGGTGTAGAATTTATGGTGTGTATCCTGCTTGGTGTTTTCTGAGCCTCCCAGATCTGTAGTGTAGTGAGGTATCTCTAATTGATTTGGAGTAATTTTCAGTTACTATTGCTTCAAATATTTATTCTGTTGCTTTTTCTCTTTCTTCTCCTTCTGATATTCCCATTATGCATATGTTATACCTTCTTAAACTGTCTTATAGTTCTTGGATTGTATGTTTTTTAACTATCTCAGAGTTCTTAGATATTCTGTTGTTTTATTCTTCTTTTCTCTTTCTGGTTCAGTTTTGAAAGTTTCTATTGACATTTCTTCAGTGTCTCCAGTTCTTTCCTTGGCCATATCCAGTCTATTGCTGAGCCCATCAGAGGCATTCTTCATTTTTGTTACAGTGTTTTTTATTTCTAACATTTGCTCTTGATTCTTTCTTAGAGTTTTCATCTCTTCTTACATTACCTGTAGTTTGCTTTTTATTGGATATCTATTTATTATATATACATACTTTTAATGAAGCATAATAAATATATGAGAATGTGCACATATCAAAGTCACAACTGTGCCAATTTTTACACTGTTCACTTTTGTAAACAATACTCAGATCAAGAAACAGAACTTTAGCAATAAGAACATAGCAACAAAGTGCCTTCTCGTCCTCCTTCTTTCTAGTTACTGCCTGCCTCTTCAAAAGTTACCCTTGCTGACTTGTAACTACTAGACTAGTTTAATCTATTTTTGGACCTTATATAAATGGAATCATGCAATTATATATATATATTTATTTTTATGACTGGCTTCTTATTTTCCACATTATGTGAGCAAGATTCATCCATATTGCTGTATATAGGTTCTCACTACTTCATAATCTATATTGTATTTCATTATGTCACTACAACAAGGTTTTTAAAAAATTTATACATGGCCGGGCGCGGTGGCTCATGCCTGTAATCCCAGCACTTTGGGAGAACTGAGACGGGTGGATCACGAGGTCAGGAGATCGAGACCATCTTGCCTAACACGGTGAAACCCCGTCTCTACTAAAAATACAAAAAAATTAGCCGGGTGTGGTGGCAGGTGCCTGTAGTCCCCAGCTACTCAGGAGGCTGAGGCAGGAGAATGGTGTGAACCCAAGAGGCGAGGCTTGCAGTGAGCCAAGATTGCACCACTGCACTCAAGCCTGGGCGACAGAGCGAGACTCCGTCTCAAAAAAAAAAAAAAATTTATACATGTGTGTTTCTATGTGTGTGTGTGTATGT
This sequence comes from Homo sapiens, assembly GCF_000001405.40. Classification (NCBI taxonomy): domain Eukaryota; kingdom Metazoa; phylum Chordata; class Mammalia; order Primates; family Hominidae; genus Homo; species Homo sapiens. The sequence goes on from NC_000007.14 coordinate 133,922,901, forward strand.
GTGTACATGTAATTGTGTATTCATACATTCATCATTCTGCTGGGCTCTTGGAACTATTTCACATAGTGCTATTGTGAATATCCTGGGTTTTTTTTTTTGATAACCATATATGTGCATTTTGGTTGGGTATATCCTAGGAGTAGAATTTCTGGGTAATACAGTATGCATATGTTGAGTGTTAGTATACACTGCCAAATAATTTTCCAAAGTGGTGGTAAGAGTTTACACTTTTTTTTTTTTTTTTTTTGAGACAGAGTTTCGCCCTTCGCCCAGGCTGTAGCGTAGTGGTGCAATCTCAGCCCACTGCAACTGCCACCTTCTGGTTTCAAGAGATTCTCCTGCCTCAGCCTCCCAAGTAGCTGGGATTACAGGCACCCACCACAACGCCTGGCTGATTTTTGTATTTTTAGTAGAGACAGGGTTTCACCATATTGGCCAGGCTAGTCTCGAACCTTGTGATCCGCCCACCTCGGCCTCCCTTATAGTGTTGTATGAGAGTTCTAGTTGCCCCATATCTCACCAGCACTTATTTTTTTATTTTAGCCAGCCCAGTAGGTTTGTAAGGGTATCTCTTTATCATTTAATATGCATTTATCTCTTGAACAATGAACTTGAACACTTTTTTATGCACACGTATTTATTGGCCATTTGAATATCCTCTTTTGTAACATATTTGTTCAAATCTATTGCCCATTTTAATTAGCTTGTCTGTCTGTAGCGATTTTTAAGAGTTCTTTGCATATCTGGATGTAACATCTTTGAGATAGACAGATAGACCAACAGATCTTCTCCCACTGTACAGGCCACCTTTTTTACTGTCTTAATGGTGTCTTTTACTAAACAGACTTTTTAAAGTTTTAATAAATTTAATTTGTTATTATTTATGGACAAGACATTTTGAATCCTATTTAAGAAATCTATGATTTACCAAAGTCACAGAGATGTTTTCTTCTAAAACCTTTATTGTGCTGAATATATTTTCCCCCTGCATCTGATATAAATGATAAGCTTTTACATTTTTATTTCCTCTACCTGTTCTCTTCCCTTCATTTGCATCATGTTGTCATGACTATAGTGTAGAGAGTAACTTGAGGGTTTTTTTTTCTATCAAGACAGGTAAAGAATGATTGAGAGATCGATTGGTTAGAGCCCTGAGTAGAAATAATTAAACTGACCTTAGGATAAAGGTCAGGCCACAAGGCTCCACTCTTTCACAGTATTACCATAATATTTTCCCACTGCCAGATTTTGAAGATGCCTGGGTGAACATGTCCCCACTCGTTCTCCGTAAGCATACTCATCTAACTACAGCTGTCAACCTTAATAGTTGCGCTACAAGCAGTTTCTGGAAGAAAAATTATTTTTTCCCAACTTTACAGATTATTTTAAATGACTAAATATCTTTTTCTTCTTGTTCCTCAGCTTATTTTTGTGTAACTCCTTAATTGTATTTTATGCTTGACAATGGGATTTTCCATCAGTCTTATAGGTATCTTCAATAGCTTAAATTGAAGGGAATGCTTTCTAGCCTCATTCCAGAAAAGAGAATACTGATCCAAAGAAATGAATTTTTACCCTTCATGCTTCTGATTTAAAAAAGCTAGAATCAAGGTCCTGGCTTTCTTTATTCTTATTTTGCTCACTGAGTTGTATCACTTTCTATCTTAAATTTGAAGGCAAAACAAATTAAATGTATATTTCTTAATACATGAAGCAAAGTGTAATCTTAAGTGTATAACTAAATGTAATGTTATATCTCATTATATACCATCCCAGATCAAAATATACAATTTTTCTAGTATCCCAAAAAGTCCTGCTCTCAAAGTAACCACTATTCTCACTTTCATCCCATAGTTTAGATTTACTTGTCTTTGAATTTTATATAAATTTAATCATAGCATCCAATTTATTTTGTTCAACATTATGCCTAAAGGATTTATCCATGTTTTTGCATGTAGAGATGGCTTGAAAAACAAACTATATTTGCCTTAACAAAAGAAAAGTAACTTTTAGGTCTATTTGGTATATGATTGACTCTTTCCTTTTAACCTGTCACATTCTCTATCCCAATTAGAAGTCGAAAGCAAAGTTAAGTAGAAGAGGACACTCTTCATTGATATTCCAATGTGGTAGACTTGACAGAGTGCCTTGATTTAGCACTTTAGAGTACCATAGAATATGGCATGAGCCAAAAAGACTGAAAAGTCACAATCTCCCCCTATAATTAGTTTTTAAAGCTCAGAGGGCTGCTTGGCACATAGATGAATATAGAATCCATTGCCCTTTGCATTGAATAAAGGTTACGTTCCCTTCATTACTAAATGAGGCTCTTTTCTATTCTTGTTTTTTAACTAAAAAATAAAATGTATTATTTCCAGGCTTAACTTTGAATGGAGAGAGGAAAAATAGGTCACGCAAGGGCTTTCATAGAAAAAAGAAAAATAGCAAATATCCTTTTATTCCCAAAGAAGCTGAAAGCAGGCTTTCTAGCCCATTGTCTTTGCACCTGCCATATATATGTATATATTTATCCTTTTGAGATCAATGATTATCTGCTGATAAAAGGCATTCCTGCTTTCTGGAGATGTAATTAACAGAAGGGATAAGGTGTTGGGGAAGCAAAGAGGACAGGGAAGGAGCTAGGGAGGCCATGTGTATTAGAAAAACAGCCCCCACCCCAAATGGTTACCCTCATTTCATTCATACCCTGAATGAAAGAAGAAGAATCAGTTCTCTGGAGCCTGGTTTGAAAATTCTTAAGTGGATAGGTGTGATTGGTAGGACCTGGAGCAGAATTTTCAGGTGATAAAGGTCAAGCAATATATAAAACCTACAGATTAGTCTTGAAAGATGCACAATAAAGAATTAAGATTGTGCCTGTAATCCCAGCACTTTGGGAAGCCGAGGCGAGTGGATCACAAGGTCAGGAGTTCGAGACCAGCCTGACCAAAATGGTGAAACCCCGTCTCTACTAAAATAGAAAAAAAAATTAGCTGGGCATGGTTATACGTGCCTGTAATCCCAGCTACTCAGGAGGCTGAGGCAGGAGAATTGCTTGAACCCAGGAGGCGGAAGTTGCAGTGAGCCGAGATTGCGCCACTGACTGCACACCTGCCTAGGCAACAGAGCAAGACTCCGTCTCAAAAAAAAAAAAAAAAAAAGAAGAAAAGAACTAAGATCATGCAGTTTATTCCAGCAGTCACAGCAATAAGAGTGGTCAGTGCCTGGCACAGTATAGCAGCAGTACGAATTTTCAGGAATTATTATTCCTACTCAACATATGAGGAAACTGAGGTGCAGAGGAAGTAAATGACTTCCCCAAGTTCACACAGCCACTAAGTGACAGGGCTAGAATTTGACTCTAGGTAATTGACTCTGACTTCCAGAGCCACCACACTATGCTGACCAGCCTAAAAATGGATCAGGAATTTGTGGATTTTGACATTTGAATTATTCCTTTATTTTCATTGATCATCATAATCTTGACTGATATTTGAGTCATTTTATGCTAATGTCACAGACATTTATCATATAAGCATTTTGACTCTAGATTTTGTTATCATTGGTATTCATTATATTATACCTGATGTATTATATTGTTACAGGTTCTCTCCTTTCCAATAACAGGTTGTTAAACAGAATATCCAGCTATACTTGGAGGAAAAATAATCTATTGAATATAGGTGCTTTAAAACTGCTTGTCTTATTTTCCTCTGATTTATATGTTTGACTAATCAATGCAAAGAAAAAATAATAATCGTTGTTGAAGATGGGGGAATGAAACATAAAAATGATATAAAATAAATTACATAGATTTTGGGTAGAGGGTGATGCAGTCCTGAATCAGGAAGAGAGACTAAAGGACATTTTGTAGCTATTTTTACTTATTGAGTTATTTAGAAAATAACTTCTTTATTTTATCTGGAGAATCAAATGAGTGGTATGTTTACTATGACTACCTTTTGTGGTTTTATGAAATTAGGAAGTCAACATGATTAACAGCAAAATATTCATTTCCAGCAAGCAAGATGGTTGATCTTAAGTTATTATTTGGCACGAGTCATATATTAAATGTTCAGTGAAAAAGGAATAAAAGCAGAAAGCAGGTTTGCACTTTTACTTTTCTTCTGTGGAATCCTCTTAGTATGCTAAGAGGTCCTCGTACCATAGGTCCTCAGTAAACGTTGAATGAATGAGAAGGATCAGCCCCTCCTCAAATGAAAGAAATAAAATGTAAAAAAAAAAAAAAATGGGGAGGCCTCAGCCTTCAGTGAACTCTCTGAAAGTTACATGCATAGTAAGAAATTCCCTTTGGAAAGCCACTGGCCTACATTCTGGTCCTCAGCACCATCATTAACTAGTTTGTTTTGTTTTTGTCCTTAGTAGGTCTTTATACCTCTTCAATTTTTTCATCCAATTCAGATTAAACAATTCTAAGAGATGCAGAAATCTAGCAGAGCCAGGAATGTGTTTAGATGTGGAAATTAGATGAATAAAGTAGAGCATAAATGATTTTCAGAAAAGTTCCTGTTGGGAATTTGAAAGGTTCTCAACGTAATATAAGCAACAGCTGTTAAAAGTTTCCAGCTAACTATAGCTATTGAAGAATCTTCAGATAAGTTTGAAGGAGTAAATGAAAGGGGCGAAGCAGGAAAAAAAGACTTTAGCTATCTTGAACAAAGTGTTCATATTTATGTTCATAAATTGGAGACATTTATTTCATTATCTCTGGATGCTTAATATAACTTTTAAAATATAATTATAAAAGGAAAGATAAATCAGAAAACATGAATATATTAAATAAGTGCAAGAGTAAAAAATGCTTTACTAAAATATTTTCTTTGCTGCAGTTAAATGAGATGAAGGTCATAGATGGATATAGAACGCTGCCAGGCAAGTCTGGATGAGAAGCTGACTTAAATCTCAAAACTAAACAGAAAAGACAGGTCATTAACTGGAGACTCAGCTGCAAACATATCAATTAATGTTCAAGATGATTGAATTAGGCATTTTGTTATTATATGAAAATGATACCATTCTTGTTAGCATAAGAGTGGCAGTAAATGGAAGAAAACAAAATTTAAAATCTCCCCTACACATCACATTAATGCTAGTGTATTTGGACAATTATTTGAGAATTATAATTATCTGTTAGTATCATTAAAGTGTCACTAATTTGTTTTCTAAATTTCATTTTTATTTAATTTTAGATATAATTATTTAATTTTTTTCCATTAAGGTGGACATTTAATACCATTCCTCTTTCATTTGAGGCTTAATGAAAGAAAAAAATGCAATTCTTCCAAGGTAGTCCCACTTAGCCCTTGAGAAAGTCAGGCTGGCAGTGGTCACCTGTGCCATTGTGGTGGTGGGCAGGATGCCTGTGATCAAGCCTGGGTAGGTTGCAGGCAGAAGTGTTCCTGAGACAAGGGCAAGCGGTGAGACGCTCTAGTAGCACTGCCGAAAGCCCGTGCCTGCTGTAATCTTGGCCCCACTCTGTCTCTGCTGATGCCTGTTCTCTGCTGCAAGCTGAAATTCCCTGCCAGCGGGTGAAGGACCATTTGCCTCCTCACATCTGTCTTTCTCTCCCTGTTGAATTGTTTCCACTTCCTAGTCCACCATCCTCTTTCATACTCACCTTTGCCATCAAGATTCAGCTTAGGTATCAACTCCTCCAGCATCTCCTCCCAGAAACCCTCCTCCCGCTCCACGCTGCACCCTCCTCCCCTCACTCACAGTCTGTGGGTGAGTCAAACCAGTAAGCAGACCCTTAATAGTGTGGTGAGTGCTACTGCTGGAGGGAAAAATATGGATAAACCTACACAGAAGAGGCCAGAGAACTAAAAAGCATTAGAAAGAGGAAGGGGATGGAGTTGGAGCTCAGAGGAGGGGGTCCTCACCCATCCATCAAGCAAGAGGTCAGAAGACAGTGTCTAAAATTAACATCAACAAGTAGCCGTTTCAACAGATTCTTTAGAGAGATGGTGAAAAACTACTGGAAGAATTTAGAAACAGTAGTACCTTTTTTTTTTTTTTTTTTTTTTTTTTTTGAGACGGAGTCTCCATCTGTCGCCCAGGCTGGAGTGCAGTGGCACCATCTCGGCTCACTGCAACCTCCGCCTCCCGGGTTCAAGCGATTCTTCTGCCTCAGTCTCCCAAGTAGCTGGGACTACAGGCACGCACCGCCACACCCGGCTATTTTTTGTATTTTTAGTAGAGATGGGGTTTCACCGTATTGGCCAGGCTGGTCTTGAACTCCTGACTTCGTGATCTATTCGCCTTGGCCTCCCAACGTGCTGGTATTATAGGCATGAGCCACCACGCCCGGTTACAGTAGTACCTTTTTAGACAGTTATATATGGTTGTTTCTGGGGCACAAGACTGAGACTGGGGAGTGGTAGGACAGTGGGGTCACTACTGATTAGTGTAGGTTATTTAACCATGGGTAATTATTCCTTTGGTTTAGAATTGTTATTTGTTTTAAAAACAATTCTCCACACATCCTCAAACCCTGTGACTGCTCTGATAGTTACCTACTGCTCCCAAATACACTGTCATTCTAACACTTCTATCCCAGAAAAAAAAAATGGATCATCTTAAGCCATTTTCACTTTTTTGCCAATTTTACACAAAGCATTTACTCTTCTTTATAGTATCTCTGTTTTTTTACTTTCCAGCTTTTATTTTAGATTCAGGGGTGTGTATGCAGGTTTGTTACATGGGTAAATTGCATGTCATGGGGATTTAGCCTACAGAATATTTTGTCACCCAGTTAAGAAACATAGTACCCGATGGGTAGTATTTTGATTCTAACCCTCCTCCTACCCTTCACCCTCAAGTAGTCCCATGTCTACTGCTCCCTTCTTTGCGTCAATGTGTATCTCATTTTGCCCCTGCCAAGGTTCACATCTCTCTCTTCCTTCCTCCTAAAACCCCCTCCCCTGCTCATTCCTCATCCCTTCTCTTCTCTATTCCAAGAGAAGAGAAACCTTACCTGACACCTCCTTGCTTTTGCCTGAGGTCAATTGTTTAATGTCTCTGCTCTGAACAGATTTCAATTCTTCAAGAGGAAATCATATGGCAATTTGAGAAATAACCAGGATAATCAATAAGCTGGTATACTCAGGGGAAGGAGTTCAATGCTATATAAAGTATGGCTTTTAAACCTATACTCAGTAGTGGAAAAATCAGAGTATAATGTGTTCAACTTATAATAAGTGATTATTGGTTATTTTACTCCTATCACCTGGTAATCTATTTTGAAGTTCAGGAATTCTTTTTGGAAAGTTACTGTTATAATTATGCACTGTATCATGCATGTTATACAGTGACTCCTGGCAGAAAAACTGCATACCTACAGAAGTCCTAGCGCCTAAAGAAAAAACATGAACCTAATTGTTTATACCTAGTGTTGCTTGACAATATCTATGAAGCAAAGTTAGTGGCCAAGCTTATTTGAGTGTCTTAGCTAAAGAAAGATGCATTCTTTTTCCAAACTCATAGAGCATTTCCATGCAATTGTGTTCCAAGTCTACATATCATAACTCTGAGCTGGTGCTGTCAGCATCAAAGTAACATGCTGCTTTGCAGTTAGCTTTTTGCTTAGTTTCTAGTATCAGTTTTCATGGAATTTTTTCATTGTCTTTACCCACTGATACATCAGTGTACTCTTCTGCTTGGTACCAAAAACGGGGATACAAAACGTGGAGAAACCCTGGGACTGAGCCTTGGGTTCCTGCCCTCTGTGCCACTAACTCCCCGTGTATCCCCTCCTCCTCTGCACCTCCAGCTCTTCCTCTGTAAACGACAACCTGTGAGTCTCCAACTTATTGGCTATTTTTTTCTTAAGTGATGTTTGTGTGTGTGTGTATGTGTTTATGTGTATTTATTTGTTTTAACTAGCCTGTTAGGTCTTATTTAACATCCAGTAAAGCTCTGTTTTTAAGCCAGATATTTATGCTTCAGAGTAGGTTGGAACCCCTTGTGTAATCACCTAGTATATTTCTACCCATTTTGTGGAACTTTGAATATAATTGTACTATTTTTAGTTACTACTTCAGGTTCTAGTTTACATTTATGGCATTTTTTTTTTCAAGCATTCGTCATTTATTTGATGTCTCAGAAACACAACCTTCAATTGTAAAGCTGTTTTAAAAGAAAATTTGGTCAATTATTTGATAATTAACTATTTTCCAGTGAGGTTTCCAGAAAAACATTGTCATACAACCAAAAGCTGCCTGTAATTGCTTTTGAAAGGATCAAGTTCTTAGATAAACTCAGGATTCAACACTGATATCAAAGGCATAAGGTTAATGACCAGGGTGCCTAGCCGGTTTTATTGTTCTAGAATTTAAGTGTTTAATGACAGACATCATATGAGTCACCCAATAGTGGCTCAATAAATACTTGTTGAATGAATGTATGTCTGTATTCATGTGCTACTTGATATATAAGTAATGGATTCAAATAAGAGAAAGGATAGTGTAGGAGGAATCTCAGAATATGGAGTACAAAGACTTAATTGTTTGCCCAAATTCTGAGCTGCAGTTTTATATTGGCAATTGAAAATTACTCAGAAATAAAAAAGTTAACTATTTAAAATATAGAATATATTGTTAATAATATAGGCAAAAGAACAAAAGTTATGCTGCTAGGAAAGAAAAACTGTAACTTAAACTAAAAGTATAATGATAGAGAAATTTTAAAGAATTTCTTCTCATACACGTTATATAGAGCTGAGTCAAATAGGAACAGGTGTTTTCAAAACATAATAAATCTCTCATACTAATGCATTTGAACTTATCACACACCTTGACCTGTGATTAACATCTTGGCCTCTAATTGGAGAAGCTGTTCGAATCCTGGTGTTCTGCTACCAACCCAGCCTCCATAAGGGTGATGTGTTTGTGTCTTTCTTTTAGACCAGGAGCCTGCATGGTGGCAAAGCTGCCTTAGCAGAATGGTGTCTGCAATTTACTCTCTAGACCTTTGCCTCTGCCATAGCCTTGGTAACTCTAACCTTGCTTCTTCTAGAAGAGGCTAAATTATGCATAATAGTTTTTCTGTGCTCAGCCTTAAGAACACAGCACATAAACCACTCCAAAATACTTACACAAGGACAGAAAGATAGACTGACAGAAGAAACTATGCATTTATGCGTTCCTGGATTGAACATGTCAAAACGTAACTGACTGTCATTCTAAATTTTCTCTCTCCAGTTCTGAAATTAAAATGGCAGAGACAGTTTGCGGGGATTCTGATTGCTTTCGTAATATTGCTTAAGTTTGTAATTGGTGCATTAACTTCTTATCGTACATGTTATATTTTGTGTAAAACCTTCATTTCCAGAAACAGCACGCTGGGAAGAAACTTAAAGAGCACTGTCAAGGGGTCTATGTGGAAGTGATTCCCAGGAGCTCACCATCTTAGGAACTATTTTGGACAGGAGTAGGAGAGATACTGATTTTGAAAAACCCAACAAAAAATTCTTTTTCTCACTTCTTATTTGTTCCCTGAGCTTAATTAACTCTTTGTTGTTATTTTAGAAATTTGAAAAATAGTAAACCCACAGAAAAGTTAACAGTGCAGTGAATGCATATGTACCATATACTGACTGAGATTTCCTGACCACTGACATCTTGCTATACTCACTCTATACTATCTCCAAATATATACACACATTTCCTTGCCAAACCATTCAAAAGTAGGCCACAGACATAATGGCCTCTATTCTTAAACTCTTTAGCATGCATTTCCCAAGAAGAAAGACATTCTCTTATGTACCCATATCATTACCATATGTATTAGTTTTATGTTGCGGCCTTGTAACCAATTACCACTGTTGTCAATAGTCTTGGCCATTTGAGTCTGTCCTGACCTTTCCCCTGCTCTGTTCTTTATTACAGGGGAACTGACTTTGCAGGCAGCATTTCCTAGGCTCTTAGGGCAGTTATCTCAGGTCTGGGCTCAGCAATAGGAAGTGGTGATGAAAGATTTGGGGAATAGGACCAGGAGAGAGAGAGAGAGAGAGAGAGGGAGAGAAAATAAATAAAATGTGATCAGATACAGCACAGGTCTGCAGACCAATCCCTGAAACCTTTTGTAATGTTTCGTTCATAATTGCATCAGGTCTGCTGAAAGCGCAGATTTTTTTTTTTTTCTTTTTTGCTTTCCTTTCAGTAGCTAACAGAATTCTTTAAAGACTAAATGGAGACAATTTTGAGCATCTTTGGCAAAATTTCCTTAAATGAATTCTTGTCAGATAGACCTTTTTAAAGATTGTAATTGTGTGGTAAAATTAAGTTAAATAGGTTTAACACTCCTGGCAAAATTACCTTAAATGAATTCTTGTCAGATAGAGCTCTTTAAAGATTATCAATAATTATGTGGTAAAAATTAGGCTTAACAGGTTTAACATTCTTCTTTAGTTTCATAGGCTTCTATGTGAGCCTGTTGGCCAACTGATTTGGAAGGCAAGTCCTCAGATGGGATCCAGTACCCAAAACATTCATGTTTTGAGTTCTGATTTCTGCTCCTGGCTGTGTCAGATCATCTTTGAGCAATTGCTGAGTGCCTGTTACCTCTGAGTTTCTGTTACTTCACCTTCTGAAGACAATGTTAATTTGCTGCCTGTTTCACTCAAAAATACATAGTGTCTTCATTAAATAATGTGTTATCATAATAAGCAGAAGATGAAGGGTACATAAAAATTCAGGCCTAGAAAGTGGAAATAATACTGTCCAGTTGCCAGGCAGCAGCCATTCTGGCTGCGAGGTCTTCTGCAGGGGACAAGTGACTGTGTCTTCCGCAAGCCTGGAGCCACCAGTCCAGACCAGCTTCAGGCCAGTGCGCCCATTGCCTCCCACCTTGGCACAAGTAACTAATACCCAATGTCCTCCAGTTTTATGTGCTGGGATTCCTGGCGTGCCCATTTGAAAGTTCTCTCATATGTGGTGAGACGTTCCGTTTTTCTCTTCACTAAAACGTGAAGTTGTTTTTTGGAGAACATATGGACAGTATAGAAAAGCACAAAGCATGATACATTTCTGCAGTTGACATTTTGGCATATAGATATCCAACCTTTTTTCTGCTCATATATTTATTTATTTTCTTAATATCATACAGTACCTATAGTTGTATAAGTTTATTTTACACAACTGCATATCATAATGAAAAATAAGCTACACCAAACATTTTTCTGTGTTACCAAGTTTTTTATATACATAATTCCTAATGACTTCATGGTTTTCCATAGTATAGATAGATCATAATTTAATAAATCAGAGGGATTGGAAAAAAATCTGTAGTCAAACAGCTAAAGCCATCCCTTTAAAGTTATTCTAACACATAAAAACCTTCCACCAAGCTCTTTGACACACACAAATCCTCGAAGGAATGATTTTTTGTGTGAAATGGTTATAGCTGTCAATCACTTATTCTCTGTGTCATGGTTTCTGTGCTCTTTTCAGGTTGTTAGGGGGTGATTATGGATTCCTGTCAAATGAGATGTCTGCTGTGTATTCAACATGAAGCAGTTTGTATTTTTCTCAGTCTATTGCTCTCCTGTCTGAGGAGGTTAAGCAAATCCCAGTGAGCCAGAGGGAAACGGGATAGGCATCAAGCGCTGGCAGCACACGGCAGACATGCCCAGGGCCCAAGATCCCCACTCAAGCAGATTAGACTTCTTACATAAATACATTTGTCTTAATTGTCGCATTCCACCTAGGGCTACACCTAATATGCATAAAAATGGCTCCAAGCCTGGTTTTCAAAGCCATTTGCCCCCCGCTGTTGCTTTTTCACCACCCAGCTCAGAGGCATTTTTTGTGTTATATCTATCACAGATGATTAAGGGGCTCGAAGAGTTGATATATAAGGGCAGATTAAGAAAACTAAATATTTACAACCTGACTGAGTGACAGCCAAGGGAAATACTGTAAATGTCTTCTGGGCTCAAATCACGGAGGAGACATTGTTTTGCTTTTCCTAGTAAGTGGATTTTAGAGCTATCCAAATTCAGAGAAAGTTTTCTTGGGATGACATCTCGTATGCTAATTAGATAAATGAGTCAGCTAGAAATTGCATTTAGCAGCTACTAACAGAAACTTGAAATAGCAGTGGCTTAAAGAAGTAGGGTTTCATTTTTCTCTGCTATGACATGAAGCTCAAAAGCATTTTTATTGTCTGGGACTGCACTATTGCTCCATGATGGCATCAGTGCACCATTGCCCCACCATCTTTGGGCTCCATTATGCTCAGCACTGGCTTCCATACTCAAGGTCACCCGATGTTTGAGAAGAGCTACTGCAGCCCCAGTTGCCGTGGCTTCATTCCATGAAGAGAGAAGGCAAAAGAGTCTCTGCCAACTAAGATTGCTTAAGAGAGCTTCCTTGATGCCCATCTACTGATTTCAGTTTACATCTCACTGGCCACCACATCTGCAAGAAGGGCAGGAAAACTTGGTGGGGTTTTTTGTTTTGTTTCATCTTAAGTTGGGCACATTGCTGACCCCAACAACATCAGGGTACTTTTACCAAGAACGCATGGGATAATGGATACTGGGTAGGCAGCTAATGGTTTCTGTCACAATAATTAACATCTTGAAAATTCTGATGAAAGTCTGGGCTGTAAGACGCTGTGGTTGGTATTTGTAAAACTAGCCCTTGATATGTAACATACTTCCTCCTGCTCACTCTTACCTAAATTCATTCATCATCCCACTAAATAAACTAGCCATCTCAACAGACCTAAGAATAATAACAACAATAGTTTTTACCAAGTAAAAACTGTTTGCACTGTGTTATGCACTTAAAAGCATCCCCTGAATGATTTGCCTTAAAATATTCTAAAGTGGTGATGGGGAGGCATAAATAAGGATAAATGGAATAAGACTTCCATGAGTTGCTAATAGTTGAAGCTGGAAGACAGTTACATGGGGGTTTGTTATACTCTTCTTTCTACTTTCATAATTATTGAAATTTTCCCAATGAAAAGCTTTAAAAATCACACTTAATCCTTACATTACTTCATATCAGGTCAGTTCTTTTACCTCCAGATAATAATGCTTGGAGTTAAGCAGTGTCACACAACAAGCAAGTGGCAGATTCAGTATTCAAACCTGGGTTTATCTCACTTTGAAGTCTGTGTCCCACCCTTGCCACTCAAGGAAAACACTTTTCAGACAAGCAGCCTGGGCATCACCTGGAAATCAGTTAGAAATGCAGAATTCAGGGCCCCACCCCAAGACCTTTTCCAAGCCCCTCAGATCAGATTGGTGCACACCCACATTCCATGCGCTCGGTTCACTGCTCTTCATTGCCTCAACATCAACTGTGACGTTTCCTTTAAAAAAGATAACCCTCGGCTAAAATAAGGAGGCTAGTCGTGACTCATTACTTGGTAGGATAAACATTTTAGATAACGATTTGATTCACAGCAGTTGTTTCTTTCAACATTGGGCATCTGCTGTAGTGCTGGGCACTAAACACCTATGTGTCAATTAAGCATCTTTCTATGTGTCAACAATTTTTATTAATCACTGCATGCTCGAAACTTAATTTGGCTTGTTCTAGTTAAATTAAGCCCTTGCTTCTTCTCAGGTAAGGTGTGTGAGATTTTAAAAGCCTTGGGTCTTACAGAAAACTCTCCAGGTGCCTATTTCAACCTCCTCCAGCATCAGCTCTGCTTACCCACCTGTGTGTAACTTTCTTGATTTTTTTCCCCTAACATTCTCAGTCATCTTTTTTGTTTTGTTTTGTTTTTGTTTTGTTTTTTTGGAGACAGAGTCTCATGCTCTGTTGCCCAGGCTAGAGTGCAGTGGCACGATCTCGGCTCACTGCAACCTCCGCCTCCCGGGTTCAAGCGATTCTCCTGCCTCAGCCTCCCTAGTAGCTGTGGCTGTAGGTGCATGCCGGCACGCCTGGCTAATTTTTTGTATTTTAGTAGAGACGGGGTTTCACTGTTGTTGCCCAGGCTGGTCTCGAACTCCTGAGCTCAGGCAATCCACCTGCCTCAGCCTCCCAAAGTGCTAAGATTACAGGCTTGAGCCACTGCGCCCGGCCTTCAGTCATCTTTTCTAATTTTAGCCCTCTTCCTTTTTAAAAGGAAAGAGAGCTGTGGAAATTAGGAAGCCTGAGTCCTAGCTTTGCCACTCATGTGTCATGTAGGCAGAACAGTTAACTGTTGGAGCCTCCAGTTCTTCATCTCTGCAGTGGCTGAGCTATATGATCTCAGGTCCCTTCCAGCTTCATCCTTTGTAACCCCCTGTAACTTGATTTTTCAACCCCGCCCTGCCCCCTGCAAAACATTTTGAAGATATTGGGCTCTGCGTGAAACCCACTAGATTATATTTTTCCAGTCAGTAAAAGGATCCCAGCATTGATTTTTTTTAATTGGTTTCTTTTTCCAAATGCTAAATGCCTTAATACTTATACTTTATGTGTGTTGGATCCTTTTTAGAACAACTAAGTAAATGAATAAATGAAGCCTGTCATCCATCTCAGTTGTAACCTCCTCTTTTAAAGAGGCTGGATCGTCTTTGCTTTTGAACATTATTCAATATTTTCTAGGTGCCAGATTAACTTGGTTATTTTATTTTCACTACAATAAACTTTAAACCATGTACATATTTAACACCCTAAGCTGTTTATCAACTTCTATAGCATAAGAAGAGGCAAGGAAAACACCTACAGGAGAGCAGTATAGACGCCATCCCCAGGAACCGTCACTGTATAAATCAGGCCCATACTGGTCCCTGTTGAAGGCACAATCATTGGAGTCACTTATTTCTTCTTCCAAGAACTTTTTCCCTTATCAGAATCATGTTAAGCAGGCATGTGATAGTTGTCTCACAAAGTTAAACCTAGGAAAAAGAGCACGCTGTAAAATAGTGCTCATGTCAGTCCTTGTGCTAGGTGTGCCTAAAACAGTGTTGCCCGGTCCTACCTTTTCCATGCTGTATATATGAAGTGTGTTTCTGATTTGCTTTTCAGGGCAGCTTTTGGCAAGGAGTCTGAAGTTCTTATTGGGAACCTGGGTGATAAATTAATCCCTCCACAAGACATCCTTCGTGACGTCAGTGACCTCAAAGCCTTGGCCAACATGCATGAAAGCCTGGAATGGTTGGCAAGTCGAACAAAGTCAGCTTTCTCCAATCTTTCTACATCCCAGAGTAAGTATCTAGTAGGAAGCTGTTGTGGGGACAGTTGAGGAACTAGACTGAATGCATTCATTGAAAGATGAGAGTGTACACTGGTCACCGTATGGGGGCGTGTCCCAAGCTGTCAGAAGATCCTGGTTAGAATTCTGCTTGTGTTGCACCTCTTGTACTTTGTGATTCTGGGAAAGGAACTAATCTTGGTTTCCCTGTGTGGAATGTGGGAATCCAGGAAAGGCCCATGTTAATGTGGCTTGATATTAACATGGCCTTAGAAACATAAATTCATCTAGGATTGAGCCATTAAGTCTCAAGAACAGAAAGCAATACCTTTTTTCCTCCTTACAACAACTTCTCAAGGGCAGAAACTGTCTCGGAGCTCAGGGCTGTATGCACAGCTGACATTCTCATTTTACTTGACATAAAGCTAATCTTTTTATTAGTCATAGAAGTGATTAAGGTGCTAGAAAATAGAGTCAATGAAGACAACAATTATTCTGGAAAAAAGATGGCTAAGAGATAGCAATTACAGATTTCAAAGAAATTAAGGAACAGAACATGAAATTAGGGGGAACCTCTTTTTCTATGAAGGACCAGTGACTTAGAGAAAAATAATTTGAAAACTTTAGGGCACATAAACTTTAATAACTATAAAATTATATTTAAAGCATTACTTCAGGAGTATGTATAACACAGTTAAAATAGAGACAAAGAAAACATGATATGAAGAAGGCATAAAGGAAAAGGCAGATTTATTCTTTATTTGTTGAGACAGTCTCACTCTGTTGCCCAGGCTGGAGTGCAGTGGCACAATCTCAGCTCACAGCAACCTCTGCCTCCTGGGTTAAAGCGATTCTCATGCTTCAGCCTCCCGAGTAGCTGGGATTACAAGTGTGCACCACCACACCTGGTCTCAAACTCCTGGGCTCAAGCGATCCACCTGCCTCGGCCTCCCAAAGTGCTGGGATTACAGGCGTGAGCAAGCACGTCCAGACCAAAAGACAGATTTAGATGTGTGAATGGAGAGATAGAAACAGGATAGAAAAAGCAAAAGAAACAGCAGGAAGGATAAGGAAGCAAAATCACCTCTGAATTTAATATTAGGGCTATTAGACAGTTATTAGAAAGAAAACACATTATTTGGACTGTACATGTCAGAGTGAGCTTTTTTTAATCACCGTCATTTGAGAAGGTATTATTACTTGATTAACCATGTTTCCAGCCTAGAGATGGAAAGGTGTGGATTAAATTCACAGAGTAAATTATTCGCTTATCCTCTAAGAGTCTAAGGAACCCCTTGAGTGCTCACTACTTGCATGGCCTCATGCTGATTCTCTGCCTATCCCAAGGGCCAATGCAGGGTGGGAAGAAGGGACTGAAGCAGTGGGCTTCAGAGGGAGATCATAGAATCTGCACCAGAAATCTCCTTAAAATATTACTGCATATTTATACTTTTATTCTTACGTCTTTTATTGAAAATACTACTTATTTTTGAGACAGTCTTGCTGTATTACCCAGGCTAGTCTTGAACTTCTGGCTTTAGGTGGTCCTCCCATTTCAGCCTCCCAAGTAGCTGGGACTACAAGCATGCACCACCATGCCCAACTCTAAAAGACTGCTTTTTATCTGATGATGAAATTATACAAGTTTATTCTCAGAAATCTATAAGAATAGAAAATGTGTCTACCAATTAAGGATAGTTTGGGCACAGTATTACTTTTGAGCAGATTTTACATAAGGAGGTATCCGTAAAGGCCCCTTTAACTTTATAATCCCATAATATCAGGCAGTTCTATTACAAGCAGCAGTTTAAATTATCCATTTTGTCTCCCAAACCCACTCTGCTCCCTTCTCCCCTCTAGAAAAAGTCAGAAAGAACTAATTTTTTCTTTGCTAATTGCAAAATGAGCAGCTCTAAAAAAGGGGCCACTTGCCTCTTTTCCTAGTTTTCTTTGACTTGCAAATGCAGAGCTGCTTAGGTAGTTTATTTAGTAATGTTTGGAAGGGGTGCTCTCATTTAGTATGTCATTAGCATCTAATATTTAATGCTACAATCTCTTATTTCTAATGACATACCATTCTAGATTTCTATTCTGCCCATTCTAAAAGGGCTTCACAAAGCAAGATAGTACATAACCTGTGTAGCAAGCCACTGAGTGATTTACACAGGCTAACCTGGCATCAACTGTTTTCAAAAGGAGAAAGATGCATTCTGAGTTATGCTTAACTTTGTAATTGCACGATTTAGCTGTTGTGTTCATGTCACTGAAAGTACCCAGTAAAGTTGATGTCTAATTCATGCCTATAATCATCTCTGTTATTCTGACAAAGATCTCATCTACCACGCCTGTTAATCCTTTGCCTCATGTGCTCAGTTCCATTTTATAATATAAGTTGTACCCTCTCAGTTCCTTGCAGGGTGATTATTCCACCCAGTGAGTGATTTAAGTAACTGTCAGCATTTTGAGGATCAGTGCAAAACCCAAGTGAACTGTAATCACTACTTATGGTGTCTGCTAAAACAAAGCATCAAGCAAGCCTGGTTTATCCTACTAACAGCAAGCCTGGCTCACCCCCACTTATGTGCTCTTTGAATTCCCAGGAGAGATGCCCATTGATGTTTATAATTTGAACAAAGCAGGGGATTCTCTGATAATGGCTTACTTTGATTGCCCTATGTCAATGTGACTCTAGAAAGGGAACAAGGGGACAGCTTTTTATTATTTTTTTTTTTTTGAAAAGTGAACCAAATGATTACTGCAACAAAAGTGTTTCCAAGTCTGGAGACTAGAGAACATGAGGAAAATGCTCAGCAGGATGGGAAGAACTCAAGAAGATCTTCAGTTTATTTCTTGTTCCACATTCTGTTAACTATTTGGTATGGTAAAGGCCATGTTTTATTAAGCTTAAGAAGCTATTGCTGTGATAGGGTGGAAAAAGTTTGCAGAAAATTATTTTCTTTCTTTTTTTCTTTTTTTTTTTTGAGATGGATTCATGCAGTGGCGCGATCTCGGCTCACTGCAGCCTCTGCTTCCCAGGTTCAAGCGATTCTCCTGCCTCAGCCTCCCTAGTAACTAGGATTACAGGTGCCCACCACCACGCCTGGCTAATTTTTAGTATTTTTAGTAGAGGCAGGGTTTCACTACATTGCCCAGGCTGGTCTCGAACTCCTGATCTCGTGATCCGCCCGCCTCGGCCTCCCAAAGTGCTGGGATTACAGGCATGAGCCACTGCGCCTGGCCGAAAATTATTTTCATAGTAGAATATCTCTTCAGATAGGACAGTAGGAGTCTCATCCACCTGAACATTTCATGTCAGGTATTACATTTAGAAGAAAGTAGAGAAAAAAGTTCTACATTTTAGTTGCAGAGCATGGCTGGCTATACATTGTTCAGGAGGTTAAAACTAATTATTTTTTTCCTAAGGTAATTTTTTCATCTCTTTTAGTGTTTGCCTAAATGTTTCTCTATCTCCTTTACACATAAAAGGGTCTCCTGGTTGTATCTAGCTCCTGACCACACCAAAGGTACCACTCTTGCATTTCCCCTACCACACAGTACACAGTTCCCTGTTCCTTCTCCTCTGGTATTCTCCCCTCAGTCTTTCTGACACTGTTTCTGCTTAAGATTCTTTCAGTTGAAAGTCACAGACTTAATTGAAGGAAAAAGAATGCATTGACTCATACAGCAGATAAATCAAAGGACTTCAAGAGTGGCTGGATCCAGAGGTTCCCAAAATATCGTCAGGTCCCAGGCATGCTTACAGATTCTCTCTCTCTCTCTCTCTCTCTCTCTCTCGGATCTAAGTTTCTACATGTTTTCCTGCATTCATCACAATTTCAACCTTGTAATAAAGGCACAAATAATGCTGGCTCTTTGTAATGCCTGCTGTTTGTAAGATCCCTAAATAAAGACTCCAAAATTGTTATCATTAAGAAAATTCTCAGAACAATATATGACCTACATAAAAATTGTTAGACTATTTTTCAGTTTAACAGTAGTGATTTTCTTTTGCATCTTATCCTCTTGTTTTAAAGATGGATTGTTTTTAAAAATAGACTACACAGAATTTGAAGGAGGCTCAAGGGCTTATTTTGTCACCATGGCTTCCTTAGGGAGGCCCTTCTCTCTATCTTGGATTCTGTAAAAATCTCTGGGATTAGAGATTCTACAACCTCCTTGATTATATATTCTACTCCATACCATCTAGGAAGTCTTTTTTTTTTTTAAGTGAAGCCCCTGTGCTTCAGTCTAAACCTCATTCTTCTTTTGTACTCTCTTCAGAAATTAAATAATTACTATTAATGACTATTTTCTCTATAAAATATTGTAATGCATCCAAAAATATTTCTGTAGCCTCTTCTAATTTTTTGGGCAAATAAATCTCATAGTTTTGGTTGCCAGAATTGGTTTGTGAATTGCAGTATTAGTTATACAATTATTTATATACTTATTTCTTACAGGTAAATTATTGTTAGGTATCTTAGAAATCATCTGGTCTAACTCAGTCATTTTGCATATGAGGAAATTAAGGTCTCAGGGTGGTTATATCACCTGTCTGTGCCAAACTGAGATGGAGCAGGTCTTCAGAATCCCAGTTTAATTTTCTTTCTACTACGTCAGTTAGAGCCACTAATTGGACCGTTCATGCCGTATTCCTATTAAACCATTCCAGCAGGGTTGGCATATTTTGTTTTAATGGAAGCACTTTAATGCTTACAAGCAAGTTGTGGTCATTTCTGATCATTTTCTTGTGCCTAAACAGAATTTCTACACCTAAATATATGGAATTATTGTACAAACCCCTCTTGAATTTCATCTTAGTTGCAATAAAACATTTCTGTAATTTGCCACTCTCTATTTTTGTTTTGCAAGTATTTTCTAAGTTAGAAACTCCATCTGTCTTGTTATCATGCCGTGTAATATATTCTAGATATTGCATTGCCCTATATATTAGCCACTAGCCTTGTGTGGCTATTTAAATTTAAATTAATTAAAGTTAAAAATGTAGTTCCTCTGTCATACTAGCCATGTCTCAAATGCTCAGTGGCTGTTATATTGGACAGTATAGGTATAGAACACTTTCGTCATCACAGAAAGTTCTGTTGGCCAGTGCTGTAGATCATCACTGAGGTCATTGATAAAGGTTAAAAATAATGCCAGTCCATATTCTTAGCCTTTGAAAGATACTTGAAATGCCTACCTAGTTCTATCAAAACATGGTGAACTACTTTAATTGTCCAGCCTCAGATCACATGTACCCTCCTGATGAAGGTTGATGTTTTTGGCTCTGCATTATCAAAATTTCTCCTATTGATGTTAACTAATGCTAAAGGGAAAAGGTTTTGTGATCAAATAGACTTGGAAAATATTAAAGCACATTAAATATAATTCAATACCAGAAAACCTCTAAAATCTTTACTATATTAACCAGATAATTACAGCAGTGGAATGTTTCTTAAACTTACTTTTCAGTGAAATTCTGTTGTCCCAGCGTATCTCACGGGGCTTTTTATCCATGAAACAACTTCTGGGTGACACTGCCCAATGCTATATTTATGTAATTTGTTTAGAATATTTTATTTCTCCCGGCACCATCAGGCTCAGGGCAGATGTTCCACTATTGCGGGAACTTAATTTCATATTATTGGCAAATTTGCATACCATCAGATGACTTATTTTGCAATTTGGTTATTTGATTATTTGATTCATTTAGTGATTTTTAGAAATGTTCAAGTCAGCCAATATAAAATAACCATGGTTTCCCTTTCCGCCTGTTTCAGGCTTGGCTACTGCTATAGTGACCCTTTTCCAGTCATTGTGCTTTTCTCACAATTCTCAAAGATTCTAGCTGCAATTTTATAACACACCCCAATTCATGCAATAATGTCAATGTATCCATGGTGGGGGTCCTGGGATTGATTTATGATAAAAATTTTGTTGTATAATATTTTTAGATTTAGTGTAAAGTTGCAAAGATATTACAGATAATCTCCTTATCTCTCTCATCCAGTTCCCCTATTGTTAATATATTAGTATGATACATATGTTACAAGTAATGAATCAATATTGATACATTATTATTAATGAAAGTCTATACTTAGTTCAGATTTTCTTAGTTTTTCCCTGATCTTCTTTTTCTGTTCTAGGATCTCATCCAGGATATATCACATTTATACCACAGTTTTCCCATATCACAGTTATCACATATATCACATAGTGATGTCTCCTTAGGCTCATTTAGACTGTGACAGTTTCCTAGACTTTCCTTGTTTTTTGTGACCTTGAGAGTTATAGGAATTCTGGTTGGGTATTTGTAGAATCTTCTTCAATCTGGGTTTATCTGGTGTCTTTTCCTGATTAGACTGGGCTTGTGGGTTTTCAAAAGGAAAACTACAGAGGGGAGGTACCATTCTCATGAAATCACATCAAGGGTACATATCATCAGTGTAACTGATTACTGATGATGTCTGGGATTGACTTTGTGCCTCCAATTTGTGTAGTCCTCTCTAGGCAGTTCCTTCCAAATTTTGGATTGACTCTCCACTTTCTGACTACAAATTGCTTATCTTTCTAGTGGCTATTTTTTTAACATGATAGAAGCATCTTATTATAAGCCCAATGTTTGGATGAGTTGAATACTTGCTAAGAAAAATGGTTGTCTACCTTAAACAATTATGCAGTTGATAATGGATTATAATCTTGTGGGTCTGAAAGACTCTGTGGGAGGAGCTGTTTTTTAATACCTTGAGCCACTTGACTAAGGCCTGTAGCTACTTTTGGGTTGCTACATGTGCTAAACATCCCTTAATAAATGTATACAACCATATTAATTTCAAACAAAACCATGCTGACATTAAAAGAGTTTAACTAAATTTCTTCACTAAAAATAAAGTCTTATTTTAACCCATTTTAATTAAACTGTAATGTGCATTGTTGACTCAAAACCCATTCACAAGTGGAACTCGCTTCCTGAGATAAGTCCTTTTAGAGTAGAATACCTCATAATACCGAGCTGCACATCAGTTATAATCAGTTAGAGAGCTGTAAAAATACTGATGTAGAGATTTTGATGTAATTGTTCCTAGGTATGACATGGGCAACAGGCTACACCCCAGACCAATCAAATCAGAGGCAGAGAAACCTATGTTGTAAAGGAGTGGTTTTCAGCCTCATCGCATTAGAAATGCCTGTGCTTTTTAACATATCCCCAGGCAATTTTAACAAACAACCAAGGTTGAGAACCACTGATTTAGAGCCCCTAAAAATTTCTTCTTTAATTTCTGTCACTCTCTATATTTGGGAAATGCTTTGTAATTATTTTGCCAGTTCTTCTATCCTCTGGAGCTTGAGATTAACGTGATTTCCCATTTTACAGAGAAGAACTGTAGGCATGGAGATACGGTACTTCGTGTCCATGCCAGAGTCGGGACCACAGCCTTGCTTAGCAGTTGTTAGCTAAACTGTCACCCAAATCTGATTAACAACAAAAATGTTCCTCTTACACTTTTCAAGCCAGCTAAATGAGAAGGGCACAAGGAATCTGTGTCTCTCAACACAAAAGGCTGCAATTGCCAAACCAATGGAATGAATGTAGATATGTCATTGAAAATAAATGGAAAAGGCCGAGGTGTCGGTCCACCCCCATCCCCCAACCGCACAGTTGCGCAATATTCCAGCATGTTTTTTATGCATTCCCGATGGTGACTTAATATTTTCTATGAGATGGAATGTGAATATTCTCATGCTAGAGCTCACTATCATGGACTCTTTGTGCCTTAATAGTAAATGAAAAATAAAATGCAAATCCTCCAGCTGTTTGTTTTTCTGCCTTGGCACAAATGAAAATAAAAATTTCCCTACCCAAGATCTCTTGGGAATCTGTCGTGTTTCAGGTTTGCTTTTGTCAGACCATTAAGCCGGAGTTTTCCTTGTCATAATTTCATCTGATTCTTTTTAATTAGAACTCTATGCGTGGTAATTCCTCTCTCGCTTCAGTATTTACAAGTTTCAAATATTTGTTGACTGTTATCAGACAGTTCCTCCTCAGCCTACCTTACATGTTTAGTTTCTCTAATCACCTTTCTATGGTTAGACTTTCCGTGCCCTTCATCGTTTTTCATTCTTAGTAGTTGTCATTTTCCTAAGCTGACTTTCATATTGTGGCTTCATTTCTGTCATTCTTCTTTTATTGACGATACCTTCCAAACTCATTGCCATTGGTTGATTTCATGATCATGCTGTTGACTAAGAAAATTAATTTACCATTGGTATTGTATTTTGTTCATGAGCTTCCCACCCCCTGCCTGACTCTAAATATATTTTGGCCTTATCTCATTAACATTACTTGTACTTCTGTTGAGCCTTTCTCTCTTTTAAAAATAATGTCCAAATATATTTCCATGTTGTGCTCAATGTCTCAACTAATGTTTTGTAGGAACAAAAGCACCAACTGATAATTGTATGATGATCCAGTTTTGTTCATTTTCAGTCTTAAATGTACTCTGCTTATATTTACAAACTCGTTGAAACTTATCATAATGAAGAAAGAATTGTGTGGAAAGCCGCTGTGCTTAGCGTGTTCACCTGATTATTCTTAGCTGTCTTCTGAAATCTACGTTATTACTAGGAATGGAGATGCTGCTTGTTCTTTTATTTTCTAAGGAATACCATCTAGACCTCTCTGTCTCCTTCTGTTTATCGTGCAAGCTTCAGACTGACCCCAGTGGGGTTCCCCGTGTTCCTTGGTTTTGAGCATATTTGAAATTGCTGATAACACAAGAGTTACCCCTTTTTTAAAACACATCTACTCTGGTTTTCCCTTTCCTGTCATTGAGTGTCCTCCCTTGGCTCCCCAATCATGGTTACTTTTGACTCTCCTCACATAGCCTTGTCTTCCTATTAATTCATAGAGTCTTTGTCATTCTTATTCCTTAGTCTAGGAGACATATAGCACATATTTGACTTTGAAGTCTGACGAACTTAAGGACAAATCAGGCAAGTTAGGGTATAACCAGGGGGAAACTATTTGGCCTGTCCGAGCTAAATAGGTCTTCTCACCTGTTAAATACAAATAATGATGCATACTCATTGGGTTGCTCTAACTATTAAATGATCTGATGAACTTGAAGTTCTTAGCAGTGTGTGATACACAGTGGGGCTCACTATGGGGTTTCTGGGCTTCCTACCATGAATCTTATCCCTGGAGCTCTCATTCATTGTACTGGGTCTTCCCCTTCCTCCTGCCCCTTCAGGCTTCTCTTTTATCTCAAGTTGTGTGGTTGCTTTCAAAACTGTTAATATGTGTGTTCCTAAATCATTTCCAGTAAATCATGGCTCTCACTCACCAGAGCTCCCAAAATGTTTCTGAGGTCATGGAAGTGTGTCTGAGAATGGGCCTGCACTGGAGGGCCTACAGGTGCTCATCTGAGAAGCCAGGGTTGAATTTGAAAAAGGCACCTTTTGTTCTTCAAAACTACAAAAACAAGGCTCAGCTATTGTTGAAAAACATGCCAAACCCAACCACAATTCCCTCTGTCAATCAGCTGGTCGTTAGTAGAGTTCATTGTCCTGTGCTGATTAGAAAGCAGTACCCCACCCCCCTCCGTAAGGAGGTGATTATCAACTGTGGAGCTACAGAAGGCTAGTGCTGTGGGCATTTCAATGTAATTATGGAGTTCTAAGTACTTGCCCATAAAAAATTATGTGGCTGTTTCTTTGGAAATGCCAACATTTGTACCCATAAGGGAAATATTTTATTAAAATATGATAATATCATGGATGCTTAAGTGTGGTGGCTGGAAGCTGCCAGCTGAATGATTTTATCTTCAAGCAAAACTATAAAATGGAAACAACAAGATATGAAAGAATCTCTGGGAAAGAGGAGAGACAGAAGGAGTTAGAAAGCAAGAGAAGGCTCTAAAATGGCATGCTGAAATTGCAAAGCCAGACAGAGAAGATGGTGGAAATGCAGAATCACCAGAGCCTGAGCCGACACCCAGCACAGCAGAGAGGAGGAGCGGCTGCTGCAGCAGAGTGACTTGAACAAGACATCTGAGTGGATTGATTTGGTTGCCACACAGAACCACGAGTTCCAATGAGGAGCAGTGGAAGATTGTACCTGAAGGCGCTGATTGTGCTATTCAATCTGGCCTCTTATCTAGAAAAACCCTTAGACACTTGGGTGCTTTAAAACCTGGGATAAGCCCAGGAACCAGTGTGAAATCATGACTTAATGAACTCCTCACCAGAGAAAGAGTGTGTCTTTCCATTCTTCACCCTTGAAACTAAGTTTAGATCTACAAAATGCAGTGGGTGAGGGAGACAGATCCTGACAGGGAAATCCAAAAGAAGATGGAGGGCTGGCTGAAGTGACATGGAAGGACTCTCCATTACTTGGTGGGATTGATTTTAGAAAAATGTTCTAAATATAAACTGGATGTGCTTTTTTTCAAACAGCTTCCTTATTAATCAATAGTGCATAAAGACTTTTTCCAGACAGCCCAGGAAAATGTAGCAAAGGGGCGAGATGTGCGAATTGTATGTGTGTAACAGCCCCAAAGGATACTACGGTAATGATAATAGACTCAACATTCAGATTACATTTCAGACTTTCAAGAACCTTTGTAACCACTCATTCTTAATCTCTTATCCCTGCCTCAAGCCGTAGTTGACAGACCAGCCTTTATATTCTCAGTTTTACAAGGCATGAGCATGAAATGCAAAAGTTTGGCAGTTTCCCAAGGTCAAAATCAGTCAATGACAAAAATCCAGACCACATCTGTCTGTTCTCAGAGTGCAGACCAGAGTGTCTGGAAAAACAACATAATCACCTATTACGAGTTACGAGTGACAGAGTTACAAGCACACCAAACCAGCGTGCCTTTGTTTCCCCACGGAGGCAATGCTGTTGTTCAGCTATCTCCCAAAGCTACAGCAGCAAGGCGAATGCAATGCTGTGTGCCTAATATAAATGGTATTTAATAATACACTTTAAAAGGAGGAGTGGAGAAAAGTGAGCTTAACATTATTTGACTCTCTTTCAGAAGCTGAGATGTAAAAGCTGCACCTCTTACCCCCAAAGGACCTATTTTGGACCCAAATTTGGTAGTCATGCATTCAGGGAGAGGTTCTCTTATTATCTTAAATTCAATACTGTGATTTATATTAAATATTGTAAATTATACAATAAAAGATTTCCTTCATATGGGTACAGAGATAGATCAGGTATAGGTCTCTAAGGCACAGTGTTCCTTATTAATAGCAGTTAATTCTGTGTACTAACATCTTTGAGCTCTGGTCGTTGAATCCTAGGTGGATTTGACTAGAGTTCTTAACCAACATTTTAATCCAATTTTTATGAAAGGAAGAGTAATGAGGACTTTTCTCTAAGACTGATGAAAAACCTAAGTGTCTTTATAGAAGCCAAGAATATCTGATCAGATTCTTCAAGGAAGCAAAAATCCTGTAAATGTCAGAAAGATGATGCTGGAAAACCCCTTTGGTCAAATTCATCTAAAGAAGGTACTATTTGTAGGTGACTTTTCAGCAAGTCTGTCAAAAGCTTCTTGCTACAGATAAAAATTCAATAACCTTTCACTGTGGATGTGCCACAATTATCACTAATTTAAAAACAGTCCCTCTAATAGAGTATTTTATCATGCCGGACAGTCTCTGCATTGTTCATTATTTAGTGTTTGCTAAGCTGATGGCACTTCCACCAACTTTTCTTATCTCTACTTCTTCAGAATTGGATTTTATATTTCCAAACCAGCCAGATATGACAAGTCATTTTCTTCTCTCTTGTCTTTTAAGAAACGCAAACTTGATTTTTTTTTAACAATCACCACTTAAAAGATTAAAGTTATTGGCAATGTCTGTATTAACTAGCATTGGGATGTGCAGTAAGGCCTATTGCATTTTAATTGCAACTGGGGTCTTCCCTTCTTCTTTTTTATTCTTTCTCTTTTCCAATACATGTGTATGTATTCTCTATCTCTTTGGAACTCCCCATTCTGCTAAAACACACAGTGTATGGCAAAGATGAGGTATTATGAAGCCTGATGTAGTTAGAAGACAAGGCAAGGAGAGTATTATCAGAACTATTATATTATAGAACCTCCAAAAGGTGGTGATAAATGGTATAAGTAGATCTTTCAGTAAATATAGACTGTCTTTATATGAGAAACTTCCTGAAAGGAAAATGATAAAGTCATTATCCTGACACCCGAGGGATACATGCCACTTCAAACAACATCTCTTTCTATCCATAGCTCATTATTGAAATTTTTAACTATTTTAAGCCTGAAAAAATTCTACTAGCTGTGATTCTGAAAGATTTTAAAAGATCTGTATACTTTACCCAAGCTTTGGACCACGATAAGACAGCCACACATCTTCTGTCATTGGGAACTCTCTCCTTAGGCCTCAGGGCATCTTCTGTCATTGGGAACTCTCTCCTTAGGCCTCAGGGTCTGCTCCTCTGTCCAAGAGAGTCTCTCCCAATTTTCAGGGAAGTATAGAACTTCGTTCAAGAAGTTTGATGATAAGATTTTGACCTTTTAGGGGTACAGTCTTTCAATAGTGATATCAGAATGCTGAAAAAGATTGTGTTAGAAAATCTCACCAAAATATTCATTTTAAGATTTGTGGATTATTGTTGTAAGCATCAAACAGAAATAGCATTGTAGTCAGTCTTCATACATTAATAATAAGGGCTGCCCTTTAGGATT
Organism: Homo sapiens; assembly: GCF_000001405.40. Lineage (NCBI taxonomy): Eukaryota > Metazoa > Chordata > Mammalia > Primates > Hominidae > Homo > Homo sapiens. Next base: position 133,950,785 of record NC_000007.14, read on the forward strand.
GGCTTTACAAAGAAAAATATTTGCTCAAACTTTACCCAGAGACAGGAGATGCCTGTCACGTCTGCTTCTAAAAGAGGGAGTGTGACTAAAAATCCACCATCTTATTACTTGTTTAATGGTACCACAAGTCCAATTAACGCATTTGTTCAAGCCAACAGCCTTTTAGCTTTTCACAGAAATCTTGGAAGTGTGCTAGAGAAACACCCCCACAAAAAGGTTTTGCATATGCTGCTGTATCTGCCTCTCTCCAGGAAGCGGAGCATGGGTCACTGACAGACAGATGGCTGCCACAAGCGCCACCAGCGGCCAGAAACTCCTCCCACCAGCTCCCATTCCTGCAAAACAAATGAGGAGGGGTGCTTTTCTTGAATGCTGTGCCTGGACTTTCTCTCCCTTGACCCAGCCCTACCCATGGAATACCAAGGCAACCTCAACATCTGTTACACTCCTGCCTTAATTCTATTCCTCAGCACCAGCATAACTCAATAGAGGAGTATGGGCTTGTCCTTGGACAAGGTACTTGACATTGCTGATGATGTCGTCTGTATTATAAATCCCTCATAGGTTATTTGGAGGCTAAGGTCAACTAACGTATACACAACACCTGGTACAATGCCTGCAAACAGTGATCACGTGATAAATAGTAGTTTCTTCTGCTCCTTCTTTTTTAAGCTCTTTTCCTCATTCTTAGTCTTCCTGAGACTATTTTATTTCTTGCTTTCTCATTTAGCTACCAATATTTGCCCATAGTGGTACTCAACATGAAATGCCCAAATCTGCCCTCTGTTTATTTCCCCCTACTCCTGTCCTTCCTGTTGATAGCTGGGTCATTCTGCCCATTCTGCCTGATACTTTAACTTCATCTCAAAAGATCTTTGCTGTATTGCATTTGAAATTAGATTTTGAGCTCTTAAATTTAACAGCCTTCCAAAATCCACATGGCTTGGGAACACAGGCATAGGGTAAGGTCGTATTTATTCAGGGCCACAATGAGTGAAACTTAAGGTTAACCTCCAGATCTCATTAAATGACTTCCTCTGTGAACTTGTATGTCAGCATATCGAGAAATATGGCAATGAAGAAGCTGCTGAATTGGCCAGGTGCAGTGGCTCACGCCTGAATCCTACCACTCTGGGGGGCCAAGGCAGGTGGATCACCTGATGTCAGGAGTTACTAGCCTGGCCAACATGGTGAAACCCCATCTCTACTAAAAATACAAAAATTAGCCAAGCGTGGTGGCAGGCACCTGTAATCTCAACTACTCAGGAGGCTGAGGCAGGAGAATTGCTGGAACCCAGGAGGTGGAGGTTGCAGTGAGCCAAGATTGTGCCATTGCACTCCAGCCCGAGCTGACAACAGTGAGACTGTGTCTCAGAAAAAAAAAAAGAAAAAAAAAGAAGCTGTTGAATTGTGGCTTCAGTAAAAACTATAACAAAAATGGCAGACCAGCTAATTTCAGAGCCCACAGTAGCTCTGGGACTCAGACCTTTTAACATCAAGGGAATGATTCTGTCTGTATTGAAGTGGGCTTTGGAATAGCTGTAGTTAAGATCTACCCAAGCTTCAGCTGGGCATCCTCCACAGGGGTGACAATGATCTGGTTAGCTGCTTACCCCTTCTCTGCTGCCTAATAACACACTTACAGGAATTCTGGGAGTCTCAGTTCTGCTAGGATCTTAGGAGTGTTAGCTAGGAATGGAAATTTGTGTTCTTTTTTGTTATCATTTCAGCCATTTTTAAATGTCCAGTTTGGTGGCATTCAGTACATTCACATTATTGAGTAGCCATCACCATCATCCATCTGCAGAACTTTTTTCATCTTCTCAAACTAAAACTCCATATTCCTTAAACAATAATCCCTCATTTCTCCTTCCCTCCAGCCCTTGGCAACCTCCATTCTACTTCCTATCTCTATGAATTTGACTACTCTAGGTGGCCCATATAAGTGGAATCATGTAGTATTTGTTGTTTTGTGACTGACTTGTTTTGTTTAGCATGATGTCTTCAAGGTCCATCCGTGTTGAAGCATGTGTTAGCACTCCCTTCTTTTTTGAAAGCTGCATGATATTCTATTGAATGGCTGTACCACACTTTATTTCTCCATTCATCCATCAGTGGATGCTTAGGGTGCTTCCATCTTTTGCCTATTGTGAGTAATGCTGCTGTAACATGGGTGGACAAATATCTGTTCAAGTCCTGGTTTTCAGATCATTTGGGTATATACCCAGAAGTGAAATTGTGGAAATTAGTCATTTGAGATTAGATGTACTGCACGTCTTTCTACTTCTTCTCAACTCTCTGATTGCTTATATAAGTGACGTCTTCTGAAGGAAAGTTCAGCATTTTTTCTCAGATATGATAATAATATATGCTAAGATCTTGGCCAGGCACGGTGGCTCACACCTGTAATCCCAGCACTTTGGGAAGCCAAGGTGGGCGGATCACTTGAGGTCAAGAGTTTGCTGCCTTCAAATCAATCATTACTTCTTAGCACCTCTTGAAATAGAAAATAAAAAATTTGGCCAGGCGGTGGCCAGGCGCAGTGGCTCATGCCTGTAATCTCAGCACTTTGGGAGGCTGAGGTGGGAAGATCTCTTGAGCCCAGGAGTTTGAGACCAGACTGGGCAACACAGGGAGACCTCATCTCTACAAAAAAGAAAAAAAAAATTAATTAGCCAGGTGTGGCCCCATTTGTACAAAAAAAAATTTTTTTTTAATTAGCTGGGCATGGTCATGTACACATGTGGTCCCAGCTACTAGGGAGGCTAAGGTGGGAGGAACGCTTGAGCCTGGGATGTCAAGGCTGCGGTGAGGTGTGATTGCACCACTGCACTCCAGCCCAGCAACAGAGAAAGACCCTGTCTCAAAAAGGAAAAGAAAAGAAAAAAATGTAAAAGCCCTAGATAGTACCCTCCTTTCACTCCTAGAGAATTCAAAATTTACAATGGAAATTTAAGCTTACTGTCTTGTTCTCTAGATCAGCTGTTTACAATGTTGGCTATATGCCCCCCAATAATTGTGTAAAACAATACATTGAAGCATGGGAAGGAAACATGAGACCATTTATGTATGCTTTTTAAAAGTAAAACAATCAGAAACATTGCAAGTTTTACTAATATTTAACATAAGAGATGACATGATAGCCCTCATTTGAGCCATATGTGAAGTACTATATGGGAGGAATCCTGCAGGAACCCCAAGGATTCCTCAGCAGAGAGAGGCTCAATCTTCTGCCATTTTTAAAAATTTTCAACATTTTGTAATATGTTCCAGGTGAAGTAGATTTATGGATTACATTTTCTAGTTTTTACTAAACTTACCTTCCCCAAATGGATAAGTGACTTAAAAGGGAAACTGTGGATTGACACTATAAGCAAAAATGAACATGAGAAAATGGCAGAACTGGCATTGTCACTGTTCCTGGTGGGGATCTTCATCAGTCACATTATAATTATCTAAGCAGTAATAATCTATCAGATGACTGGAAACTGGCAAAAGAACTTGTCAAGGATATTATTTGGAATACGGATTTACATCTACAATTATTAACATGAACCTTGCTCTAAGTGTATGTGTGCCTTGAAATATTAGCTAATACATGTTGAAGCTGTAATCATTAGGAAGACATTTAAGAATATCACTTGTTTCATCTTTAGCTTACTTTTTATTGATTTCTTTTCTGGTTATATTTTTAAACTTATATAATGTATTAGTACCAGTATATATAAATAACTAAATGTACATTTACTATTAATCTGGACACAAATATTTTTCGCTGTTGGAATATATAATCAAAGAGGTTTGGAAATTGTTGTGTTACTGGATCCTTGGGGTGTCCCTTCACCAGCAGGAAGCCTCTGTGGCCACTGGTGCCTTTGCCCGAGTTTTGCTCAGGACCACTGGGCTCACTTGACCTGGCAGGCTGTGCTTGGCTTGGCTTGGCTTGTGCTACCGGCCTGGATCCCATGCCTGTCAAGGGCAAGTGGAGCAGCAAGAGGGGTGTGAGCAAGTGAGCATGGGCTCCAGCCACTGCTCACAGCCAGATACACTGGCTGCAGTGGGATGGACAACTCCAGGGACCAGCATAGGCACCAGCTGTCTGTGAGGCTGCAGCTAAACCAGGCATACCACAAGCAGCTTCCACACCTGGCACCAGGGAACACGGTGGTACACGGAAGTTTGGAGACACCAGGAACTGCGGAGCCCCAAAGGGGATGTCACAGCCCTGGCTCGGGGAGCTCCTACATCTGGGCTTCCCAAGGGGCCGCAGCTCTTCTCTCCTCTCTTCTGTCCTTGTTGCTTGCAACTTGGTGAGCAAGGGGAGTGTCTCAGCCCTGTTTATGTTATACCTCTTTTAGCCCTGCCATTCGGCAGGTCCTGATTTCTTGTCCTGCATCCAGGAAGAATGAGTTACATGTTCAAGTGTTGTGTGAGCAGAGTGAAGAGGAGCTTTATTGAGCAACAAAACAGCTCAGTGGAGACCTGCAGTGGGTAACTCCTTTCTGTAGCAAAGGCATCCCAATGAGTATTCAGCTCTCAGCATAGAGGAGACCCTGTGGTGGGTAGCTCCTCTCTGCAGCTGGTTGTCCCGTCAAGTGTTCAGCTCTCAGCAGAGAGGAGACCCTGGAGTGGGTAGCTCCTCTCTGCAGGCAGGTCATCCTGTCGAGTGCTTAAGTCTGGCTGAGTCTGGGGCTTTTCTGGGCTTCAGAGGGGAGGAAGTGTGTGTTGATTGGTCCATGGGTGAGCCTGGAAAAAGTAACATAAGTTCCCACTCTGGTCCATGGGACTGGCAGCCTGGCCCCCAGGCTTCAGACCTTTCTTTACTTAAAGGTGGGGCTTCACCGGGGACCTGGCCCTGTCTGCCCTGGAGCTTGTCTGCCTCCTGCTGCTGTTCATGGTGCCCAGGCTGTTTGTGCCAAGGGGCACCTACAGGCCTGCACCATGCTGCCCTCAGCACCCCATCTGCCTCCCTCCTGACAAGCCAGCACCCAAAGGCCAGAAGGGGCTGGCGTGTCAGCACTTCCCTGAGTGCGTGCATACGTGACCAGGTTGCAACAGTGCCCAGGCTTAGCCTCAACTTTGCTCTGAGATCAGAGTGGGCACTGGGAGCAGGGAGAAGCCAGGCAGTGAGAGTAGGCACTTCTGAGCCTTCAGGGGCAGTTGGGGGGCTTCCCAGGCCCCTGAGAGTCCAGAGATGCCCAGGTCCACAGCTCCAGTTTGGGTGGCAGCAGCTGCACCTGGGAGGGCAGGGCTCCTGCCTGCTCCTGGCCCCCAAGAGCACAGGGAGGCCTGGGTCCGCAGCTGCAACTGGGGGCCATCAATTGCTTTAGACACTATTGTCTCCAAATGAAGTTGTAATGGGACCACAGGGACAGTAGTACCATTGCTTTTTATGTTCTTTTTTTTTTCTTTGTTTTGTTTTTAGATGAACACTGTGAATTGTAGCTGATAATATGACATAATTAGGAGTTTAGCAGTCTCCAGATTCTTTCCATAAAACTTAAAGTAAGTGTTAAAAGATAGAGGCGGCTCAAATAGGATGGGATTTTCTGACAGACAAGCAGACTAACAACAGTTCTTCCTCCCTGGAAGCTCTTTTGTCTGTTTTAATCATTGCAAAGTGAAGCATATAATGGCCAATGCTGGAGTGTACAGAAACTTGGCCTTTCAGTTATCTGTACCTAGTATTAGAACAAACCAGCCCAGATACTTCTCGCAATTCAGTGAGTTGACTGAGCAGCTTTTCTAGCCAGAGCTCCTCAAGTAGCTGTGCTCAGCTGGCAGCTCAGTGGGGGCTGCATCATGTGGGGGAACTGGGGGCCTCTCTCCATGTGGTCCTTTCATCTGGGCTGCTTCAGTGCACACAGGTCTCAGGGCAGCTCCAAGAAGGCAAAGACTGAAGCTAGAATAGCTAAGGCCCAGATTCTGAAACTCACATAACAGAACTTCAGCCATATCCTATCAGTCAGTGTAAGCTATAAAGCCAATCAAGATTTAAGAGGTGAGGAAAAGACTCTATTTCTTAATGGGGAAAAGCTGCAAAGAATTGTGATCATACTTATTCCACCACACTGGTAAATTAGGAAGAAACAATACCAAAAAAGATATTTATAATTAATCACTTTGGCCTGTACAGAGAGCATGTTTTCTATGCATTTCCTTATAAAAAGTGTATTTTCCACGTGATAATACCATTGATTTTTTTTTTTGTCAATGTGAGAACTATATAGAGAGGCTAAAATGTGCAACTGAAATGATGCATCTTTTCAGTGTTCCTCAGTGGCATTCTCAAAATGATCGTTATATTCATGGCTTAAAATTAACTAAATTAAGTTTTCAATGCAAGTGTTCCCTAAAGTCAAAGCTTTTCTTCATTTCTTCATTAGAGATTAATTTGTAGCATGTCTCATTGAATGGATTGTTCACAGTGATTGTTTTTCAGTTAGACCTCTTAGAAATAGTTTTATTTTAGAAAGGCAGAATAATTATAGACTGTTAAATGTCTAAGTGACCCTGAATAGTTCTAGGAAGGTGTACAGAATACTGATACTTCCTTAATGCCATATATGCTGGAAATTTTAGAGTAAATATACATTAATTAAAATATCTACCATAACTTTCAAGCACTTACTTTTGAATAACTGTAGTCTTTAGTCTTCAGTAAAATCCTGATGCAAAGTACAACTTAGTCTAAATTAGGATTTTCCTGATAGAGTCTAAGGAGTACAAGCCACTCTGGTCTTTGGAAAGTCAAGATTCTTAAATGTTAATGTGGCATTTCCTGTGTTGACCATTTGGATAATGGATTACTCCATCATTTCTTTTGTATACCCACCCTTTATAAGGATTATTTCTTAATCCTTATATGTTTCACATACATCATGAAACAACAAAAGGCTTCATTATCAGGAGCTTCTATTCGCTTCAGCAGAACCATTTGAAACATCTAAACAGTTGAGAAATGCATCCCAGTAATATACTCAGAAGGCCTAGGAAACAAGAATAGTGAAAATAGCTATTAACTCAAATTCATTAGGGGTTAATTAGCCATGTTGCAATCTCCTTAATTTTCTACTTTCCACACTGAATTAGTCATGTGTATTACTTAACCCAGCCACTATTGCCAGATCAGTTAGCACTACGATTCCTTTTCCTCAGCAATGCTTCATATTATGACTTAGATCATAAACCAGAGCACCAGGTAGAAATCACAGCCAATCTGAGTGTGCTGCATGGGGCCTCGTGATACTTCCTGTTAATTTAGATGTTGACAGGGCCAGTATCAGTAATGAAATTAGTTCAGGGCATAACTCCTTGAACATAGCAGGCACTTAGTAAATGTTTTATCAAATTGAATTAAATTAACAAAATGCTTCCAGTGAGGGCCTGAAATCTTCTACCTTGCTTTTATTTGCCAAATTGGCTACTTAATCAAATGAATCAACCATTTTTCTTATTTTTGCAAGTACTATCATTTCTTTTCCTTTTTTTTTCTCCCTCACATTTCAAAAACTGATAGTAACAATTACTAATGTCTTATAGTACTGGGACGTTCCTCTCTAGTCATCCATTTATCTCTGCTAAGAATTTCTCTTAGGATTAAATAGTATGATTACTATTTCCACATATTTCCACAGTATTTTGGTCATTAACATACATATTTAAAGCAATATATTTAATTATATGCCTATTTTATCCCTTGCTAAATGTGGATTTTATTTACTGAAACTGTTCTCTCTGACTTTCTACTTTGACTTCTCTTTCTTTTTCTTAAACAATCTTTCCTATAGTACCTACTCTGGCACAAAAAACACTGTTATATTCCAGAAGTTCTTTTTTAACCCAAAAGTTAGAGAATTGGCATAGCTACTGACATTGAAAGAGGAAATGAAGATAAGGCTAAAAACAGGAGGACTTGTTAAAAGTCTGTTTAGGATATATTTACCCTCAGATTTTTCTCTCTTACTTCATATACCTGTGCCACTGCTTCTATCAGAATTGCAGCTGAGCACTGGAGTTTTAGTTTCTGAAAATGGTAAAATAGAGATTCCTTGGACTGAGGGACATAAGTCATAGCTGAGTGTGAGGGCTGTTATTCTGAAATCAGGCAAAGTTTACATTAATGACTGCTGACACTTCTGTTCTTTTTCCTATTGGCTGGCATCCAGGAATATAACTTCAGACAAAAGACTAGAAAGTCTTTTCTGAAAAATCTGATAAGCACCAGGATGGTGCAGGTGTAGGCGGGAGATAGACACTAACATCAGTGGTTCTCCAATAAAAGAGACCAGCCAGATCACCTACAAAGACAACTACAATGCATCAGCCTTACCTCCAGACACAAAACTCCAGTCAGCCCCACTTAAATATGAGCAGACAGCCAAGAAGAGTAATGTTTGAGGAAACCTTATAATAGGAAACAGAGACCAAAACAAACAGGAAAAGCAACTTAGAGGAAACAGGGATTATCCAGAAATTAAGAAAAACTTAAAAAATGAAAATTAATATCCCTAGAAGAAATAAGAGAAGATATTGTATTCATGAAACAAGAGTAGTATAGTATATGAAAGGAACTTTCAGAAAACAAGAACTCTTAGAAATAAAAAATAAAGTGAAATAAAAATCTCAGAAGATAGAACTGAAGAAATATCCATGAAGGTGGAAAAAAAAGACAAAAAAGAAAAAGGACCCTAGGAAGCAGCAGGATATTCCATAACTGAATTTTAGGTCTACAGAGAAAAAAAGGAGAGAAAATAGAGAGGGCCATAAAAAAAATTAAGAAAAATTCCCAAAATGGAAAACAGGAATTCTCAAAATGAAAGGACCCAGTGGATGAAAACAGACCTACATCCTCACCAAGGCAGTCATCTCAAAATTGCAGAACCCTCAAGTTAGAAAGAAAACCCTACAACTGTCAGAAGAAAAAAAAAATAAAAGTTTTTCTAGAAAGTACATCTAGAAAAGAAGCAGAAAAGCAATGATTTGTCAAAAGTGGCAGAGGAAGTTAGGTGACAAAAAGAAAAAAAACTATCAGATTCTAAGAAAATTGATTTTCAACCTAGAATTGTTTATCTAACCACACTACCAGTTCCATGTAAGGGAAGAATACGGACGTTTTCAGACATACAAGTTCTCAGAAAACTTATCTTCCATGCAGTCTTCCATAGAATCTACCAAACCGAAGGAGTTTACATAAAAATAGGAAAACATGGGCTACAAGAAATGGGGATTCTAGAGTAGTTACGGAAAGAGAAAGATCTCCAGAGTGATCATGACAGGATATGCCAAGATAACAGCTCTGCCACAGGCCTAGGAAGCAGCTAGCCCAGAGAGGAATAGCTGATCTCTCAGGAGAGCTTTGTGGAGGAGCAGGATGTTGATTAGAATACCTAATGTGTTAGGATTTATTGAAAAAAAAAATTGTCCATCATAAGAGAGTTTGGAGTTGAGTACTTTAAACAACGAATAAAACTGTTATAAGGAATTTAGCATCTATGTTCATCAAGGATATTGGTCTGTAGTTTTCTTTTTTGGTTATGTCCTTTCCTGGTTTTGGTATTAGGGTGATAGATACTGGCTTCATAGAATGATTTAGGGAGGGTTCCCTCTTTCTCTATCTTGTGGAATAGTGTCAATAGGATTAGTACCAATTCTTTGAATGTCTGGCAGAATTCTGTGAATCCATCTGGTCTTGGACTTTTTTTTGTTGGTAATTTTTAAATTACCATTTCAATCTCACTGCTTGTTATTTAACATACACAAGTCAATAAATGTGATACACCACATAAACAGAATTAAAAACCAAAATCACATGATCGTCTCAATAAATGCAGAAAAAGCATTTGACAAAATCCAGCATCCCTTTATGCATCCCTGGTGTGAAACCCACTTGATCATGGCGGGTTATCTTTCTGATATGTTATTGGATTCGGTTAGCTAGTATTTTGTTAAGTATTTTAGCATCTATGTTCATCAGGGATATTGCTGTACGATTGATTATAAGATCACAGAACTTGCAAGTTTGACAGAACCTCAGCCAGTAGTCAGCTGCAATGACAAGCACTGCCATTTATTGAGAATTTATGATACACAAGATGCTATACTGCAGATTTTAGGATATCGTCTCTAATCTTCACAATCCTGTGTAAGTTTGGTAGGCAGAACAAATGGCTCCCCAACGATGTCCACGTCCTAATCCCCAGAACCTACAAAAATGTGAGGCAAATGACAATTAAGGTTCTCGGCTCACCTGAGAATAGGGAGGTTATCTTGGGTTATGCAGGTGAGCCCAGTGTAATTTAAGGGCTCTTAAAAGTGGAATAGGGAGACAGAAAAGTAGATTAGAGTAATGCAATGTGAGAAAGACTCAACCCTCATTGCTGGCTTTGAAGATGAGGAAGGAGCCAGGCAGCCTCCCAAAGCTGGAAAAGGCAAGTAAATGGATTCACCCCTAGAGCCTCTGACACTTATTTAAACCAATGAGACTCATGTCAAACTTTTTTTTTTTTTTTTTTTTTTTTGAGATGGAGTGTTGCTCTGTTGCCCAGGCTGGAGCGCAGTGGCATGATTTCGGCTCACTGCAACCTCTGCCTCCCAGGTTCAAGCAATTCTCATGCCTCAGCCTCCCGAGAAGCTGGGACTACAGGCGCACGCCACTGCACCTGGCTAATTTTTTTTATTTTTAGTAAAGACGCGGTTTTGCCATGTTGGCCAGGCTGGTCTTGAACTCCTGACCTCAGGTGATCCACCGCCTGCCTTGGTCTCCCAAAGTGCTGGGATAACAGGCATGAGCCCCCGTGCCCAGCCTCATATCCAACTTCTAATCTCCAGAATTGTAAGATAATAAATGGATGTTGTTTTAAGCCATAAGGTACATGGTAATGTCACAGCAGCACTGGGAAGCTAACACAGTAAGTATTAATGCCTCCATTTTTCTGATGACAAAACTAAGTTTCAAAGATTGAGTAACTTTACAAAAACCATGACTAAGTAACTGGCACAGGCAGGACTGGAACCTAGGCCAGTGTAACTCTTAGACCAGACTCTTTCAACAGCAGTAATAGTTGGCATTTGTAGAACACCAACCAGGTAGGAAGCAGGCTGTGGTCTATGCACTCTAATGTGGTACCTCATCTAGTCCTTACAGCAGCCTATGGGGGAAGGTGGTGGCCGCCCTCATTTCTCAGAGGAGGAAATTGAGGCCAAGCTTGGTGGAAACAGGATTTAAAGCTGTACAGTCAAACTCCAGTGCCCACGCACTTAATCTCAACACCTCTTTGCTATCTCCTAGCAGTTTATGAATGAGAAAACCGAGCCAGGATGTCTGACTCTCTCCTGAGGTCACACATCAAGGTGCTGCCACAGCCAGATCTAGAACCCAGGTTAACTCTTGTCTCATCTAGGGCCTTGTCTTCTTGAAGAACATACTTACTGTGGAAATACAGGTGAAAATTCCGCATCAAACAGAGATACCAAATAACAGCTCTAAATAGACAGTGATGCATTTGCTCTCTCCTTCTTGTTAGTGTAGTTTAATTTCCTGAGAAGCTTTACACATACCCCTGAGCTTTTCTGTCACAGCTAATTGTGCAACTTCCAAGTAGTTGTCCTGCCTATGTTTGTTACTTGGGCTCATTAACATACCCTTTACCGTAGATGACACTCTCATTAGGTTAAATTAATTAAAAGATGATCATTGGGGCTACATAGCTTCAGCCCGGGCAGAGATGTGCCACCTTCGACCCTCTGGTTCCCTTCGACAGCCTCTGTGGAGATGTACCCCCAAGACATTTAAAAGGCTGTGCTCTTATTTTCTGTCACTCTTTATATACTATCTAAATCTTACCACACAAACAACATTTAGCATGCAAGTTAAACAGATTTAAATTTAAGCAAAATTGAGTGTCACCACATGTGCTTATGCCAGATCTGTATAATTCTTTTGAGGTTTTTGGAAACGTGAACCAAGCCATTTACGCTTCATAGGAACAGATTATATCATTTGAAATCCTCAATAAAAATGCAGTCTCATATTCTACAGATGGGTGTCATTTAATTAAAATATGTATTTAAAATGCAAAGGGCTACGTTAATTCCACACTGTGGCTGAGATTTTAATTGCACTCAAGTTAGGAAATTCGGAGTTAATGTTCCCCTGGCATCTCTCATTCAGCCTCTTAGAACAGATGTATTGTGATCCAAAGAGGATTTCAATATGTTTTCACATGCTGCACATGTAGGAAGGGCTTTGAGATACAGGGTGGCAGCATGATAAAAACAGGAGTTGATCCCGAGCAAAGGAAGGGAGTACCGCAGCCTGTGGCTGCCTTCCCTGTCCCCGCACTTCACCAGGTAGCCCTTGCTAATCACTCACGGCAGTTGTGCCTCGTCCCACTTCCCTAGATCAGGTATCACAGAAAGGTTGTTGGGGTGCTCCCATTTTTGTTTTGGTGGGGCAGAGGGGAGGCATCTGTAGTACTCAGAACTGTAAAAATGCTCATAAATTAAAAACTCAGTGAATGCTTTTTAGTTGTAGAGTACATTTTAGGGTATACATTAAGGGTTTAGGGTACACATCAGCCTCGCATAAGTACTGTTGTAATACACTAGAAAATCTATTCCACAGTGCAACACACACATTTTGAACCCTCAGGAATTTCTCTTTAGACCAAAGGCAGCCCGGAGGCAAAAGAAACGCCAACACCTGAGGGTGTTTCTGACAAGGCAAGGAGTGAAAGGAAAGTGACAAATAGATGTTGTGGGCCTCAGAACCCCATGAAATAACTGCAGTGTGAAGGATTTGGGGGAAACACTGGTTTTACGCTTAAATTATTAGAGAGTTATCCATGATATTAAAGTGTCAAAAAGGAAAGAATTGAGAATTCCCATGAAAGCAGAGAAGAACGTGAAATTGGCACTGAGTAAGAAAGTATATTGTCTTTTCATTCATTCTGTTACTTCAATCCTTTAAGCCTGCTCTGTGCCCAGGACTGTGTTAGGCATGGGGCATTCATCACTGACCATTAGATATGGTGTCACTTTGGGGATTACAACCTAATGGGGCCATTATCTACATAAGACATGAGTTAAATTAATGCAGAGGCTTCTGTTTTATTTTTAACGTGGTTACCTAGGAAATACAGACAATTATGGAGAAAAGAAGAAAGGAGTAGTTCATCTTGAAAGGATGACTGTTAAGAATGTTAAGTACAGAAATAGGGACTTGTCTTATATATTTTATGAGAATGTTTTTATTATGTATGTATGCCCCTGTGAAATCTTTTTAATTAAAATCTGCAAAGCTAGTATGAGGTAATATATGAGAAAGAACTTTAAGTTCTTAGAAAAATAGGCAGTGTGTAAGTCTTTGGGGAAGAAAGTAAACCCCAAACCTCCTTAGAAAAATCAGCAAAAGAACCAGTCATAGAATTCAGACCTCCTGGCTCCTTGTCCAGTTCGTTATGTCAGAGTCACAATTTTTTATATTGCAAAACAAAGCCAGCTAAGTTGAAGAACCAACCATATTTTTCTCTTGAGTTTTTTTTTTCTTCTTCTTTCTATATACTTTAAGTTCTGGGATACATGTGCAGAATGTGCAGGTTTGTTACCTAGGTATACACGGGCCATGGTGGTTTGCTGCACCCATCAACCGGTCATCTACATTAGGTATTTCTCCTAATGCTCTCCCTCCCCTAGCCCCCGACCTCCCGACAGGCCCCAGTGTGTGATGATCCCCTCCCTGTGTCCATGTGTTCTCATTGTTCAACTCCCGCTTATGAGTGAGAACATGCGGTGTTTGGTTTTCTGTTCCTGTGTTAGTTTGCTGAGAGTGATGGTTTCCAGCTTCATCCATGTCCCTGCAAAGGACATGAACTCATCCTTTTTTATGTCTGTGTAGTATTCCATGGTGTATATGTGCCACGTTTTTCTTTATCTAGTCTATCATTGATGGGCATTTGGGTTGGTTCCAAGCCTTTGCTATTGTGAACAGTGCTGTCATAAACATACATGTGCATGTATCTTTATAGTAGAATGAGTTATAATCCTTTGGATATCTACCCAGTAATGGAATTGCTGGGTCAAATGGTATTTCTGGTTCTAGATCTGTGAGGAATCGCCACACTGTCTTCCACAATGGTTGAACTAATTTACACTCCCACCAACAGTGTAAAAGCATTCCTATTTCTCCACATCCCCTCCAGCATCTGTTGTTTCCTGACTTTTTAATGATTGCCATTGTAACTGGCGTGAGATGGTATCTCATTGTGATTTTGATTTGCTTTTCTCTAATGACCAGTGATGATGAGCTTTTTTTCATCTGTTTGTTGGCTGCATGAATGTCTTCTTTTGAGAAGTGTCTATTCATATCCTTCACCCACATTTTGTTGGGATTGTTTGTTTTTTCTTGTAAATTTGTTTAAGTTCTTTGTAGATTCTGGATATTAACCCATTGTCAGATGGATAGATTGCAAAAATTGTCTCCCATTCTGTAGGTTGCCTGTTCACTCTGATGATAGTTTCTTTAGCTGTGCAGAAGCTCTTTAGTTTAATTAGATCCCATTTGTCAATTTGGCTGTTGTTGCCATTGCTTTTGGTGTTTTAGTCATGAAGTCTTTGCCAATGCCTATGTCCTGAATGGTATTGCCTAGGTTTTCTTCTAGGGTTTTTATGCTTTTAGGGCTTACATTTAAGTCTTTAATCCATCTTGACTTAATTTTTGTATAAGGTGTAAGGAAGAGGTCCAGTTTCAGTTTTCTGCATATGGCTGCCAGTTTTCCCAACATTTATTAAATAGGGAATCCTTTCCCCATTGCTTGTTTTTGTCAGGTTGGTCAAAGATCAGATGGTTGTAGATGTGTGGTGTTATTTCTGAGTCCTCTGTTCTGTTCCATTGGTCTATATCTCTGTTTTGGTATCGGTACCATGCTGTTTTGGTTACTGTAGCCTTGTAGTATAGTTTGAAGTCAGGTAGCATGATGCCTCCAGCTTTGTTCTTTTTGCTTAGGATTGTCTTGGCTATACGGGCTCTTTTTTGGTTGCATATGAAATTTAAAGTAGTTTTTTCTAATTCCATGAAGAAAGCCAATGGTATTTTGATGAGGATAGCATTGAATCTATGAATTACTTTGGGCAGTATGGCCATTTTCACAGTACTGATTCTTCCTATCCATAAGCACGGAATGTTTTTCCATTTGTTTGTGTCCTCTCTTATTTCCTTGAGCAGTGGTTTGTAGTTCTCTTTGAAGAGTTCCTTCACATCCCTTGTAAGTTTGATTCCTAGGTATTTTATTCTCTTTGCAGCAATTGTGAATGGAAGTTGACTCATGATTTGGCTCTCTGTTTGTCATTAATGGTGTATAGGAATGCTTGTGATTTTTGCACATTGATTTTTGTATCCTGAGACTTTGCTGAAGTTGCTTATCAGCTTAAGGAAATTCTGGGCTTGAGATGATGGGGTTTTCTAAATATACAATCATGTCATCTGCAGACAGAGATAATTTAACTTCCTCTCTTCCTATTTGAATATGCTTTATTTCTTTCTTTTGCCTGATTGCCCTGGCCAGAACTTCCAATACTATGTTGAATAGGAGTGGTGAGAGAGGGCATCCTTGTCTTGTGCCATTTTCAGAGGGAATGCTTCCAGCTTTTGCCTATTCAATATGATACTGGCTGTGAGTTTATCATAAATAGCTCTTACTATTTTGAGGTACGTTCCATCAGTACCTAGTTTATTGAGAGTTTTTAGCATGAAGAGGTGTTGAATTTTATCGAAGGCTTTCCTGCATCTATTGAGATAATCATGTGGTTTTGGTCATTGGTTCTGTTTATGTGATGGATTATGTTTATTGATTTGCGTATGTTGAACCAGCCTTGCATCCCAGGGATGAAGCCAACTCGATCATGGTGGATAAGCCTTTTGATGTGCTGCTGGATTCAGTTTGCCAGTATTTTATTGAGGATTTTCACATCAGTGTTCATCAGGGATATTGCCCTGAAATTTTGTTGTTGTTGTTATGTTTCTGTCAGGTTTGTGTATCAGGATGATGCTGGCCTCATAAAATGGGTTAGGGAGGAGTCCCTCTTTTTCTATTGTTTGGAATAGTTTCATAAGGAATGGCACCAGCTCCTTTTTGTACCTCTGGTGGAATTCAGCTGTGAATTCGTCTGGTCCTTGCTTTTTTTTGGTGGTAGGCTATTAATTACTGCCTCAATTTCAGAACTTGTTATAGGTCTATTCAGGGCTTTGACTTCTTCCTGGTTTAGTCTTGGGAGGGTGTATGTGTCCAGGAATTTATTCATTTCTTCTGGATTTTCTAGTTTATTCACATAGAGGTGTTTATAGTATTCTTTGATGGTAATTTGTATTTCTGTGGGATCAGTGGTAATCTCCCCTTTATAATTTTTTATTGCATCTATTTGATTCTTCTCTTCTTCATTAGTCTGGCTAGCGGTCTATCTATTTTGTTAATCTTCTTAAAAAACCAGCTCCTGGATTCACTGATTTTTTTTTTGAAGTGTTTTTCGTCTCTCTGTCTCTTTCAATTCTGCTCTACTCTGATCTGAGTTATTTATTCTCTTCTGCTAGCTTTTGAATTTGCTTACTCTTGCTTCTCTAGTTCTTTTAATTGTGATGTTAGGGTCTCAATTTTAGATCTTTCCCGCTTTCTCCTGTGGACATGTAGTGCTACAAATTTCCCTCTAAACACTGCTTTAGCTGTGTCTGAGAGATTCTGGTATGTTGTGTCTTTGTTCTCATTGGTTTCAAAGAACGTATTTATTTCTGCCTTCATTTTGTTATTTACCCAGTTGTCATTCAGGAGCAGGTTGTTTAGTTTCCATGAAGTTGTGTGGTTTTGAGTGTGTTTCTTAATCCTGAGTTCTAATTTGATTGCACTGTGGTCCCAGAGACGGTTTGTTATGATTTCCGTTCTTTTGCATTTGCTGAGGCATGTTTTACTTCCAATTATGTGGTCAGTTTTTAGAATAAGTGCAGTGTGGTACTGAGAATAATGTATATTCTGTTGACTTGGGATGGAGAGTTCTGTAGATGTCTATTAGGTCCACTTGGTCCAGAGCTGAGTTCAAGTCCTGGATATCCTTGTTAATATTCTGTCTCGTTGATCTGTCTGATACTGATAGTGGGGTGTTAAAGTCTCCCACTATTATTGTGTGGGAGTCTAAGTCCCTTTGTAGGTCTCTAAGAACTTGCTTTATGAAATCTGGGTGCTCCTGTATTGGGTGCATATATATTTAGGATAGTTAGCTCTTCTTGTTGCATTAATCCCTTTAACCATTATGTAATGTCCTTCTTTGTCTTTCTTGAATTTTGTTGGTTTAAAGTCTGTTTTATCTGAGACTATGATTGCAACCACTGCTTTTTTTTCTCTTTTTTTGCTTTCCATTTGCTTGGTAAATATTCCTCCATCCCTCTATTTTGAGCCTATGTGTGTCTTTGCATGTGAGATGGGTCTCCTGAATACAGCACACCAATGGGTCTTGACTCTATCCAATTTGCCAGTCTGTGTCTTTTAAATGGGGCATTTAGCCCAGTTACATTTAAAGTTAACATTGTTATGTGTGAATTTGATCCTGTCATTATGATGCTAGCTGGTTATTTTGCCCATTAGTTGATGCAGTTTCTTCATAGTGTCAATGGTCTTTACAATTTGGTATGTTTTTGCAGTGGCTGGTACCAGCTTTTCTTTTCCATATTTAGTACTTCCTTCAGGAACTCTTGTAAGGCAGGCCTGGTGGTGACAAAATCTCTCAACATTTGCTTGTCTGTAAAGGATTTTATTTCTCCTTCACTTATGAAGCTTAGTTTGGCTGGATATGAAATTCTGGGTTGAATTTTTTTTTTCTTTAAGAATGTTGAATATTGGCCCCCACTCTCTTCTGGCTTGTTGGGTTGCTGCGGAGAGATCCACTGTTAATCTGATGGGCTTCCCTTTGTGGGTAACCCGACCTTTCTTTCTGGCTACCCTTAACATTTTTCCTTCATTTCAACCTTGGTGAATCTAACAATTATGTGTCTTGGGGTTGCTCTTCTCGAGGAGTATCTTTGTGGTGTTCTCTGTATTTCCTGAATTTGAATGTTGGCCTCTCTTGCTAGGCTGGGGAAGTTCTCCTGAATAATATCCTGAAGAGTGTTTTCCAACTTGGTTCCATTCTCCTTGTCACTTTCAGGTACACCAGTCAAACTTAGGTTAGGAGTTTTCACGTAGTGCCATATTTCTTAGAGGCTTTGATCGTTCCTTTTCATTTTTTTTCTCTAATCTTGGCTTCACGCTTTATTTCATTAAGTTGATCTTCAGTCTCTGATATCCTTTCTTCCACTTGATTGATTTGGCTATTGCTACTTGTGTATTATTCACGAAGCTGTCATGCTGTGTTTTTCAGCTCCATCAGGTCGTTTCTGTTCTTCTCTAAACTGGTTATTCTAGTTAGCAATTCCTCTAACCTTTTTCAAGGTTCTTAGCTTCCTTGCATTGGGTTAGAACATGCTACTTTACCTTGGAGGAGTTTGTTATTACACACCTTCTGAAGCCTACTTCTGTCAATTCGCCAAACTCATTCTCCATCCAGTTTTGTTCCCTTGCTGATGATGAGTTGTGATCCTTTGGAAGAGAAGAGGCATTCTTATTTTTGGAATTTTTAGCCTTTGTGTGCTGGTTTTTCCTCATCTTCGTGGATTTATCTACCTTGTTCTTGGATATTGGTGACCTTCTGGTGGGGTTTCTGTGTGGACGTCCTTTTTATTGATGTTGATGCTATTCTTTTCTGTTTGTTAGTTTCCCTTCTAACAGGCCGCTCTGCTGTAGGTCTGCTGGAGTTTGCTGGAAGTCCACTCCAGACCCTGTTTGCCTGGGTATCACCAGCGGAGGCTGCAGAACAGCAAAGATTGCTGCCTGTTCCTTCCTCTGGAAGTTTTGTCCCAGAGGGGCACCTGCCAGATGCCAGCTGGAGCTCTCCTGTATGAGGTGTCTGTCGACCCCTGCTGGGAGGTATCTCCCAGTCAGGAGACACGGGGGTCAGGGACTCACTTGAGGAGGTAGTCTGACCCTTAGCAGAGCTTGAGTGCTGTGCTGGGAGATCTGCTGCTCTCTTCAGAGCTGGCAGGCAGGAACATTTAAGTCTGCTGAACTTACAATTTTCCCACAGCTGCCCCTTCCCCCAGGTGCCCTGTCCCAGGGAGATGGGAGTTTTATCCATAAGCCCCTGACTGGGGCTGCTGCCTTTCTTTCAGAGATGCCCTGCCCAGGGAGGAGGAATCTAGAGAGGCAGTCTAGCTATAGAGGCTTTGGGGCACTGTGGTGGTCTCCGTCCAGTTCAAACTTCCCAGTGGCTTTGTTTACACTGTGAGGGGAAAACTGCCTACTCAAGCCTCAGAAATGGCAGACACCCCTCCCCCCACCAAGCTCAAGTGTCCCAGGTCGACTTCAGACTGCTATGCTGGCAGCGAGAATTTCAAGCTAGTGGATCTTAGCTTGCTGGGCTCCGTGGGGGTGGGATCCGCTGAGCTAGACCACTTGGCTCCCTGGCTTCAGCCCCCTTTCCAGGGGGGTGAATGGTTCTGTCTCGCTGGCATTCCAGGCACCACTGTGGTATGAAAAAAAAAATCCTGTAGCTAGCTCAGTGTCTGCCCAAATGGCTGCCCAGTTTTGTGCTTGAAACCCAGGGCCTGGTGGTGTAGGCACCAGAGGGAATCTCCTGGTCTGCAGGTTGCAAAGACTGTGGAAAAAGCATAGTATCTGGGCCGGAATTCACTATACCTCACAGCACAGTCCCTCACGGCTTCCCTTGGCTAGGGGAGGGAGTTCCCCGACTCCTTGCGCTTCCTGGTTGAGATGATGTCCCACCCTGCTTCTGCTCACCCTCCGTGGGCTGCATCCAGTGTCTAACCGGTCCCAATGAGATGAGCTGGTTACCTCAGTTGGAAATGCAGAAATCACCCACCTTCTGCGTTGATCTCGCTGGGAGCTACCAACCCGAGCTGTTCCTATTCAGCCATCTTGCCAGCCACCCTTCTCTTGGGTTTTTAAACTTCACTGCTTCAAGATGGTGAGCTATAGAGTCACCAGGAAACTGCAGGTTCCAAATGGTTTCCCCTGACCTGCCTTCCTTTTCTTCATCTACTGACTTCTCAGCCCTGAAAAATGATTCCCAAATTGCTTCTAAGTCTTTGAGAAATGTCTTCTCAGTTAAAAACCCCCAGAGAAGCTGGTTAAAGACTGAAGAGAGAACCTCAGCCCTAACTGTAGTGCCTTCATGAGATATAGAGGTTATAAACTCCAGAGAAATGAAATACCATTATGTGCATCAGAGGCCCGGGCTTGACTTTCTGATTCTGCAAGGGTACAGAAGGTTTAGAGAACCTTGGCAAATGGAGGAAAACCTAATCATCAGGGTTAATGTGCAGGACTTGACGAGTAAGAGATTGATTTCTCTTTGTTACGAAGACCAGTAGGGCTTCAGAGTTGTTGGTTTTTTAAAAAAAATATTCCCAGCTCCTTGAACCTTGGCTCTTATAAGAAATGTGGGGAAAATGTGTATATATATATATATATATATATATATAGAGAGAGAGAGAGAGAGAGAGAGAGAGAGAGAGAGAGAGAAAGAGAGAGAGAATATGTATTCTATGTAAGAATATGTATTGTGTATTCTTATGAGAATATGTGAATATATATACACATATATACATAAATATATTTTTTCTTATAGAAGATTGTCTTACCTCTTATTTTTTATTAAATAGATTTTTCTATCAAGAGGTGAATTTTCTTAAGGCAGGATGTTTGCAGAAACTAATGGAAAACAAACCTTTTTTAAAGGAGTAATTGCCTCCTTAAAAGTGCTGATTTCCATGTGAAATTTATGCCTTCTTCCAGAGGCAGTGAGGAGTACCCCAGGCAGTTCGAAGGAGACAATTCATTACTGGTTAGTGTACACACACCAAGAAGGACATTAATTCACAAAATGAAAAACTAATAGAGTGTTTAGCTGACTCTTTATCACCAGTGGCAGTCTGCACTGTCTCTCCATCATTAGTGTTTACTGAGCTGATGGAGACCGCAGTCAGGCCTGCTTATCACAGCTCATCTTAGATGACTTTACATCACTTTCAGAGCTACATGGGGCATCCCTCCTCACTTCTTTGAAATGAGGAATCCAGGGGTCTCAAGGAAGCTATGAAGTTATTGTGTCCATTTTTAAATTTTCTTCCCATTCTCTTGACTTTCTGATACATCCCAAGCAAAAACTCTAGCCCTGTACATGGTACCTTACGCTGTAGTCATCCCACAGCCACTTTCTGAGCTAATTAGAAAACTACCATCTTTACTCCTGTTTTACAGATGTAAAAACTGAAGTATAAAAGGTATGAACCATCTTTAACCAATGAGAGAGCTGGGATATTAACCTGAGAGCTACATTACTTTTTATTAAACTAACAAGAAATTTTACCCTGCTTCTTTTTCTCCTTCTTACATTCATTATTTTCCATTTTTTCAATACCCCTCATGTAAATGATTAGTCTGTCCACTATATTTATGATTTCTACTTTCTCATGTGACAGAAAAATTTTTACCAATCCGTCATCTGAAGTACAAAGCAAAGGTGTCTTTTCTTCTGAAAATGTGTTTCAGTGATTCTTGGACATACTTTAACTTTCTGGATTAGGGAGTTCGTTACTTATCTTCCTTATCTTTTAAGTTGTTTTCTTAACTAATACAAATAGGTATAATGACATTATAACAAACTTAAAATATCAGAATTGCTTTATTAAGTTCAAAGTAAATTTGAAAATATAGTGTGGTAGGAATATGCAAAGAGAGGATCATTTACATATCTTTATATTGAAATAAAGCAATGCTTAGATAAATATTGCAAATACAAAACCCCAGAAATTTTCACTGTCTACATTAGAGAATTTTTTGGTAATTTTGTGTGTTGTGGGTTTTTTGAGTTATAGAGCATGAGGAAGTGCTGAAAGTGGTCTCACTTGGAAAAGGAAATTTGGCTTCCCTGTTTTTGCCTTTGATCTCTGACTTCCATATTATATTCCCTGGGTCTGTCCCCTGTGTCACTCTCCATCTTCTCCAGTAGGCATCCCCTGCTGAGGGAACAGACAGATACATAGTCAATCAGCTGGGTAGCCACAACTGTTACACACATAGACAGGGATTCATACATCATGTGTTCTGGGGAATTTTTCCAACAGAAATTAAATCAGTGGTGCACTATCTTATGAGGACATTAGAGAAGATATTCATTTATTCAGGAAGTATTTGTGGATAGTTCAGTTTAACAAATAACACAGTACCAGCTCTGTCCCTAGGCTACAGGGACATGGATAAACAAGACCCAGCCTCTGCCTACAGGGAGTTTAAAAGTCGTGGAAAATACAGGCATGAAAGTAATCACCCCATAATATGATTCGGCGACCATGGAAAAAGCACAACATATAATTGGAATATATGATGTATACATCTTAAGGGGAATGTAAGTATCAAGGAAGGCATTCTGGAGAAGATGGCACCTGATCTGTGTCTTGAAGGGTAAATAGTAATAAGCCAGACAAAGAGGGGTTATTTATTATGTTAAATTGTTATTACATTATAGAAGTCACATTATGGAGGGTAAACTAAGTGAAAGGAAAGAAAAGGCTATGAAGTGGAAGAAAATATGGTGAGTTCAGAGTAATTCACATATTCAGTAGGGCTACATTGCAGGGCTTACTATAGGGGAGCAGCAAGAAGTAACGAAGCTAGAGAGGTAGGCAAGGTCAGTTGAGATTTTATGTGGAGGACAATGTCAAGCTATTGAAAGATTTTAGACTAAAAGAGACATGATCAGATGGTGTTTTGGAATTATTTCTCCAGTAAGAATACAGGGTAATGAATTGGAAAAGAATAATTCTTAAGGTAAGAGATTATTTAGAAACCTGATGCATTAACATGGATGATAGATGGCAAAAGATTTGTCTTAGTCTGTTTTGTGCTGCTATAACACAATACCTGAGGCTGGCTAGTTTATAAAGAACAGAGATTTATTTCTTATAGTTCTGGAGGATGGGAAGTCCCAAATTGAGGGGCCTGCATCTGGCAAGTGCATTCCTATTGCATCACCCCCTGGTGGAAGGGGGAAGGCAGAAGATGAAAAGGCAAGAGAAAAAGGGACGGGGCCGCAAACTCAGCCTTTTCATAACTAACCCACTCCTGCTATGATGGCCTTAATCCATTCATGAGGGTAGAACCCTCAGGCCTAGTCACCTCTTTAAGGTCCCACCTCTTAACATTGTTGCATTGGGGATTAAGTTTTCAGCCCATGCTTTTTGAGGGACACGTTTAAACCATAGCAGACTATACCAAGGCAGAGATAGTGGGGTTGGATTCAAGAGATATTAAGAAAGAATGATATAGGGAGTACAGGAAACGGGCATCAAAAGTGTTTCCAAGTTCTTTGTCTGTACTAGTCACACTGTGGCTATATTAAGCACTGTGCTAGGATGCAGAATCATCTATGCCAAATAGAACCATATGTTAAAATGACATTTATTAAAATGAAACTTGACCTGCACATCACACATGTGTATTACAGCTTAATTCTAAATACAAACAACTAAAGAAAACTATCCAAATTATTTAGTTGAACTAGAACTTTATACAGTTTTCCTTAGGATATACTGTTGATTCATAGAAATCTCTTCCAGTATAAAGATATTTGTAGTAATATTATTTGATCGGTAGTACACAAATCTAATCTTAGATATTATTCTCCAGACATACCTACTAGAAGCAGCAACATGGACTCACTTGAATGGCATTTTGTTCGTGCCCTGTATTTGTCCCATTCGGGAGATAGAGTGAAACAAGAGTTCTGTTTTGGGGTTAACAGGCAGAATTATAAGCAGCTAAGCAACCTAAAATAGTTCAAAACACAAAGGC
Organism: Homo sapiens; assembly: GCF_000001405.40. Lineage (NCBI taxonomy): Eukaryota > Metazoa > Chordata > Mammalia > Primates > Hominidae > Homo > Homo sapiens. The sequence continues at coordinate 133,974,733 of NC_000007.14, forward strand.
AAGGAAGGTGATTCTCACCCTAAGCAATAAGCTTTTGAATGTCCCTAAAGTAACTCAGCTTGTTAGTAGTCATTGTGAATGGTTTAATGAAAGTAAAAGTTGATGGTACTAACTGAAATAAAATTATGGAATTCTTGTGTAAGTTTCACTGAGAATTGAATCTATTGATTTTGCAAGTAGTAATCAACATCTTTGCTCTGTGTATAATGCTTTCACCCCAAATTATGGCAAAGTACCAGATGGACCATTTGCAGCAACTAAGTAAATTCAAGCGCTGTATAAATTCCTATACCTTTTTTTTTTGAGTTCTGTATCGCATATGGAGGAAAGCACAAATATTTATTCACCATCCTTGTTTATAAGTACAGTGTGGGAAATATTTTGTGGAAATTCACCTCTCTGAGAAGTTAGAAAAAATATTCAAATGAAGATTAAAATAAGTGAAGAAGGAAGAAGCAAGTGATATTTTCATAAAAGTATACTATTCACTCAGATAGAGGGTCTGGATCATGCTTTCTTGACATAAATGATGACACTGATATGGGGATAGTAGGGATGGTTTCAATTAGCTTGACATTTCCAGAAGTCAAATTCAGCCAAACTAGAATACTAGATAAGTTCTTAACTCATCTTTTGGGTGATTTTTCTTCTCCAGAGAGAAACACTTGGAGACTCAACATTTTGTGCATAATTCTGACCAAAAGGAAGAATTCATGGGAAAGTAAAAATTTATAATCTTTAAAGAATGTTATCATATCATATTGGAATTTACACAGCAAAGAAAGTAAACACTAGGCATAGCTAGATGTTTAGTTTTAAGAAAGTTAAATTTTTAGACATTTGGAGAAAATGTAGGTATGATCTCGTGAATAGAAACCTATCAAAGGGAGTGTAATTTATGATGAGGGGTGGGAGATTATACAATATAACATTTGAACTATAAAATGCTAAGTAATTTTAACAAAAAATAATAGCAAACATTCAATGACAAGGTATATTCTAAAATGCGTGTGCACACACACACACACACACACACACGCTATTCACTTTCACCATAACCCAAGAAGTAGATATCATAATCTTCATTTTTACAAATTGGGAAACTGAGTCACAGGTAGAGTAAAATAACTCAAACAAGGACACACAGCTATTAAATGGTGAAGCCAAAATTTGAACCTATTTAGTATGCCTTCACAGCCTGTGCTTTTAACCACCACACTATTGTGTAGCATTCAGAGAACTCTCTGATGAGGTCACGTAGAAGAAGATGTATTTTAAAAATGAAAGAAAAGCCCTGCAGTCAATCACAGATGAGTGCATATAGCAAGCACACAAAATGTCCGGGGGGCCTGCAGGTACAGTGTTGGAGACACTAAAGCCTAGAATGACTTAATGGTCATCAGAGATGTTAAGGACCACAAAATGCAGTGTGTGGCTATGTTTAGGCACAAAGAGAACATCAAACAGATAGGTCCACAGATTGGTGAAGTAGTGAATATAATGTTAAGAAAAAGCAGAACCACTCTAACCTCTCTTTTGTTTCTGTCTTATTTAGAAAGGGGCCTGCTCTTCAAATGTAAGGATAAGACAAGTTGTGATAAGAAACAGCTGTGAGGAAAGCGTCAGATGGCATCTGGCTTCTTTAGAGTAGAACTTAAACAGATCAAATCCAAGGGTGTTAAGGAAATTTGCTGAATTTGAGAAATTGTGGAGCATGTAAAAGGTGACAGAATACCCAGATTACAGCAGATATTCCTATTCTCAAAACAGAGTGAAGAAGAAATTCTAGAAACTACAGATTAATGTTAGATAGTGAACCAATATGATAGTTAGCACATGGAAAAGAATATGATGAGTGCCAGGAGCCAACATGGTTCACAAGAGGGAGAAAAACTATCATAGGTGCCCAAGGACTACTGAAAGAAAATGAACAGGCCTTACCATGGAAGAAACACGGGCACTATGCATATGTCCTTGTAGTTACCAGTCAGAGACCAAGTCTTGCCACAGTCTCAAATACCTTTGTTTGGTTTACAAATTGGTATGAATATGTATTTTTTTAACTTAGCTCTTATGTCCTAACAAATCAAGGTTTACCAGTATCAGCCCACTGTTTCTCTGAAAATCAAATTTGACTTAATCCAGCAAGGGAACATGCAAAACTTTAAGTTTCACTTTTTAAAAGTGAATGTTCTGATGAATGAGCCTTAGAACAAAGAGAGCTAAGCTTTTCTGCCTTGATAGGTGGTTCCTTCTCAATTTCATACCTTTAACCTAATTGCCAAAGGCTTGCTTGAGGCTTGGTGGTCTAACCTGTGGAGCCCAGAAATTGTAACACACTGAGTGTGCTCATGGGCATGGACTTTGTTTGGAAGATACATTCAGTCTTAAGCTGAAGCTTTTACAGAATAATTGAAAGCAGCTCCAAATTGAGTGACCTTGCTAAGAAGTCTGTTTTGGTGGGGTCTACATCTTTAACCTGGGATTCTAGAAAATAGTAGAGAAACCCATGGCATACTTTTCTAAAAAGTTAAAAAGTAAAATAGTCCTGTGAAACATTTTCTGAAAGGAATGTTGAATCTTCTTTGCAAGGGCATCTTGTGTGTGTTATTGAGAATAAGAGCAATTCATAATGTGTTCAGTATTCACTAAATCCAAAAAAAAAGATACTAGAGTTTATGTAGCAAAAATAATGAAGAGAAAGGAGAAAGCAAATCACTTGCTTCCAAATAAATATTATTTATATAGATTGTCCTCCCACTCGTCCTCAGCCTATAGGAACGGTGCCATAATTTGAATGTTTGACTTCTATCCCTGCCTTGGCTCACAGCTAGAGAGTGGAGTGCAGTAGGAACTTGTTTGCTGTGACCAAATCTTTCCTTTTCAAAGATAGTGGTTTGCGAGCAGCTGGTTTTTTCTTTGCTTTGGGTTGGTTTGTTTTGTTGTTGTGGTTTATTTGTTTGTTTTTGTGTGTGTGGTTTTTTGTTTGAGTTGGTTTTGTTGTTTTGTGTGTGTGTGTGTGTGTGTGTGTGTGTTTGTTTGTTTTAGCAGCAGAACCCTTTCTTCTAGCAGAATTTTACTGTAAAGTCTGAATTGGGTAACAAATCAAAGTGGAGCCTCTCTGACTAAGGAAGCAGGGAAGGCAAGATGGAGAGAATGGAGACTGAAAAATGTTAAATTGAATTAAGTTTGGCCCAAAGCTGCCTCTGTACATGTTTTAAGTTTGACCAAAAGGTTTCTTTGTACATAGTGAACTGTAACCTAACTTGATGTGCAAACAGACTAGAACTTACTCTTGTAACAGGTAGCTGAGTCTCAGCCAGTCACAGCAGCCAAGCTTCAGTCAGTGATAGGCAGCCAACTCTTCAACCCAGGTTCAAATGAGGCAAACACTGAGCTTTAACCAAGTATGCATCCTTTGTACATCCCTCCCGTTACATGTCACTTCCTTTTCTCTGGCTATAAATATAATCTACACATGTGGTAGAGCAGAGCATTCTGAACCATTTTTGGTCTGGGCTGCTGCACTATTCTAGAATCACAAATAAAAGCCAGTTGAGATCTACGTTTGTTGTAATTTGGTCTTTTAACAGAGATTAGGAACTCTGCAGGGCACTTTCCAAAAATCCTTGCCTTAGAGGTTGCAGCATTGCATTAAAGGTAGCCCAGAGATCCTTGGTGACCCTTCATCTCACTACTTCCTGGTCCAGTCTTCTCTGAGATTTAAAGTGCCATAGTTCAAAAATGTCTCAGGAGTAGAAGGTTACATTCATTCATCAAGGCTCAGTTGGGAGAACAGAAACCATTTTAGGTATTTCAAGCAAGAAGGAATTTAATGTAGGGAATACGATGTTTTAGAAATTGCTGAAAGGGCTTAGACAGCCGTTGGAAGGATACAAAAAGCAAGGAATCTAGCTGCTGCCTTTCAGGATAATCAGGAAATGCAGCCGGGGATTTCACCTTCCTGCTGCGAGGAAGCAGCTGTCTGCAGGAGCTCTTCTGGAAGCTGCTGCAAGCTTCTGATTTGCCAGCTGCCTGAGCATCTTTCTGCCACTGTAAGAAGAGAATCCTGCCTTCCCTTTCTTTTTGCCTTACACAGCTTTTGGGAGTACATCTCAATGGCAGAATCCAAACCCAAAACCCCTACTGGCAAGAAGTTGTAGATGTTCCTATGCTTCCAGGAAAGTGGCTAGAGGTGACACTGAGTTGACAACAGACAAAGCACAAGGGTATGTTCCCATTTCACTCTGTACAGTAAATTTAGTCTAGAGTAATAGGAAGGTGAACGTATTTCCAAGAAAGCAGATAAAATAACAAGTCTCCTGTGGTAGTAAATATAAAAAGCATCTTTCCAAAATAATCCTGATTCAGCTGTTTTAAGCCTTAGTGGAAAACCTGATTTGTCAGTGTTTTTATGTATATATTAAAATAATTTATAATCCAATTTCTGTCTCTTCAGGTGAATATAACACAATTTCTATCATTTGAGGTCAAAACTTCATAGGTATCATAATGGCTGTTTAGATTCAGAATCATTACTGTCTTACCTTTACCACCAGGTAAAGGTAATCACACTTGAGTGTGATTACACTCAAGTAATCTTCTTCCCTTCTCATAGTGCCTCTTTGGTAGAAAGGAAATAAACGGCGGTCAGGAAATAAATGCTGACTCCAGGCCCTGTTTGAGTAAGGCAGACATGATCTCTCAATCACATGAACAATTTACAGGCTTTGGTGAATATTCTTTGAATTCCTAAAATAACCCCTAAGTTGCGGCTGGGTGCGGTGGCTCACGCCTGTAATCCCAGCACTTTGGGAGGCCCAGGCAGGTGGATCACAAGGTCAAGAGATCGAGATCATCCTGGCTAACATGGCAAAACCCTGTCTCTACCAAAAATACAAAAAAATTAGCCGGGCATGGTGGCGGGCGCCTGTAGTCCCAGCTACTCGGGAGGCTGAGGCAGGAGAATGGCGTGAACCTGGGAGGCGGAGCTTGCAGTGAGCCGAGATCGCACCACTGCACTCCAGCCTGGGCGACAGAGCGAGACTCCATCTCAAAAAAAAAGAAAAAAAAACCCTAAATTGCCTTCGTTAAAGAACCTAGCTTGGCAGACATCCTTTCCTTGGAAAGGGAGATGCCTGTCATTCTTCAAAATAATGTTAAAAACACTGATTTATCTCCTCCCACGCTGCTCCTCAACATCATTCCTGGCTTTCCTACCAATCTACCACCTACCTCATGCCTGAAGGCCATCTCTACCACTGAACTGGCGACTGGAGAAAGGCATTCTCCCCTTTTTATGTATGAAAAGATAAAATTTGAACCTGCCCTCTGCCTTAATCCCTTTTCTCTCCTGCGTATTTTCACTAATTTAAACATTGCCAGAATCCTGTGCTGTTCTCATACTTCTATGATGCCTTATTTTAAGTTCAAAATGTCATGATCTTACCCAGTGTGTATGTTTAATGGATTAATGTATCATTTTCTTTCTGGCCATTAGCCACATGAACAACTAGGCCCACAGCTGTCAGATTTCTTGCAAGGTTTTTCGAGGAGTGAGAGGATGAGTCTAGGAATCTCACTCTTCCAGGATCCTCACCAGGGGGTTCAATAAAGATCACTTCAATGTGCTGAGCACTTACTGTGTGCCGAAGGTTGTTCTAAATGCTTCATGTGTTTTATATCATTGAATCCTTACAATGACCCTTTGAGGCTGAAAATGTAGTCACTTCAATAAACAGGTTTAACGATTTCCCCAAGGTTATCCAGTTAGTAAGTGGTTGAATCATAATGTAACTACTACTTTCTGGGCCAATCAAAAAGAAATGGTTGTCAATCCAAAAGAAGTGTTGTATGTAAGAATTTGGTTCTTAGTTAATAGGAGAATACTCATATCCTTTTACTTAGCGAAAAATATTTAGATTTTGAAGTAATATCCTGAAATTGTGTAGTCAACTGATAGAGATGATTGCTTCTCCATGTAGCTTACTCTCAACTGGCATAAACACAGATTGATTATTAATCTTTTACTTTTTAAAAATTGATTCTGGAAGCATCTATATGAACTGTTAATTATTCTAGGGATTATGTGGCAAAACTGGAATGGATGTGTGAATAGTATTCATGTGTTACTAACGTATAAAGACAGAAATATAGTCATATATTATTAACCTTCACAAAGCATTAGTCAATATGTGTATCACACCACCTCATCAATCAGCCTGCACAGGGACTGTCTGACACCAGACAGATTAAAGGGGAGGTACTTAACTATTATCTTCACCCCATGCTGAGAGGTGGCCACACTTGTCCTCACTGAGTAGAAATTGTCTTAGCAAGATTTACACCTGCAAAGTCTGTACCATGTGTCAACTAGTTAATTCTCTGTTTTTTACTTCTAACATGCTTCAGAGGAGCCCCCACCAATTACACAGCTACTCATGGTGATGATCTATGTACTTGGTGGCAGGGTCAGCTTCTTCTTCCAGATAAATCAGTTGTCCAGATGTTATCCACATGGCAGTCAGAGTGGCCATGGCTTCTAAGATTCTGCCTATTTTCCTCTGCAGTCTCGATGGCTCTCAGATTTTGCGATCAAATGTATAAAGCTAGTGTCATTGTTTCAGTGCCCACATAAAACTGTAGATGGAGTGAAAAATACTGGGTTTTTAATTTACAAGAAAATACAACCCCATAAAAAAGTGGGCAAAGGACATGAACAGATATTTTTTTAAAGAAGACATACATGCAGGCAACAAGAAAAAAAAGCTAAAAGTCAGTGATCTTTAGAGCAATGCAAATGAAAACCACAATGAGATACCATCTCACACCAGTCAGAATAGCTATTATTAAAAAGTCAGAAAAATAACAAATGCTGGTAAGGTTGTGGAAAAAAGGGAACATTTATACCCTCTTGGTGGGAGTGTAAATTAGTTCAACCATTGTGAAAAACAGGTGGCGATTCCTCAAAGGGCTAAAAACAGAACTACCGTTCTACCCAGCAATCCCATTACTGGGTATATGCCCAAAGGAATATAAATAGTTCTACTATAAAGACATATATATGTATGCAAATGTTGACTGCAGCACTGTTCACAATAGCAAAGACATGGAATCAACCTAAATGCCCATCAATGGCAGATTGGATAAAGAAAATGTGGTCCATATATACCATGGTAGACCATGCAGCCATAAAGAAGAACAAGATCATGTCTTTTGATGGAACATGGATGGATCTGCAGGCCATTATCTTTAGCAAAGTAATGCAGGAACAGAAAACCAAATACCACACGTTCTTACTTATGAGTGGGAGCTAAATGATGAGACCTCATGGACACAGAAGGGAACAACAGACTCTGGGCCCTACTTGACGGTGAGAGGAGGGAGAGGATCAGAAAAAATAACTACTGGGTATTAGGCCTATGCCTGGGTGACAAGATAATCTGTACAACAAACCCCCATGACGCAAATTTACCTATATAACAAACTTACACAGGTACCCCTCAGCCTAAAATAAAGGTTTAAATTAAAAAGATACGGGCCGGGTGTGGTGGCTCACGCCTGTAATCCCAGCACTTTGGGAGGCCGAGGCGGGCAGATCACGAGGTCAGGAGATCGAGACCATCCTGGCTAACACAGTGAAACCACGTCTCTACTAAAAATACAAAAAATTAGCCAGGCGTGGTGGCGGGTGCTTGTAGTCCCAGCTACTCGGGAGGCTGAGGCAGGAGAACGGCATGAACCCGGGAGGTGGAGCTTGCAGTGAGCCGAGATCATGCCACTGCACTCCAGCTTGGGTGACAGAGTGAGACTCTGTCTCCAAAACAAAACAAAACAAAAAAAGATACTGGGTTTTTGTTACTTATTCAACACCTTTATTGAGGAGGAGGAGGAATTGCCATGTATTAGCAATTGTGTGTCAAACGCTGTTCTAAGCCTTTATATAGTTTCTCATTTAATCATCAGAATCCTATGGGTCAGATAGGATGATCCTCCTTTCACAAGTGGCAAATCTGTTACAGAGAACTTCTTCCAAATAGTATAATATATGAGAAAGTCGGAAATATGAACTCAGGTCAGTCCGCCTCCAAAGGACCACCTTCCTGTTCACTATACTTGGTACTTACCTGCTGGTTTCAGAAAACACATTATGTGTTAGGGATACAAAGATAAAAGTGAGGTTGTACCTGCTATTGCTTAAGAGGTATGATAGTCTGTTCTTGCACTACTATAAAGAAATACCTGAGACTGAGTAATTTGTAAGAAAACAGATTTAATTGGCTCATGTTTCTGCAGGCTATACAGAAAGGACAGTGCTAGCATCTGCTTCTGGGGAGGCCTCAGGAAGCTTCCAGTCATAGCAGAAGGAAAAGGGGAGCAGGCATCTCACATGGCAGGAGCAAGAGGCTGGATATTCACACGCTTTAAACAACCAGATCTTGCAAGAACTCACTCACTATTGTGAGGATGGCACCAAGCCCTAAGGGATCCTCCCCCATGACCCAAACACCTCCCACTAGGCCCCACCTCCAACATTGGGAATTACATTTCAACATGAGGTTTAGAGAGGACACCTTTCCAAACTATATCAAGAAGGTAATGAGTATTTCAACTTAGATCCAAATTTATGAGTGATGCAGCTGCCTCAGAAAGAAACCCATGAAATAAAGCAACTGGAAAAAGTTAAGTTGAAGAGGAACTCCATATGGGACTTCCAATTCAACTGCTTTAGTTCTATTTCCGCTTACTTGCTGTGTCATATTGGGAAGTATGCTTTATTTCTGTTTGGTTCAGTTTCACCAATTTTAAATTGTCCTAATGTTTCCAATTTACCCAGTGAATAAGCCGTTCCCTAAGGCTCTTTGGAAGATTTACATATACTTAAGCTAGAAGGATCCTGTTTGAACACATAGACAAATGTTACCTCTCTGCCATGTAATATTTTTGCCTCTAAAATTCTGCTAAGCTTAAATCTGTGTCCCTTATTCATCCAAAAATACCTTGTTAAGTATTGGTTAACACTTTTAGATGCTCTTTGATGCAGGGTTTTACAGAAATACAAAAGGCTTACAAAAGTCCATGGAAATCTAATACAGCACCACAATACTGCTTTTCAACAGAAGAACAGGAGCTGTTCATTAGCCCCCACTCCCCTACCCACCCTGTTTCTCTTTCATATCCGGCAGGAGCTGAATTGGCCACACCATATGCTTTTTTAGCAAATGATGAGTTTTTTTACCAAGCCTTAGGGAGGATTATTTGGAATAAAGGAAAAATCAATCGTAATGTTTCTCCCCAGGACTGAAAGACACTGAAGTCTGTACTATCAATCACAAGGTATAAAAAACATGTGTCTAGGCTGGTTTGCACTGTATGCAGATAGGACCCCAAAGCTAAACGTCCTTGGGGACCTAGGGCTTGCTCAGACTTGTTACCATCAAGCACTGTTTCCTGAGTAACCAGATGCAATTTTCTCTCTGCAGAGCTGTGCAGTGTGTAGTGTGTACTCTTGGCTCACGACTGGCCTCTTATCCTGTGGTAGCCTAAGGGAACGACTATCCATTTCTACTTTGGCTGTTATTTTTGTTTTGCTCATCAGAATGAGCCTTCCATGAATCTCCTTTGTTCTTTCTATATAGTTTGATATTTGGAACAATTCTTCCATTTCAGACGCTCATATCCTTCCTGGAGCTTTAGTTTCTTACCCTGAAACAGAATAATGTTCCAGGTGAATGAACTATTTGGAAGACATTAAGTTAAAGGCATTGTGAAAATATAATGAAAAAAATGGTTATAAAACTCTTTGATTTGTCCTTAACTTGAAGATAAAATTCAACAAACATTATCAGCAGTCTACTGAGAGTAAGGAAGAGCTATACACTGAGAGATGCCAGGAAGAAGTAGTTATTGTTTTTGTTATCACAGATCTCACAATCCACTAGGAATGCTGTGGGCAAATACAGTGCAAGATGAAATGTGCTAAGTCCGTAGGAGAGAGGCAGAGTGTTACCAGGGCTCGAAGGATGGCCCTTAGCTTTGTTGCAGGCACAGTGCAAGGTGCCACATCTCCCATTTGGTCCTCACAACAACTCCCTAAGTTGTGTATTTGAGGAAAACGAGACTTAGAGTTGTTAAGAAATTTGTTCTAGAGGTAATAAAAAGTGCAAGAATAAATTATATTCCTCTGGGAAGCAGCAGGAGAAAGTATGGTTTCATAGAGATGAAAACGTCTCTTAAGCAGCAGAGTTTGGTTTTTACTCTTTTTTGGGAGGCTCATAATAGTATATTCTCAAGCGAATGTTGAGACATCTAAGACATTAAGCTGGGCAGTGAATGGAACAGGTATATCTTTTCTTCCCCCAAGAGTTAATGTTTGTAGTTAGGGTAATATAAGATATTTCGGAGGAAGCATTCTAAGAAACACTAAAAAGTTATATTGTCCATAGTCTTATGACCAGTGGTTGGGGGAAGGTGTAACACATGATCATGTAAATAACAAATGGTACCGCATAAAAGAAAGTAGGTCTCTGCCTCCTATACCCAAATATAAAACATCCCCTCTGTGAAAGTTCATTATACAAATTGGGTCATTCTTGTCATCCCCAACTGAATCAAACTCAAGAGGCCACAGGTAAAATCACTCTGTGTACATTACACCTGCTCCAAGAATTAAATGTTCCACAAGCCCAGCTGCTGAAATGGCCTGCTGTAACTCTAAGACCAGTTTTACCTAGAAGCTGCTTAAACAACCTGCTGTGACTCTAAGATTGCTTTTATCTACCACCATCACTCCCAGTCAGAGCTTGACAGCTACCAGAAGCTCCTCTAGGGCCAATGAGCTTTCTTTTAAACAATATGTAATATTTGTCTTTCTCGTAAGACTCTTAACCTTCTCTTTGTTCTTTGGACATGTCACAAACCACCCATTCTCTGTGTATGCCCCAAATTGCAATTCTTACTTTCCAAATAAAATACTTTAAATTTAGACATTCATCTCTATATTTTGTCTGACTTCAACACCTCCATATTCAGGAAGCATTTTTTAAATATAAATATATTACCAATTATGTGACTAGACCATAGAACAGCACATATAATTAAGACACCTTCTCCCGATCCTCCAGTTCCCTCATTCTTATCCCTTTTTTCCTTCCTGATAATTTCTTCCACTTTTCTCCATCCCAGTTCTTAATAAATCCCTTTCATCTCTCTTCTTCTTCTGTAAAAGTGGGCAAAAGAGAGAGAGCAGTGAAAAGGCAGGGAATGATTGCTCCGTTATTGAGATGTAAAAGGATTCATTGGTTGGATGTTGTGCTTCAGAGCGTAGGCTTTATTTCCACATCTGGCTATACACATGTGTATGCATGCATAGGACCTAATCTGACTAATGTGCATTATGTCCCCATCCTTTGCAATCAGAATATCAATGAGCATGGTGGTTTTCAAAATTAATTGATTTTGCTATTAATAGTTCAAACCTAAAATTTCTGGGATCTGTGAAAAGAGGTAGTTATTACTTGGAGGCAGAAGAACTATTGCTTCTGAAATAGGAAGCAAAATGAAGAGAGCTTTCCAAATGTGTTTCTTAGATAAGGCCCATCCTTATGTAGAAACATAGCAAAAGAACTTAAAACTAGATTATAGATGGTTTGGAAGATGGGAAAGAACAAGTAAATACATGAATTGCTAGTAGTGGCAGAAGCCAAGTACTGTTGGGAAAAGAGTAGTAGCTTTGGAAAAAGGGACTCAGGAAAAGAGTGATCAAAAATAGTTACTATGAAATTTTAGTTTGGCGTAATGACTTAGTTCAAGAAGAAAGGACATCTCTATTCCAAGAAAGTTCAAATCAAATGTTAATAAGCTGGTATGTACTTTAGCATGTGAAGATCACCCCTCTGTTCCAAAAACCGGTAGGCTTCATAAATAAATAATTTATTTCTTAAACATGTATTTAGTGCCTACAGTGTACAAAGCACTGGGGTAAGGAAAGATTAGTTTGTACAGGTTTGCAAATAATTCAAGGCAATAAATAAAATGTAGGGACAGTAGTACAGAGAAATTATGAAGACTGGGGGTAGAATTAGCTGGCATTAAAGCTCCAGCTTGGAACTGGAGTATTATGGTGTCTGACACTCAACTGTGATCCCAGTGTTAGGCTTGATAGCAGCATATCCCTTAGGCATTTAAGGAGAGGAAAGAAGTTAGATGGAGGGGCTCCTGTCACTGTCCCCACTGACTTTGTAGGCCTCGTGAATCCTTAATATCACAGACCTAATGAGCATTCCTATTTTTATTTTTTTTTAAGTATTTAGTTTTGTCCAGGCAACAACATCAAAGGATTTCAGAGTTGTCTTAAGACCTGGTAACATATTGCTATAGAAGTTAGGAAGGTACTATTAATAGTTTTCTAAATAGGAAAACTGAAGATTAAAAATTAAATATTTTGGGGCTGGGCAAGGTTCCTCACGCCTGTAATCCCAGCACTTTGGGAAGCTGAGGTGAGAAAATCATTTGACCCCAAGAGTTTGAGACCAGCGTAGGCAACATAGCGAGACCCTTTCTGTACAAAAGAATTAAAAAATTAGCCAGGCGTGGTGGTGCTCACCTGTAATCCCAGCTACTTGGGAGATGAGGTGGGAGGATTGCTGTCTTAGAAAGAAAGAAAAAGAGAGAGAAAGAAAAGAAGGAAGGGAGGAAGGGAGAAAAGAGATGGAAGGAGGGAAGGAATGAAGGAAGGAGAGAAAGGAGGGAAGCGGGGAGGGAGAGAAGAAGGAAGAGGAAAGGAAAGAACTTATTTTATCCCAAGTTAGAGTAGAAAACTGTGTGGTGTCTTTCACCTCTGTACAAATAGGAAGAGGATTTGGAAATCATTATTATACCAAAATTTGATCTTCTAAAATGTTTTCAATGAGAAAATCTCATGGGATCATTCTTCACTGTCTTTTTCTATCTTCTAGAAAGTTTGAATTCACAGTGTTAACCTTTCCTTTCGTGCCGAGATAACCATCTTTCCCTTTTCAATTTCTCACTTGCCTGACAGCTGATACCAGTCTAAGCTAATATTGTAACAATTTTAGATAATATTGCAGATGCACAAGGACATCCTCATATGAATCAATTAAAGAAGTCACAGTGAGTTGCCATTGAAAGTGTGGCAGCTGCATCCTTGAAAGCAGATGCTCTTCTGGGTCTGAATGAGTCCAATTTTAACTAATTTTAAGACCTAAACAGATTTCAGTCTGGTTAATATTAGGATGTGGAACCACTTGAGACATCCTAATGTCCTAGTCTGATTACTTCTCCATGACAGTTTGTATGTTGACTTTCCTTGAGAGATGCTGGGTACTTAATGCCAGGCATTTTTATGTCAATCGTAAAGAGAGACCCCAAGTCATGGCTGCAGCAAAGTGCACTGACAACTCGTGAAATTGAAGTGGCTTCTAACAGCAGCATGATTTATAGGGAAAGAACTTGGGGTATAGGGATTCACCAGAATTGCTTTAAACTATATTTCTGTTAGATTCCTGAATCCCCAGAAACAGGCTATAATGAACTACTTCCCCATCCCTACTCTCTCTCTAGATTATACTCAGAAAACTAAGGAGAAAGTTAGAGTTGTAAATGGCAAGTTGCTCCTTCTTTTTTCTGATTTTTCTTTAACAATCTGTTATTATGTTCTTTGTCATATTGCATTGGTCAGTTTAATTAAAAAGGCATTGATTGAGCTTCTGTAATGCCTCTAGTTATTCTGCTGGCCTTGAATGGGGGAAAATATATATAATACATAATTCTTTCACTGAAGTAATTAATGATCTGGAAGGGAGACATAGTTAATGGAATATACCTTCTATTCTAGAATTGAGAGGGGTAGGGGAACATCCAGAAGAGCCATTGACCCTTCCTGGGGAATCAGAAAAGACTTTCTGAGCCAGAGAAGGCATGAATAGTTTTGAAAGAGGAGTAAGAGCCATCAAAGGTGTAGAATCATGAGACAGCATGATATGTTTAGGAAATTTGCTTTAGACAGGTGGTAAATCAAACGGCCCAGGGTTGGAGAGGGGATACGCTGAAGAGAAAAAAGAAAGTGGTAAGAGATGGAGAAAATCTGGAGGGTTGGACAGAAATAAAAAATCTTGGAAAGCTTTGCTAAGGAGCTTAGACTTGATCATATAAGCCTTGGGAAACACTGATGTTATTTATACAAGAAATTAACATAGTCAAATTTGTGTTTTGGGTAAATAACTTATCTGACTCATATTTAATTAGATAAAAGGGGGCCAGGTAAGAAGCAGAGACACCAGTCAGGTAACTATTGCAGTAGTCCATGGAAGAGATGGGGTCCAAACCAAGAAAGTGGCAGTAGATAACAGAAAAGAAAAAATAAATATTAAGAAAATATTTGTAAATAAAATTGGTACAAATTTTTCTTTGCTAGAGAGAGTCAAAAATTACACTCACGTTTGCAGCTGGGATTCCCAGATTGATGTATCACCTATAAAAAGAGAATTCAGGATAGAGAACAGATGCTAAAGAAAGATAATGAGTTTAGTTTTGAACACATTGCATTTGAGATGCCTATGGGATATACAGGTAGCAGTATCTTGCAAATCATTAATCAAATAAGGTTTAGGAGCCATCATTTCATGGATAATAGTGTAAACAATGAAAAGGGATGAGCTCACTCAGAACATATTGGCAAGTAAGGAATACCACTAGAGGAAAAAGTCCCCAGAAACACCGGCATTATGGATGGACTAAAGGAAGGGGATTCAGTGAAGGAAACTATGGAAGAAATGCCAGAGAGAGAAAACAACACCCAGAAGAGTATGCCATATAAGCCAAAAGAAGATGATTTCAAGAAGTAAAGGGCCAGTGAATTCAGAGATAGCAGAGAGCCTGCATGAGATGAGGACTGAAGAGCAGCCAGTAGATTTGGCAATTACAGTATCATTGATGGCTATTACCAGAAAAGTTTTGAATAAAAAGGTGAGGGCAGAGTCAGATTGTGGCACACTGAAGAGTTAATAGGAGGTGGGACTGGAGAAAGTCAGTGTTGAGATTCTTTTGAAGTGTTTGTTGAGGACTAACAGGGAGCAGGTAGGACAAAGGGCCTGAGGAGAACAGCGCGAATTTGGAAAAATTGCTGAGAAAGGGAAGGAGGTAGCCAAGCACCAGGGAAAGGATTGACAAGTGGTACCGCAAGCTTCTTTTGAAATTAAAATCCAGAACGTTTTAGTGGCAACAATCTATACATTTTTGTCTTTTTAAATTAATATATTATAGCTGTACGTATTTTGGGGGTACATGTGATATTTTGATAAATGTATACAATGTATAATGATCAAATCAGGGTAACTGGGATATCCATCACCTCAAACATTTATCTTTTCTTTATGTTGAGAACATCACAATTCTCTTCCATCTATTGTGAAGTATACAATAAATTATTGTTAAGTATAATTACCGTGTGGTACTGTCAAATACTAGAACTTATTTCTTCTAAGTGTATTTTTGTGCCCATTAACTAACTTTCCCCTCCCCCCCCCACCCCTTTTTATTTCTCAGCCTCTAGTAATCACCATTCAGCCTCCATGAAATTCCCTGTTCAGGTCCCACATTTGAGTGAGAATGTGTGATATTTGTCTTTCTGTGCTAGCTTATTTCACTTAATATGATGACCTTCAGTTCCATCCATGTTGCTCGAATGACAGGATTTTATTCTTTTTGTTTGTTTTTGAGATGCAGTCTCACTCTGTAGCCCAGGCTGGAGTGCAGTGGCGCAATCTCGGCTCACTGCAACCTCCTCCTCCTGGGTCCCGGTTCAAGCAATTCTCCTGCCTTAGCCTCCTGAGTAGCTAGGATTACAGGCACGTGCCACCATGCCCAGCTAATTTTTGTATTTTTAGTAGAGACAGGGTTTCAGCATGTTGGCCGGGCTGGTCTTGAACTCCTGACCTCGTGATCCACCCACCTCGGCCTCCTGAAGCGCTGGGATTACAGGCATGAGCCACTGTGCCCCACCAGGATTTTATTCTTTTTATGGGTGAATAATATTCCATTGTGTATATCTACCACATTTTCTTCCACCATTCATGAATTGGTGGATATTTAGGCTGGTTCCCTATTTTGGCTATGGTGAATAGTGCTGCAACAAACATGGGAGTGCAGATGTCTCTTTGATATACTGATTTCCTCTCTCTTGGATATACCCAGCAGTGAGATTGCTGGCTCATATAGTAGTACTATTTTTAGTTTTTGAGGAAACTGCATGCTGTTTTCCATAATGGTTATACTAATTTACATTCCCACCAACAATGTATGAGCATTCTTCCTTCTCCACATCCTCACCAGCATTTGTCTTTTTTATAATAGTCATTCTCACTGGTGTGAGATGATGCCCCCTTGTGGTTTTTATTTGCAGTTCCCTAATGATTAGTGATGTTAAGCATTTTTTTCATATACCTGTTGGCCATTTGTATGTCTTCTTTTGAGAAATGTCTATTCAGGTCTTTTGCCTATTTTTATAGTCAGATTATTTGTTGTTTTTTTTGTTTTCGTTTTTTGTTTTTTGTTTTTGCTATTGAGTTGTTTGAGTCCCTTACATATTCTGGTTATTCATCCCTTGCCAGGTATATACTTTGAAAATAATTTGTTTCATTATATATGTTGTCTCTTCACTTTGTTGATTGTTTCCTTTGCTTTGTAGAAGCTTTTTTGGCTTGGCGTAATCCCATTTGTTTATTTTTGCTTTTGTTGCCTGTGCTTTTGAGGTCTTACCCAAAAATCTTTGCCCATATCAATGTCCTGTAGCATTTCCCCAATGCTTTTTTCTAGTAATTTCATAGTTTTTAGGTCTTATGTTTAAATCTTTAATCCATTTTCAGTTGACTTTTTTAATAAGTTAAAAAATGAGCATCTAGTTTCATTCTTTGGCATACAGATAGCCAGTTTTTCCAGTACCATTTATTAAAGAAACTGCCCTTTCCCCAATGTGTGTTCTTGGTGCCTTTGTCAAAATGAATTGGCTGTTAAGTGTGTGAGTTTATTTCTGGGTTCTCTATTCTGTTCCATTGGTCTATGTGTCTGTTTTTTATGCCAATACCATGCTGTTTGGGTTACCATAGCTTTGTAGTACAATTTGAAATCAAAGTAGTGTGATGCCTTCAGCTTTCTTGTTTTTGCTCAGGATTGCTTTAACTATTCTGGGTCGTTTGTGATTCCATTTGAATTTTAGGATTCTTTTTTCTATTTCTGTGAAGAATGTCATTGGTATTTTGATAGGGATTGCATTGAATCTGTAGGTTGCTTTTGGTACTATAGACATTTCAATAATATTAATTATTATTTCAATCCAGGAGTGTGCATATCTTTCCATTTTGTGTGTGTGTCTTCAATTTCTTTCATCAGTGTTTTATAATTTTCCTTGTAGATGTCTTTTACTTTGATTAAATTTATTCGTAGGTTTTTCTTATTGTAAATTGGATTTTTTTTCTTGATTTCTTTGGTGGATTGATTGCTGTTCGCATCTAGAAATGCTACTGGATTTTTGTTTTGTTTGTTTGTTTTTTTGATACAGGGTCTGACGCTGTTGCCTAGGCTGGAATGCAGTGATGCAATCTCAGCTCACTGCAACTTCTGCCTCCCAGGCTCAAGTGATCCTCCCGCCTCAGCCTCCTGAGTAGCTGAGATTATAGGCACCCGCCACCAAGCCCGGATAATTTTTGTACTTTTATTAAAGACAGGGTTTCACTATGTTGGCCAGGTTGGTCTCTAACGCCTGGTCTCAAGTGATTTGCCCGCCTCAGGCTCCCAAAGTGCTGGGATTACAGGCATGGGCCACCGCACCTGGCCTGATTTTTGTATGTGGATTTTGTATCCTGCAACTGTACTAAATTCATTTACCAGTCCTAAGAGTTTTGGGGTGGAGTCTTTAGGATTTTCTAAATATAAGATCATGTCATCTGCAAACAAGGATAATTTGATTTCTTCCTTTCTATCTTGGATGCCGTTTCTTTCTTTATCTTACCTAATTGCTCTGGCTAGGATTCCAGTACTATGTTGAATAAAAGTGGTGAAAGTGGGCATCCTTATCTTATTCCAGAACTTAGTGTAAGGCTTTCAATTTTTCCCCATTCAGTATATTAGCTGTGGGCCTGTCATAGATGGCCTTTATCATGATGAGTTATGTTCCTTCTATACCCAGTTTCTTGAGAGTTTTGATCATGAAGGGATATTGAATTTTATCAAGAACTTTTTCTGGCATCTGTTGAAATGATCATATGATTTTTGTCCTTTATTCTGTTGATGTGATGTATCGCATTTATTGATTTGCATATGTTGAACCATCTTTTCATCCCTGGGATGAATCCCACTTGATCACAGTGAATGATATTTTTAATGTGTTGTCAAATTCTATTTGCTAGCACTTTGTCAAGGATTTTTGCATTTATATTCATCAGGGATATTGGCCTGTAGTTTTCTTTTTTATTGTTTCACTTTGTCTAGTTTTGGTATCAGCGAACAATATGTTCTTTTGTTTTCCTGTCAAATGATGAGTTGTAGAATTGACTCAATGTTACATGAGTTTTAGGACAATTATAGTGAAAGAAAAGTATTCAAGGGAGTTGAGGTTTATGGTCAAAGAGTAGCTCAGGGAATCAACCATGCAATCCATGCTGAGGATCCTAAGAGGGACTTTTTCTACCAGGAGAAAATGAAGGGATTACAGCATTAAAGTTATAATGGAAATGAGGGTGGGAGAGAGTTGAAAGAAGAAAAGTTTTTGATCTGAGAATATGATACTAGAATTTAAAATTTCAGAGGTTGAAAACAGGATTTAACTTGGCAGCAAGTTATTAATATATATTTTTAATTTGCAGTGATTTAAAGAGGTGTTTGTTTTTCTAATATAGCAAAAAGTCTGAAGTCAAGCAGTTGCTTCTTTTGGCCAATGGTCCAACAATACTTAGTCCAGCACCTCTCTGATTCTTGGTCTTTTCCTCTTAATAGGAAGATGATGCAACTTCAGATACCTCAATCAAATCAGAAAAGCAGGGAAAGTGGGAGCAAGTGGTGGCCACAGCCTCAATTCTCCTTTTATCAGGAAAAACAAAAGACTTCCCAAAAGCCACAAAAGACTCTACTTAGGGGGTCAGTGGACAGACTATGACACACGACCACCTCTAGCAACAAATAGGGCTGAGAATACAAATATTTAGCCTTCCAGAATCTGTAATGGAGTGAGCAAGGGAGAGAATGGAACTGGAAGTAACTGTTGGTTCGCCAAAAAGGCAGTGTCTGCTCCAAAGACCAATGTTCAGCTTCCTTTCGTGGAACAATGTTTATGTAGTACAGAAAGCCACAATCATCCTGCCACAAACAGCTAACTAGGTGACTTAAAGATGCATGCTTTATGATGTTCCCCTCCCTGTGCCCATGTGTTCTCACTGTTCAACTCCCACTTATGAGTGAGAACATGCAGTGTTTGGTTTTATGTTGCTGTGTTAGTTTGCTGAGGATGATGGTTTCCAGCTTCATCGATGTCCCTGCAAAGGACATGAACTCATTCTTTTTTATGGCTGCATAGTATTCCGTGGCATATATGCACCATGCCTATCGGGGGGAGGAGGGCAAGGGGAGGGAGAGCATTAAGACAAGTACCTAATGCGTGCGAGGCTTAAAATCTAGATGATGGGCTGATAGGTGCAGCAAACCACAATGGCGCCTGAATAACTGTGAAACAAACCTGCACGTTCAGCACATGTATCCCAGAACTTAAAGTAAGCTAAAATAAAAATAAAAGATGGCATGCTTTATGCAGTGGTCACAGGAGGAACAGACATACTAGGAATGATCTGATGTCATCCATCCCTAGTATTAGGAAAACAGCTCAAAGTGCATGTCTTCATAAAGCGATCAAGCACTTACATATTTAAAGCCCAATACGCGTGGGCTCTTCTGATATGAAGGGTAATACTATAGATAAATATACAACAATGTAGCCTTTAAAGGGTATGTACAAGGTTTTGTGTGTGTGTGTGTGTGTGTGTGTGTGTGTTTCTAGTAATCTCATACCTTAACTGTAACCTCCCAAGCAGATTGTGTTAGCATTGCTTTTTTATAGATTTTCATTTGACATTGAAGAGCTAGTTAATTGCTTTTGTGGTGTCTTAGATTGCCATGCTTAGTATTTCTTTGCTCAGTATATTCTTTCTTGTTAAGAAAACTTTGTAAGTTTCAGTAAGCCCTGAGGAGTTCACAAGCCAACTTTCTAGTAGAGCTCTGGGCATAATTTTTCATGTTGCTTTAATAAAATGTTATCTTTTTGCCATAGATTATGGTCAAGTGAAATGTACAGTGTGCTGTTACCTGAAACTACTTTTTACCTCACTCATTCTAAGTTTTACCTCAGCAGCTAATCTTGCCATAGACTTACTCAACTTAGATATTTTTTTAATTTGTAATTTGACAGTGGTCAATTGCCACATGATAAAATAATGTATTTACAAAATAAGAAATGCAAATTTTTTAAGTTTCTTGGCGGGATTTGTCCAGAATGCCTTTGATGGAATTTGGTCTATTAGTATAGCTTTGGACCTCAGATTAGGAGTGAGACTTCAAAGTCCAATTTCTGCCTCTTCTCATTGATACGTAGATAACTCTCCATGCTACAGTCACTATCACCCAATAGAGGAACTGAAGGGCTGAAAAGCCCTAAAATGTTTTGAAATATCATAGTTGTATAGTTGCTTTCCCTCTAGCCTGTTCCATGAAAATATTGCAAAAGCAGTGATCTTGTCTTGGCGATCAAACAACATGATTAATGCTAACGTTAGAGAGGAGATGCAATGTCATGCATCTAGGCTCCAGCAGATCAAGTTAGTAAACATCTAGGATGATACCAAGGCTGGCAATAATTTAAAATCTACATTGCTACATTCCCTTCCTCCTCACCCATCAGTTCCCTTGAACTACATTCTTTTTTTTTATGTTTGCCATGTTATTTTAATTTATTAGAGTCTGGTTCCACAGAGGAGAACTTAGCCTTACATGTTAGAAGCCTGGATTGTCTATCCAGGCCCTTTTCTGGACTTAGCAAAGTTTAAGAATGGATATAGTGCTGAAAGGTCATAAGTGTAGACACTACACACTACAGCAAGATGTTGGCTCTCTACCCTATAAGGTGAATGACCTTCTGAGTTAGTGATGCCTCACCAATTCCCATGTTCCCTAAGTCCAGAGAGCCTCTTTCTTCCAAAGGACTCTTTGAAAAAGAGAAGGATGTTCATACAGAAAAGCAAAACATATCAGAAATTGAATAAAGATTGATGGAATTATTTTGTAAGTATATGGTTGCTACAGCAACCATTAAGCTTAAGACCTAACCTGGACAAATCACTTGCTAAAGAATAATAATAATTGCTTATGTTTCTTGCTTATATTAAGTTTTATATGTTGTTATTCTAAGTGTTTTGCCTACATTAATTCATTTAACCCCATGATATAGATACTATTACCCTCACTTTACAAAATAAAATAATAAGGCAGAGAAAATTTAAATAATTAGCTCTTGGTCACATAAAGTAAATGTTGGAGCCAGGACTTAAAGCCAAACTTTGAGGCTCTAGAGAGCTAAGAAAACTTTTGAATGAGATCACCAAATTATTGTTGGTTGGGAATCTTTGAGAAATTGTGAGGACATGGGGATACAATAGAAGTTTAGAGATAAACAGATGTAGTTTTTTGTTTTTGTTCAGCTTTTTTTTGAAGAAAATGTCTAAGTGGTGCTAAATATTTTAATAAATCGTTTTGGAAATATATAGAAGGTAGCTTTATCAAATTTTCCAAAAAGACCTTCTTAGGGCTTTTAGTTGGCCATAAGCTATATATGAGTTGAAGTGGAATACAGCACACTACCACTTCCACCTCCCAGAATTTAGGGAGGTGTAAAGCGTCATGGCATCTAGAAAAAGGGAATTGATCATTCTCTCTAGACTGGTCAGCCCCTTCTGTAGTATTTATTCTGTTTTGTCCTGAGTTCTACATTTCAAGGGAAATAGAGAAAAATTGGAATGTTTTGGTAGGTAAATTTTGAGAATTATAATTTAATTCAATCATTAGAAGAATGGGTGAAGAACTGTGGACATTCCGCATAGAAAAGGGAAGACTTCAAGGAAGCCAAAATAGGTATCTTCAATACTTGTAGTACTGACTCATGTGTGAAGGATTACAAAGTTAGGTAAAATTAGAGCCAATGATTAGAAGTTAATGAAGGCAGATGTTGGCTTGATGTAAGATGGTCAAATCTTTCGGAGATGGAACAGGCTGCCTTGAAAGGTATTGAGTTTCCTTTCGCCAGCATTTGTGTAAGTGTGCAGCCAGAATGTGGACAGCCACTTGAAGGTGCACAGAAGATGGAGGCACAGACCAGATGGTTGGGCCACATGACAGTGAAGGCCTCTTCCAACTCTGAGGTTCTGTTTCTGTAGGTTGGTGCAAAAGTAATTATGGTTTTTGACATTGAAAGTAATACTTTTGCACCAACCTAAATATTATTATATGAATTGATTCAAGATAAGCCACTGCACTTCTATGTGTAATCAAATATAGAAATTGTCTATCATGTCTTGGACTTCTAATGCTGCCAACACTAGTGTTAACCAAGCTAGTAAAAACAAGATGAACAGCAAAATAATATGTCATTTCAGAAAAATCTGTAGGCATCTAATGAAATGATTGGTGTTTTATCCTTACCTTTCAGTGCTTTCTCCTGCTCAAGACAGCCACACGAACACGGATCTCCCCCCAGTGTCAGAGCAGATCATGCAGACTCTCAGTGAACTTGCCAAATCGTTCCAGGATATGGCTGACCGCTGCTTGCTTGTCTTACATCTGGAAGTGAGGTATGATACAGCCAAGCCCAGGACCTTGCAATTTGAATGCACTGCGGTTCATAAATCACTTGCTTATTTCCAGGCAGTATCACCATAATTTCTGGCTCATATTATTGATGTTATCCCTTTTTACACTGAAAGTGATTTTTAGCTGTATTCAGTGATTATTTGAGCGCACAGTGTATTGTGAGTGTGGTGATTCAGAGCTGGCATGATCTATGAAATCAGGTCACCTAGATTGGAATGTCACTATCAACTGGCTAGGTGATCTTAGGTCAGTTAATTAACTTTACAAACCACAGTTTCCTTATTTTAAAAATGGAAATGATAGTTTCTAACTTATAGAGATTTTATAAATGAAATAATAATTAGCACAATGTCAGCCACAAAGTAAGTGCTCAAAATATGGTAGCTTTGCTATTGTGGTGACTTTATTGTGATTGATATTTTTACTAAAGTGCTCTGCTAGTCAAGAAGGGAGTCACATTTGAAAAAGTAGAGGGAAACAGGTAAAAGAATTATACTAATATATTTTAGTTAACCCAGTATATCCAAAACAGCATTTCAATAGGCAATCAATGGAAGTGATTGAGGTATTCAGCATTTTCTTTTGCACTAAGCTTTTGAAATCTGCACATTTTGTACTTACAGCACATCACAATTTGGACTGGCCACATTTTAAGTGCTTGGTAGCTACATGTGCCCAGTACTAGCATAGTGGGCAGTTGCCAAGAGTGGCTGGGGCTGACTAGGAATGGGATTCTTTTCTTTAAGATAAAATGGTCAGAAGAAATGTGACAAAGTAACAAGAATGATCAGTCTGTACAAAGACCTAGAGGAAGAGAGTTTCAGACAGAAGGAGGCACACTCACAAAGGTCCTGAGACAAAATCAAGCTTGGCGGTTTTAAGAGCAGAGAGGAGGCTGATATGCTTGTAGGCTGATGAACAAGCTGGGTGGGGAGGACTGAAAGAATAAGGCACAGGAGACAGGCTGGAGCCCAATCCTGTGGAGTCATGAAGCCTGACACATTACAGGGTCTTACAGACCAAGTGAATCATTCAGATGTCATAGAAGCCATGGAAGAGTTTTAAGAAAGGGAGAGATATCAATTAATTAACATTTTTTAAAGGTCACTCTGGCTGTTGTATGGAAAAGGGATTGCAGGGAAAAATACAAATGGAAGCAGGGTGACCAGTTGAAAACAACTCTGAGCATCAAGGTGATAGAGGTAGAGATATGAGAAGCATAGGATTTGGGACATATGCTGAAGGTAGAGCTAATGAAGTTTGTTGACAGATTGTATTGGACACAGGGGCTGGTGCAATAAGAGGAAAGACTCAAGGAAAACCACTAGTTTGGGGCCAGAGCAACTGTGTGCCATTAACTGAGGGGAGAAACACTGAGGGAGGAGAAGGGTGGAAATCAAGTATGCCATTGAGAGATGTTCAGTTTGGGATGCTTATTAAACAACTAGGTAGCAATGTCAAAACATCAGGATCAGAAAGTGCATGGTGTGGTAATACATTCTATTCTGTATTGCTTTGGAACATGATTAACATTGATAGAATATTTTTCTTTTCATTTGAAGTCTTTACTAGATTTAGATTTTAAAAATGTAAATAGGACTTTGTTTGATAGGTGACCCTTGGGAATATGTTTGGACTCCAGTTAGAACTTGGATTTCTTTCCAGGGTGACTCCTTGTGTGTGCTACTTGCTTTTTATCCTTCATTACCATTGCCCAGTGAGTTACTTCCTTATTGCTTGTGAGAGCCTTGTGAGTGGAACAAGAGAAGTAACATTGCAGATTTAGAATCTGTGTTACGTGGCATTATTCCTGATGTTATTTCTCACATTAAGCTGTCCAGAAATAAAGCTCTTTCTGTATATTTTCTGATTTGTTTTACAATAATTTTCATATTTGGTATCTCTTTATTTACAAGCGGACAGAGAAATCAGGTGTTTTCTATGAACAAATATTTGCAATAGATGGAAGGAAATGAAAAATACCAAGTAATATTCTAATGCCGCTGTTACCTGAGTTACAAAGGAAAACAAGGGAATACCAAATTAGTTACTATCACAATTCCTGGAATTTATACTATTGATCGTGTGCTTATACATATTCTACATTCAGAATTGTTTACTTATGTGTAGTTAATTCCAAGTGGGATATTTGCAACACATTTGAATAAGATCTTTTAAATCCTTAACCCCTATTCTGCCCTTTTGATACATCTTGGCAATACTCTTCTTAATACTGAACATGCTTTAGTCATTAATTTACAAGAAACTATACAGTGCTATAGCACTGGTTGCCATATCTTCTTCAACATTAGTCTAAAAACAGAAAAATGTCATTTTTAAGAATGAATATCAAAAAAGACTGAATTTTAGAGCCCTGGATGTAGAATTATCTTTCCTTGAATTTAACTCAGAACACGAAGCATGGGATTTTTTTAAATTAAATTTCCTCACTTCCTCATGTAACATGGTTCCAACACTCAGGTTGCTTTCTAATGAGTATGCTCCATTTTGTCTTTGTTCCTTTTAAAGTAAGGTAGATACAACTAGCAGAATACACCACATAAGGCTCGGATAGTGAATGTAGATGCACTTACTCTATCCTGGTCACGTTAACAATTTTTTTTCAGTTTGCACAGTGATGATACAAAATGAAAAAGACAGATTTCATGCCACTCTAGTATAATAACGCTAGAATAGAGGTGTCTGCTAAGTGCTCTGGGGGCGTGACTGTGGTAGAGACCATCGAGCAGCTCTTCCAGGTGTGGCTTGTTCATTGTGATGGCTGGCCCTGAAACCTAATATCCTGCTGTATATAAGGTGCTCAGTAAAAATGTGATTAAGAATTAGTTGGTTTGAAACCAAACCCAGATAAAGTAAGGGCTACTTTACAAAACAAAACCTGTTGTCTTTAAAGAAAATGAATTGGTTTGCAGTTTCTGTTTTTACATAGCAGTCCACTTGTAAGTCCACTGCATTATCTTAAGAGGTACAGAGGCTGTGTGGCCAATATCATTCTCATCAACTAATGTTTGTTTTGTTCCCATCCTGCTGTAAAAAAAGAATTAGAACGTAGGCCCGGTTGTCCAGGAGCTGGTGTGGTGAAAAAGTGGCTGGTTAGCTCCTGTCTCTGGCACTTTTAGCCAAGAAACCACTGTAATAGTACAGATAGAAGAAAACAATTCATGGAAAAAAGTAATGGGATATGCTAGCAAAAAGTCCAGAACAACTTCAGATGCCAAAAATTGGTCTTGTTCCCCCAAATATCTTTATATCCATAGCCCATATTTTTCTTTGACATTGTTAAAATTCAAACCAAAAACTGTTTTCCAATCCAGCGCAGTCTGTGTTGAAGGATCCATCTAAGGAGTGTTTGACATTTTACCTGTGTCATTGTAGGTCACATTTTAACCACCAAGCAGCCCCTTTCCACAGTTTGAAGCATAAAGCAAATGATACCCCCAAGAGATGAAAGACATGGTGAGCCCATTAAAAACTATTGAGGTTTGTTTTTTCTATTTGAACTTTAGAAGAAGAAAATTAAGTTGCCATTTGAGTCCAAGATGCCAAGAATGTCACCTTTATCAGCTGATTTTTCTCACCATCAGGAGGGCTCTAAGTAGGTTCAACAGCAACTGCCTATCACTGTTGGGATCCTAAGTGTGCACTCTCTGAAAATCATCCACCCCACTGTGTAATCAGCAGTGTTTGCAGAATACGTTAATGTCAAAGTCATAGTAAGGTCAGCAACAACAGGCCAGAATTTAAATTTAAAAAAATACTTTATTTGAATTTGGCATTCGCTGATGACTATTTTAATTTCTTTTTTTTTTTTAATCTCTAATCACTTGGGAAGAAGATAATACCTTAAAGAAAGGTTATATGTCTTCTCCCCCAGTAGCTTGAAGGTCTCATAAGCTCTCACCTCCAGTTCATAAGAATTTCCTAACTAGTCACTCTACTTCCAGTTGCTTCCATTCTCTGCTATTAATCCACTTGTATACTGTGCCAGAGTGATCTTGCCAAAGCTCAGGTCTGATTATATTATTCACTTAAAATCCCCCTAAGGATCCCTATGGCTTCTAGGATAAAGGCTTGATTCCCTACATGGCCTTCAGAGCCTGTGCTGACCTGGCCTGTGCCCATCTCCCCAAGCTCGTGGAGTGCCTGTAATGTGGGATCTGTGTGCAGCAGAAAAGAACTGCTCACCAGTCCTCAGAACATCCTGCATTTATAGTCTCATGCTATTTTACATGGTCTTCTCATTGCCTGGAGTCATAATGTCTGTCATTTACTTTAAAAATACTTTAGCATAGATGCTTTAATTTTATTTTCAACAAAGTGCTACTTCATTTAAATTTCAACCACAGTAGCAATCAGTGTGCTAGTCATGAATCCCATTCCAGAGTTGGTCAACTTTCATTCTGTCAGAAAGCTCACATTCCAGAGGAGGCTACAACCAGTGCCATTACTGGTATTCTTATCAAAATTATACATTTGTGCCAATTAGTACTTGAATATCAGAATGAGTTTTTATTGGTGAAATTAGTCATTAGTTAATTAGCAACTGTTAAGATGAGCATCTATCAGTAAAAATGAGCAGTAGTCAAGATACTTGGATTCTCTTGGATGAACTGCTTATAAGAATATGACACATCCCATATAAAACTTAGCTTAAAATGGATCATTCAACTAAATGTAAAATCTAAAACTCTAAAACTTCTAGAAGAAAACATAGGAAAAAATTTTTATGATCTTTTTTAGGCAAAGACTTCTGAAATGTGACACTAAAAATACCATCCAAAAATAAAAAAGTTATAAATTGAACTTCATCAAAATTAAAACCATTTTTGATAGACATTGTCAAGGTTAAAATACAAGCCAAAGACCAGGAGAAAATATCTGCAAAGTCCATATCTGATAAAGGACTTGTATCCAGAATATATAATGAACTCTCAAAACTTAATAATAAGAAAACAAAAAACCCAATTTTTAAAACTGGGCAAATGATTTGAACAGATATTTCATCAAAGATATACACGCAGAAAATAAGCACATGAGAATATGCTCAACATCATTAGTCATTAGGAAAATGCAAATTAAAACCACAGTGAGATACTGCTCTACATCTATTAGGATGACCAAAAATTTTTATTTAAAACTGACAACACCAAGTACTGATGAGGATGTGGAACAACTGGAACTTTTGTATACTGCCAGTAAGTAAGCAAAATGGTACAGCTCCTTTGGAAAGCAATTGGTAATTTCTTACAAAAGTAAACATACACTTACCATAAGTGAGATCTAGCAATCTCACTTCCAGGTATTTATCCAAGAGAAATAAATGCAAAGTTATATGCACACAAAAATGTGTACATGAAGTAGCTTTATCCACAACCACCTAAACCTGGAAAGAATCTAAATATCAATGGGCGAATAGATAATCTGTGGGACATCCAATTCAGTGGAAGGCTACCCAGCAATAAAAAGTAATGAACAACATGGGTGAATATCAAATGCTTTGTGCTAAGTGAAAAAGCCAAACTCAAAAGGCTACATACTGTATGATTCCATTTATATGGCATCCTGGAAAAGACAACTGTAGGGGCAGAAAAATAGATGAGTGGTTGCCAAAGGTTTGGGAGTTGAGTAGGGATTGACTGCAGAGGGACACAGGGAATTTTGGAGGAGATGTTTGTGTTCTGTAATTTGGTTCTGGTGGTGGTTATATGATTGTACATGTTTGTTAAAACTAATAGAACTGTACACTAAAAGGGGGGAGTTATACTGTTTGTAAATTATTTCTCAATAAACCTGACTAAAGAAAGATGACAGGCAAAGCGTGGTCGCATCATTAGAGATAATAATGCCCAAGGCTTTTGCAGCCATTCATTTGGGAATATTTCTTATTACTTGATGCCAACTGTAAAGGTAACAGAACATAGACCCTGGATTATGTCATCATTTCTTACCTCCGGTGAACCTTCCATGCAAGGTCAGACAGAGCACCTAAAACAACAGAGTTAGGACTAGACTGGGCTTATGGAACAGCCTGTTTGAACTCTGCCTGCCAAGGGATACTATTGGTTTGGGATTTTTTTTTTTTTCTGCTACGGTGGGGGATTCAAAACAAATACCTGCATGTAGGGCAGAATTTGGACTGAAACACTTTGATTACAACTTTAAAAGGCTGTGGCAGTGCAGCCAATCCATACCCACCTCAGACTTCCTCAGCAGCTACTAATATCTGCCAAAAAGCACCTGAGAATTGTGTGTGACCAGACTGACACAGGCCATTTTCACACAGAAATGCCCTCCTTCCTCAAGCTGTCAGATATGTTCTGTGAGACTCAAGCATCACCTTCTGTCAGGACCCTTTCCTGATACCCCGTGGCACATTTCCATGGCACGTGGATGGATGTGCTTAGAGTGAGATGCTGTTCTCTTTTAGTCATTTTTTTCTTAATCTACCCCACTAGGTTATGGGTCTTTAGGGATACAAACTGTCTTATATTTCCAGGGCCTAGCACAATTTCTTACAAATTCATAGAGGTTCCATACATGATTTAGTTAACTAATAAATTATTGTTAATAAATATAAGACTAGTGATGACAGCCAGTACTTACTATGCACGCCATTTGTGCCAGACACTGCTATACTTAACACTTTACATGTAGTAGTTACTCACAGCACCTTATGAGACAGGTGTTGTTTTCACCCATATTTCGTGGATAAGGAACTGAGGGATAGAGAGATAAAGTAACTTGCCTAAAGTCATACAGCTGGTGATTGAAGCCAAAGTAGTCTCCTTACACTTTTAAGATCTATAAACTCGGCCTCTCATCTTCATTGCAACAATATCTGTTGAAAATTACAATGCTTTTCACAGTATGCCTACAACCCTGGCATTGAAGAGAATTTTAGAACTCCTTCCCAACACTGTATAGATTAAACAAGCAATGATCATAGCAGCCAGCTTGCCCCAGATCACTCAGTTGTTCTATAGAATAACTAAGATGGCTTTCTGGTTAAAAGAGGGGAGGGTGTTTACATTAAAATGTACAAGGCCACAGCTGCTTCATATTAAGTGTAGAGCATAGTGTCTGGCACAAATAGGGTACACAGTAAGTGTTGGCTATCATGGCTAGTCTTACATTTATTAATGATAATTTATTAGTTATTTTGGTGCTCTGTCCCAAGATCATTGCCCTCCCTGGAAGGATTTATTATTAACTGCTCTCCCTATCTCTCTCTTTTTCAGGGTTCACTGTTTCCACTATCTTATCCCTCTTGCAAAGGAGGGGAACTATGCCATTGTGGCTAATGTGGAAAGTATGGATTATGACCCCCTGGTGGTCAAGCTCAACAAAGATATCAGCGCCATTGAAGAGGCCATGAGCGCCAGCCTTCAGCAGCACAAGTTCCAGTATATCTTCGAAGGTCAGACCCTGCTTCTGTCTCTGGGAGTTTGGGAGGAAGAAAGGATGAAAGTTTTCCTGATTTTCTGTATTACTGAAGTTCAAGACTTGTAGAAAAGAGTTGTTTGCTTGCTTGCTTGTTTGAACTAAATCTGCAATACCTAGCCTCTTTGTGTATGACTAGGTAGACAACAATATGGCCGCCATCTGCTCCGGGTTGATAAGGAGATTTAATCCAAGATAAGGCAGATGGCTGCCTCCCTGACATGCCATTCATGAGATTTGAGAGAATGTGCAGACTGGGCCACAAATTAACTCAAGAGGAGCTTATAAAAGAAAAAGAAAACACACATACACAATGAGGAGAGAATCCTGAAAGATCACTCATTGGCTAAAATTATCACTGGAACGGGAAGTTTTCTCACAGAATGTTATAATCATCTGGAAAGAACAGAAGCCTCTGATTAGAGGCAATTTTTAGGAAGGACGTGTCCATAAATGCCTCCAAGGGGCAGGCAAGGAAGGGTGTGAGAGACAGGAAGTGCCATCTAAAGACATTACCCTTCACAATTTGGAAAAAATGTGATGGCACCCAAATAATTTTTCATGGTGAATTTCACCCAGAGGATCCCTGTTAGGACTCCACATTATGTTCCCTTTGTCCATGTTTTGGTTTGTTTGTATGAAAACTTGTATCTGTGTTCTCTCACAGAATTAAACTAGTATTATTTAAAACAACTAAGAAGGTACATTGTCCAAAGGATTGTGGCAAACTGACAATACATGGCCAATGTTTGCTTTATGAAAGTTATATTCCAGCAAATTTGGGCCCCCCAAAATCCAATCCTTAAATGTATATGGAGTTATAAAGAGATGTGTTCTGTTGGGGTATATCTCTCAAAGACTTTAGCCAAAAAGTGTAAGTGATTGAAGGGTTAGCTGGCAGTTAACCCCATGGCACTATGAGTTTGGTGGCATCTGTAATATTCTGCAGCTTTCAGCTGCAGTGCCTACCTGAGAATTCACTTTTCTGTTATTACACCGAGTTTCCTCTGTGCTCTTGACTGTGGCTCTTCCCAGCCCCTGCATATCAACATTTGTTTTATTCCTATTACAAAATGCATTTAATATATTTATTATAATATATTATTATTTCTTATTCTCTACAAACAGCATACCCCTTCATTGCCCAGTCTTGCAGACCACGTTATATTGTGGCAGCAAAAACAAACAAACAAACAAACAAACAAAAACTGTACCTAAAGTTACAGACTTGAGAGAATGACACCAAAACTTGGCCTACAGAGATTTTTCATATAAATAAGTTGTCTAGTTTTAAATGTAGAATCTGCAGTTGTGTTTTTCTTTGAATAAAAACTTTTCTTCATATTCAAATAGTAACACATACAAGTTTGTGGTCTTGAAGCAATGTTGTTTGAGTGTAGCTGAAGCAAGACCTGAATGCATCTCCTCCCTCATTTCTACTTTCACCTTAATCAAGGGAAAACTCATTTTGAAGACATGGGGAGCCATGGACCTAAAGATAAGCCCCGCACTCTGATCTAAACCTCAGAGTCTCGGGGAAGGGACTAGACTTCAGAACAGGAAAACAACCAATAGCAAATGGCTTGCAACTAGTCAGACCAGTTTACAGTTCCAAGGAAAATGTCCTGCTAGCATCCAAGAATAAGAAAGAAGGAAGAAACGTTTACTGAATTCCATTTAGAATTAAAATCCAGCTTTTAAAAATAGTAACCCATATGTGCCTCACGTTGTTCTGAACCAGTGTCTCTCAACTTAATTACATGGGATATCCTGAGGAGGACTTATTAGTTTGCTGATGTCCTGAGCTGCCCTTTGCTAAATTTTGCAGACCATAAGACAACCCTCCAGACCTAAGAGCAAACTACTTGTGGGGGGGCCCCAAAATGTCCACAGGTGTCTCACGGGAAGTCAACAGTTAATGTATGATCTGCTTTTCCTTCACCCTTTTTTCTAATTGTGTCTTATACACCCATTGCCATTGTTAAGGTATATTAGCATTATTGCCAATAACCCAATTTCTTATTGATTTATTTTTTACTTGGCAATGTTGAAATATATTAACATTATTGCCAATGCCCAGTGTCATATTGATTTTATTTATGTAGCTTCCCAATCAACTTTTGAGCCCAAAGTGTCCTTCTCTACTTTGTAGGAGGAAGGAGAGGCAAAAGGGTCATTGTATATGCCTGTGGTCTTCTCTGCTTCCCAATTGTGTATAAAGAAAAGCGGGATTTCCTGTGTACTTCAACAGTTTATAATAACCTGGCCTCTTCTCTAAGGCCTTGGCATGGTGGCAGTAGGTGTACATGGCAATGCTGGAGATGTGGCTATTACCAGGCTTTGCCACCAACATGAAGTCCACTCATTTGTAACTACTAGGACAATGTAGAAATACCCTAAAATTATTGTCAGATCAGCAGATGCAACCATCAGAGGTAGATTTTCTTTGGTCGTTTAAATGTATAGAGGATTAGAAGACAGCAATTCTGTGTGCAAGTTTCTGCAGGAATGCCTCTAATCTGTCATCCGTTTTCTTTGCCCCGCACTGTGCTGACCCCTCAGGCCTGGGCCACCTGATCTCCTGCATCCTCATTAATGGTGCCCAGTACTTCAGGCGCATCAGTGAGTCTGGCATCAAGAAAATGTGTAGGAACATTTTTGTTCTTCAGCAGAATTTGACCAACATCACCATGTCGCGGGAGGCAGACCTGGACTTTGCAAGGTAGGAGGGAAAACTGGGTTTAGTTTCTTATGCCAAAGCTAAGACCTCGTTGCCTGTGAAGTCATTTTTAAAAATAGACTCTTGGTGCAGAAAAAGCTTAGTTTAAAAAAAGAAAGAAGCACAGATAGATGTTTTTAGGTCCTATAGAGAAAATAATTCCACAGAATTCTATTGAATTTTGTTACTTTGGCAGATAGTTTTTCCTGATGTCTAACCCAAGTTCTTCTTAACTACAATACTTGAATAACTCTTTTTTTCTGCATGTAAAAGTATACATGCTCATTGCATAAAATATATAAGATAAGATACAAAGAAGAATATAAACCTTTGATCTAGAGGCTAAGATATTTGGTATATTTTCTCCTGGCTTTTTTGCATGTGCTGTGTTGTTTATGTGACTTTTCACACATATTCAAGCATGTGATTGCCCTTTTTCCAAAACTGGAACTGTGTTAATGCAATTTTATATTAATTTAATTTTGTTTTCCCCTATCAATAACGTTGTTTGAAAACATAATTTTTCCACGTTCGTTAATACTCCTTGAAAACGTTACTTTTAATGATGCCTGAATAAATATTTCATGGTATAAATGAGCCATATTTATTTTTTCATCACTTGCAAATTTTTGAACATTTGAATTTTTCCCTTTTTTTCTCTCATTGTGAATAACATGTATCTACTGTATTTTTACAGGAACCTACTTCTCATTTCTTCCATCTTGTTCCAATTGAAACCCATCTCTTCTTGTTCTCACTGGGAGGAAAGTGAGAACTCATCACTATCCTTTCTCTTCTCTAAGTTTTCTGATCTTAATTTTTTTTTAAGTGACAGGGTATTGCTCTGTTACCTAGGCTGGAGTGCAGTGGTGTGAACATGGCTCACTATAGCCTTGAATTCCTAGGCTCAAGGGATCCTCCGAGGAGCTGGGACTAAAGGCGAACACCACCATGCCTGGCTAATTTTTATATTTTTTTTATAGAGACAGGGTCTCACTATGTTGCCTAGGCTGGTCTTGAACTCCTGGCCTCACGCAATCCTCCTTCCTCAGCCTCCAAAAGCACTGGAATTATAGGCATAAGTCACTGCACCTGGCCTTGATCTCAATTTTTAATGTTTTTGTACAATACAGTTTTTCAAGATTTGAGAGTTAATTTTTTTCTCTCTTCATTTGTCTTAACCCCATCTAAACCTTAATTAGAATATCAAACCTTTGGTGCTTTAATAAAAGCTTAAGCAATTTGAAGATGATAGATGATAAATATGTTATCTTCATGCTCTATTGCCGTTTATACCTGAGTGGATTATTCCGTAAACTCCCTTATTTTCCAAAGCCTTTATGGCTAGGAAGTCCTTTGTTTTTAATAATGCCCAATGTTTCTGCCTGAGATTTAGTATTTCTGTGGTCTTTTCACTTGATTTTTTTGATTCTTTGAGAAGTGCAGGAAAATTTGAAACAATTTATGGAGATGATGAAATATTATATTACTTCAACAATTGTAAAGACAATATGCTGTGATCTTTGTTTTGGGTATGAACCATATATGTTCATTTTTAACCTTTCTTCCTCAATCTGTTACTCCATTTGTTCCATTGCTACCCTGTTCCTCTGCTTTTCTGTCCTTCTCCTTCCCTGTCTCTTTCTTTCTATTTGTGGGAAAGTGAGAGAGAGAGAGAAAGTGAATGAGTGAGTGTGTGTGTTTTCATTAAATTCCCTGTTTTAGGCTAAATTTGATGGAAAGCCTTCCTTGCTCAGATTAGGGAAACCAGGTGTGACTGAATGCTGCATTTATTTGGTCGCTCTTATGGGGAATGATCTCATTATTGAATTAGTCTAGTCATAATAACATTGACAAGGAGAAGTTAAGAACATAGAAGCCTGAGGGATACAAAAACCCATTACTAATGCTCTAAGGAATATAATTCCTAAATTCAATCATCCTATTTTAAATGATTTTTTTTATTTAGCTGAAATAAGTAAATTAACACAGTTTTTGGCAGACAGTCTGGGGCCTGAAAAACCTGGCATCTGAATAATGCAATGCTGACTGGGCAGGATTGAAGTTGGCATCAGCAGGTCATGTGCCGATGAAGCATTTCTTCAGGAACTGAGTCCCAACCACGCCTTGCCTTTCACAGTCGGATTGGTGAATTGTGTCCCAGGAAGTAGGTACAAGTGGCATGTGACCACTTGGGACATGTATTGCTACTATTATTCTTTATTCTGACATGGATTTTTGACAGGAAATAGGCTAGCATAAAGATACAGCACTGGATGAATCTGTTCTTCTGATTCTGCTTTAGAAGACATCTCCTTACTAAGACTAAGCTCCAAGAGGCCGAGACTCTTTTCTCAGTGCCTCTACCAAAGTAAGTGTTAATTGTATGTACTGAATGAATGAAAAGATATCAAATCAAGGCTAATTTTGGTGTGGATGAAGACCTTGGATATTGACAGGTCAGTTTATGTTTAATTGCCTGAAAGTTTAAAGTAGCCGGCATGGGTCAGTTTTCTTATAAGCTTGTAAGAAAAAGCGTATCTTCCTTGCAGTTCGTTCTTTGTAAAACAGAAACCATATTGTAGCCCTACTACTCATAGTCTCTTTCCCTCTCATTTTTTCTTGTTTTCATACAGACACACTTTATAGCCTTATTTTTCCCCCGCTTCTTGTTTTTGGTAGGGACAGGTTTTGTGAAAGGGGCTCCATCAATTCTACCATATTTGAAGCTATGTAAAATACATAAAACAGCAATACCAAAATAGCCAGAAATAATAGACTGCAGCAGTGTACCTCAGCATTCCTTAAGCAATGTTTAATCAAGCATGGACAGCATCTGTATTTCCAGCAAATCTCTATAGGAATGTTATCTTCTAACACAGTAATTAATCACTAGTTGCCGTGTGTCAGAAAACTTATTTAACAAGAAGTTGCAAAGTGCTTGTAGTTTTCTTACCTTCTCAGCCTTCCTGGCCAGTGGAAAATATAACACCTTTCTGTAATAAAGAAATGAAGGATCTGGAGGGATTCCATTGATGTTGATTCTTCTACTCATAGTATTGTTATCTTGTCTCTCTCTTTTCATGCACACCTTCCCTCTAACTAATCTCTAAATGAGGGTAGATCTTGGGTGAGCAAAGGAACCAGACAACTTGTAACATTACCAGAAGTACAGAGAGCCTCTGTCCTCTATGGTAATGATCATTTAAGCTCTCTTACGGTTTTAACCCCCCTGTTAATTTTCAGAGTCAAAAAGATACTTTATCCAGGAAAATCAGTGTAGATGAGTTAGAAGGTGGAAGGGCTTTATGAGTGTGCTTTTTTAGTTCCTTTCATCACAGATCATCTTAACTTGAGCTGTCATGCACCTTTCCACATGTGAGTCACAGAAGCCACCTAGGAGTCCAGATGGTGGCAGCATAACAAGAGAGGTCTGAACGAACGATGATTGGAGTCCCCAAGATATATCTGACAACCTTTCTAGCTTGAGTGACGCCATTGTTCAAAAAGAATATCCCAGAGTTTTCTTCCCAGTTCTCCCCTCTTTACCCCATTTTGTTTCTTTCTCTGCCTCTTCAGCTGTCTCTTTTTTCTCCTTTATTTCTCCAATAGCTCTACTTCCTGCTCTCCTCCTTCAAGGTTTCATTGCTCCTCAGTTTTTCCCCTGATTTTGGTTTTTTTTGGACTGGTATCTTTCATTCTTAAACCTGCACAAGGTAAGGAAACAAAAGCTACGATTCGGGAAG
Source organism: Homo sapiens (assembly GCF_000001405.40). Lineage (NCBI taxonomy): Eukaryota > Metazoa > Chordata > Mammalia > Primates > Hominidae > Homo > Homo sapiens. The sequence continues at coordinate 134,011,579 of NC_000007.14, forward strand.
CGGTAGGGCGAAAAATTGTAACACCCAAGACAGATTCCTCGCCCGGTTATTCCTTCATTTCTTCATTCCTTCATCAAATATTTATTCAGCGTATGTTCTCTGTAGGTCCTGGCCTCATGAAACTTGCATTACTGTGGGGCAAGATGCAAAGTAATAAATAAGTAAAATATATATAAAGTATTTCAGATGATAATATATGCTGTAGTTAAAAAAAAAAAAAAAGAGTAGGCATGGGGAGGGGACCAGAGGGTGCCAGAGTCTAATGGAGGTAATCCGAAATTTTAGAGTGTTAATGGAAGTCCTTAATGAGATGGTAACATTTGAGGAAAAACCTAAAGGAAGAGTAGGAGCAAGCCATGCAGCTATCTAGGGAAAGAGCGTACCAGGAAAGAACGTCTAAGGGTGAAGAGCCAGAGGGAGGCATACACTTAACATCTGAAGAACAGAGCAGAAAGGCCAGCATGGATGAAGTGAGTGAGCAGGGGAAGAGTAAGAGATGAAGTCTGAGGTTTGATCTAAGGAGCTGAGATCTGGAAAGTCATTGTAATGACACTGAGTTTTACTTTGCATGAGGTAGGAAGCTATTAGAAGGTTTGGAGCAGAAGAGTGCTACATAATGTGAATCAGTCTGGCCGCGATGTTGAAACTAACATCACAGTTGTTAGTTGGGGAGGGGAGGTTGTAGGCAAAGGCAGAAGCAGGAAGCTCTGTTAGAAAACTGTGGCAATAATCTTCTAGGTAAAAGGTAGTGGTGATTCAAAGCAAGATGGTAGCATTGGAGAGGATGAGATATGGTCAGATGAGGATATATTTTAAAAGTTGAGCTAACAGGATTTGCTGAGGAATCAGAAGTGAACCAAAGACTACAAAGTTTTTGATCTGAACAATTCAAAGCATGAAGTTTTTATTTACTGTAATGAAAGTGAACCAGACCATAGGAGAGGCTATTGAAGTGTGTGGAGGGCGGAGAGGGGGTTCAGATAGAGAGGGGATAACAAGAAATGTTTGAGATGCCTGTTAGGCACCAGAATAGACATAAAAAGGGAGCCGGCAATACAACCTGGAGTTGAGATGAGAGTTTTGGAGTCATCAGCATATAGGTGGGATTTAAAGTCATGAGAAAGGCTGAGAGGTGAGATCTCAATAGGAGCACAAGTAGATGAAAAAGAGAAGCTGTCCAAGAATTGGACCTTGGGTACCCCACTGTTGAGACGCTGGAGTGCTAGCGAAGAACCAGCAGAGGAAGTTGAGGAGGCAGCCAACAGAATAGGAAGGTAGCTAAGAAAGGGTGTTGTCCCAGAAGTCAAGGGAAGTGTTTTAAGAGAAGTGTGTCTTCATCTGTGTCAAATGCTGTTGATAGGTTAAATTAGCTCAAGACAGAGAACTGGCTACTGGTGGGCTTGACAAGAGGCCTGAAATGCTTTGGTTTGCATTCCTTTATCTTTCATACACAACTTACCTAAAGTAGGAATACGCTTCAAATGTATATATTTGGGAATAAGTTCCTCACTCCTCAAGTCTACGGTAGGGTTTGATGTCATCAGGGCAAAACAAAAATGCAATTAGAGTATTTTTAGTGTGCTATATGAAAGGCCAAATTGGCAGCCTCTCTTTTCTCAAGGTCAGTATCAACATGCATAAATCATGTTGACAGTATGTCTATGTGCCCTTGACATGATGTGATGAAAATGGCACGTTACCAAAACCTATTACCTCAATCTAATCATGAGAAAGACATCAGAAAGATTCCAATAGAGATACATTCTGTGAAATACCTGATCAGTACTCATCCAAACTGTCAAAGCCATCAAAAACAAGGAAAGTCTGAAAAACTATCACAGCCAACAGGAGCCTAGGAGACATGATGACTAAAATGTACTTTGACCTCCTGGATGGGGTCCTGGAACAAAAATAACATTAGGTAAAAACCAAGAGGCCCTGAATGAACTATAGATTTTAGTTAAAATAATGTGTTAATATTGGTTCATTCATTGTAACAAATGTATCATACTAATGTAAGATGTTAATAATAGGGAAACTGGGTACAAATTATATGTGAACTCTGTACTATCTTCTCAATTTTTCTGTGAATCCAAAACTATTCTAAAAATAAAGTCTATTAATAAAAGTATTAGGCAAAGTATTTCAGAGAACATTTATCCAATGAAAATATACAGGTGGCTAATTCATATTAAGCATGAAAAATGCTCAAATTCATTTGTTATTAGGGAAATGCAAATTAAAACCACAATGAGACATCAGTCTGTGCCCAGCAGGATTGCTGTAACAATAAAAAAAAAGAAAAGACAATGAAAATGTTGGCAAGGTTATGGAGAAACTAGAACCCTCATTTGCCGCTGGTAGAAATGTAAAATGGTGCAGCTGCATCATTTCCTCAAAAAGTTAAACATAGAGTTATGGTATGACCTAGGAATTTCACTCCTAGGTATATACACAGATAAATGAAAACATACATGCGTACAAAAATACGCACACAAATGTTCATAGCAAGCATTATGTATAATAGCCAAAAAGTATAAACAGGTTGGGCGCGGTGGCTCACGCCTGTAATCCCAGTACTTTGGGAGGCCAAGGCAGGCAGATCACGAGGTCAGGAGATCGAGACCATCCTGGCTAACACGATAAAACCCTGTCTCTACTAAAAATACAAAAAAATTAGCCGGGCATGGTGGCAGATGCCTGTAGTCCCAACTACTCGGGAGGGTGAGGCAGGAGAATGCTTGAACCTGGGAGGCAGAGCTTGCAGTCAGCCGAGATCGTGCCACTGCACTCCAGCCTGGGCGACAGAGCGAGACTCCGTCTCAAAAAAAAAGTACAAACAACCAGATATCCATCAACGTATGGATGAATAGAACGTGGTACATTCATACAATGGAGTTTATTTGGCCACAGAAAGACATGATGTGCTGAATCTTGAAACATTATGTTAAATTTAAGAAGCTAGTAACAAAAAGCTATTTTGTATGACACTATTCATATGAAATGTCCAAAATAGTCAAATTTATAGAGATAGATTAGTAGGGGTCGAAAGGAAATGGGGAAATAGATAGAGGAGTCTTTGGGGGGTGATGAAAATGCACTAAACTAGATTGTGCTGATGGTTGTACAGCCCTGTGACTATTCTAAAAGTCCTTGAGTTGTACCCTCTAAGTCTGAAAATTATATGGTATATGAATTATATCTCGATGAAGGAGTTTAAAAAAAAAAGAGGTTGAGTTTTAAGACTTGAAAAATTAAATCATTCATCATAGGAAATGAGGAGCCAAAGTTTTATCCTCCCATTAGTGGGGAAACTTTTAAAAGGAAATATTTGGCTCATTTTTTAGTTTCCCTAATCCATCCTGAGAGGTAGAAGATAAAGGAAGAATTTTTGGAGAAGGAGGTGATACTTCATATTAGTCTTCATAGGAATTATCCAGAATAGGGAGAAAGTCATTTGGAAGAGAAAGGGTAGTTCCGGGGACTGGAGAAGATGTTCAAGGAAGGAGGTGGTGAAAGAAGAGACCTGAGTCATCATCAGGCCTGAAGTCAGGGCTGGCTTTGGGTAAGCCACAAATGCCACCTTATTAAGGCCTTCTCTCCTGCACTTTCAAAACATGCCTTCCTCCCCCACCAGCACTCCCTATTGTCCTTACCATGATTTTAAAAAGCGTATATCTGACATATTTCGTATTTACTTATTTGTTCCTCACCTGTCTACACTGAATAGAATGTAAGCTCCATAAGCAGGGACTCTTTTTTGTTCACTGCTGTAGCCCCAGGACCTAAACCAGTACCTGGTATGTAGTAGACATTCAGTAAATACTTGTGGGGTGTTAAAGTTATTTGGACTTTGTCCTGTACGTAACTGAAGGATTTTAAGCAGAGGAGTGAGATGGTCAGATTTATATTCTAAGTACATCATTTCAGCAGCAGTATAGGACTTGGATTTGAGGAAGATAAAACTGGAGGCCTTGCCAATCAACTGGAAGGTGATTGCTAAGAAAGTGGTAGGGGGCTAGGCACGGTGGCTCACACCTGTAATCCCAGCACTTTGGGAGGCCGAGGCAGGTGGATCACGAGGTCAGGAGATCGAGACCATCTTGGCCAACATGGTGAAATCCCGTCTCTACTAAAATACAAAAAATTAGCCAGGTGTGGTGGCACGTGCCTGTAATCCCAGCTACTTGGGAGGCTGAGGCAGGGGAATCACTTGAACCTGGGAAGCGGAGGTTGGAGTGAGCTGAGATCACGCCACTGCACTCCAGCCTAGAGACAGAGCAAGACTCCGTCTCAAAAAAAAAAAAAAAAAAGTGATGTGTAGGGCTTCAACAATGTATCAGTGCTTGGTGGTGGGGGGAGTGGGGATGGAGGAGACATATTTGAGAAGTGTGAAGGAGCTAAAATTGGCAGGTCTTGGAGAGTGATTGAATAGTGAGGGTAAAGTGAAGGAGTCAAGGATGACTCTCCAATTTCTAACATGAGTGTCTAGCCAGATCACACTACAGTCAAGTAAGATAAGGATACAGGAGGAGAGAGGAGTAGGTCTGATGGAGGGAAGATCATCAGTGGTTGTGGTGAGTATAAGATGGATGTGGGACTTCCAAGTGGAGACATCTAACATGCAACTGGATATGTAAACTGGAAGCTTGAGGGAAAGGCCGGGAGTGAACAAACAGATATGGGGAATCATCAGCATGGAGCTATTTAAAACCATTAACGGAGATCAAGGCTGTAGGTAGATGGAGAGTAATCCCCTGGGGAAGACCCAAAAGGGCATGAGAAGGAAGAGGAGCCCCTGAAGAAGATAGGGAAGGAATGGTCTCATAGCACAAGGACAGAACACAGCTCATGAAGACCAAAGAGAGTGCATGATCACATAGCTGCCTGCACAGAAATGCTACTTTCACCATAAATTGATAGAGCATCCTTCTTCCCAATAAATGGAAGCATTTTCTCACGTTAACTTCTCCAACTCTTTTAATTAAACTGTCCAGATACTTTCCTCAAGTGACAGAGTGATAAAGCCAGCCTAGCAACTAAACATACAGATTCAGACCCCTGCTTTATCCTTGACCTTGTACCTTCACTAAGGCCAGGAATGATCTCTGGCATAGCTGAGAATGTTGAATTCCTCCCAGGGGAGCTGTTTACATAAATTTATTTCCTACAAACCTGTTGCACCGGGAACATTACTTTTGTTTTCTGCAGGAAAGGTTGTGAGTTTTCCTATTTGGAATGACCAAAGTGTAGTTTGATAGAAGGGGATTAGCAATGACATGCTGCCACCTACTGGAACTGCCCACAGACAGCCAGACTGAGAATGTCTGTGGTCTCCTAAATCTCCCCTCACTCTTCTGAATCAAGAGTGGGTATTGCCCCTGAAGCGGACTTCAAAGGTGACTTGGCTTGAAAATGTGAAATGCCCCACCTATCAAATAAAAATTTATCTGACTGCTTTGCTAGAAGAACAATTTTGTTTCTGAGAAAGAAGCACAATATTTGTCACATCCTTTTCTCTGTTTGCGTTTCCCAGCTTTATTCTGCCATTGGTCTTGTTTGCCTTCCCAATTCTAGGGGCACCTATCCTTTTCCCAAGATTTGCCTTTAATACCCCAGATTTTTGACTCAAGATTATTAGCCGTGTAGATTTGGGATTAATTTTGTAGAAGAGACTAGTCTGCTGCCAAAAAAATTCTTTTTTTAATGATGATGCCCCTTAAAATGCTGTTAAATCTCTTAAATTTAATAGTGATAAAAAGCTAACCCTGATTTTCCTAGGGGCCAGAGTAAATTGGGAAATGCGATGGTTTACATGGCTTCCACTGCCAGATAGAAAGAAATATACCAGTTGATAAAATTCAGTAATAAAACCAAATCTTGTACGGCCTGATCTGATGGACTTTTTAAAGATCTTTATATAAATAGATTTAAATAATATTACATCTCTCCAATTAAACCTTCATTTGACCTTGCTGTCCCGTTTCTGACCATGCCGCTTTTTTCTGATCTCCCTTTTTTTACATTTACATTAGGTCCCGTGCATTGTAACAATTAATTGATCTCTAATTAATCATTTAATTAGGACTCCTTGAATGCGGGTGAGCATGCCTTACTGGTCTGCATATCCTTCACAGAGCACTTCAGAGCAATAAATACTTCTAAGCCTCTCAAAAAAATCTCTCAGTAACTGACGTTTGATTCCCCATAAACATATCTCATGTGTGAGGCTTTGATTAAGTAAGATTTCTTTTGATTATGCTCAATTAGTGTCACCATATTTTGTATATATATATTGTCAATGTATAATTTAGGGTTCCTCGAGATTACTGGCAGACAGTGACACTCTTCCCTTTGTAGCACATGTGCTGGAATTGGAATGATTCAGAGATTAGCATAGATAGCGAGTATTATTATTATCCAGTAAAGATCCCAAGGAACAGAAATAAGAAGTGACTTGTCCAGAATCTGTCATCGAATCCTGCTGTTTATATATTCTGCAGTACCTTTGTATTCATCATAGTTAGTTAATTAACCCACCCAGGGAGGCTATTTTTCTGCCAGGGAAGGGTTGCATTGTACTGAAAAGATATTAAGCTTGTTCTGTGACTGAAGCCCAAGAATGATCATTTACCGACTCTATTAGAATTCTCACTGAAAAATTTGAGGCTGGAAGCTGACCTTTCTTGTTTTCTAAATAAAGATGTAGTGTTTAAATTTTGATGCTTGAAAGTAGGAAACTGGCACAATCGCTGTCGTAAAAGCAGAGCTACAGCCCCTGTAAACCACATCATGCCAGACTTCCCATCCTGCCCCTCCCTTTACCTGCTTTATCATATACAGGAAGAAAGCCCTTCTCTTCATTCCCACCTCCTGCTTTACTGAACACCCTTTGCTGATCCAAACAGAAAAAGATCAGAGTACTGAAGGAAGGTCACATGGCCACAGTGAATTCTGTGGCCAGCACTCCGCTCAAGGACCTTTTGTTCTCTGAAACCTTCTCCAATGTGCCTGGCCCATATCACTTGCTCTTTTTATAATCCTTTTTTTTTAATTTTCTGTACTCTAAAATTAATACCTCATTATGTGCTATATTGTTCTTCATTTGTTCCCATCTTTTAATATTTTATTCATCTAATTTTTATTAACATGTTCTCTCTCTACTGAATTATAAAGTTCTTGTGACTAGTTACCATGATTGTATTTTGTTTATTTGGTTTCTGGGTGGTTTTCCCCCTTTTACTTCTCTGTAATAGACTACCTGTCAGCAATCTGAAGTATTTATGAAAATAATATGGGTTTTAAAATATGTTTGATATGTATTACTTTCGATGTATGTTTGTTTTTGTTTTTTGTTTGTTTGTTTTTTTGAGACTGACTCTTGCTCTGTCACCCAGGCTGAAGTGCAGTGGCCTGATCTTGCCTCATGCAACCTCCGCCTCCCAGGTTCAAGCGATTCTCCTGCCTCAGCCTCCTGAGTAGCTGGGATTAAAGGCACGCGCCACTACACCCGGCTAATTTTTGTATTTTTAGTAGAGATGGGGTTTCACCATGTTAGCCAGGATGGTCTCGATCTCCTGACCTCAAGTGATCTGCCTGCCTCAGCCTCCCAAAGTGCTGGGATTACAGGCATGAGGCACAGCGCCCAGCCACGATGTATGTTTTAGAGAGCATCTGTAGCTAAATACAAATAGGTTACCAAGAAATAGTTTTTGTACCTAGCTTTACAGACCTTTAACTTTAAACTACTTTCTCTAAAACAAGGAAAGCTCCTGCAAGACATGTGATTTTTTTTTACAAACCATCCTAGAGGCCTATATTGGTGACTTTCTCTCAGTGATGATGATGATGATGATGATGATGATGATGACATATTCCAAGTATAATATGAGTAATTATAATTACTGTTATATAATGATCTCAGCACATGACATGAACGTTAGTAAATGCTTTACCTACATTGGTTCACTGAATGTCCCTGAAACTCTATATTTAGCTATTGCTGCAAAAAGATGAGAAAACTAAAGCTTAACGAAGTTAAGTAAATTCCTAGTTTACATAAGAAGAGAGGCCAGATTCAAACTTAGGTCAATCCAACCCCAAAGTCTATGTATGCTCTTAACTACGTGAAGTAAGGCTACCATTTTGGTCAATGTTGGGTCTCTCTTTTGCTTATATTAAAATATGATTTTATTTTTCAGTTATTCTCTTAGCTATCAAACATTTCTTTTTTCCTTTATTTTCTCTGGTTGGGTGTCTTTCCCCCTTGATTTCCACTGAGCTCTGATTGCTAACTGTTTTAATCAGCTTTAATGGGCAGTTTGACGGCAGAGGGGTCTGCAGACTCTTCCTACCTTGGTGGTGTTATGGGGTTGGTTTTGCTCAGCTGTCAGGTGTTCATGCTGCTTGTGGGTCTTCTGCTGGCCTTCCAAACAACTGTCCTTGGGGAGCAACACTTAGACCCGAGACCACTCTCTCAGAATCTCACCACAAATTAGCACGTCATCAACAGCACTGAGCAGCACCATCATTAATCCAAATGCATACACCTGTGCTTTTAAGACAATAAGCAGCTAAACCAAGTGCTTCCCAAAGACTAGAAGGTATAAGAATTTCCCTATCAGCTACAGGGTCTCTTGCAGGGAAATTGTTTTAAGTGGAAACTCTTTGACTCCATCCCTAAAAGTTCTGATTTAGAAGGCTGAGGGTAGGGCTTGGGCATCTGCGGCTTAACAAGTGCTCAGGAGATTATCATGCAGAAATACCGGCCCTGACCTCGTTTTCTTTGAGATTCATGCAATATCCAGGCCATCGTCTTTCAACCTCATGTTTCTCCTTTAGTCCCCTTTACTCTTATCTCCTACTGCAGGCAGCAAAAGTAAAAATAACTTGAAAGCACTTTTCTAGATTATTTTAAATTATTAAAATGACACACAAGGTGGTCACCATTATTACTCTCAGTTAACATGTGTAGACATTGAGGCAGAGTCGGGTTGTATTCTTGGAAATTTGGGAGTAAACTAAATAGCATTTCATTCACCTAGTAGTTGGCTAATAAATCAACCTTTAATTGTTGCATGAATTTGAGTAAGTCACTTCAGCTCTCTTGGCTGAAGTTTCCTCATCTATAAAATGAAGGGTTTGTGCCTGAAATGGCAGCACTTTGGGAGGCTGAGGCAGGTGGATCACTTGAGGTCAGGAGTCTGAGACCAGCCTGGCCAACATGGTAAAACCCCGTCTCTTCTAAAACTACAAAAATTAGCCAGGCACGGTGGCAGGTGCCTGTAGTCCCAGCTACTTGGGAGGCTGAAGCAGGAGAATGGCGTGAACCCAGGAGGCAGAGCTTGCAGTGAGCCGAGATTGCACCACTGCACTCCAGCCTGGGCGACAGAGCAAGACTGTCTCAAAAAAAAAAAAAATATGAAGGGTTTGATTAGAGGATCAACTATAGGGTCTCTTGCAGATTGGACTTGCCTAGAGTTCCATGACATAAAGCCAGAGAGCGGTTTGAGAGATCTAGAGCCCTGCCTCAACTCCTAGCTCTCAAAAGAGACTATCACAGGAAAGCTATCTAAGAGGAAACAAATTAGCTCCCATCCAATTCCATAAAGATACTGTAAACATGTCTGAGATATGCAGTATATAACAGGCATTTTAATATTTGTTGATTGGACAAACTAATGCCTGTGTGTATGGATGAATTAATGAGGAAGGAAGTACTGTAGGCCTGTTTCTTTTCATAGTCAAGATCGTGCTTAAAGCATTTGCTCACCACACGTACAGGAGAGTAAAACAGATCTAGACGCTGGCTACTGCTTTTGCATGACCTATAAAGGTCTTATAAGGCTCTGAACAGTAATTCAAAATGTAAACGTGTAGGTACTCAAAAACATAAATGTCACATCTGCTTTAGCTCTTCATCTCCATTGCTGTGCTGTAGTTTTCCAATTGATGGAAAGGTTTTATTCAGATCAGCCATTTCTCTTTTTCCTGGAGGCATTCTTAATCTCCGTGTTCTAACCTTTAACAATATAGGCTTCAGTTGCCGTGTGATGATTTCCATTGCCTGGAATCTACATGTTTAAATTCTTCCAAAGAATTGTGCACCTTCTGTTTTTCTCAGTTGCAGATGGAGTCAAACCAGAAAAAAAAAAAAAAAAAAAAAAAAGTGGAGTAGGAGAGGCCAGCTCTTGATTGACTTCTTTCTCTTGACACACACGGTCAGGGGAAGGAATGGATCAATTGCCTCAACTTTTCAGCAGGCATTAACACTGCATCTCATTCTCCTTCAGGCAGTCTGTTTCGCAGAGACACTGATTAAACATTTGGGGTATTGGGGACAGAGGGAGGGAGGGAGAGGTTGGGGATTTTTAGTGGCTAGAGCCTTTTATTGACAACATTAAAGGCTTCATGATATATTTGACCAGAAATTAATTACAGCCCAGTTCCCCATTTCTCCCTTAGGTGACAGTCTTCTGTTGATGTGTGCTGCTGTGAAAGTAATAATAGGTTTCAAATGTTTGTGAAAAACATAAAGTAATTACTTGCTGTGGTAAATCAGTCATTTGAAGCTTCAGCTTTTCTCTGTTCTATGTGTGTGGCAGTCTGTTTCTTTTGTTAACTTTAATTATACAACATATGAGAATTTGTATTTTTCAGTTTTCAGAAGTTTTGCTTTTTTCATTTCTTGGTGCATAGTTCTCCAGGGATATAGGTATTGAAATGATAATGACACATAACCAGCATTTGAACAAGGGAAGCACATGTGTGTGAGGAAGCTGATTGCTTTAGTTAAGTTTCGTAGCTATTGGCTATCAGCTATTTGCCAGTTTTCTAATGGGTCTTAAATATTTACTGTCTGTTGTACAGAGGGGAAGAATTGGCTTTCAGGCATTTTAAGGCTCCTTCCACCAATAGCACTTGTTTACATTATGGGCCCTCAAGCCAAAGAGTCTGTAATAGCTCTTTCCCCTTTTTCAAATTAAAAAAAAAAATCTGTTTTTTTCTATTAAAAGCTGCAGCTCCTTGCCTGGGGTTCTTGCCTTCCAGTAAGATCTGTAAAGATCTGCCTGGATAATACCAACCTCTATGTTGACTCACCTGGACAAAGAGAGAGAAATTTCCTTTTGGCAGCTGTTTTAACAGGGAGCCTTGCCCAGACAGAATAGTGAGGCCTGTATACTGGCCAGCATGGCATATTATCACACATCAATTTCCTTCTGTCTGCACTAAGGCTAGCTCACTCCTCAAAATAGGAATTGTTCACATGTATTTTCAACTCAAATAATTCATGTTAATCTTGTTTCTCTATTTTGTCTAATCTCTCTTGTTCATTCCTGATCAGTGAAGTATCCTTAGTCTGCATTTCAAAGGTTTGCTTAATTTCCCATACCAAGCTGCCCCTCTTAAAACAATGTTTTCCCCATTCGATGTTAACCTCTTTCTTTGAACTATTATTTATATTTAGAACCAAATATAAGAACAGTAAGAACTGGTTATCAGTAATTCCTCTGTATGGAAAATTGTGCTAAACTAGGACTCTGTGCTTTTACATTGCAGTGATAATTGGGATTCATGATGTTTGCCCGAGTCTAGAATATCCCATCCATTACCAAAGAAGAATACTACTACAATTAGTATAGTTAGCATTATATATATTTTGCTGTATTCTGTCTTTGAAAAATCAGTAACTCAATATGATATATCTGAGAATAAGCAAGAATATCTGATTAAAAATACCCCTCATGTTCTTTTCATACTGCATCGTAGAGTATTTATAGCTCTATAATTGTCATAGCATTTCATTTCTTCCATAAGACTAGGTAGTAATGACAAACTGCTTAAAATAATTTTATATTACTTTATTATTTTTAATATTAATAACTACTATGAATTGAGTATTTATTTTGTATAACTTATGTGATTTACACACATTGTCTTATTTAATCCTTATACTAACCTAGTATGTTTACGAATTAACTTTTTCATTTTGCAAATGGGAAAACTCAAACTCTGAAGGATTAAGTAACCCGGGTTCTACACTGTGGTAAATGACAAGACCATGATTCAAAGTCAGGTCTATCTGCAGTTTAGCCATTGCGCTATACAGCTTATGACAATGTAATACATTAGTATTTCAAGAAAATGTACCACAGCCTCAATGTTCTTATTGACTGTATTGCACAGTATTCCTAGTCAAAAGAACTTAAAGGAGGGATGGCAGTGTTTTATCTTCCCAGAGAGGAACTGAAAGGAGATGTTGTATAGTCGACCTGCAGGGTAAAACAAAAGAAGACCCAAGAAGATGATGAAGGAGGATTTTAGCACAGTCCCTAAGGCCTGTCTAGGAATGACCACAGTCATTGATGGGCCCAACACAGGCATGAAGTGGTGTAAGACCTCAGAGAGACCTGGCATGGCAGCAGTGTTAGGGGTGCCCAAATCCAGGAGGAAGGCTGGACCACACCTTACAGGGAGAATGAGTCCACCAAGTACAAACCTCAATTCCCACAGTATCAGTAGAGCTCCTACCTAGGGTGGTACCACAGTGACTGATGAAAGTGTCTTAAAATAGCTCTTAAAAAGTTAGTGGCCAGATACGGTGGCTCTTGCCTGTAATCCCAGCACTTTGGGAGGCCGAGGCAGGCGGATCACGAAGTCAGGAGATCGAGACCATCCTGGCTAACGCGGTGAAACCCCGTCTCTACTAAAAAATACAAAAAATTAGCTGGGTGTGGTGGCAGGCGCCTGTAGTCTCAGCTACTCAGGAGGCTGAGGCAGGAGAATGGTGTGAACCCGGGAGGTGGAGCTTCCAGTGAGCCGAGATCGCGCCACTGCACTCTAGCCTGGGTTACAGAGTGAGACTCCATCTCAAAAAAAAAAAAGAAGCTAGTATGTTTTTAATTAATTTAAAATATTCACAAAGGAGGAGAAATCAAGAAGCTCTGTCTTTTGTTATTTCAATAGAAAATCCAGTCATTTTAAAAGAAAAAGTAGTGATATATTATTGACACTTGTCCATTTTTGGCTACCCCTCCTCTAAAATCTATGTTTAAGGAATTCCCCACAACCTGGTCTTGGAGTGAAACAAAGTGCATCTTCCATCATAAACACACAAAAGCCCAAGCTTGCTTACTGTGTGGGGGACAACCTCAGCTTCGCCCATCAGATGCATGCACTCTGAACTCTGATCGGGGAGCTAAGGACTCCAAGCACAAGGGTGACAGAGCACCACAGAAGGCTCCCTCAGCAGCAGTGGTAACTTCTGGTTACCTAAGGTGGCGGCAGTAGTAGTGGCAGTGGTATGGCCAACATCCACTTCTGCTGGCAGCAGAGCAAGACCTGGTGTTCTGTGTTTAGCAGCAGCTGTGGTGGTATCTTCACAAAACTATCTTTGAAGAGTGATTCTGGAGAGATTTTGGCCACAATCCCAGCTGCTGTCTAGCTTTGTTTATTTCTGCTCCCTTTCCAAGTCTCATTCTCCAGCCTTCCTGGCTCATCTTGGAGTTGCCCAGTACCCTTTCAATAATTCCTTCTCTGCAACTTTGAACCCTGATTGTTACATACATATATTTATGTAAAATCTAGTAATAATTGTTAATCTTAGCTTTTAATTCTGGCAGTCCACAGTGAAGTTTGGAGTCTTACATTATTATTATTACTATTGAAGTTTCAACCCACATTGTATCACTTATCTTGGTCAATTATATAACAAACTTAACTGTCTATCAAGAGTTTTTATTTTTTAAAGAAAAAGCAAAATTGACTGGATTGCATGCCCTGAAGCAAGGCTACCCAGATCTGGGAAAAGTTAGTTATTGGATCTACACATTTGTTTCCCATAAATCATCCCAAAGCGCAGTACCTAAAACAACAACCATTATATGAGTTCTCTTAGTTGAGCAGATTGACTGGGGCCCAGCTGTAAGGTTCTTCTCTGGACTGCCTTGGGTTCTCTCCTGTGGCTGCAGTGGGATGGCAGCTAGGGCTGGAGCATCCGGAATGGCTTGCCTCATCTGTCTGGTGATTTGGTGGGGACAACTGGAAGCCTGGACTCAGCTGGGAGATGGGCATGGCTCAGTTCCTCTCTCTGTTTCTGTGTAGTCTCAGAGATTCCCCCTCTCCATGTAGATTTTCCATGTGATTTCTTCATCAGGGTAGGCATACCTCTTACATGGTTACTTGGGGCTCCCAAAAGCATGAAAGTAGAAGCTATCAAGCCTTTTTAAGGCCTAGACCCAGGACGAGCATAGTATCACTTCTGTCACTTTCTTAAAGCAAGTCACAGGGCTAGCCCAGATTTAATGTAGGAGAGGACTAAATAGAGGCATGAATGACGGGAGGCATGTTTCATTAGGAGTTATCTTTGGAATTTAGTCACCACTATACTTAAACTTCAGCCTCCAGTTATGTGCACCCAACGCAGTGCCTCATACAGTAGACATTCCATCTATTTGTCAGAATGCTTTCAGTGCAAGGAGCAGAAACTTAATTCAAATGATTTAAGCCAATAAAGGAAATTTCTTGAATCATGAAGCTAAGACTTTCAAGGGCTGGTTGGCTTTAGGCTTGCTTTAACCAAGGATTCAGACCGTATCAGCAAGATCGCTTCTTTTCTTCCTCCAACTCCTGCTTCTATTTGCATCTGCTTGTCTTTATAACTACATAGCCTGTCTCCCCACGATGGCAAAGTAGTAGCCCAGACTTATACTCATAGCTGGAAATCTTAGGGAAAGGGAAATCTCTCTTCCAGAATCCACGGAAGGACTCTTGATGGGCTCTGTCTATTTCTGAGCCAATTCCTGTGGCCCAGAGGAATGCAGCATTCTGATTTGACAATTTCAAATCACCCACCTGCACCTGTGGTGAAAAGTTGCTCAGTGTAATCTGGATCTAGAAGAACATTTTCTAGAGAAAAGGAAGGTTTGGTTACCAAAGAAGAGGGATAGATACTAGATAAACAAAAACGAGATAATCCCTAAGCCCAATAGCAGTTTGCTGAATGAATAAAATGTAGCTTATAAATGAGTGGTGCAGACACTACCATACTGAGTTTATTAGGTGTCAAAGAAGATAGACATTTAAAAACAATGCTGTTATGGAAAGATATTTTTATGGAAAGAGGTAGAAGTGCTGCTGGAACATTATTCAAAGTGGGTTGAAATCGTTAGAGAAAATGTTGTAGAAGCAGTTTTTGAACTGTACTTTGAAAAAGGTAAGATTTAGAAGGAAGGAGGATTTTATAGGCAGAGCAACGTTGCTTTCTTAAAAAACAAATGGTGTTAATAAAAGAGAAGGTTACAGAGTATAATTTTAGGATGTTTCTGATCCTCTGAAACTATACATGTAAGAAAATCAAGAGTTTGGTTGTTACAGTATGTTGAACTATATAGTTACAGATTTAGTTGGTTCCAAAAAGATTTTTTTTAACCTGTATATGACAAATGGGTGTTTTAGTGATTAAGGGGGGGGATTCACACAAAAATAAAACTATCAAGGTGATTGCTATCAAGGAAAAGAAAACTCCTTTAAAAATATATAGTATATTCATTTTTGTTGTCCTTTGTCACTTTAACAGTAGATGCTGAAATTACCAGAAATAACAGTAATCTGTATTTATAGTCCTCCTGTGAATCTGAAGGTTTCCATAAATGTAAATTAATTTGGTTCTACTCTCATGAACTGTGGAGGAAACAGAAGCGAAATATTCCCAACTACCCCATCCGCACTTCTGTCTGAGAAAGACAGTGAAAGAAGGACTGAGAATATGAGGAAAAAAGCAGCAAAAACTGAATTGGCTGGCTGGGCACCGTGGCTCATGCCTGTAACCCCAGCACTTTGGGAGGCCGAGGCGGGCAGATCGCAAGGTCAGGAGATCAAGACCATCCTGGCCAACATGGTGGAACCCTGTCTCTACTGAAAATACAAAAATTAGCTAGGTGTGGTGGTGCATGCCTGGAATCCCAGCTACTCAGGAGGCTGAGGCACGAGAATCGCTTGAACCCAGGAGGTGGAGGTCGCAGTGAGCCGAGATCACGCCACTGCACTCCAGCCTGGCGACAGAGAGAGACTCCATCTCAAAAAAAAAAAAAAAAGGAATTGGCTGAGCTGACTTTGTAGTTCTCATGGGGTTAGTGAAGGAGAAAGAAGCAGAGCTCAGAGACGGGATTTGAATTTGGTAAGAATAGAGTCCTGGTTGGCTCAGATCACTAGATCGTACTGTCAGAAGCTCAGAAAGTCTTAATTGAGTAGGACCTTAGAGATGGTATCTTCTAGCCCCTTCGTTTATCAGGCTGGAGACTTGCTCTGAGAGATGGAGTAACTGGCCACAAATGATCCAGATAGGGCTAGAACCCAGATTTCTGAACTCGTTTTTCTGGGCTCCCTCCTGGAGCTCTCAACACCCCTTACAGACTCATGTCAGGAGCTCTCAGCCTTATTCACATTCTCCCTGGGAAGAGTGATGCCCTAGGGCAACGATAGGCAACCCAGGAAGATGATTACTAGAATCCTCTGGAGGAGGAGGGTCATTTTGTGGTGTGTTTCTGATACAATCCTAAGAGTATCATGTTAACCCCATTAACCATAATATCCACCTTCTCTAATACTAGAGTAACATTGCTGTGGACACATCTTTACAAACAAAAATTACTATGTGATGATAATTATGACTTCTGTTCACATACTCAAGTCCTTGTTGCTAAGTAAATGCAGAAAGATTATTAGTTTTATTAGCCTTTGATATTGAAATTGTCATGTTCTCTCTTAGCTATGAAGACCTGCTCTGCCCACATCAACTTGGTTATTTTTTCGTAAGGAAATTAAAGTAGAAATTATAACACAATTACTATCAAAATTCTACTAAACTATAAGTCGAAACAAAATATAAGAACCGCAATTATGTGAGAATAACATGTGGGAAACTGTTCCTGCTGCTGAGATGCGTAAAGTGAAGTCTTTGGAAGAAGGCATGGAGTTACTAGGTAGCCGCAGTGTGGAGGGTGGCTGGACTTCTCTGTCGCTAGCAATGGGCATGGTGCCATTGCCAATGCTTGGAAGATGAGTGTCTTCACCTAACTTGTTAAGTGCCAACTAGTCTTCTGCCTCCAATGAAGATTTCTCCTTTGTGTGCACAGGTTCTTCTACTGAGCCCCAGGAGTTTAGGGTCATCATGTGCCCTTAAAGTGTGGAGTGATAAGAGAGAATCTCTATACCTCTGACCAATTTGGAGGAAAGCAGAGATTTAGTGTTGGGGCCACTTACACGTAATCTTCTTTTTCTCACTTTTTCGCTGAGAGGAATGTGGTCTAATCTAGACACCTACTGGCTGCCTTGAAAGAGCATTCTCAGCTATACTGGCAGATCTAGCAAAGAGATGTGAAAGGATCCTCAGGTGGCCCCTTCAGGGGTCTTTCTGAGGAGTCAGGAGGAACCAGCCATTGTGATGATAAGACACCCACCCAGGTGGTTTTCTCTTAGTGTGATAAAGGAAGCTGACCCTGTCGAGGCCAAGATGTTCACCCAGTGGGTTATCCTTCTTATGCAGAGGGATGACGTACCCTCAGTATCCAAAACATTCTAATGTCTTCATTGTCTGTTTACATTATGCCTCCTCCTCACTGTGGGAGTTCCAAGAAGTTTTGCGTCTTTCCCTATAACTTTTATAACTTTTGCCACCACCCTGACTGATCTCCTACAACATACAACATGGGTAAACCTCAAAAACATTGTGCTAAATGAAAGAAGCCAGTCAAAAGAAACCACGCACTTTATAATTTCATTCATATGAAGGTCCAGAATAGGGAAATCTATAGAAACAGAAGTAGATTAGTGTTCACTTTAGGGCTGGATGGAGAATAGCGGGGAAGGGGATGAGCACTAAAGGATATAGGGTTTCTTTTTGGTGGTCTATTGATTGATTGATTGATTGATTGCTTTTATTTTATTTATTGCTTCATGAATGACAAGGTTTTACTCTGTCACCCAGGCTGGAGTGCAGTGGTGTGATCACGGCTCACTGCAGCCTCCACCTCCTGGGCTCAAGTGATCCTCCCACTTCAGCCTCCTGAGTACCTGGGACCACAGGCAGACACAATCACTCTCAGCTAATTTTTTAAAATTTTTGAAGAGACAGGGTCTCACCATGTTGCCTAGGCTGGTCTTAAACTCCTATTCTCAAGCAGTCCTCCAGTGTCAGCCTCCCAAAGGGTTGGGATTACAGGCATGAGCCACCATGCCTGGCTGGTGGCCCTTTTAAAGTAGCCTTTTCTTAGGCTCTTACATATCTTTGGAACCATCCACTATTGGGAGCTTCTCTCCACTGCTTTCTAAAATGAGAATAGCCATGTACAAGCATATGATTTAAACTGTTTCAATATCTGGAACGTTTCCTAAAGAAGTCACTTGCTTGAGGTTATAACAGATTGGCAAGGGGTCAGTCATTCCATTCATACATCAAATATTTATTGAATAAATGTGAGAGCTAGTCATTCCTGGAGCTACAAAGATAAAAATATGATTCCTATTTTTACACAGTATAGCACAGTAGACCTCAGTAATGGGAGCAGAACTTTGTGATAAGAATTAAGAGAGGGAAAGCATTAAGGTAAGAAAGGAGGTTAAAACCTCGTAAGATGCCCTCCTAGGTATATACCCAAGAGAAATGAAAAGCATGTGTCCACACAGAGACTTACATACAAATGTTTATAGCAGTAGGTAGTATTCATAATAGCCAAAAGGTAGAAACAACTCATATGTCCATCAATGATGAGTGGATAAACAAAATGTGGTATATCCATGCAGCAGAATATTATGTGGCCATAGTGGACTTGAAGTACTGATACGTGCTACATGCTGCCAAGTCTGTCCTGCAGACTCTGGCCAAGCGACAGATGGAAGAAGTTCACTGGCACAGGTATTTTGCCTAACAATGCGGCTAGAGGACCCCACAGCTTAGCACCGCTGATGAGAGTGCAGTGCAGCCACAGCAGCCCCCATAAGGTGGAGACACTTGCATTTATTTCGTACAGATTTAATGACAAAGGCTTGGAGCAAATACACTTTGTGGGTAATAAACCTTGTTGACCCGCACCCCCCCTCTGCCCCCCCAGCTCACCCCCCCGCCCCGAGTAGAGAGCAGTCCTGCACACGACTGATCAAAGGTTGGTTTCTGGAGAGAGTAAACAAATTTATCTAGATAAGTCTCTTTACAGTCCTTTGTTATCGACCCTTTGCTGTCAGGCTCCCAATAAGAGAATTTGGCTGCCTTCAGCCAAATTTTCTTTTGAAGCTTTTGCAAAACCTCCTGGCCTTCCAAGAAGTTTTGCATCTTTCCCTATAACTTTTATAACTTTTGCCACCACCCTGACTGATCTCCTACAACATACAACACGGGTAAACCTCAAAAACATTGTGCTAAATGAGAGAAGCCAGTCAAAAGAAACCACACACTTTACAATTTCATTCATATGAAGGACCAGAATAGGGCAATCTATAGAGACAGAAGTAGATTAGTGTTCACTTTAGGGCTTGATGGAGAATAGCGGGGAAGGGGATAACAGCTAAAGGATACAGGGTTTCTTTTTGAGGTGAAGAAATGTTCTGAAATTCATTATGGTCCTGGTTGTATATATCTGTAAATAGATTAAAAGCCATTGAATTTTACACTTTAAATTGGTGATTTGTATGGTATGTGAATTATATCTCAATAAAGCTGTTTTTTGAAGAAGAAAATAAGAGCAAAAACTGAGAGCAGTGGTAGGGAATAGCAGAGAGTTTTTGGTTTTGTTTTGTTTTTGTTCTCTCTGTTTCTCTAAAAGGGGAAACATTTTTATGGGTTATGGAAAGACAGACGCAAGGTTTATAACCCTGCCTGGAAGTAAGGAAATGGTTTTGGTAGTCTTGGTGATTTTAGTGTCATTACTATCATCACTGTTGTTATTAAGAGTTGATTGTGGAGCTAACTAGGACTAAGGAGCTTCCAGGTAGAGGAGGAGTAGATTACACTTGGGAGGGTAGAGACAAGTATTACTAGTTCAGAATCTGACACCTCCATCCAGCTGGAAGAAGACTTGCTTATGCTAGAAAAGGAACTATGCTGCCATAAGCTACTGAAGAAATAGCAATTCCAAAGTTAGAATGGATGCATCCAAAGAAGAGAAGGAAACTTCTATGCAAGTGAATCTAAGACTCCATTATAAACCCATGAAGTTAAGAAGAGCTAAAGAAGCATACAGAATTATTTTGTTTGCAACAAAGTTTTTTTTGTAAGTTTTCATTTGTTGCTGAATCTCTCTCAGTTGTGGTTATTTTAATAAGCAGTGAGTTTGTAAAGTCCTGGTTTAAAATACTAAATGTCTGATCTCCCTATTAACCCCAAGCATCTGAGATTGTAAATCATGACTCTTTGTTGCCACCTGATGACAACAAAGAGTACAGCCCTTCTGGAAATACTAGCCTTTCTAGAAACAAATTAATTTCTTGAAAGCTGAAATTAGCAATCAGTGATTCAGAGATGTTGACAAAGGCTTTTTATAAGTTCCTTGACCTTGATATGAGAAAGAGGCCTCTTGTCATAGGCATCTTAACGCATACTGAAGTTTTTTCTTATAACTACATTACCTAGAAAGCAACATCCTCCATATTGAAAGTGATTTTCAATATATTACACTAAAGCATTCAGTGTGTATTGCCCTAAGTCTGTCAACAGTTTCTCCTGCAGTTGTCGCTGATGTCACTGTCCAGTGGCTGCTTCTCTCATGTCTGAACAGCTGCAAGCCTGTTCTTACTGTTGCTGCTGTCATCACCATCACACACAAACTGTTGCCCCTGCCACCATCTTCCTGCTGCTAATGGGACTGATTGGCACCTCTCCACACCACATCAAGGTGCAGGAGCTATTTCCCCTGCCAGGCTCAGAGCCATCTGACACCTCTTACTGCCACCATTCATTATCACCCTCACAGCAGTGAAGCCAACAGGAACTAGCTCAGTCCTGAGCTGGGGGGCCTCACTGGTGAAGGGAGTGCGGTGGCCACCTTTCTGCCTGCAGAAGCAGCTGGGCCTCTCAGACTGGACCTGGGGACTCAAAAAATTCTGTACTTTTAGGGGTCAGCACATTAGAGCCCCAGCATGTCTCTTCTGTACTGGTTACTGGAGATGAAAGCAATTAGAAAATTATTCTGTTTAGGAGAGTGGACAGCACCAACAGCTTCCTCCTCACCATGTGCCTGCATAGGTAACAAATAAGCAATATTCTGCCCCTTCCTGACCACTGGGCAAAGATTAATGCCATGCATTGAAAGTTATTTTTAAATGTCCTCAATTAGCTATAATATTTTTAACAAAGCTTGTAAGGTTTAGGTAATGTGTAGGGTATAAGATGGCAGACTCATTACTGTACTTTCACAGAGAAACAAAAAGGAATAAATCCACAACTGAGAAAGAATAGGAGGATTTACCAATAAATAAATGACAGCAACTTTCTGGATGATAGGAAGAAGATGGAACATTGTTAATGGATAAAGTAGTTGGGGAAAAGGAAACCCTCAGTCTGGAATGTGCAACGAGGACCTTGGAGAAGTTCCATGTTCATAATCAGCAGTTCAAAAAAAAAATGTCAGAGTGCCAAGAGAAACCGAAAATAGAGACTAATGAAAATTTTCTAGACATAAAAATATATATCCTACAGGACTATTTTCTTCACCCCTCCAAAATGTTGGTATCCAGAAGTTGTTCTTGAAAGAGCCATCCTAGGAAATATTTAGGGAAAGTCAAGACTTCTGGTGTGGATGTCAGAGGACCAGAATAAAACATTCATTTTAGCACTGGAGGGAGAGGTCCCAGCCTGACAGTTGGCATCCCACCTGCTCATCCTAAAGAGAAACCCACCTGTTAGCACCTTCTGCACCACCCCACATAACACTCCCAGGAACTCCCTCCCTCTAAGAACCTTTTTAGAAACATGATCTTGCCTATACTTAGAGGCCCAAGATCCAATTGGAGTCCGAGGAAAAGAGAACAGAGAATGAAGGGGAGGGGAAATTACTGAAGAACTAGTAAAAATGCTTTTCTAGAACTCAGGAAGGGCCCAAGTCTTCATATTAAGAGCCTGTTGGGTGCCCAGTTCAGTGAATGAAGAAATAGCCTCACCTAAAACACAGCCTCATGAATTTTCAGAATGCCAAAAGTAAACTTATAAAAGCTCCAGAGAGAGGGGCATAAAAAAAAGTCAGCTGGTATCAGACTTATGATCAATAGCACTAAGTGCTAAGAAATAATGAAGCATTCTTTCTCAGCTCCAAGGTAGAATGATTTCAACCTAGAATTAGACATCCAAACAGTGTATCGGCCAATTTTGAGGGTGCAATAAGGGCATCTTCAGATTTATAAAGACTTGGAAAGTTGACTTTTCATGCTCTTCTTTCTAGGGAACTTTTTGAGAATGCATTTAAGCAAAGCGAGTAAATAAACCACAAAAATCAGAAAACGTCGTGTCTAAAAGAGACTTGATCCAGCTCAGAACAGTGAAAAGGTAACCATGAAGCAGGCTTAGAGAGGAACCAGTCCAAATTGGGATAATGAGATACAGCTGTTCTGGAGAAAGTTCTCTGGGTGGGAAAAGACTCAAGAAAATAGGTAGTATGATGGAGAGGTTGAAAAAGAACCTAAGATGTGAAAAACTCAAGTAGTACAAGAGAAAGGAAAGGCAATTGGAAATTTTTAGGAAAAAAAGCAACTATACAGGAAATGTGTGGCCTGCATGCAAAGTGAACTTCTAGAAGCACCCTCTTTGAGAGGCCTCAAGGCTGTGATATAGTTAGGCTTTGTGTCCCCACCCAAATCTCATCTTGAATTGTAATCCCCATAATCTGTACATGTCAAGGGAGAGACCAGGTGGAGGTAATTGAATCACGGGGGCAGTTTCCCCCATGTTTTTCTCGTGATAGTGAGTTCTCATGAAATCTGATGGTTTTATAAGGAGCTCTTCCCCCTTCGATCAGCACTTCTCCTTCCTGCAGCTTTGTGAACAGGGTGCCTTGCTTACCCTTCACTTTCTGCCATGATTGTAAGTTTCCTGAGGCCTCCCCAGACATGTTGAACTGTGAGTCAGTGAAACCTGTTTCCTTTATAAATTATTCAGCCTTGGACAGTTCCTTATAGCAGTATGAAAACGGACTAATACAGGTTGTAAGTGACTGATAGAGAAGGAAATATAATCCTTAGCATCACTGGCCAAGCACTATTTGTGTATATGTGATGGCGTAAATGCTTTTTATTGTTTTTCGTGAATCATCATGCAAACAAAGCATGAAAGACTCCATTGTGTTTGCAGGATAGTATGTAAATGTTTATCTTCACCCAGCAAAAGTAAGAATGTAGCTGAGAGAAAATAGAAGGTGAGAGACAGAAATATGGTTTGGGGTAAAGAAGGAGATAAAAAGGTTTTTTTTCTTTTTTCTTTTCTTTACTTTTTTTTTTTTTTTTTGAGACAGAGTCTCACTCTGTTGGCCAGGCTGGAGTGCAGTGGCATGATCTGGGCTCACTGCAGCCTCCACCTCCTGGGTTCAAGCCATTCTCCTGCCTCAGCCTCTGGAGTAGCTGGGATTACAGGCATGCGCCACCATGCCTGGCTAATTTTGTATTTTTAGTAGAGACAGGGTTTCTGTCTGTTGGTCAGGCTGGTCTTGAACTCCTGACCTCAGGTGATCCACCTGTCTCAGCCTCCCAAAGTGCTGGGATTACAGGCGTGAGCCACTGCGCCTGGCCAAAAAGTTTTCTTAAAAGGGTCATTAATAGTGTCATCGTAAAAGTGGGAGTAGGCAGGAGATTTGTTGAAGTAAAAATAGTGGTTTAGGTAGTTAATTTAAATTACAAAGAACAGCATTTTCACACAAAAATGCTAAAATATAACCATAAAATACTAGAAGAAGGAGAGCAGTATTACAGATGAGCCATATCTTTGTCTTCCACATCAGGAGATTTATCTTTTAGGATACTTTTAACTGCGTGTAACAGAAAACACTGACTTAAGTGACTTTAAACTTTTTTTTTCAAGTTTTCTCTCATCTAATATGAAGTCCCAAGGTAGGGTGGCTTGTGGGTGGGCTAATTCAGTAGCCCATTGATGTCATGAAGAACCCACGTTCTTGCCATCTCTCTGCTCTTCCTTCCTTAAGGTGTGTTGGCTTCATCCTCTGAAGCTACTCCTGTGGTACAGGGTTGCCTGCTGAGTTTCCAGGCATCACAGAGACACATTGGAAGAAGAGTGTTTCCTTCTGGGCTTTATCTTCATCAGCAGGGAAACATTTCCTAGCAGTTCCTCAGCTGACTTCCTCCCATGTCCTGTTGGCCAGAACTTGATCACACATTCCCCCTAAACTAGTAACTGGCAACGGAAATGGAGAGCTGCTTTCTTACGGCCACTCTTCAGCAGATTTGATTTGGTGGAAGTCCCTGGAAATAGCAATTTGTATCTCAGCATGAACCTAAGACTTAAACGTGACAACTGTTAATCTCACCTTTCCCTTAATTGATAAGTGTTCATACCAGTAGACCTATTACAGACAAGTTGTCTGTGCTGCCCCTGTATGAGTTTAATGACAAACGTAATTCAGAAAAAAAGGCCACGGTGACTTTCTAGTTTCCTTGATCAGTAATTTTCCCTTGAGATATAGAAAGAGAGCATCCTTCTCTCCAGCTTATGTATCATACCAAAATCCTCAGAGCTGCCCGGGTGCAATGGCTCAAGCCTGTAATCCCAGCACTTTGGGAGGCCAAGATGGATGGATCATTTGAGCTCAGGAGTTCAAGACCAGCCCAGCAAATATGAGGAAACCCCATCTCTATCAAAAATACAAAAATTATCTGGGTGTGGTGGTGCATGCCTGTTGTCCCAGCTACTCAGGAGGCTGAGGTGGGAGGATCCCTTGAGCCTGGGAGGTTGAGGCTGCAGTGAGCCATGTTCATGCCACTGAACTCTAGCCTGGGAGAGATAGCAGGACCCTGTCTCAAAAGAAAAAAAAGAGAGAGAATTCTCAGAACTGCTGAATGAATTTTTTCTTGGATTAAACAGCTTTATATAATTCATAGATTCTAGAAGTTTCTTCATCTCTGCAAATCTATAGATTTTACATTTACATATGTAGATATTCTGTAGAGACAGAAGGTTTCTGTGTCACTTCTCAAAGTTTCCTTGTTTTGCTTGGTGAGGTGGAAACAGAATGCAAACTAGAGCTTGAATCCCACATTTTACTAGTAGCTGCTTAGCCCCCAGTAGTTTTTAACCTTTTAATACTTCGGTTACCTTACCTATAAAATAGAGATGATTTCTTTACACTTTAGGGTGGTTGTAGATAAAATGAAACTGCAAGTAAAATGCCCAGTACAAATAGAAGGGGGAGATTAGTGATTATTTATTCATTCTTATTCTTCCTATTGTAATGTGTAAGAGGATTCTAGCACTTAGTTTCCCAGTTTTTATATTTTTGATAGTAGCTTCATGTTATTGAAAAGTGAGTCAAATTAGGGGGCAAGGCAGAGGAATTTAATTCTCATTTTAAACAGCAATATAGTAACAAGAGGAGAGATGAAAGGCAGCAAGGATAAAGACCGAAGGTACAAGATATCAGTG
This sequence comes from Homo sapiens, assembly GCF_000001405.40. Lineage (NCBI taxonomy): Eukaryota > Metazoa > Chordata > Mammalia > Primates > Hominidae > Homo > Homo sapiens. The sequence goes on from NC_000007.14 coordinate 134,037,209, forward strand.
GTTTTGACGAAGTTTTCTCAATCAAAGACTGCAAGCTGCTCCCACGTTGCCCAGATCCGGATCCTACAGAGCTCCATTGAAGGGGATTTCAGTGGAATGGTTTCCTCACAGAAGGAGACCAGGGTGACTTTATTTCTTCACTGAAACACTTTGATTATAAAAAGAAATCAGATGATCAAAAAGCATGAGATGATGGGTGAAATATGTTATATGATTATAATTCAATAATAATTGAATTTCTCTAGCATTTTTCCCTTGTGGGAGGCTCAGAGAAGTTCAGATGTATTATCTGAATTCGTTTCGGCATACATTGGTGGAGAGGGGCCCTGTGTTAGGCTTTCCATTCTTCACACCCTACCCAGGCCATGAGACCGGAGCAATGTTCCTGTAGCTTTGGTACCCGTGGCTTTATAAACATGAACGTGAACATTTTAGGCACAATTTAGAAGGGGATTATCCGCATCCCTCCTCAGGGAGAGTCCTTGAGTAGAAGTGTCATCTTTCCAGTTCCTTCTGAATCCCCTTCGAGCAATTGCTCTAGGTTCAAACAGTTCATGAAACAGAATGCCACAATGAAACTGAAGACTTCCTATGAGTTTTTACAAGTTCTTATTTCCCAGTGATGTCCCAGGAGTTCTTGATAAAAAGGACCTTTTTTCTTTCTAGTATTCCAATTATAAGATAGCGATCCTCAGCATCTTGCTACTCACCAACTCAGGTGTTCTCTGATTCTGATCCCGGGGAGTTTTTTCAAAATGCCTAGAACTGTGAATAACAAGGTGCAAACATAGATAACTTATCTTCCACTGTTTACCTTTAAAAGGTCAAGACCCAGTGCAATCTAGGCCCCCTATACCTACTATGGACCACTCAGTAGAACAGACATCACATTTCCTGAGGCTAGTCTGAGAAGCATGGGCTAAGGAGTCGCAGTATCGATTGTATAAGGATTAGCATATCTGGCAGATGGGAACTGTCTGAACTCATTCAACTGAGAGGCATCTGCATCAGGCGGATTGGCATTGCTGAACTTTCACACGGCAAATTGAGGATTTTAACATGCAGCCCAACTTCTCCTGTGGAGATCCAGTGAACACATAAAAAGGTTTCAGTCTTTATGAATTCCTGGATATATTAGGCATTACAGAATAAAAATATTTTCCCAAGTGCTGTATTGATACTCTAGGCACCTATACTTAACATTTATGTTCTTCGGGAACCACTCCATGTAGTCAGATATTCAGGGATTGTTGGACTCTCGTTTCTTTTATATATCCTTTAATTGCCTTAGACTGCTGAGCTTCATTATGTGGGTCAATTAGTCTTTTTTGAGAAATCACTTCTAACACACTAATTTTATTCTCTATTGCTTCCTTCTGATTCCTCATCTCTTTCCCAGTCTCCACCCTCTAACTCATTCTCATTTTTATTTTACTTCTCCTGTTTATTTACCTTATGTTCCTTCGCTATCCTCCACGGCCCCATGCCCTCATCTTCCCAGAGAGTGCTTGAGGCCTAGACCAAGCAGAGCAGCCACACCACAGGCTGCTCCCAGTCTGTGTCACTTACCATTGGCAGTAACTAGGGGCTCTTGGAGCATCCCTGAGCTATCAGTTGGAAACAAGCTCTTCCTAGGTCTTGACTAGGTCTAGGTCAGGATGCTGAGAATCAAGATGAATGGAAGTTTGCTTACCTAGCAGTCTCAAAGCACTCCAAATGCACATGTAAAGAGATACCCATGTGTGTCTACATGGTAAATCCCATAACCTGTGTTCCCACTTCTGGAGATCCTGAGGTTTCTGCCTTCATTTTCCTTGGGGGAACATGGAAAGGTCCACTCACCTTTACTTTGTTCCCCTCTCCTGCTTCTGTGTATGGTCTGAGTTGACATCTTGCTTAATCAGAAATAGAAATGGGTGAAAGATTGCTATATGAGGCCATAATGATCAATAGATATAGATAATAGATAAATGTATATGTACTCACGTAGGTATGGTATACACCTACGTAAGGAGTATAGGAGTATAAACCATGTACTCCTAACTTGGAGTGCATGATAAAGCTTCAGGGAGTGCATAATAAACCTTGGAGTGCATGATAAAGCTTCAGGGAGTCCATAAACCCCCAAAATTATATGCAAAATCTGTGTTTATATAGATGTGAATTTTTTCTGGCAAGATAGTCCATGATTTTACCAAATTTTGAAAAGGTGCTGTGAGATTCTAAATCCATTCTCTTTGGCTGGCTGTATTTACTTTCTTGTTCTTAGAATTCTGAACAAAACATTAGGGATCAGAACAGGCAATCACACATACTAATGCTGAAATAAAATCATATTTCCAGGTCTGCTAGTGTTGTCTCCTTCACCACTGCCCTCCATCATAGTCCTCCATTCAGAGCTGACCTCTACCCCCAGCTGGTCATATTGCTTTTCCTTGCTGCCCCAGTACAATGAGCAACCATGGGAATACAGTCTCAGGATACCCAGGTTTTCACTATACTGAAGAGTTTACATGCAAAGCTCATCATCTTCTCTCATACAGCAGGTCCCCATTTCTAACTTTGATAGCATTCTCATTCAGGAGGGAAGTCTTGGATGGTTGTTCACTCCTGATTCTTTTTCCTCATCTGTATCTGGTCCTAGCAACTCTACTTCCAAGTTTTCAGATATTAGTAACAGACTAACAGCTTCATTAACTTGGATTTTGGTTCTCTGTGAAAGTAGCCTCAAGATCTGCCAAATCTGAATCTTAGTTCCATATTCCATCCCTTAACCTTAGATTTCACATTACACAAATTGCCAACACCTCTCTATGGCTCACCCATCTGTCCTGTCAGCCCTTCATATCCTGTTAAACACATAGACTTGTTGACTCTTTCTTCCTCCAAATCTGGAATAAAGCGACAGTCCCACAGCTGATGTTCATGTCTCTTGGTCTCTTCCCTTCAGCCATCCTTTGTGATGTAGATAGACTAATCATCCCAAGATACTGCTTCTCTGAATTTTTTGCCCAATCCTTAGAGTGACTTTTTTATAAATACACTATTTGGCCCAAATTTGTCAGAGTTAAAGAAAAACTTGCCTGATAACTGTTCTTTCTTAATTGGCCAGCATCTTCTCTCATTATTTAAACTTATGTTCCCACTGATTTGACAGTCTTCTTTACATGTGACTCACGGTGCAACCTCCATGCCTTTATTCTGGCTGTTCTGATTCATTCTTCAACTCCCAGCCTTCAAAACACATCGCACTCCCACCCCTCCTCTGGAATAATTGACTGCTCCAGTTGACCCTCATTTTTCAGTCTTCCGAAGTCATTGCCATGTTACTTGAAACCTCCATAATGAAGCACATGGCGTAAAACAGATATTTAATAAATATTTGATCATTTCAAAGATAGTTTTCCAACCAATGGAATTGAAGAGCAATAAAGGCATGTCTTGGGGAAAGCAGGTAGTGATAATGGCAAAGTAATCAGTGCACAAATTTTTAGCAATATGTAGCTAATTCTGAGGTAACTAAAGCTCAATTAACAATATTTGTAATATTGCATGTCAGCAAAGAAAAATATGTAAGCAAAGCATGTTTCAGGATGATCCTTCTAAAGGATAGTCAATCACCTGTGGTACTATCATCAATGGTACTAGTATTGGTCAACATATGTGGTATAGGTGGTCGGGCCTTCTCTTTAACTAATCAGATGAATATTTAATATAGCTTCCCAAGCCTAATCCTTGGCTGAACTGTGACACATGATCAGCTGGTGTGTACCTCTACCCTCTAATAAAGCCGAACCATGCATTTTCCTTCCCCTCCCCAAACTGATGGTAAAACCCACCAAATTTGCATATAGCCTCCTCTCCCCATGATTATGGCATCAGATGTTTATAGATGGTTCTGTTTGAGTTGATCCTAAATAAGGGAGACTTTTACCATTGTAACTGCTGTTCCCAAAGCGTAACATAAACTGCTTTAGTCAGCAAAATATATATATCATCTTTGCCTTGGTAGATATTGAATTGCTGACTCTCTCTTCTTTAGACCCAGTAGTCATTTCTTTACCTCCTTAATTTATGCATGAAGCCAAAAGAAAAATTACTTCATATTCTTAATAAAAATGGCATAAGGTTTAGATAATTTTTTACTATATGCAGTAAAAATGCAAATGTGTGTGGCTTATTTGCAAATGTAGACATTAATAACTGATATTTAAACAGTCCAGATTAGCAATTTTACTGATATATTTAAGAGATTTTTCCAATAATTTGCACACTCAAAATCAATTTGAATACAACATGTAAATTGAATTTAATTTTTTATATAAAATTGTGGTTATCAGCTTGAACCATTAAATTTACTATTTAATATATGCTTTCCAGATCACTTGGTTAGAATTTCATTGCACCTTATCTATATAAATTTAATTAGGCTTGATATCATCAGTATATTATAGAACTAATTAAAGATTTAGATAAGTGCTGAGGGGGCTTATTGAAAACTCCATAAAGTTCCATTTGGAAAATGAGATATTCTTCCTTCAGTTCATTGTGAGAGAAGGAAACAGCAAGAATGCTTCTTGCAGTGTTTCTGAAAAATTATTTAACTGGATTTAAAGGGCTTATTCCATTCTTTGAAGAGCTTTTTAATTACTCTCTATCTTTGTGCAGTCCAACAACAGTTACAATCTTTATTTAAAGGCTTTAAAAATCCTCATTTCCATCTTCTCCCACTGAGCCAGCTGTGTTACATTCTGCTGGGCATATGTGCAGGTAGGTAGTACAGGGTTTGTGTACCCTGATTGCGATCATATAATATGTAGCAGCATTTGTGGGGAAGTCTATCTAGTCCTCCCAAGCAGAATAAACATTGAGAAAGCTCAGCGAGCGCCTGCCACAAATGTCTTAGGAAAAGGGAAAAGAAAGAAACCCTAGCCCAGGAGGATACCTGGGAAAAACTGAGGCTTCCACTCAAAAGATACAGCGACTTTAAGTAATCATTTTGCAGAAATCACTTTTGGATTCCCTTGTATCTGCATCTCTGCTATAGAGTATAAAGCATATTAGTTTAAAAGACTATTATTTCAACTAAGTGCTTTGTGTCTTCATTACAAAGCACAATAAAGCTTTTTAATACAATAAAGCCTTTATTACTTTCAATTGAATATGCCTGGAAATAAAGCTTTATCAACCACATTTGCCAGTGTGCTCAATGCTCTTGTCAAAAGCACTTTTTCTTCATTGCAGATTGAGTGACACAGAGCATGCTAGGAAAAAAAAAAAAAGGAAAGTGAAAGGACACATGACAAATATGGGCCATCTACGACTGGGCACACTGTCGATTACGACAGAGGCCTGAGGAAGCCAGGGAACCGGATAAATTGTCAAGAGCCTGTGTGGTGTAATAGAAAGGTTACAGGCTTTGGGCTCAGGAGATGCAGATTTAAGTCAGAGCCCTGCTGCTGATTAGCTGTGTGACCTGGACCTCATCTTTTCCACACCTAAATCTTGTTTCCTGGAAAATGGAAATAATATCAGTAATGCTGCCCTGGCCAGGCACGGTGGCTCATGCCTATAATCCCAGCACTTTGGGAGACTGAGGTGGTGGATCACCTGAGGTCAGGAGTTCGAGACCAGCCTGGCCAACATGGCAAAACCCCGTGTGTAGTAAACATGCAAAAATTAGCTGGCCGTGGTGGCGCATGCCTGTAATCTCAGCTACTGGTGCCGGGGGCTGAGGCAGGAGAATTGCTTGAGCCCGGGAGGTGGAGGTTGCAGTTAGCCGAGATTGTGCCACTACACTCCAGCCTGGGTGACAGATTAAGACTCCGTCTCAATCAGTCAATCAATCAATATAATGCTGCCCCTTCCCCCACTGCAGTCTCCCTCATGGGTTCGGATGGTTTTTAAATGTCATATATTCTAGTCTACTCCATTTTTTTTTCCAGATATGGAAACTGAGGTACAGTGGGATTGTGTGGCATGATCGTAATCACTAGTTAGCTAGTGCTGGGGCAAGGACTGGAATAGATGCCTCAGAGATGTCATGTTATGTCTGTGCTGTCACACAGCACATAAAGGAGCAGATAATTATTTTCTTAATGACACCCTGGCTGCATTTGGTAGGGGTGGGATTTTTTCCCCCAAGCAACTATTACTGAAACACATCACTGCTGTTTTCCTGCTCAAATGGTTTGTAAACATTTACACCCCCCAGCCTGAGAAAACATTTGCAGAAACATTTGGGTCACAAACCAATGTTTGCTTCACCACCACATTTGAAATATTTCTCTTTGAAAACATTAGAAATGTTTGTCAGTAAAACAGATTCTCAACAGAAGTATAAATCTGGAAAGGGAGGGACACCCACAGCCACCTGGTTTGGTGCATTCAGGGTCCTCCAGGGATAGCAGTTTCTTCCTGGTCCCTAGGAATGTGTGACACCTCCCAGCATCACCGTAGACTCTGACATTTCTTGGGTGTAAACTATTAGGGGCACATTGAGGAGTGCAATGGTTTCGGGGGAGGTTTGGAGGTGGCAAGTTTGTTCTCTCATGCAGCTGTGAATGTAGGGTAGTTGTTGAGAAGGAAGTGTAAAGAGAGGAGGCAGGAGATTGGCCAGGGCAGTCTCTGTGTAGAGAAGGACAGGCTGAGGCTTACTTGATTCTTCCTCATCTTTTCCCTCATTCCCCAACACAGCCTCTACAGCTCCAACACAGTTGTGCTAATTGGAAGTGGGGCCTTTAAAATAACCTTGGTTTGTAGCCCTGGCCTGATCGGTGATGGAGCATGGTCTAGGAACTGGATCAGCAGTTTGGAGTCCAGGCAGAGTGGGTTGAACCCTAACTCTATTTCTGACTCATGGATAATCTCAACTAATCCACCTTGCCACTGGGTGAAGCCTAGTGGAGAAGAGCTCAAAGGAGCCTGTGTAGAGTTTGCTCAAAAGAGTCCTTGTCACCACCTTCCTCCCATTTTGTTTTCTCCACCAATATCCAGGTCATGAGAGCAGCCCTTCCTCTGAGCCACAGGGAAGTAATCAATAAGGCCACATCCCGCTCACTGACATCCCCACTGAAACAGGTGAAGCACATGTGGAAGGTCATGAGATTTTTGAAAGCACTAGAAATTAGGAGACTAATTCTGAAGGTAGCAAGTGTGAGGGAAATGGAACCTCTGCTGCGTCCTGCCTACCACCGTCTTCTGCAGGATTTGTAAAAAACTAGGTTCAGGTTTCCAGGCTATTTTTGCTGCTGTTTGAACAGTGTCTACTTTTTCTACTAGGAATCAGCATGTATTTTCTTTGACATCTGTATCTGCTGAGATCACAGGCCATCCTGGTCACCACCTTGCTGTCTAGAACAGCGTCAACTCAACTGAGCAGTCATCCATTACCACGCATAAAGATCTGAAGGTCCACTCTGTGAAAGAGCAGACAATGCAAGGCATCTCCTCCTTCGCTTTAATGTAGCACACGTTAGCACAATGTGCACACTTGGAGCAGTCATCTGCACCTCAGTTTCCAGCTCCCCCGATCCAATGCTGTTAATATGTTCTTGCCAGACACTTATATTCACATAGCACTTTACAATCGACATAGGGCTTTCACAAATATGATTTCAGTGAGTCTCTTGATGAGTCAACATTTTTGTCTCCCCAAGCATTTTCTGATTTGAACTATTTTCTCACAGCCTAACTCAGCAGTTTTCCTGGAATGATGTGTGGGAGGTAGGGTATGATAGTGTATTGCTATGTAGTCAAACTTTAACCCTGAAAGTATAAAAGAATTCAATACTGGTGTTATTGTTAACTAGCCAGGTGACCTTAGGCAGGTGTTTTGCCTTTGGAGCCTCAGGTTGTGAGGACTAAATCAGGTGTATGTGAAAGGACCTGGTATATAGTAAGTGTTAAATGCTAATTGTTCCATATAATTATGGTCCTCCTTAATAATAAACATTAATAGAATCATTAGTGAATCTTTGGCTGAATTATATTTCTATCATACGTAGAGTTGTTCCCAATTCTAACCTATATTTCTCGTAAGGGTTACTCATTACTAGTTGTTATCAATGTTTCTTGAGAACAGTATGTAGGGATGGAGAAAGTTCAAAGGCATTTAGTACAAAGATGCTGGGGGTCAGTTAACTTACAAAAGCGTAGAGCCCTGAGACATGACTTTAATACATTTCTGGGGCACTTAGTGAAAATGTGAGCTGGTGAAGATGTTGCCATATCTGTCAGCTTACAGAATCTTCTGTGCACTTATCACAGGAGAACATGGAACTGCAGCAAACATCTCAATTAATGGATCAATCCTCACAACAGTATTGGCTGCGGACAGATGTCTTCTGTATAGTTAAGAAGTCAGGGTTCCAGTTTATAGGATTTGCATTTTTATAACAGCTTTATCAAGATATAATTTACATACCATAAACATTAACCCTTTTAACGTATGCAATTCATTGGTTCTTAGTATAGTCACAGCGTTGTACAGCCATCATCACCAGCTAGTTTTGGAACATTTTCATCACCCCGAAAGGAAACCCCATATCCATTAGCAGTCACTCCTCATTTCCCCCAAACGCTACCCCTGGCAACCATACATCTACTTTCTGTCTCTGTGGGTTTGCCTCTTCTGGATAGATCATAGAAGTGAAATTACACAATATTTAGTCTTTTGCGGCTAGCTTGTTTCAATTAGCATAATATTTTCAAGATTTATAAAATTAGCACTTGTCTTAATAACAGGGTATGAGACAGTTAAAAATATACTCAGGTACACATCCCAACACCTGGCCTACAGCCTGCTCTCTTTTTCATTTCCTTTTTCTGTAGGGGTGGGGAGAAGGAAGCTAAAGTGTTTATATCGAAGTATGGCATACACACAGTAAACTGCACAGATCTTAAGTACACAGCTTGATTCCTCTTGACAAAGAGAATACACCCTTATAACCATCACTCCTATAAAAATACAGAATGTTAAAACCACCTCAGGGCCGGGCACAATGGCTCATGCCTATAATCCCACCACGTTGGGAGGCTGAGACAGGCGGATCGCTTGAGGCCAGGAGTTCGAGACCAGCCTGGCCAACATGGTGAAACCCCGTCTCTAATAAAAATACAAAAATTAGTCAGGCGTGGGTAGTCCCAGCTACCTGGGAGGCTGAGGCAGGAGAATCGCTTGAACCTGGGAGGCAGAGGTTGCAGTGAGCCAAGATCGTACCACTGCATTCTAGCCAGGACGACAGAGTAAGACTATGTCTTAAAAAAAAAAACAAAAAAAGACGGCTCAGATGGTCCCCTCCTAAGTCATGGCCCTCACCACAGGCATTTCCTAATTTTATTTGATTTTTTTTTTTTTCTGAGTTTGTTTCCTTGTGTTATCTATTAATACAGGTAGTAAGTACGTGGTCCCCTGAGCCCGGGAGACCTTTCCCCAGTACTCCAGGCCTCAGTTACCTGCGTTCGTTAATGTTGGTTCCCAGGGAAAACAAAGCAGCACCAAGCACTCAGGACCCATGGCCTCTTCTTCTGAACCCAGGGACTCCCATGCCTTTGCATTTTCTCCTCGCTTTTGTCCCCAGCTGTCCTTCTAAACACCAGCAAGCTCTCAGCACAGGTCATTACAAAAAACAGTTCAGGGGAGTGGGGCGGGCTGTAGGGGGAGCATTAACCCCCGTCAGGGACAACTGGGGGCAAATGTTGCGCTCCAAAGGCAGATGTTTTGAGGAGGACTCCTAATTGTGACAAAGGCAGCCCCTGCACACTGGATGCTGGCCAGCCTCTGCCATTAACACGCCTACCTCCTCACTGGTGTGATCAAATTGGTACTGCTCTTATGAAATTATGTGTGTTAGCTGGCTCTTCAGAAATAAAATATCTTTTCTTAAAGAAATTAAGGTTTCATTTTAAATTGACTTTATGGCCTTTGAAAAACTTTAGTTTTTGTGTGGTCCAAAGCTATAGGTTAGCATTAGCATTTAAATAGAGGCATTAAACTTGCCTGAAGACCTTCCTCTCATAATGTAGCCCTTTCTGAGAGGTTTTTTCAAATCAGATACTTTTTCGTCCTAAAAAATGAATGCAAATGCTCTCTATATTTTTCCCCTCAAAGGCCTTTTTTCTTTATATGTAGACTTAGGAGAGCCACATTGTGGAGCAGCCTCAGTATTAGTCTTTTTGTATGGAAAGGGCCACGTAAAAAAAAAATTGCTATTCTCTCCTACAATGCCTGATTTTCTCTGCTGACTCTCAGGATGTATTTGCCTATGGTTAATTTTATCCTATTGTATGTCATTCCACTCCAGACACCCCCCAAAGGCACAAATCCCCATTCTACAACTAAGAATCTAATGTAAACTCCTGCTATGTAACAGTGACTCTAGGAGTTCCCAGTGTCCCCAGCAAATCCCCATCACTTTAGTAGAATCAGAGCTTGAGCTTTTGAACTGGATGAACTAGAGTTTGAGTCGTGTCCATCACAAGGAGGTTTTGTGACCTTCTCTGACCCTTTATTTATCTGCCAAATTAAGGTTATCAAGCCTTTCTTGTATGTTTGTCAAGAGTTTAAATGAGATCATATTTGTACTCCTGATTTATACTCTGTGCTCTTAGGTCCTGTAACCTAACCGGACAGGTTCTTCCTGCCTGCTGCACAAATAAAGACCATGGCCTTGCGGTAAAGAAAGAGTTTAATTGATGCGAGGCTGGCCATGCCACACAGTAGATGGAGTTGTTACTCAAATCAATCTCCCCAGAAATTCAGGGATCAGGGTTTTTAAAGATAATTTGGTGGGCAAGGGATCAGAAAGTAGGGAGTGCTGATTGGTTGAGTCACAGATGAAATCATAGGGAATTGAAGCTGTTCTCTTGCACTGAGACATTTCCCAAGTGGGGGCCACAAGACCAGATGAGCCAGTTTATTAATTTGGGTGGTGCCAGCAGATCCACTGAGTGCAGGGTCTGCAAAGTATCTTAAGCACTGATCTTAGGTTTAACAATAGTGATGTTATCCCCGGGAGCAATTTGGGGAGGTTCAGAATTTTACAGCCTCCAGCTGCATGACTCCTAAGCCATAATTTTGAATCTTGTAGGTAATTTTTTAGTCCTGCAAAGACAGTCTAGTCCCCAGGTAGGAAGGGGTTTGTTTTGAGAAAGTGCTGTTGTCATCAAAGTTTAACTATAAGCTAAGTTTCTCTCAAAGTTAGTTCAGCATATGCCCAGGAATGAGCAAGGACACCTTGGAGGTTAGAGGCAAGATGGAGTCTGTTAGGTCAGGTTCTCTTTCACTGTAATAACTTTCTCAGTTACAATTTTTGCAAAGGCAGTTTCAGTCCCCCTCCCTCACATTTCAACCAGACCAGTTGAGGAGTAGGTTAGGAGGAACCTTTGAGTAAAGGGTGTCCTCTTATTTCTTATGTTCTCACTGCTAGCCTTCTCTTTCCTTTCAGCCACCGGCCTCATCTCAGTAAAGTTGTGTGTATTTTAATGGCCCCAGGTCACATTTGACCTGAAGGAGACATACTAGAGGTGAGAGCCTGATGTGTTGTTCTTTACTGAGGTGCTGCCATCCTTCTCTCTTTGAGGTTGATTTTGTTTAGCTACAAGCTTGGGGATGTGGAGTTGTGAGGAAACCTTCTAGAAGATTGGCGTGGTCTGGTACTAGAAAAAAAAAATAGCCAAGTTGCCCAACAGTCTGAAGGCTTTCTTACCCTCAGGTCCATCCTCCATGCTGCAGCTGGAAAGGTCTTTCTAAAACAGTTGTCATCATGTGTGACTTCTTTCTAAAATCGTCTGTTTCCAGATTCCTCCCTGTCATTGGTTCCAGATTCCAGGGTGTATGTAAACTGAAACTGATTGTCCTCATCTATACGAAAATTAGAAAAATAATGACTGTACTTTGTGAGTTTCTCATAAATAATGACTAAAAGTTTCTGAGTTTCCCACACAATAAAACATGTAACCTTTTTGTTCTGAGATTATTTTCTTTCCACTTAAGGAGTGTTAAAATACCTTCTTTTATCAAATCTTGGTAATAATAAATGGTAATTGTTTTGTTTGAATAATCTAGGCAAAATAAAGCTTAATTCACCTTCATCCTTCCACTCACCCATGAAAGTCCAAAATCTTAGCATGGCCCACAGGTCTGTTAGGCTCTAGGCCCAGCTTGCCTTGCCCACCTTTCCCCTTCCTTGCTCTTCCCCACACCCCATGCACTCCAGTGAGGAATAAACCACTTGTCGTTTTCCCCAAATACCGTATTCTTCCTACTGTCCCACCCAGTTCACACATTCTGTTTCCTTTGCTCGTGGAGGACTTTATTTCCTTCATATTTGCCTCATTGTTGACAACTTCTCCTTCTCTATTAAGCCTTCCCTGGCTGCTCTCAGAAACCTACAGCCCTTCCTGCCTGTGATCTTAGAGAATCTCCTCCAGACCTTTATTATGGCCACTGTCACATTGCTATAAGTACATACAGTGCCTGGCTACTTTCACACCAGACTCTGCATCGCCAGAGAACAAGGACTATGTTTTACTTACCTCTGCATCCACAGTATCTACTGTATACTACCTGGTTTGTCATTGATGCTGAAATATTTGTTGAGCAAGTAAACAAATTTAAAAAGGACTTCGAAAGGGACTATATAAGCAGTGAGGATGATACAAAGAGTCATAAGACACAGTCTTTGACATCAAGGAGCCTACAGTCTAGGTGAGGTTAATAAATACTAATAATGGTACATCCACACAATTGAGTACTCTGCCACCATTAAGAAGAATGAGGCAGGTTGATATGAACTGAAATGGAACCTTCTCCAGGCTCTATTGTTAAGTAGAAAAAGTAAGGTGCAGAACAGTATGTAAACACCATTTATCCTTAGATATATTTGTGTGTTTATATACACACACACATTCAAGAAAGACTGCTTCTATATGTATAAAATATATTTGGAAGGATACCCTGGAAACTAGTAATAGTAATTGTCTCTAGGAAAGGAAATGGTGGGAGAGAGGCTTTACGCTATATGCTTATTTTGTACCATTATCTTTTTACGTAACAAAAAATATTATGTGCCAGGCGCTGTTCTAAGCACTTTATAAATATTAACTTGCTTAGTCTTCTTAACAATTCTATGAGCTAGGTGCTATCAATATCCTCATTTTACAGATGAGGAAACTGAAGGCTTACAGGTTAAATAACTTTCCCAAGTTCACAAAACTAGTAAGTAAATACCCTAGTAACCTTTTTTATTGTATCATCAGCTCAAAAAGAATATTAAGAGTTTTTTTTTAAAAAAGATATGATTCTACAGGATAAATGTTAAGTGGGTTACCCATGCAGTAAGTGACAGAGAAGAAATAAATTGCTCAGGATAGCTTCATAGAGGGTAGAGGATTTAGCGATTTTGAACATGAAGTAGGCTCTAGATACTTAGAGCCAAAAAGTACTAAGTATTATTCAGGGGACAGTGAGTAGCTCAATTTGGTTTGAATGGCAGGTTGAAGCAGGGAAGAACTGGGAGAAAATGTGGAATACAGGTCAAGTCTTTAAAAGGCCTTGGATGTCAATGTTGAAAGTTTGGACTTGATTCTGTTAGCACTAGTGAACACACAAGGTTTTTTTTTTATTATTATTAAATACAGAATAGTGATATGATCCAACTAAGAACTGGGGGTTAGTCTAGGAGGAGTGAGTGAGTGAGGTGGCCAGTTAAGAGGCAACTGTAACAATCCAATGAGAAGAGTGTAGGATCTGTGATAGTGAGATTGGAAAGAAGAAATGAATATGAAAGATGTTGCATTGATAGACCTGGTGACAACTGGACCAAAAAAATGAAGGAGAGTGAAGATTCCAGGTGACACTGAGATTTTGAGGTTTTGCAAGCTAGTTCCGTTAAGCAAAATTCAGTGGCTAGGGAGGCCACCTGACAAGGGCAGCTGATAGAAATGTCTGCAGACAAGTGAAAATGACGTTTTGATCTACTGAGAAACCAGATCTTGAGAAAGACATCTGAGCATTATATATATGCACAGATAAGACTTTCAGAAGCAGAGAGAGAAGAATGGAGGGCCCCCACCTGACTGGCAGGAACACCTGCAGCAGGCAGACACAGAGCCAATAGCAGAATCAGAGAAGAAACTCAGAGGGAGCTGGGAGAAGTGCCTTAAAAATGTGGCTTCATGGGGCCAGGCACTGTGGCTCATGCCTGTAATCCTAGCACTTCGGGAGGCCGAGGCAGGTGGATCATGAGGTCAGGAGTTCAAGACCAGCCTGGCCAAGATGGTGAAACCCTGTCTCTACTAAAAATACAAAAAATTAGCTGGGTGTGGTGGCACATGCCTGTAATCCCAGCTACTCCGGAGGCTGAGGCAGAGAATTGCTTAAACCTGGAGGGGCAGAGGTTGCAGTGAGCCGAGATCGCGCCGCTGCACTCCAGCCTGGGAGACAGAGCGAGACTCCGTCTCAAAAAAAAAAAAAAAAAAAAACTTGGCTACCTGGGCCGATGCAGAGGCTCACGCCTGTAATCCCAGCACTTTGGAAGGCCAAGGCGGGTGGATCACGAGGTCAGGAGATCGAGACCATCCTGGCTAACACAGTGAAACCCTGTGTCTACTAAAAATACAAAAAAATTAGCTGGGCATGGTGGTGGGCACCTGTAGTCCCAGCTACTCAGGAGGCTCAGGCAGGAGAATGGCATGAACCCGGGAGGTAGAGCTTGCAGTGAGCCGAGATCACGCCACTGCACTCCAGCCTGGGCAATAGAGCACGACTCCATCTCAATAAAAAAGAAAGAAAAAAAAATGTGGCTCCATGACAGTTGGGTTGAGGATGGAAAACTGTCAAGGAAAAGAGGACTTAGGAAAAGCTGCTGTGCGTGTCCATGAAGACGTCATTGACGACCCTTTTCATAGACACATTGGAGGCTTAGAAAGGACAGGCAGTGAATACAAATGATTTGTTCAAGAAATTCAACAATGAAAAGGAGAAAAGACACGAGGGGAGAGATGGAGTGGACATGGGATCACATAAAGGGTTTGGGGTTTGTTTCTTGATTTGTTTTTCCAAAATGGGAGAAGGAGGATGTTTGAAGCAGACATGAAAGAACCAGTGAAAAGGGAAGATACTGGATACAAGAGTTAAAAATAAAACAAAAACCCAGCAGAGTCTTGAAAGCATTGGGAGGGGTGAGGATCAAAGGCATAGGGTTAATCTTACAAAAAGAAAAAAAGAAAAGAAACCCCTCTTCTTCTGAGTCAAGAGGGAAGGACTGATTTTTTTTTTTTAATGTATGTCAGCATGGAGGATGTGATACCTCATACAATTGTGAGACCCATAGAGATAATATATACATGAACAATGGCCAATACAGACTACAGAGGAGGATGCAAACAAAGTTAGCAGTTAGTTTTATCATTTGTATTATATCACATAGCAGGTGTTCTATCATATCATTTGATTAATCTTCAAACCTAATGTGATGTAATATTATTTATCCCATGCTTAAATGAAAAAACTGAAGTTGAGACAGGTTCAGAAATTTCCAGTCATGCATCTTAGGTAAAAGATGTGGGATTCATGCCTAAATCTGCCAGAGAATGAAAAGCTGAGAAGGATTACAGATCACTAGTGAAAACACGGATCTCTGTTGTCTCCCCCTTTTCCATTAGCGACCATTATCCTGACCATCTCCCCCCGGAGTTACATCAGAATAACCCTTTGTGTTTTATACAGATCAATTATTTCATTCATAGTTCCTCTTTTCCCAGTGTCAGAGAATCATAGACTGCTTTTTAGATTGTATGCCATACTTAATGACATGTATAGACTATCAGCTGTCTCATTCATTCATTCTTTTTCATTTACTCAGCATTCACTAGTTACCGTCTTCTTAGGCCAAGGGGTAGGAGCAAGTTGAATATAGAATTCAGCCCTGCTCTAGAGAATGGCGTGAACCCGGGAGGCGGAGCTTGCAGTGAGCAGAGATTGCACCACTGCACTCCAGCCTGGACGACAGAGCGAAACTCCATCTCAAAAAAAAAAAAAAAGAAGAAGAATTCAGCCCTGCTCCAGTAGAACCTGCATTGGAGGAGGGGGAAGCAGATACTTGTTTATGTACTAAATGCTTCTACATTCTTACTCTGTCTAGCCACTGCTCTTAATCATTTAAGCCTTGGAACAACCCTATGTTACTATTTCCTTTTCTCAGATGAAGAGAATAAGGCACAGAGAGATTAATAACTTGACCAAAGTTGTACAAATAGGAAGAGGCAGAATTGGGTTTAAATCCCAGGCAACTGGCTCCCGAGTCCATGATCTTAACCATTGTATATGCTGATGAAAGTATATCTGATTTTATATATATATATTTAAATATATAATTTTAAATATATTTTGGAAATATATTTTTTAGTTGGAGATGAATGCTAAAAAGAAAATTAAAGCTCATTTAAAGGACAAAGCTTGATGAGGATGGAGCAAGTAACATTTAAAATAAGGTGGTCAGGGAAAACCTCACTTACTGATAAGCAGACATTTGAGCAAAAATTGACCAGAATCTCCTTTAATCTTCTATTTTCCTCCAACCTCCTGTCCCTTTAATCCCATCTGATCCTCTTTTCTGATTTTCTTTCAGTTGGCTTACAGTATAAAGCAAAAGAAGAACTATGAAGTACAACAAAGACAAATTAATGTCACTTCCTTGCTCTATAGCTGGTACTTTTTATTTTAATTTATTTTATTTTTTAATTATTTTTTCTAAGATGGAGTCTTGGTCTGTTACCCAGGCTGGAGTGCAATGCCATGATCTTGGCTCACTGCAACCTCCACCTCCCAGGTTCAAGCAATTCTCCTGCCTCTGCCTCCCAAGTAGCTGAGACTACAGGTGCGCACTACCACGCCCAGCCAATTTTTTATATTTTTGGTAAAGACGGAGTTTTGCCATGTTGGCCAGGCTGGCCTTGAACTCCTGACCTCAGGTGATCCACCTGTCTTGGCCTCCCAAAGTGCTGGGATTACAGAACTTGTACTTTTAAAATAGGAAATAAGAAATGCTCTGGTTCCATGGCCCTTAACACCCACCCCAACACACCCACCTCCTCCTCGCCACCCAGTGACCATTCACCCACCTGTTCTAAGGTTTCTCCCAACTATTGAATGAATATAGGAGGTTAGAATTTCTCCTAGACAAATTCACTTGGGTTTTTCTAAGATGACTCCCCTTTCATTACTTGCTTCCCATAATTCCAGATTTCCTGGAGTCCTTGATGTGATTTTTCCTTTCTTGTTGCCATTCACAGCCCCTCCCCGTTCACTAACATTGGCCCCTTTCACCACTCTGTATCTTCCTGTGCATTAATGAAGGTATTAAGTGAGATCAGTTCTAAAGCCAGCATCCTTAGAATTCACTAGATGCTTCTTTTCTGCATTTGTTGACTTGCCGTTCTCATTACCCTCTGTTTGTTTTTCAGCCTGTGTCCTATCGAGGGTAGCCATTCAGAATAAATTCATTTTGCTAGTTATATTTTTCTAGAGGCACTGCATCAAACGGTTCACTGACATTCAAATACGTATCAGCCACAGTAGTCTTTTCATCCACCAAATTCACATTGTTATCCAAAGCTATCCATCACGTTTGTCAGAGTATTTGGGTCTTTAATTAAACCTGCTGGATATTGTTCATATTTCCATTAGCTCCTTTCTAGTTAGTCTATTATTTTTCTAATTGACATCTGTTCTGAGTCACATGTCCTTGAATTTCAGGTGGCCCATTTTGTAGCTTTGGTTTATTTAGGTTTTCTCTCTTTCATAAATTACCTAAGGATTTAGTTAATACACCCTCAAGTGTTTGCCACTGGGACCTGCTGATTTACATATGTTTACGCTTCTCAAATAATCCAGAGTTTTTTGGTTCTTCTACGAAATCATTTTCCTTTGAGGCCCTTCAGTCCTGTAAGAAGTAGTCTTGTGTCTCAGCAAGGCAGAGAGATCTCCTACAATTTCAAGAACTGTACTAGAGTCACTAACCAGGACCAGAAGGTCAGGAATCAGGGTTTGAGTGACTCAACCAAGTGATGGCTGAATAGCAGTCCTTGCGTCTTAAGACTCCCAGAGGCTGTAGTGGGTTGCAGTGAACTCTCCATTCAGCCTCCCCCAGCCCTGTCTTAACATCATTGTGAGGTAGCTGGCTAGGGGCAGAGTCAACGGCCAAAAAATAGAACGAATTGGCACCTGCCAGAATCAACCATTACCTTGGCCTCACTGGCATCATGCTCATCACGCTTTCGTTGATGGGAGCATATGTTCCCATCAAAGCCATGAAGTCCATTCCTGTTCCCACTGACTGTTCTCCTCACACACCCACAGGTAGGGCAAGATCCATTATTATAAATACAGAAAGCCCATTACCCATTCACTTCACCATCTCATTTCCAACCCTGGTCGTCATTTGGAGCAGAAGCATTGTTTTTATCCCTTGTCCAGGGCACTCCAACTCTTTGTGCCTTTCTTATGTACCAGGAGACAAGGGCAGGCAGGGAGACTGCCAAGCCCTAGTTTTGCTTTACTTTAAATTAAAACATTTGCTTCATGCCTTGGGTATTTTTGGTCTGAGCCTGGATTAGATTTTAAAAATAAATAAATAAATAAAGCTTCTTGAAGCCAAGGACTATACCTTTCTATATCATATTAACATTTAAAATGTTATTAGAGTTTCCTAAGCATTAGTAATAACATTAGGTTTTGCTTTGAAGAAATCCTTTGCATTATTTATTGAAAAATTAATAATGTGATTTTATTACTAAAAATTGAAAAAGCCGTAGGGCCTCTCAGCAGTTGTTTCCCAGATTGCTAATCTGAAAAATATAGATAATATACACTACAAGAGTCTTGTGCTAATTGGGTTAAATGATATGTAGCTTTGTGGTCACTAAAGTATATAATACAATGTCCTTTTTATCACCCTATGATATTAGATAAATTGTCTTTAAAAATCAGAAAGACTCTCTAAAGTGATATTTGATGAACTATTTTCTTAAATTGAAAAGACTCTAAAGTGATATTCAGCTCAGAATAGCACTCCTTAACCTGGACTCACCTTTTGATAATCAAAAGAACATTTACAGAAGTATGAGACAAACACAATTATGAAAGTAAAATGAAGGCCCTAAATAAAAAAATCACAGAACAAGAGGGTAATTCTATTCACTCTTTCATATTTCATTATTTGATAACATCAGAAGATGAATCCATCAGAATTGCCTTGGCAAGTGCAAACAGAAATGTGCCTGATCAATATTTATAAAAACCTTCAAAATGGGAGAAGGAGTTGAGCAGACTTCTTAATGGACTGAATAATTATTCATACAAATGGGGTTTGACCAAAGGCAGTGCCAGACCAAAGAGACACAGTTTTAATTGTACTGAATTTAAAATGCAGATCTTCCTCCAGCCCTTTTGTAGAAAACTTAATTTAAAAAATTATCTGATGTAGCAGAGAGTGACATATGAATCCTTAAGTTGTTGAAGAGGACATGTCAACCATAGATATTTATAAATTTAGAACGTGTTCCAAAGGTGGGGAGCAAAGTTGCTAGCTAAGGGAACAAAAAGAAATTTTCTCCCCATTTCAATGACTGTAACTGAGCCAAGGAGTGTGTCATCATCTCAACGGTGATGGGAATGTCCTGGAGGAGTTTCTTTGTTTCAAGTGGTTTTATTATCTGAAGAGAAATAAAGCAAGTCTCTGGCTGCTGCTGTCTATCAAAAATGTCAGGATACGTTCCTGAGAGGAGTGAAACAGCTGATTTTAACTTTCAGCGTCTCCCCAGGAGAACCCCCACCCCCGCAGTACTGCTGAGGCGTGATGGTTATCAGGACAAGGCCAAGAGGTAACTGGTAACTGCCATTTAAGGATAGTGCCATTGACAAAGGGTAGGTGCGTGCATGTGTCACTATATATAAAAAACAGGTAGGTAGATGACCGATCAAAGAAGACCGAGCAAGCCTTAAAGAACAGACTCCCAGGCTATCTTTACCTCTTGAATGATTTTCTTCTGCCACCAGCTGAGGGAATATAAGCAATATGTTTTCTAAAGACCATTATTCACTTCTAGCGTGTCCTGATCAGAACAAAAACCTATACAATCCGTTGTGAGAAGTGTAAAAAAAAAACAAAAAACTGTCCTGATACAGAATATATACCTAATTGTGCCACTAACTGTCTGAAAATTATTTAGCTTTTCTCCACCTTAGTTTTCTCATTCCTAAAATGGAAATAACTTCAGCTCATTTTAAATTAGAATTTTCAATCATGTTTGTAATAAACTTTAAGCTCTTCGAAGGGGAATACAAATAAGAGCAATTAGATTATACTTTTTAATAAACTAATTTATTCTTCTGACACACAGGATTACCATCCATTTTATTATTGGTCGGAAAGTCCATTTGAGCTGAGATTACACTTGTTCAGAGTGTTTTCAAGTCAATTGCTACTGCGTCTTGTCTACCATTGCTTGAAGAAAAACAACATCAGCTAATTCTGATGGGAGCCCCATGATTTTGAAGGACCAAGCAGGGGACGCTGTAAAGGTTTAAAATCCAAAAATGCCAGTGCTTTTATATAGCATCTACTGTAACCTTTCTGTTTTGGACATGAGAAATAGATCCAGATAGCTGGTGGTATTTGCCCAAGGTCACATGGCTAGTTAGTAGCGAAGAATGAAAGACTTAACCAGAATCTGAGTTTAGTTGATCTCTTAAATATTTACCTCACTAAGTTGTTCTGCTATAACCACAATCTCTCAATTATTTATGGGATGATTATCTGGTTTATGGGTTATTCTTTTTTCTCTTGTCATTTCCCTGTTATTATCATAGATACCATTGAGTGGCTGGAGAAAACAGGAGTTCACTGCTTCACTTGACAACTTAGTGACCCATCTACCATTGGGTTTTTATTAAAGTGCTCAAAATGCTGTAGATATTGGCTAAAAATAATGTTGGGAGCTACAGTCAATACTAACTTTTATTCAGCTCAATTTTTCTCCCTCTCAAATTTGTATTTCAGAAGTCAGATTCAGCACAGAATTCACTTGTTGACATTAATACTAGAGCTTTATCTTGGGAAGGACTACAAGAGAAAGTCTTTACAATGAAAATAATTATCTCCCTTCCCCAAAAAAGTACTGAATCAGAGGGACAGTCAACTTTTGGAAAGAAAGGTTACTTCATCCATTACCAACTTGAAGGGGCAAAAAGGGAAGAAATAAAAAGAGGTGACAAAATGAAAAAGCCAAAAACTCTTGCTTGTAAACTCCCAAATTAAGTGTTAAATTTACAACATGACTGCATTACTTGGTTTAGAGCACTGAATTCCCAGATCAAATCCAGTGTTGTTCAGATATAACTGCAAAGTTTGTACAAACGAATTTGAATCACCACAATACTGGCTCATTGCATTACAAAGAAAGAGCTGAGTATGGGAATTTTATTTAATTCATATTTGTGTACTCAAGACTCAAATGAGTCAGCGATAAAAATATTCTTTTCAGTTAGTTCTTTTGCTTTTTATAGTTTCAAATATTTTTGTATTAAGGTGGTTTTAGAGTAAATACAGGGCTCAAAAGTCTTTCATTTTGAGGCCTTAGACAAATCACTAATACTCTGTAGATCTCAATTTTCTCATATGTATAACGTAGATAATTGTAGTTCCTATTTAAAAGGATTGAAATGCACCTAAAAGCTAGACATTATTATTAATATTCTACAATCAAGACAGATTTCAAAACCCAGCATGAGACGTAGCTGTATATTTTAAAACACAGTTTCCATTCCGGGATCTAGGACTCTGAATTCTACCAAGTAAAGGAAGGCAAAAGGCAAAGCTTTCCTCAGAGACCTTGGACAGTTCCCCAGTCAGGGCCTTGCTGTCACCCCTACAGGCAAAGTTTATGGAACGCCTACAAGTACAGGAACAAGAGTTGCCATGGGCGGGAATAGTTTATGTTAGTGAGTATTTCTTCCCTCAATTTGCAAAGAAGGGAACTGAAACTGTTTCTAATCACTTTCAGAGATGCAGTACTAATTTTTGCACTGAGTATGCCAACTTGGGAGGTAGAACCAGGGATGAGAAAACTCCCTGGCCTCTTGTCTATGAAAATTTATGAAAAGCTCTTAAAGAGAAGTCAGAAAAGCACTAATACTCAAAGATAAAAAGATATCAACAATTCATTTATACATACACGCATACCTACATACATTAAAAACAAATAAGTAGATGAAAAATTGTTCCACCTCATGCAAATCAAAAGAATGTGAGTTAGATGCTGCCCATATGTTGTTGATAGGAGGATAAATTGATAGAGCTTTTTTAGAAAGCAACTTGGCAGCATTGTCAAGTGTCCTAAATAATATACTTATCTTTTAACTAATTCTGTTTTTAGAAATCTATCCATGAGAAAGTAAGTCTTTATAATTGGAAACAATTGAAGTATCCAATTGTGTTTCAACCTAAATATTTCAACTATAAGAAAGAAATTGGCTAGAACACTACATGTGGTGGGGGCGAACTACAAGAAAATATGCCAAACTGTGGTTTATCTTTATGATGAAATTATGAGAAATCTTTCTGTATGGCCCATATATTCTATATGGCATATGTATTAACTTTCCAATCAGAGGAAGATAAAATTTTGTTTTAAAACTTTAAAAAGATCTGCCCACCTTTCCAAAATACCCTGTATTTCCTTCCTGGTAGAAATGTTTTCAGACAGAATGTATGGGGGAGAAAGAGTCGCAGTGCAATACCATTAAAATAAAGCACAAAAGAAAAAGCCACAGAGAACAGTCTGTTGATAAAGCAAACATGAGGAAGATAAGAGAAAATGATCTGTTTGCACCAGAACAAAGCATAAACATTGTTATGTTCTAGACTCTGCACATGAGACCAGTCTGTGAAGTCACACCTCCTCTTCTCTGTCACTCTACTCCCTCACCTATCTGCTTATAATACTTTGGGAACTGCTGCAAAAAGGCACACAGCAAAGGGTAGGAGAAGCCACAGCAAGGTGCACATCTCCTTCCAGAATGTTCCATCCAGCAGGGTGACTTGAAACTCTTTGGTCTCCAGAATAAGATATTTGGTGTACATCTAGCAATTGACTGCTGAATATTGTAGGCTATGAAGAGTCTGTGAAGGGCTACAAACCATGAGCCAGAAAATGTCTCAATCAAATGTGCATTCACTGATCCCATCCAGGCAGCCCCAGCAAAGTGTCATCAAATGGAAAATGTGTTGCCCTGGAAGCCACGGCTGCTATTTTAATGCTCGATGATGAAGACCAAGCTTTCAATTTCCTGGGGCCTCAATAAGTGCTGATAAATTATTTATCCCTATTGGGTGACATGATTTCATTTCAGTCTGACAGTGTTTATCATGGAAGCTCATTCTAATGGTATAGTTTGGGGCATTTTTCTATTTTCTCTTTAGGACACCTGGTAGCACCCTTTCCCCACCTCCAGGTGAAACTGTTGCTGTGTCAGTTTAGTCATCTTTGCTCCTGGGTACCATTCTGAAAGATAAATGAATTTCCTTCTGTCTTTAAATATTTATGATTCTTTATGATCTAATATATCAGCATGGTTATGGAGGAATTTTTTCTCTCTAACTATAGAAAATACACCATCAATTACCTGTCAATTTTGTTGAATAACTCAGCTTTGCAATTCAGGGGCACTGTTCATACGAAGCTCTTGAGGACTCTTTTAGTCTCTCAGTCCACTTCAGACTGTCATTCCGGGATTTATAAAGGTCTTCATTGCACAGAGGATATTGAAACATTAAGGACTTAAGTGGCATGCCCTTTATCACTCATCACACTGTGGAAGATCCAAGAGTAGAAATGCAGGCATCTTTGTTTTGTTGTTTGCTCCCAGCGTGGAACAATGGCCTCTGTAGAAAACCAGCCAGTATCCCTGGAAACAATTCATCAGATTTTTCAAAAGAAATCCAATTTCATCTGGCATGATGGGCTCAGTGTTGCTTCTTAAGATAAATGATAAAAATATCAACATCCTAATACAAAGAAATCCAGTTCTTTTGGTTTAATCTCAGTGAAAAGCATCACAAACCTTTTATTGCTTCTGTAGCCTTCTCTGATGCGTTTAGGTCCTTGGTTGAAGGAGACAGTGGTTCTGTAACTGTTGGTCTACCAAACAGACTCTGACTGAGTCGTGGCTGGTTCAGAACCTTTAAGAAGCACATATCTGGGGATGGGGCCTCAGGAATCTGCACTTTTCATAGGCGCCCCAAGGTAATTCTTAGGTACCCTAAAGTTCAAGAACTGCGAGTCTAGAAATCGCAGCTTTCAAGTTCCTTCTAGCTTTGAAAGAATCGTGAGCCCCAGATTCACTCTCATTTCATTTGGTAAATCTCGATGCACGCATGAGCTCTTCTTGGGCAATTTTAAAAATGTATATTCTTAGGAAGTTCCATTAATAGACAACTCCCTCCATCACCTGTGCATCTACAGGAAACAGAATTAGATGACATAGGGCATCATTTCCCAAAATAGGGGCCAATATCAGTGAGAGCCAGGGGACATGCAGAGCTGTAGGATAAATATTAATATGATGCTTCTTCCTGCAGCATCAAGTTTTTCTTAGAAACAGTGTGTTTAAATTACAGCAGATACATTAAGGAGTAGAATGCAAAGTTCACGTGAGTTTTATGCTAAACATGAAACTTCAAAAGATTTACTGATCTGGCACTGGGGTCTCACACCCCTGGAAGTGGAGTTTTATCTCCCCTTCTACCAAGTATTTCTGTCTATATTCAGGGTCACCCTGGACCAGTGATTGCTATGTGTCTGGTTCTGTGATGCCAAAATGAACACTCGTTTAAAACCACTATAGAAAATTAGCCCCCTGTACACAAGGATGCTGACTGATTTGCTTGCAGGAGAGCTTCATTAACTTACCAATCTACAAAGAGCACTTTCCATTTCTGCCACTATTTAGAGTATATTCACAAAAGATTATTCTCTCCCCTATTTTTAAAAGAGTGTGTTAGTTAGAAAAGGAGGCTTAGCAGGAGGAAAAGAAGCTAACCGTGTGAAAAGACACCACAACTCTTCCTGACCACATTCCCCTTGTACCAGCAATTCAATAAAACAGGCCTGAAATTATGGAGCTCCTAGAATGTATTTCTTACCACAAAGATAGCTTCATTTCCCCATAGGAGGTTCTTTTTTTCAAAATGTTCCTGATGAGAAAGAAACAAATTCACGGCCCTGAGTCTAATAATACAGGATTTCTGAGCCACTCATCCTGCTAGGTCTGGAAGATTGCTTCGTCTCCAAGAGTTGCCTTGAGTGCACTGCCTGGTTCTGTCCCCTCGATCTTGGCAAAGTTACCTTTCACGTCAGAGAGAAGTGAGTAACACTCTTCATTTTGCTGACAAGCTGTGATAAGCCTTCCTGGCTCAGAGTCTGTGTTGAACTTGACCTCCTGGGTAATTTGGAGTGGCCATGGAAGTCACAGCTTCAGAGTCCAGTAGACTGAGAGATAGCAGTGGCATAGTATTGGTTTAAAGAATGGTGAGTGGTCATCTTCTCCCCTTCCTGACTCCCACCTTCATCTTCCTGCTGCATTGAAGAATCCCTATAATGCATATTTCTATTACAGGCACAAGTCTTCCTCCACCAAAGGACAGAGCCAGGCCAATGGCCTTGCCGTTAAGTGGCTCTCAAGTCTCCTCTTTCTGCTAGAATTGTAACCAATGCCCTGCCAGACCATTCTGCGTTTGATTGTCACAGTAATCTTCCAGAAGCACAATTTTGAATGGCACCTCTGCTCTCTGGAAGAAGGAAGTCCTTTATTGGCTTAACTAGGTCTAAAATCATAGCCTGATGTTCAGAGGCTCTACCCTGTGGCTTCAAATGCCTCATCCCAGGACTCTCTGCTATTGCTCTGCACTCCCCAGTCTAACCAGATTATTCTTCCATGCCTTTGCTCATGCTCTTCCCTCCAACTAGAATTTCTTTCCTGGAAGCCCTGCCTGACAGAATCTTACCCCACAGGAAGTCTTCCTCAGTCCCACACCATCCCCTCAGCATGGTGCGATTTCTCCTCCTCTGCTATTAACGCACGGTACTAGGACCTCACTTATGGCACACAGAATATTCTTGTGAGTTGTCAAGTGTCCGTGAAAAAACAGTCTTGAACTTAGAGTCAGAAACCTGGGGTCAGATCCTGGCATGGTCAGTCCCTGTCTTTGTGATGTGGGCAAGCCCTCTAACTTCTCTGTGCTTTCGTCTTTGTATCTGGGAAAAGGGAGGTGTAGCCCCTGGGTGGAGTGAGGGGTAAGTGGCACAGTGCTCGGGAATGAACTTGGTCAACAGCACTGGAATCCTTATGTCTCTGCTTTTCAGGACCTTTCCTCCTTGTCTCCGAGCTACTTGAGGAAAGGGGCTGTGTCTTGCCCATCCTTATATACTACTATTAATTTTATTACATTACTGTCACACATTAGCATCATTATAGTTCTAATAATAATAATCTTTATGAAGCACCACCATTCTGAGTGCTTTATACGTATTAATTAATTCAACTATTTCAATAACCCCAAGAGGTAGGTACTATTATTAACCCACTTTATGGAGCAGAAAACCATGTACAGTATTTTACAAAACCTCCAATGAATAATGAATGAATGAGGGATTGAATGAGACAAAACCTG
The DNA here is from genome assembly GCF_000001405.40 of Homo sapiens. Taxonomy (NCBI): domain Eukaryota; kingdom Metazoa; phylum Chordata; class Mammalia; order Primates; family Hominidae; genus Homo; species Homo sapiens. The sequence goes on from NC_000007.14 coordinate 134,063,941, forward strand.
TTAACAATGCCTTCTCTCCTTCTTCAGGCTATACCCCTACTTTTCTTTCCTTTCTCCCAAGGTAAATGCAAAATTAGCAAAAAAATGTAGAATGAGCTGAGCCACAGAAAGGTATGCGGCCTCCCTGGGTCCTCACTTAGACTTCTCCTGAAGAGAGCTCCCATGAGCTCCAAAGGACAGAGCTTATGGTTGTCCTGTTCTTTATTCTGTTGGTGGGGCCTAGAACACTGCCTGCTGATCAATCGTTATGAAGTAAGTAGAGGAATCAATGTATAGACAGCGTATTTGTCCCCTCGAGACGACGTTACCAGTGGGGAGCCAGTGAGCAGTGTTCTCTCTTGCTTTCTCAGGCAGTACTACGAGATGCTTTACAACACAGCTGACGAGCTCCTGAACCTGGTGGTGGACCAGGGTGTGAAGTACACGGAGCTGGAGTACATCCACGCTCTGACCCTGCTGCACCGCAGCCAGACTGGGGTGGGGGAACTGACCACCCAGAACACGAGGCTGCAGAGGCTCAAAGAGATCATCTGCGAGCAGGCTGCCATCAAGCAAGCCACCAAGGACAAGAAGATAACTACCGTTTAGCAGGGCGTACTGCGGTTGGTGACGGGGGTCCCCTCAGTCACACTCACTTTTTTCCTTGGTATGTTATTGAGTATATTCTGAGCTTAGTTTTCTCTACAGTGATACTTTAGTGGAGAGGAGGTGTAAGGATTCTTTCTCTCTGGTTTTGGCTTTTCATATAAATGCTAAAGGAAGGCGACAGTACAGAGTGTTTTGGTTGAACAACTACTTTAATGCAGTCAAATCTAACGGGACTAGGGTGGGATAGGGAGGAAGGTGGTATCAAATTGTTGGACTCTGAAAAACAAGTGGATGGATTACTAATATTTGATTTATTACTCAATATATATATAATTCCAGCCTTGGAAAGTAGGAAAGTAGGCTGCTACCTAACTTTTAGTCCCTTCCAAAACCATTTAGTAGGGTTCTATTACATAAACAGTAGGGTTTTTCCTCTCCTGACCTTATCCGTTTACAGTTCAATGAAATAAGTGTATGTGCATTGCTGTCTGTCTCTATTGCCAAAATCAAATAAATGGCTTCTCAGCTGCTGTTTACAACAAACTTCCCTAACCAAAACAGAACCTCTAATTTAGGGCTAGGAATAGAAGTCTTTTGATCCCAGTCCCTGGGACAGTTTTGTATGCTGTATCTTGTACACAGGTTGTAGGTTGGTTTATTGCCATTTTGTTTTATTTCTGCTGTATAAAAACCAAGAGCCAGACAATTAGACAACTATGGAGGAATGAAAGGCAATTCAAACATCTGCTTGATTCCCGCCCCGCCACCCCTAATTTCTGAGAGAATAATGGTTAGAGAACATTGCATCTCACTTGAAACATCCTTTGGGGGTAAATGATTCTTAGGTGCTCACTTGGTCTGAGCTCAGCTGAATGCAGGGAAGATGGGACAGAGTGACATTTCTCCTCTGTGCGGCCTCCAGCTGAGCCTGTCTCTGAATTGTTCCCTCCCCCGCAATGTGGGCACTTACCATGTTCCTGGCACACTGGACCTCACCATGTCCCCCGGTCACCAGTCCTCTTGCTGCCCATGGTTCATAGGTCATAGAAGGCAGCAATGCACTGACTGGGCCACATCTTGAAAACTCGTGGAAAGGGAAAGGGGAGGAGATGGGACTTTGACCACACACAGTGATGCCTCACACCCTGAAGGTGGGGGATTTTGTACCTGTTTGTACAACTTTGGTCTTGATGGGAAAAATGGAGAATTAAAAAGTGTTTTGAGAAGCTTAAATGTTTCATGTTATTTTTCTTGTGTTCTTTATTCAGCAAATATTCCCCAGAAGCCTAATATGTGCTCCATGCTACCACACACAAGGGCAAATGGATAGATGAAGAGGACACCCTTATTATCTAAGAGTGTGGGAACTGGACTGGAGCCAAAAATCCCAACAGCTCAAACTCAGGGCTGGGTCAGAATCAGGTCAGGCAGTGGGGCTGCCGGGAAGGGGATTCAGTGGGCAGCTGGAGGTTCCAGGGGATTCTGGTGGGAAAGAATGTAGTCAATCTGTCTGGCTCCAAGGGCCTGACTGGGAAGAAGTTGAATCTCTGTAGGAGACAACTGTGGAAAAACATACTGCCCTAAACGATATCATGAGAAATAGTCTACCCTAGAAGCAGGAGTGGAAGAAGGGGGGATGAGAGGAGATTAGGGTTGCCTAAGCTGCTGCTTCATGGCCGTGACCCCCAGCATTGATTCTGTACCTTTCCTTTTTCTTCCTGTCCACTCCAGGCGGAGAACCCGGAGTGGTGACAGTGATGGCAGCAGAGCCAGGGTGAGACTGAGAGTGCTCAGACTAATTTTCTTGGAAGTAGTGGAAAGCTCCGCTAAAAAAGAAACATGGGTTTGGATTGAGCAGAATGTCAAGAGCCCTGAGAACCAACCAAAAAATGGCAGATGAGCTGTTTCAGGGGCAACATTTAGGAAAGTGAAATCTCTGCTTTGCTTACAATGACGGGACTGAAAATGGCAATTCTGCACAGGAAAGGGACTGTGGGACTCTTCCAAGACATTTAGGACATCCAAGTTTCTTTGAAGGTTGGCACATCAGTCTTTATTCTTCCACAGGTAAAGAACAGCCAGTGACACACTCAGTGGGTGGTCAATGGCTACCTCACAACCTATATGCATTTGGGACACAGTGAAGATTTCCACATTTTGGTCCTACTTAGGAGTATTTTGTGAGGCTGTTGTGCTGTTTACAGCCTTGACCAACCAGAAAGTGCTAGAGAGAGCCAGGGTCTGCCAAGGACAGGGCCCACGAAACACATACACAGTTACGTAATGTTCTTGTGTGAAGACCTCTCCCTAAGTGTGCTATTGCAGATAAGAAGGCCAACAAAGGTCAGGCATGGTGGCTCACACCTGTAATCCCAGCACTTTGGGAGGCTGAGGCAGGCAGATCAGGAGGTCAGGAGTTCGAGACCAGCCTGGCCAACATAGTGAAACCCCATCTCTACTAAAAATACAAAAATTAGCTGGTGTGGTGGTGCACACCTGTAATCCCAGCTACTCAGGAGGCTGAGGCAGGAGAATCGCTTGAACCTGGGAGGTGGAAGTTGCAGTGAGCCCAGATCACACCATTGCACTCCAGCCTAGGCGACAGAGCGACACTCTGTCTCAAAAAAAAAAAAAAAAAAAAAAAAAGGCCAACGAAATACGCCTTACCAGAAGGGGTGCTGGAAACAAAGCAAACCGTTTTCTCATTCTTATACAGAGGTACAAATGGGAGGGATGTGTGGACTGCTGCCTGCATCACTAGTCACTGTGCCATGGAGTAGGCCCACGGGAGTAGGAGGGGTCCTGAGATGGGAAATCAACATGACCATGAAGAAGGAAGGCTTTGGAGTGATGTCATCCAACTTGGTTCTCAGAACAGCAGCTCCCAGAGAGCACTTCCTTCTAACACTGTTATCTACTCTCTGGTACTTAGCATGTGTTCCCATTTAGTCCTCACAGCAACCCTTATCATAAATATTACTTTCCTCTCTTCCATACCCAAGGGCCCAGAAACTACTGAAAGAATCTCTTTCAAGTTAGCCTTCGTTGGAATAAATTCCTTGAAAAAGAGGTAGTTCATCAGCTAGGACCCAACTCTTATATATATATATACACACACACACACACACACACACACACACACACACAGGCAATTGTGTTCTTGGAAGTGCTGGTGGTGGTTTCTTCTATATTTTTGGTTACTTTTAGCTATATATTATTGCCTGTCAGTATACCTTCCAATTTATAAATGAAACTACTCTTTGGGTGATATTGTGCCCCTTACCCCACAAGCACTTCTTTCTACCTGCTCTATTAATACAGGTTCTTTCAGGGTCTCTCATCCTAGGCGGTGTTTTTATTCCTACCTCACAGTAGGGCTTTGAAATCTTACTGCCCAACTAGAACATTTTCCCCCTCCACACTGATTTCATCCCAATAATTAGACAAGGATTGGTTCCTCAGGTTGCTCTTGCTGGTTAAGGACAAGTCCTGCTTCCAGGCTCTGAAAGACAAGTTTATTTTTTAGTATGTCCAGATCAGCTCAAGTTTAGTGGTAAGACCAGGCCTGAGCTGCTACAGCCCATACTCTTGAAACCCATCCTCTTGAAACTCTTGACACCACACTGGAAACCTTGTGAAAAGCCTCTGCTTTTCATGACCTTTCCTCCTTGTTTCTGACCTACTTGAGGAAAGGAGCTGATACAGTTTGGCTGTGTCCCCACCCAAATATCATCTTGAATTGCAGCTCCCATAATCCCACGTGTCAGGGGAGGGACCTGGTAGGAGGTTAATGAATCATGGGGGTGAGTTTTTCCAGTGCTGTTCACATGATAGTGAATTAGTGTCACAGCATCCAATGGTTTTATAAAGGGCAGTTCTCCCACACATTTCTCCTTGCCTACTGCCATGTAAGACGTGACTTTGCTCCTCCTTCACCTTTCGCCATGATTGTGAGGCCTCCCCAGCCATGTGGAACTGTGAGTCCATTAAACCTCTTTTTCATTATAAATTACCCAGTGTCAGGTATTTCTTCATAGCAGTATGAAAATGGACTAATATAGGGGCTGTATCTTGCCCATCCTTAGGTACTATTACTTCTATTACATTACTACTAATCTGGTGGGATCCTCTTCCAGCAGTTACTGCCCTCTGCAGAGTAACCCCATTCCAAGAAGCCCCACCCTCTCTCCAAGACTTTATTCTTGTCTGAATGTTTTCTGAGCCCGACGGTCCTTATTTATGTTTCAAATAGCTTGGGAGGAAAAACTCCAATACAGACAACTTGAATTGGCAACCAAACCCTAATGCTACTTACTGTCAAGTCATATCCGTGAATTTCGTAGCACTAATGCATTCATTCAGTCAGTCAAATAGAATTGCCTGTTACAGCTCAGGTTGATATGGGAGTCGGGCAATGACAGGCAAAAGAAACAGCCCCTTGTGACACAAAGCTTATACTTCCACTGGCTTCTTACAACTCCTCTCTGATCTACCCTTCCCAGAGTCCATATTTCCCCTCTCGATTCTCTGTGACCACCCTTTCATTTAGGAAGACAGCTCAAATTTCAGCCTGACTCTGTGCACTCTCTTCTGAGCTTTGCTTCTCTGGAAGCTTAGGACTCTCACGATCCACTGTGCCCCACTAGCTAGCACACCTAGCAGTTCACCCTTTACCAGTTCTTCTTCTTCTTCTCCTTCTTCTTCTCCTTATTCTCCTTATTCTCCTACTTCCTCCCTCCTCTTCTCCTCCTCCTTCTCCCCCTCATTCTCCTCCTCCTCCTTTCTTCCTTCTCCCCCTCCTTCTCCTCCTTCTCCTCCTCCTTCTCCTTCTTCCTCCTCCCTCTTCTCCTCCTTCTCCGCCTCTTCTCCCCCTACTTCTCCTTCCTCCTTCCTCCTCTTCTCCTCCTCCTTCTCCTGCTCCTCCTCCTTCTCCTTCCTCCTCCATCCTCTTCTCCTCCTTCTTCTCCTTTCTTCTTTCTTCTTCTTTGAGACAAGGTCTCACTCTGTTGCCCCGGCTGGAGTGCATTGGCACCATTTCAGCTCACTGCAACCTCTGCCTCCTGGGTTCAAGCGATTCTCACACCTCTGCCTCTCAAGTAGCTGGAACTACAGACCATGCCCAGATAATTTTTGTATTTTTAGTACAGATGGGATTTCACCATGTTGGCCAGGCTGGTCTCAAACCCCTGGGGCTCAGCCTCCCAAAGCGCTGGGACTACAGGCATGAGCCACCACACCTGGCCCCTTTACCATTTCTTGATGGAACTAATGGATTCCCACCCCACAGCCTTTATGAATGGACTGAGGCCATTGAATTCAGGATTCTTACTTTGGTGTGTAGCTGTGGCTGCCTCCCTAGGACCAGGGCACAGAAATTTCACAGTAACCAATGAGAGAGACCAGGGGCCAGCTCCAAGCCAGAGTCATTTCATTCAGGGCAGATGTGATCAGAAGACCAGCCAAGGGGCTGTCCCTCTAGCAGGATGTGAAAACAAGGAGAGTCCTGGTCAACACAATTTTGCTTGGAAAGCAAAGTGGGTGCTGAAATACCTACACCTGAGAGCGATTGTCTTAATGTGGCAGGAATGTAAAACAAATTGGACATAATTTGGAGGGAGGGTAATGAGGTACCACGAACAAGAAAACATAAAGAATCACTAGGCTCGGCAAGGTGTCAACCCTGTCCTAATTAGGCACAGTTGTTATAAGAAGTACATAATTAATAAGCGTGTGACCAGATGTGAAATACAGCAGAGGTTTTTCCTGAAATGGAGGGTGTAATGAACTGCGCAGCTGGAAGTAGTTGTCCTAATTTGGCGCAGGCGGAAGGCCTGCCTGGAATTTTGAAGAGGTGTAGTAAGATGCACACCACAGGTTTACACCTGAAAACAACTAATCCTATTCCAACTGGACTGGGGTGTAATGAGATAGAGCTACTTATCAAGAGTGTAATGAGATGCAAAAGCCATTGGAACTGAGCTGGAAATTTCTTTAAAAGTGAACTAAGACGCAAACACCAGGAAAGAATTTCTGCTAATGGAGGTAGGTGTGAGTGTGATGAAACGTACACCATGTGAGGAGAGGCTGCTTTAACATGTCTGGGCCAAAGACGCGTCTGTAATTAAAAATATTGCCAGGACATTTACACACCTGGAGCAAGAGTCCCTGGGAACCTAAGAACGCAATGACTTGTAAAAGCCACATGCATACTATTAAGATGTATGTGACCACTTATGTGTGTACAAATAACTGGAAAAAAAATAAAAGGAACTTAGGTGTTTTCGGGTGAGTGCAGTTCCCATTTTCCTTGATCTCATTTAGAAAGGTGACCTCAGATTCCTGCTGACTTTGCAATAGATACTCTAGCAGGAACCTGATTCCAAACAGAAAACCCAGCAATCTTCTCATCCCAAACTGATTTAATTATCACCAGCTCAAGTTTTCTTTCACACAAGGATTTATTTACTGTGTGAGAGAGATCAGGAAACCATTAGTAGCTGGTTTTTGTGGTTGTTTTTATTTTATGATTGCTACTACGTTATTCTAGACACCATTTATGGAACACTTCATGTGTATCAGGTGCTGTGCTAAATGCTTTACCACATTATTTCATTTAATCCTCACAATAATCCTACAAGATGTATATTATTATCATCCCTACTTTACAGAGGAAACTAAGGCTCGGATTAAGGGCTTTGCACCAGATCTGGTAAGTGAGCCAGCTCTGCCCAACACCAGAGTTCATTCTGGAACCGTAGCCAAATCCAAAGCTCATACCACTCGTCTCACAACAGCCAATAAGACAAGACATACTCAACTATTCTTTCCAAATAAAGGAAAGTGACTTTATTTCAGGAAGCCAGCAAACTGAGAAGATGGCAGACTGGTGTCCTAAAGGACCATCTTCAAAGGTATGAATCTCAAGCTTCTTTTTATATTGGGTAAAGGGAACAAGGAGGGGGTTAAGGTCAGGAGGTGACAGGTGACCACAGACATCTGGGTGTCAGCAAGAGTCTGAGGGAGTTTCATAACTTCTTTTTCTTTGTTCAGGTCACAGCACTCCTACAAGTCTTTAGCATAACATTGTTCTTGGGTGTATGCCCTTCTTATCTCCTCAGGGGTTAGTTTGGGGAAGGCCCTATTATCATCCTTGCTTTAAAGTTAAGCTATACACTAAATTCCTCCCATAGTTAGCTGGGCCTACATGCAGGAATGAGCAAAGGCAGTTTGCTTGGGGGTTAGAAGCAAGATGGAGTCAACTATGCTAGATTTCTCTCACTGCTACAGAACCCCCCTCTGTGCTATTTTGAGCCAAACCCCCTTGTCTAGTGTGGCAAAGGCAGGGACTCTCACATGCTATATTTGAGCCCCAAGTGATACTGGTAGTCTGACTCATCCATTCACCCTGTCCTCTCCTGTAACCTCCAGCAGGAACCATTTCTGGACCACATTTGGGGCCACCATTGCCCACTCTCCTCTCTGCTTCTCCTCCACCCACAGCTGCCTGAGCCCATCCCTGTGACCAGTACATTGACAGAAATCTTGGAAACACAAACCTTTGGTTCAGGGGCTGACCCCCCACCAGTTGGAGGCTGGAGATAACCCCAAGAGGTTGAAGCTAAATGCTCAGGTTCTAGAATCTGGTGTATCTTGGCTCAACATGTTGCCTTAGCCTTCATAGGGGAGGCAACTTATCTTTTCCTTCTATCTATCTTAGGTTCATTGTCTGGAACCCCTGTAACAAAAGACAGATTAAGAAGAAGAAAGCATACTAATTTATTTAATGTAAGTTATACATGAAAAAAAATGAAGACCTGAAGAAGTAATTAAACCTGGGTGGGGTTTTGCTGCTGTTTGTGGTGGTGGTGGTGATGGTGTTTTCGAGGCAGGGTCTCGCTGTATCGCCCAGCCTGGTCTCTCACAGGAGGGTCTTAGGCCTGCTTCAGGGGAAGGTCAGAAAAGTCTTCCTAGGTTTTAGGACCTGCTGCAGAGGGGAAAGAAGAGGAATGGCCAGGGGAGGTCAGAGAAACCTTCCTGAACATGCTGTTTCTCAAATTCCTTCTGCTTAAACTGTTCGCTATGCTAAGGTGCCAGATTTGGGAGTAGCGTGTCCTGAAGACCATCAACTTTGCAGGTGGTTTGATGTGGTTACAAGTGCTTAAAAATGCCCTCTGTTGCCTCATCTTTGAAATGGGATAACAGTGATACTAATAGCTCCTGTCCAACAGAGGCATTCAGTGCCTGGCATGTCATTAGTATTATATATACATAACAAATAATATCCTGTCTGTTTCTTTGAGGAGTTTCAGACACACTATCAAGAAAGCCTGCTGTGTTGAAGTGTAAGAGTGCAGCCCCGCTTACAGCGCTTCTTGGTTAGAAAGGCCCAGGCTAGGCTGGGCATGGTAGCTCATGCCTGTAATCCTGGCACTTTGGGAGGCCGAGGCAGGTGGATCACTTGAGGTCAGGAGTTTGAGACCAGCCTGGCCAACATGGTGAAACCCCATGTCTACTAAAAATACAAAAAGTTAGCCGGGCATAGTGGCGGGTGCTTATAATCCCAGCTACTCAGGAGGCTGAGACAGGAGAATCGCTTGAACCTGGGAGATGGAGGTTGCAGTGAGCCAAGACCATGCCATTGCACTCCAGCCTGGGCAACAGAGAGAGACTTCCTCTCAAAAAAAAAAAAAAAAAAAAAAAAAAACAACAAAGAAAGGCCCCAGGCTATGGCAGGGTGGACCCAAGACTGTTACTTGCTGTATGTGGACACCTAAAGGCCCCCAGAACCATCCATCCTCATCATAGAAACTGGACGTTCTGATCTTACACGATTGTTTCAGCCCCCTCCCCACACATGCCGACTGCCCTCAGTGTCTGCTTCCTTAAGCCTGCTTCCATTTTAGCTATTAGCGAGGGTTTTGCATCTCGTTGCCTGCCAGCATATTATGTGCATCTCATTAACTCTGAAGGCTCCACTACCCTTTAGGGACCAGACCTTCACAGACGTAATGGCCTTCTGCCTGAGGTTTGAGTTTGCTGTTACTCTTTCTACCTTGGCTGAGGAATGTCAGCCCATGGATTTCTAATAAGTTCACAAATTGCTCTATGAAATTGAGGTGAGAAAAATGTCACATTCTTTTTTTTTTTAATTTTTAAAAATCAAATCTGGCTTGGAGCCCCCACTTAACCATTCTCAGCAGAAGTCCGACTCCAGTCATTGTGATTTACTCACAGGCAGGGGATGGGGGTTTTGGTGAGAGGCTTCCCCTCCTTCAGGTTGCACCAACACCCTGCTGCTGAAGCAGGTCAGGAGAGCGGGGTGAGCACTACGTCATCAGGGCATCCTGATCACTCTTTCCCCGGGCTCCTTCTGCGACACAGTGAAGACTCTAAACACTGTCTGGTGCTGTCGTCAGGCCCTGCCCTCCACAGGCAGAGTCTTTTCTAGTGTGCCCAGGCTTTGTTCCGGGGACCTCCAGGCCTCAGTGTCCATCCACCACAGGCATCCCTCACAGTTGCCTGACACGAGGTCCTGCCCTCTGTGGGCACTGTGAGCTGGATGTCGTGGAGCTACCGTGCATGCTACAGCCCTTGTCTCTTCTCAGCTTTGGGGGACCCAACACTCCAGGTTGGGCAGTTCTCTCCTCTTTCCTCCTGACCCCAGAGTCTCTTTCCTTTCTGCCACTGGGAGAGCAAACCCTCCTTCCCTGGGCCTAGACCTTTCAAAACAATAGGCTGCTGGAGGGATTATCTGAGTGAAGATAAGTTTTCTCTCTCTCCTCCCCTCCCTTCTTCTCCCCTTTCTTTTCTTTTGCCCTGAAACAAGAAGCTTGTTAACCAGACTTCTGAGGATAAAGAGAGCCTGGACTCAAGAGCAATCCCCAGGTAACCCTATAGGGTGGCAGTGGGAATCTTTTATCCTAATTTTGGGTGGGGGGTTGGCATCAATTACTTTCTCAATAACACCTGTTGTGGATTCATAGAAATGGATAGAACCTGAGAGAGCTTCCGTCCCAACCATCTCATTTTTCAAAGGAGCCAGAGGAGCAAAGGGAGGAGGCCCAAGAGGAGAGTGGGGATGCCTAGTTCATGTCTGAGCCAGGACCAGCATCCAGGTCTCGACTGCCACTCCCAGGATCCTGCATTTGGGAGCCCCCAGGTGAATCATGCTGTTAGACTGCCAAGTGGAGGGATAGAGGCAAGGTCCTGCCTTCAAAGACATGAATGTCGCATGGAAAGAACAGGGCAACACACACGAATCCACTATGGAGTATCGTAAGCCAGTGTACCACTGAAGGCTCACGGAGCATTTCTGAGGAACTCAGTAAAACGAATAATGATTGTAGACTATCGTTAGTCAAATACAACTTAACTGGGAAAATGGAACTGGACCATGGTCTTGAAAAACAAGTGGAGCTAGAGAATCAATGTGAGGGCTGAGATGAAGGTATGCAGTTTGTCAACCTCCACAGTATAAAAAAAAAGTAAGCAAAGAAAGTGAAGCAAAAGAAAACTCAGGAGTATGAGGAGGATCAGCACAGTGCAGTCATGAAAACTAGCCAAGGCAAACCTGCCTAGCAGGAGGCCTGGCACATTTTGGATGTTCTTGACTTCTTTTTTCTTACCTTGCTGGCAGTCAGCAGATACATGGGATCTTTGAACCCTCTAGAATTACATGCATACAGCATGGGTGATTTGGGGTGATGGTGTATAAGTGCATTATATGAAATCAGGTCTGAGGTTTTCATTAGGTTCTCAATATATCTTGCTCTCCCTCTTCCAGGAATATAGTAGGATTGCATTTCTGAGCCTGTATTAGTCCGTTTTTACACAGCTGATAAAGACATACCCAAGACTGAGTAGTTTATAAGGAAAAAGGGGTTTAATGGACTCACAGTTCCGCATGGCTTGGGAGACCTCACAATCATGGTGGAAGGCAAAAGGCTTGTCTTAGATGGCAGCAGGTAAGACAGAATGAGAGCCAAGTGAAAGGGGAAACCCCTTATAAAACCATCAGATCTCATGAGACTTATTCACTACCGCAGAACATTGTGGGGGAAACTGCCCCCATGATTCAGTCATCTCCTACTGGGTCCCTCCCACCACACGTGGGGATTATGGGGGCTACAACTCAAGATGAGATTTGGGTGGGGACACAGCCAAACCATATCAGGGCTCTTCTGTGTTTGGGTGGTACCATGGGATTAGGTGGCCAATAAGTTATGAGTAGAAGGGTGTCACTTCCCAACCAAAGCCATTTAATTACCTGTGTGAAACCCTCCAGAGCTCAGTGCCCCCTCTGTCACAATGGCCAGCAATGTTCCAGATAGTGACCACTCACTCAGCTAGGGTTCCAGAGGGAGGAAGATGCAGAGCAGAGCCCCAGCTGACCTGCAGTGGACATATGAGGTAAGTAAGAAATACATCTTTGTTGTTTAAAGCCATTGACATTTTGAGATTGTTTGTTACTGCAGCCTAACCCTCCCTATCCTGACTGATACACACAACGAAGAGGCTGATCACAGTGAGGAGAGCAGAAAGAGCAAGGGAATTTCAATGAGGGATGAAATTTTGACTTTAAAGAGAACTAGTTGAGTGGAGGATTGAGAATAAGAGCCAAATTTAGAGGCTGAAGGATGAGAAAAGATAGTGATTTCCCAACAAGTCCTCAGTCAGTACATGTCTGTCCTAAAGACAGAAGCAACAAGGCTGGGCGCAGTGGCTCACACCTGTAATCCCAGCACTTTGGGAGGCCGAGGCAGGTGGATGACGAGGTCAGGAGATCAAGACCATCCTGGCTAACACGGTGAAACCCCGTCTCTACTAAAAATACAGAAAAATTAGCTGGGCGTGGTGGCAGGCACCTGTAGTCCCAGCTACTCGGGACGCTGAGGCAGGAGAATGGTGTGAACCTAGGAGGCGGAGCTTGCAGTGAGCCGAGATCACGCCACTTCACTCCAGCCTGGGGAACAGAGCGAGACTCTGTCTCAAAAAAAAAGACAGAAGCAACAAGTATGTGTTGTTCACTCAAGGAGTGTATTAGCCAGGGTTTTCCAGAGAAATAGAACCAATAGCATATATATATATCTCTCTTTAACATATATGTACATATCCAACATATAAACAAAAAATATATAAATATATATCTAACATAGAAAAAACTATCATCTATAATTGTATATATATATATATATGTATATCTCAATAAATGAACAACAAATATTCTTCACTTTTTTGTGCTAACCTTGTTAGAACTCAGCAGATACATGGAATCTTTGCACCCCTAGAATTACATATACAGATGATCAATGACTTACAATGGTTGGACGTAAAATTTTTTGGCTTTACAATGGTTCAAAAGCAATATTCATTCAGTAACACTCCATAACTTACATCCTGATAAACCCATCATAAGTTGAGGATCTGCATATGTGTGTGTGTGTGTATAATAGAGAGAACAGAGCAAGAGAGAGAGAGATGAGGAGACAGAATTATGGGAGTTGGCTCACATGATTATGGAGACTGAGAAGTTCCCTAATCTGCCATCTGCAAGCTGAAGAATCAGGAAAGCTGGTGATGTAATTCAGCCCAGGTCTGGAGGCCTGAAAACGAGTAGAGCCAGTGGTGTAACTTTCAGTGGGGGAGTTGAAGGTGGGGGACTGGTCTAAGTCTCAGAGTACAAAGGCTCAAGAACCAAGAGCTCCAATGTTTACAGACAGAACAATATGGATGTCCCAACTCAAAGAAAGAAGGAAAGACTTGTCCTTCCTCCACCTTTTTATTCTATCAGGGCCTTCAACAAATTGGATGATGCTTACCCACATTGGTGAGGACAGATCTTTACACAGCCTACTGCTTCAAATGCTAAGCCCTTCCAGAAACACCCTCACAGACAAACCCAGAAATAATGTCTTACCAGCTATCTGGGCATCCCTTAGCTCAGTCAAGTTGACATATAAAACTAACCACTGTTGCGGGATTCAGGAGGACGAGAGAGACCTCAGGTTGAAACAGGAGAATCTTTATTGAGTGCGCTCAGGCCCAGCTGACTCACCTCCAAAAAATTGGGCCCAGAACAAAGACCGCACCTGAATTTTATACACACTTCACAAAAGGGGGTGGGCTAGCTTAAAGCAAGCTTACAGGGGCATGAAAGCAGGGATACAGAGGGAGGACAAAGACAGGATTGCACATGACTGTTGCCAAGCAACCCAGATGTCTGTTATCTAGGTTTGTCTGAGCACAGGCTTATCCTGTAACCTTCACTATGGTGCCCAGGCAGCTGTAGTTCAGGCCTACTCAGGCTCCTCATGACCTTCATTGTACTTCTTAGATAAAACAGAATACTTGAAGTCACTAGTTACAGAGAATAGGAATCTATAAACTCATTCCATAAAACAAAGGAAAATTTGTTTTTCTTCTCCTTATGTTGAGGGAGTGCTGGGAGAGTCTCCAGAGCACATTAGATAATATTATCAAGACTTTTCCTGGATCTGGCTGTGCCTGTTGCTGCCTCTGGGACAAGTCAGCCTAATACAGGAAAACTTATTTTGCTTTCTTTTTAATTTGATTTTTCTTTAATTTCCTGCATCAACCATCACAGTGAGCAATCCTGGATCCCCCCAGTTTATTTATGTCTTTTGCTTTACCCCCCTTTTTCATTTATTTGAACTCCTGTAGTATTAGTGAGCTCAGATACATAGGTCTTAATTCAGTGTCTCTGAGTACTCACAGGAAAGCTTCTATGTAAATCCAACACATAAACAGAAAAAAAACTATAATAGTTAACTATATATAATATTATATCTATAATATTATAGAGATTATAAATCTGCTGTCTATAATAATTAACTGTTATTAAAGCTTAAAACCCCCTACAAGTTGCCACACATCCCTGCTCCAAAATCCTGATGTCTAATTATCTCACTGGACCAGCCCCTTTTTCCTTAGGAACTTTCTATTTCAGTACCATTTATTACCCATCCTCAGCAGTAAGTGTTTACCCTCTAACAACGTAGGCCCAATCACCAAAACATGAAAAAGATTGGGGAAAAGAATATATTTTTCTACCCTCCTCCCCAACAGCTTAGAGTTCCTTGTATTTCTCTGATGTCCCAGTGGATGTAAATGTTAATGGTTTTGAATGAGATTTGAAGTTGCAATCTTAAAATGAGGAAACATAACACTTAAATGCTGTTAATTCAGCTAGCTTTAAGAGACTAATAAAGCACAAGGTACTAGGCCTCTTGGCAGTTAAAGAGCAATTCACTCATCTATGATAACAGCAAACATTAAATTATTTTCATAGGGGATATAGAACTTCTTGCATCTTGCAGTTGTATTAACTGTCATCATTTTCTTAGATTTTCATTTCCATGTTTTCTGGATGCCCCTGAGATGCTTACACACTGTTCCAGACCTACAGAGTTCAGAAGGGAAGTAAGAGTAGCTACATCATTCGCCCCACATCCCACCCTCCATCGAGGACTGATCTAGGGCAATTTGACATTCCTGCTGTCCAAATTCCTTTAGTAAACATCAGTAGCCTTCTGCCATAAGCAGAGATGGAAGCAATGTGACTCCTCCCCTCAACTTTGCTAGCAGGAAGTGTGCTACAAAGTAAGCAGTCCACAGACAACATTCATTAGCAAGAGAACGTAAACATCCTCTTCCAACCTGCTCAGGAAGCACTCTCTGTCCCTTTTCTCTGTCCAGCACCTTATTGGAAAGTTTCCTCTGAGGCAAGCACAACTATGTTCTGTCAGCAGGATCAGACCCACCTTCTAGTTTGATCTAGAGACAGAGTTCTGCATGCATTCTGGGTGCTTGAGGACCCAGAGTGCTGTTTCATAGCTGTCAAATACTAGGTTTACTTATTTTTTTTTAAGTCATTTGCAAAAAGTTGCTAAAGCCCATAAAGTCTTACCAGCCCACCACATGTCTTGAACAATTTCAGCATTCATTTCTTACCCCTTTTATGCTGATTAACCATCCCTCCAGTACTATTCCTGTTTAGATGGCAGCCCTTGAAAGGTTTGCCACAGCCACCTCTGGAGAGTGTGTTCTGGAAGGAGGTGCCTGAGTCTGGTCTTTAAGGATGTCATTTCTCAGGGAGCTGCCCGGTTGGGCTATCCTGTCCCTCATTAATAAATGCCCTGCCCTTCAGATGCAGTGTCAGTTCCTCTGGTCCTCCACAATAGGACATCTACTAACCATCACTTTCCTAGTTGTGGGCATGAGTTTGCACTGAGCCATCCACATGTACTTGGAAACTTCAATGCAAATTTGCAAGGCAGGACCCAGGTGCAGTCCCAGCCTGCCTCAGAGCACAAGGATGCTAAGCACATTCACCAGAAACACCCTCTTGCCCGCAAAACCTAACCCCGGATGCTAGTCCAAACAGGCTCCCTCTCCAAGGATACAGAGCCTTGGACTCTGATCACGCCAAGATCTAGAGTCCATCCAGCTTATGCTATTAATAGCTGGGGCCATGCTACCAGCCCATAGCTTATTAATAATGTATAGCTGCAGCCCCTGACTTAGTTCAGCTATAAACATTCCTCATCTGCATGATTAGCTCTTAACTTACTGATTAGAAAGTTTCATCCTGCCACAAAACCTACCCTTTCTGAATGAATGGCTCTTTTAAAGGCAGCCAAGTTCTCTAAAATGTATCTCAAACCCAAATAAAAAATAGTCTACAACAAAAACAAAATTCTACTATTTTCTTGATGGAATGAGAAAAAAAGGAGCTTAAGAAGGTTTTTAAAAGTTCAGCTCCATGCTTACTGAAGGGACTAAAAGTAGTTGTGAGTACAACTGGGGACTTGGGGAGATAAGGTTGGAGAATAATTCAGTGGCGAGTAGGAGATATTAATAAGTTTGTTGTTGTTGTTGTTGTTGTTTTTACCTTGAGGGATCTGGTGTAACCACTAAGGAGTTTTAAGCAAGTAAGTAGTATTGGGTTTTGACTTTACAAATATCACCCTGGAAGATGGATAATGGATTGGAAGGCAGATGGCAGGAAGACTAGTCAGTGATCAAGGAGAATGACGGTAGTGGCTTCAACTAGGGTGGTAGTAATACGGATGGAGGGAGGTGGACAGATTCAGGAAATACTTAAAAGAACAATGGCCAGGTGCAGTGTCTCATGCCCATAATCCCATTCTTTTGGGAGGCCGAGACAGGGTTGCTTGAGCCCAGGAGTTCAAGACCAGCCCAGGCAACATAGCAAGACCCTATCTTAAAAATATATATATATATAAAAATTAGCCAGGCATGGTAGTACCCACCTGTAGTCTCAGCTACTTGGGAAGCTGAGGCAGAAGGACTGCTTGAGCCCAGAAGTTCGGGGTTGAATTGAGCTATGATCGTGCTACTGCAGAGGGCAACAGAAATGAGACCCTGTCTCTAAAAAAATTGTAAACACATAAATAAAAGCATGATTGCTCCCTCACCTCCTTTAGGTCTCTGCTTTAATTTTTCCTTCTAAATGATTCCTTTCTTGACCACCTATTTAAAACAGCAACCCTGGCCAGGCATGGTGGCTCATGCCTGTAATCCTAGCACTTTGGGAGGCTGAGGCAGGTGAATCACCTGAGCTCAGGGGTTTGAGAGCAGCCTGGCCAACGTGGCACAACCCCATCTCTACTAAAAATACAAAAATTAGCTGGGTTTATTGGCACATGCCTGTAATCCCAGCTACTCAGGAGGCTGAGGCGGGAGAATCACTTGAGCCCAGGGGGTGGAAGTTGCCGTGAGCTGAGATTGCGCCACTGCACTCCAGCCTGGGTGACAGGTGACAGAGCAAGACTCCGCCTCAAAAAATTAAATAAATAAATAAATAAAACAGCAGCCCCTTCCCCACAGCCTATACTTTCTCTGCTTAATTTTTCTCCATAGTTTTTATTGCCATTTGACATTCTGTATAACTCAATCATTAATTTGATTATTGTTTGTCTTCCCCAACTAAAGTATACACTCTTTGAGGGCAGAGGTTTTTATATCTTTTGTTCTCTGTAGCCCCGATACTTAGAACAATCCCTGGCACATAATAGATGGTCAATAAATATTTTTAGAATGAATGAATAGGTGAAAGATGACAGAATTGACAGGACGTGATCATTGGTTGAATGGGAGGGCGTAAGAGGAAGTGGTAAAGCAGCAAAGGTAGGTTCCCAGGTTTCTAGCTAGGTTAACTGAGGGGATGACCTGCTATTCAGTGAGATAAGGAACACAAGGCAGGATGGGGAGAAGCAGGTTTGGAGGTGAAGGGTTGGAGGTGAAGGAGGTGATGATAAACTTGAGGCACTTGTGGGCTGTGTACAGAAAAATGTAGAGGCGACAGGACTTTGAGCTGAAAGAATAGATTGTGCAACCTTTAGAGTCCTTATACATTCAAAAAATATTTGTTGTGAACCCTCTTTGTTCCAGACCCTACACCAAGCATGTTCAATACACAGATGAGTAAACTGAGGTTGTTACCAGAAAGTGGTCCTGATCCAGACCCCAAGAGAGGGTTCTTGGATCTCACACAAGAAAGAATTCAGGGGAGTCCATAAAGTAAAGTGAAAGCAAGTTTATTAGGAAAGTAAAGGAATAAAATAATGGCTACTCCATAGGCAGAGCAGCCCTGAGGGCTGCTGGTTGCCCATTTTTTTTTTGGTTATTTCTTGATTATATGCTAAACAACGGGTAGATTATTCATGAGTTTTCTTGGAAAGGATGGGCAATTCTGAGAACTGAGGGTTACTCCCCTTTTTATATAGGGTAACTTCCTGGTGTTGGCATGGCATTTGTAAACTGTCATGGCACTGATAGGAGTGTAGCAGTGAGGATGACCTGAGGTCACTCACATGGCCATCTTGGTTTTCGTTGGTTTTAGCCAGCTTCTTTACTGCAACCTAGTTTTTATAGTTGTTGTTGTTGTTGGATACTGAGTCTTGCTCTGTCGCCAGGCTGGAGTGCAGTGGCATGATCTCTGCTCACTGCAACCTCCACCTCCCAGGTTCAAGCAATTCTCCTGCCTCAGCCTCCAGAGTAGCTGGGACTACAGGCACATGCCACCACACCCACCTAATTTTTGTATTTTTAGTAGAGACGGGGTTTCACCATGTTGGCCAGGATGGTCTCAATATTCTGACCTCATGATCCACCTGCCTTGGCCTCCCAAAATGCTGGGATTACAGGCATGACCCACCGTACCCGGCCTACTACAACCTGTTTTATCAGCAAGCTCTTTATGACTTGTATCTTGTGCTGACCTCCTGTCTCATCCTGTGACTTAGAATGCCTTAACCATCTGGGAATGCAGCCCAGTAGGTCTCAGCCTCATTTTATCCAGCTCCTATTCAAGATGGAGTTGCTCTGGTAAAGGCCTCTGACAAGGTCATGCAAATGGATGACATTACATATAAAATCACAGTTGCCACACAGTTGATAACAGCCAGTGTTACTGAGGGGACAGGGAGTAAGCACTCTCATAGACTTTGGAAGGAACTGGAAAAGGGTGGAATCTTTCTGGAATACAATTTGACAGTATGTATCAAAAAGTTTAGAAATTTACATATCCGTGACTCAGTAATTTCCCTTCTAGATACATATTTGCTGGTCATAAGCACAAGATTTGCTATTCACCAAGAGGACAAGGGAGGTTCCTACCTGGGTATGATCAGCTTGTGTACTAAGCAGGCACCTAGGAGCCCCATCAAGTGATGCACCAGCAGGACACCCTAAGAGGGGTTATATGGGCCCCATCTAGATGCAGCTGCAGAAAAGTCAGGGTCTACCTCTAGTCCCTTGCTCATGTCTAAGGCAGACTCTCACAGAAGGGCAACTGGCTCCCTGTTCTGGTTATTTGTCTCTGCATAACAAACTAATCCAAGACTTAGTAGCTTAAAACAGTTATTCTATCTCATGATACCATGGGTCAGGAATTTGAGGGGCGATCAGCTGGGTGATTCTTCTGTTCCATATGGCACCAACTAGAGTCACCTGATGGTACTAAGCTGCTACCTGGGCCAGTCTGGAACATCCAAGATGGCTTCAGTCACAAGCCTGACACCTTGGTGGGAACAGCTCTCAGGCTGTAGTCTCAGAGCCCCTCCATGTGATCTCTTCAGCAGGGTAGTCGGACTTCTTAAATGGTGACTCAGGGCTCTAAAAAAAACCAAAGCAGATGTGACCAGTCCTTTTAAATTGTAGTCCTAAAACTAGCATAGCATCACTTTGACCATGCTCTAAAGGTCAAAATGTAATAGGCCAGTCATAGATCCTACCTCTCAACAGGAGGAATATCAATGAATTTGCAGTCATCTGTAATCTGCCACACTCTCTGGTTCAGGATTTTCAAGGGGGCAAGGTCTGATGCATACATCCAAGTTGTTCTCCTTCTGCTCCTCTACTGTGTGGGCCAATTTTTCTCTAGAAGTGTCTTGCAAAGTCAAAATCTCTCCACTTCTTTCTTTATAGGAAGTGAGGCTTATTATAGCAAACAGAAAGGATCCCTTATGCTATCACTCTAATACCAAGGCTGTCTGGCTCCAGTGAGATGCTAAGCTGGCTCTCCTGAGAAGGCCGTTTGCTGTGAAAGAGATGTAATCAGCCTGGAAACATGACTCATCCAAGGGTGTGGAGTTTCTACTGATCAGTTATCACACTGGTCACCAGCAATAACTGGCCATTCTGAAGGCAGTTGCTTCTAAGCCAGACTTGCAGACCTTAGTTATAATTCCTGAATATTCTCGTGAAAGTCATTGAGACTTCCTTATTTTTCAATAGTGAAGAGATATAGCTCTTGCCAGTGTTACAGACAGTTTAAAATCTCTTAGGGCATCATGAACTACACAAAAAGTGCCTGAGGAGTGGCCAAAAGTGAGAAGATAGCTACCAATTGGTGGGGCACCATCAAGGCAAGGAGAAGAGTGACTAGTGGCACTGAGAAACCTCGCTGAGAAAGCTGATCAGAGAGAAGGTCCCAAGAGGCTGGAAGATCCTCTCATCTCAGGCTGACATTGGGACTCCCCTTGGATTATCTTTGTATCAGGAGGGCCTCAGAAGGTTTCTCTGAATGTAGATGCCTTTCTACCTTGCAAGGCCTGGCAGGTGGTTACAAAGGGCACAGGCTTTCCAAGTGCTCAAAGAGAGGACAAAAACTTCTGGAAAAGCATTTGGTGCAGCCGTAAAAAAAAAAAAAAAAAAAAATTCACCAAAAGGACAGCCTCCCCACCCCCTTAATTCCATTGCTAAGCCTCTGTTAAAAGAAAAACTTCAGCCAAATTAAATTTAAAGGGTTTAATTGAGCAATGAATGATTCACAAGCTGGGCAGCCTTCAGAATCACAGCAGATTCAGAGAGACTACAGTGATGCCTAGTGGTCAGAACAAATTTATAGACAAAAAAGGGAAGTGACATACAGAAATCGGAAGTAAGGCATAAAAACAGCTGGGTTGGTTACAGCTGGGCGTTTGCCTTTTTTGAACACAGTTTGAACACTCAGCTGTATATGAGTGGTTGAAGTATGACTGCTGGGATTGGCCAAGACTCAGCTATTGTTACAGGTGCATACTCCTAAATTAGGTTTTTAATCTTGTCCACCTATCAAGTTAGGTTGCAGTTCATCCACAAGGACTCAAATATTGAAGTACAGACTCCTTCTCAGGCCATGTTTAGTTCACTTTAATACATCATAACTGGTAATTGCAGCTCTAGGTCAGGTTGAGAGGTTGGAGACTTCCAGAATGGTGAAGTAATAACCTTCCAAAAATCCACTCTTAAGAATACGTGGCCAAAAAAACAAAAACAACAAAAAAAAAAAAACCAACTTTTTTTAAACTCTGGAAATTAACCAAAGGCTTGCAAAAAATCCAAGGAGGATTTATGCAAGAAAAACTGCTGAATCTTGGTAAGAATAGCAAAATGTTGTAACATTTTAACTTGCACTATTCCTGTACTCCTCACTCCCACTCTGCAGAAATCTTGAAAACAGCAGCTCTGCAATTATGGAAGCTGTGCAAATGAGCAGCCTTACAGCCACTGGAGGTATAACCTGGATTTAGAGCTCCCCCAAAAGCACATCTCCTTAGAATTGTCACATTTTACCTGTCTTTCAGCTCCCTGGGAAAGCTCCATTCACAGGATGTTGTTGTCATTATTTGATCTGATTCACAGCTCATTGCTTGGGATCTGGGGTGTAAAACTTATCCCTAGGGTGTTTGTCAAAAACAACCAATAGCAATGATTTAACATGTGGCTGCCTGAGGCTGCAATACCAGTTGGGGCAAATGGGAGCCTGGCAAAATATTTAAAAGGAAGATCTTGGGAATGGGTTATTCACAGGGGGCTTTGAAAAAGCTCCAACATATCACAAGGGATCTGGAAGGCCATACACATGGCAGAGCTGTGTGTGCTCAGGAAAGACCTAAGTGGAACCTAACTTCTCACCTCTGGCTGACCTTGCAACCAGGAAGTCGTACTGGAGCATTGAAAGTGTGCCCCAACACACAGCTAACAGTACCCCTTGGCTAAGGCTAGAGACTTATTAGTTCCAAGAACTTAAGAAAATCTCTGTTCAGTCATTAGCTGACCACTAAGTTAACTGAGTAGGACTTCAGTCATAAAAGGAAATACTTATTTACAGAATTTGTCGAGGAAAGTTACTAAACAAACAGTAAAAACAACAAAACAGCAATAACAAACCCTGGATACACAGGGAACAGGTTGAGCATCCATAATATAAAAATCTAAACTTGAAATGTTCCAAAATTTGAAAGTTGAGCACTGACATGATGCCATGAGTGGAAAATTCCACAGTTGACCTCATGTGACAGGTCTCAATCAGAACTTTGTTTCATGCACAAAATTATTCGAAGTATTGTAAACAATTCCTTTCAGGCTCTGTGCATAAAGTATGTAGGGGAGCAAACATAATTTCTTTTCCTTTCTTTTTTAAGTTCTTAATTGAGACACCCTCCTGAAAACAAAAGTAAGATTAACAGAAGAAAAACAAGTAGAAGTTTAGTAATGCATGCTGTACCCATCACAGGGAAAGGCCTCAGTTCAAAAATATTTCCCTCTCAAGGCAGTGGTTCTGGGGCCTTGCTTAAATAGTATTGTTACAGGAGAAGGGTCCTGATCCAGACCCCAAGAGAGGGTTCTTGGGTCTTGGGCAAGAAAAAATTCAGGGTGAGTCCACAGTACAAAGCAAAAGCAAGTTTATTAAGAAAGTAGAGGAATAAAAGAATGGCTACTCCATAGACAGAGCAGCCACAGGGGCTGCTGGTTACCCATTTTTATGGTTATTTCTTGATGATATGCTAAACAAGGAGTAGATTATTCATGCCTCGCCTTTTTAGACCATATAGGGGAACTTCCTGTCATTGCCATGGCATTTGTAAACTGTCATGGTACTGGTGGGAGTGTAGCAGTGAGGACGACCAGAAGTCACTCTTCATGGCCATCTTGGTTTTGGTGGATTTTAGCCAGCTTCTTTACTGCAAACTGTTTTATCAGCAAGGACTTTATGACCTGTATCTTGTGCTGACCTCCTGTTTCATCCTGTGACTTAGAATGCCTTAACCATCTGGAAATGCAGCCCAGTAGGTCTCAGCCTCATTTTACTCCACCCTTATTCAAGATGGATTTGCTCTGGTTCAAATGCCTCTGACATTTCCCCCCTCCCTTTTAAAAGACAACCCTAACTTCAAGGTTTGCAGAGGGATGAAGATCTATCTTCTGTAACTACTTCAGGCAGAATAGGGGTGATGATGTTCCTGCCTAACTATTAGAGTCTCTTGTATTTGGGGTATAAAACAGCTCAGTCAGAAAGCATTGGTACGGTGAGGGACATTCATAACTTTTGAGTTCCAACAAAAGATGGTATCTGGAAGATTAATAAGTGTTCAATTTAAGAAAACATTGAGTAACCTCATCCTCTTTCCTACACAAAGAGTACAACAGCAATATATTACACAATAGTAAGGCAAAATACGTAAAATTATCCCAAGTAAGCTAAATTAGAAGGCTTTCCATGAACTGGGCAGCTGTTGGAAACAAGCTGATATGGGGTTGCTAGATGATTTCAATATGTGCCCAGAATATTGATCCAGATTTTTACATTACCCATGCCTCTTGTTTCTTCTGAGCAGCAGTCAGAGATCACTAGTTGGTTCACAGGGATAAGCAGGATTAGTCTTAATTACAGGAAATAAACTCATAAACAACTGATGAGACTAGAATTTAATAACAAGTGTACCATAGTTCTTGAAACATAATTTTTCTCTCTCCAGTTTCCCATTTTTATTAAGACAAATCATGGTAAGACTGATTTGTTTCATTTTACTTGGCCTGATTATTTGTATAAAGTGCAGCAAGAATAATTATTTTTCACATAAGCTCTCTTTAAATTGGCATTGATGTAACTCTGTTCCATAGAAGGAATCTTAGACAAGACTTTTTTAGAGCTGAGCCCTGCCATGGGTTTGTACCCTCAAATACCTATAAGTTGAATAAATTCCTCTCCTCTTGAGGTTCCAAGATAACTTAGCTCTCCTAGGCCTGATAGAAAGTGACATTCTTTACTTATGACATGTCAGGAACCCTTTGCAGGGACTGTGTAGACAAGGTACAAGGCCAGTTTTCCCAAGGGGCTTTTATTGGCTCTATAAGTCAAGTTTAATTCCTTAAAGGAAAACACACCATTCCACTCAAAGCCTTGGTAAAATAACCAGTTTTTCCAATTATGTCCTGTTACAAAAGAAAACAGATTCTTATTGCACTTATGCAAATAACTATATTGCCATAAATTAAGAATACTCACAAGTAGTTTCCAAATTCTGGAGAAACTAGGTAAACAAATATGCTCCAAATTGTGTTCATAGGAGTATACTTTACCTAATTGTTAAAAGCTGTAAATAGCTTAAAAGAATTGTTTTCTTGTCTTTGAAAAACAAAACAAAGAATCAGCAACATTTTAACCTAAAAGTTAAAAAGATCACTTTAGACTTCTACTAGTTTACTCCATGCAGTTAACTTCTCTCCTGTTTGATATTCATGAACATTTCAGTTCTCCATGAGAGTTCTGAAAGTTGTTTCGTCTATTCTAATGTCACAATTTCCAAAGTTATCAGAAAACTGCATTTAAGAACACCTGTTGGAGTTCTACAGCTGACTATAAACCACCTTTTGAAGAGGATTGAAACAAGAAAACAATTGTTTTTGCATGACAAAAGGTTTTAGGACAGCCACAGCCAAAAACATGATTGACAAATTTGGTTACCTCTGTGGCATACAGTGATTTTATGTAACAATTATAATTATTAATAACCTACAATAAGTTTTATTATATTTGTCAGTGCTTCTTGTATGACTTTACTATACCAAATAAGGCAAATTTTACCTTTGTGTTAGTGTACTATTACCATTAAACCCAATTCTTAATAAAACCTTATAAATAAATCTATCCAATCTTAAACCATTTGACCATAAGATAAGATTTTCATAAATCTTGTATAACCCTTTACAATTTTTTATTAAAGAGCAGATTATAAGCAGGTTTTTGCTTTAAGAAAAACCTGTTGTCCTTTTATTCCAATGTTCAATTTACAGAAAAACTGAGTAATACCCCTTTAACTTCAGCCAATATGTTCACACACAGAATCTCTTTCACAATTAATTTTTCACAAACCTTCCACAACTTGCTGAAATCTTCAGCTTTACCTTATCTAACTTAAAACAATCCTTTAACACTTTAGGCATAAAAAAATCCACATTCCTATGACTTCTTATAATCTTTTACCAAAAACACATTTCACTTTCTTTACACACCTTGCATGTAAAACTGTTTTTTAATAGTCTCAAATACATGTTACACTATTAACTCTTAGCAACTCTTACTTCTGGTGAAAAGCCTTGTTAGTAAGCCATTTTAATTATGTACTAGTGTGGAGCCTAGGACCCACAGAAGTGCAGATAAGTCCTGACTCTTTCCAACATCTAACTTCACGTGTCCCAAGCCTTACCTAGCTGTAAAGCAGGCAAGTTGTACGGTTAAGCATCATAGTGGTATTCTATGAAGCATTTAGGAGGCCTAATCACCTTTAAATTATACATTTCTTGCATAAATTCCCTGCTATGGGAATTGCGTGACCTACACAGACTATCTACGACATACTTTGACTTTGTGACTAGTCCTAAACATCCCTTTTTTTAAACAACCAATTATTTTACTTTAGGACAAGAATTTACCATATAAGATCCTTTCTTACATAAAGTCTCTTTTCTTTATAAACTTCTTTGCATAGCTATGGGGTATGGCTAATTCCACATGTCCCCAGGCCTTATCTAGAATCTAATGCTTCAAAGTAGGTAAACTGAACAATTTTTAAAAGTCAAAGAAGCAGTTTATGACCTTAAAGCATTTAGTAAACTTAATATCTGACCTGCATAATTTAGAAGAAATGTTTACATTTTGGAAGATATTTTGATTTTACCGATAATTTTAAAAACTGTCTCTATTTCCCAAAGATTACTAAAGTCACATAATGTAAAAGGCATTACACTTTCTACTTTTCTGACAACGTATTTGATTTAAGCACTTATTTTTAAGCCAATTAATCAAAGCTCTTTCATATATAACCACACACACAACACACATAAATACACTGACAGACAGAAGATAAAGGACTCATTCTCTAAGCCAGGAATTGGACCCTGAACCCAGGCCACCATTGTGAAAAGAGAAAGCACAGCCACATAGTTACAAGGTCAAGCTCCCAAGGACATACTTGGAAACCTCATCCAGTTTTTTTCAGGGACCTGCAGCAAAGTTTGTAACTGACCAGTTTGTTGGGCCATCTTGAAAAGCCCATGCTGTATCCTAAGGTACCCCTCTTTATGACAGAACAATACAGAAAAATGCACAAAGCACACCAGATTTGCTACAGCTTAACACTAGCCTCTCAAATCCTTTTTCCATTAATCAGAACTTTACAGAGGAGATAAAAAGTTATTTTTACCATTAATTCAACTGGTTAGCATAGAGAGAGACAGAGAGAAAGCATTTCCTGAGGCAGGGTGGGGAAGGCGAAGAGCTCAGCGAGACCAGAGAAAGATCCCCCTGTTGCTCTAACATTCAGGCAGCCACTTGTTGGTCATGAAGGGATCTTTTCCAGCAGTTTCATCAGCTCTTAGGTTTTCCCTTTTAGGGAAGAAGACACTCCCCATGTCCCATGATCCCGTACATGCCTGATCCTGTCACCCACAGCCGTCAGCAAAGAGTACAAGACAGATTAATCCAAAGAGAATAGCAGTTAGCATCCCATAGTGCCAAACCCATCCTTAGCCAGAAGGGACTTTACCGAGAGGGGCCTCTAACCCACTCTGTCTTAGGAGAGACTCTAACTCCTGTAAGTTGAGCCTCTAACCCAATCCCATTCTTTACCCAGGTATATGCACCCCACTTACCCAAAGTCAGCCAAAATTGGTGCAAGCAGATGATTTTCAGTTGAGATTAGGGGGTCTCTTCAGTATCATCCCTTTGTGGTTGCCAGAAAGATGTTACAGGAAAGCGGTCCTGATCCAGACCCCAAGAGAAGGTTCTTGGATCTTGGGCAAGAAAAAATTCAGGGAGAGTCCACAGTGCAAAGCAAAAGCAAGTTTGTTAAGAAAGTAGAGGAATAAAAGAATGGCTACTCCATAGACAGAGCAGCCACAAGGGCTGCTGGTTACCCATTTTTATGGTTATTTCTTGATGATATGCTAAACAAGGAGTGGATTATTCATGCCTCCCCTTTTTAGACCATATAGGGGAACTTCCTGTCATTGCCATGGCATTTGTAAACTGTCTTGGCACTGGTGAGAGTGTAGCAGTGAGAATGACCAAAGGTCACTCTTCATGGCCATCTTGGTTTTGGTAGGTTTTAGTCGGCTTCTTTACTGCAACCTGTTTTATCAACAAGGTCTTTATGACCTGTATCTTGTGCAGATCTCATATTTCATCTTGTGATTTAGAATGCCTTAATCGTCTGGGAATGCAGCCCAGTAGGTCTCAGCCTCATTTTACGCAGCCCTTATTCAAGATGGAGTTGCTCTGGTTCAATGCCTCTGGCAGTATTTTCACAAAGACCCATAAATCTTATATACTGACAAGACAAAGAAGGCTTCCAAAAGGCAGGAAAATGTGGAAAGTAAATTTATAAGCAGAGTAAAGTCTGCTCCAGATCTTCTAGTAGCACTGTTTCTGAGCTCTGTTTCTCAGTTGATAAGCAAGCATTATACAGGGGCCTATCTTTAGGTGGGAAAGGCAGAGAGCAGGGGCAGAGTGTACCCCTGTGTTTAAACCTTTTAAAAGACTTTAACTAAAATCCCCAGTACTTTATAGAGGAATATTTTTGTTTCCTTCAGCTGTATATGAAACATAAATGAATTTCATATTTAGACTTGGGTCCCATCCCCAATATATCTCTTTATATATATGCAAATATTCCAAAATCCAAAACAAATCCAAAATCTGAAACACCTTTGTTCTTAAGCATTTTGGATAAGGGATATGTGACTTTGTCTGATTTCCAGAGTTAACTACATTACATTATTTTAAATGTCCAGTTTTGAATTACTAGGTGTGGGGTTTCTTTTTGGGTTGATGAAAGTGTTCTGGAATTAGTGGTGATGCCTCCAGAACCTTCTGAATATACTAAAATCCATTGAATTATATGTACACTTTAAAAGGGTAAATATTATGTATGAGACATATTTCAATTAAAAAAATTTAAAGAAAAAAAGTCCAATTTTTAACAAAAAAACTTATGAGATGCACACAGAAACCAGAAAGTATGGGCCATCCACAGGAAAAGACAAGTCAATAGAAATTGAGGAAGTCCAGATACTGGACTTATTATACAGATAGTTTTAATCAGCCAATATGAATATTTTCAAAGAAAGGAACTCATGTCTAAAGAGTTAAAGGACAGCATAAGAATAATATCTACTCAGCAGAAACCTTATAAGCCAGAGGAGACTTGGGGCCTATTTTCAGCATTCTCAAAGAAAAGAAATTCCAACCAAGAATTTCATATCCCACCAAAGTAAGCTTCATGAGCAAAGGAGAAATAAAATCTTTTCCAGACAAGAAAGTGCTAAGGGAATTCGTTACCACTATACTAGCCTTACAAGAGATCGTGAAGGGAGTTATATACGTTGAAACCACCTGGCCAACATGGTGAAACCCCATCTCTACTAAAAATACAAAAATTAGCCAGGTGTGGTGGTACAAGCCTGTAATCCCAGCTACTTGAGAGGCTGAGGCAGGAGAATTGCTCGAACCCAGGAGGCAGACATTGCAGTGAGCCAAGATCACGCCATTTTACTCCAGCCTGGGCGACAGAGTGAGACTCCATCTCAAAAAAAAAAAAAAAAGGAAACCAAAGAATGATACCTACTGCCAGAAATACATACTTAAGTACATAGCCTACAGACCCTATGACTGTATGGAGCAAAAACACAATAGAAATTACAAAGCAAAAAGCTAACAACTTCACCATTGAATCAAAACCTCGCACGTAAATATTAACCTTGAATGTAAATGGTCTAAATGCCATTTACATTGGATTAAAAAAACAAGACCCTTCCTTCCATGTGCTGTGTTTAAGAGACCCATCTCACACATAATGGTGCCCAAAGGCTCAAAGTAAAGGGTTGGGGAAAGATCTGCCATGCAAAACAAAACAAAACAAAAAGCAGGGGTCACTCTTCTTATATCAGATAAAACAGAGTTAAAACCAACAACAGGAATAAAGGACAAAGAAGGGCATTACATAATGATAAATAATCCAATTCAACAAGAAGACTTAATTATTCTAAATATATATGCACCCAACATTGAAGCACCCAGATTATTAAAACAAGTACTTATAGATCTACAAAAAGATTTTAGACTGCCACACAATAACAGAGCGGGGCTTCAACAACCCACTAACAGCATTACACAGGTCATCGAGGAAGAAAACTAACAAAGAAATCCTGGACTTAAACTCAACACTTCACCAATTGGACCTATTAGATATATGCAGAATACTCCACTCATTAACCACAGAATATACATTTTTCTCATCTGTATATGGAACATCCTCCAAGATTGATCACATGCTCATTCATAAACCAAGTATCAATAAATTTTTAAAACTCGAAATTATACCAACCATACTCTCAGACTACAGTGGAATAAAAATAGAAATCAATACCAAGAAGATTCTTCAAAACCACATAATTACATGGAAATTAAACAACTTGCTCCTGAATGACTTTTGGGTAAACAACAAAATCAAGACAGAAATAAAATTATTTGAAATAACTGAAAACAGAGATGTGACATATCAAAATCTCTGGCATGCAGCAAAAGCAGTGTTAAGAGGAAAGTTTATAACACTAAATGTCTACCTCAAAAAGTTATAAAGATCTCAAATTAGCAATCTAACATCACACCCAGAGGAACTAGAAAAACAAGAGCAAATGAACCCCAGAGCTAGCAGAAGAAAATAAATAACTAAAATCAGAGCATAACTGAAAAATATTGAGTCCCAAAAATCCATACAAAGAATCAACAAAACCAAAAGTTGGTTATGTGAAAGGATGAACAAGATTAATAATCTGCTAGCTAGGTTAACGAAGAAAAGATCCAAATAAGCACAATCAGAAATGACAAAGATGACATTATAACTGATCCCCCAGAAATACAAAAGATCCTAAGAGACTATTATGAACACCTCTACATACACAGACTAGAAAATCTGAAGGAAATGCATAAATTCCTGGAAACACACAATCTCCTAAAACTGAATCAGGAAGAAATTGAAACACTGAACAGACCAATATCGAGTTCTGAAATTGAATCAGTAATTTAAAAACCTACAAACCAAAAAATATCCCAGACCGGGTGGATTCATAGGTGAATTCTACCAGACATACAAACAAGAGCTGGTACCAATTCTGCTGACACTATTTTAAAAAATCGAAGAGGAGAGACTCCTCCCTAACTCATTCTGTGAATCCAGCATCAGTATTGATAACAAAACCTGGCAAAGACACAACGAAAAAAGGAAAACTACAGGCCAAGATCCTTGATGAATATAGATGCAAAAATCCTCAAACGCCAATCATTAAATGCAAATCAACAAATGTGATTCACCACATAAGCAGAATTGAAAACAAAAACCATATGATCATCTCAATAAATACAGAAAAATATTTCAATAAAATCCAACATCGATTCATAATAAAAACCCCAACAAACTAGGCATCAAAGGAACATATCTATGACAAACTCGCAGCAAACATCATACTGAATGGGCAAAAGCTAAAACCATTTCTCTTGAGAAGTGGAACAAGGATGCCTACTCTCACTACTCCTATTCAACATAGTACTAGAAGTCCAAGCCACAGCAATCAAGCAAAAGAAAGAAATAAAAGGCATCCCAATAGGAAAAGTCAAACTATCTCTCTTTGTGGATGATAGGATTCTATACCTTGAAAACCCTAAAAACTCCACCGAAAGGCTCCTGGAACTAATACATGACTTCAGCAAAGTTTCAGGCTACAAAATCAATGTACAAAAATCAATTACATAATTTCTACACACCAACAATATTCAAGCTGAGAGCCAAATCAGAACACAATCCCATTTATAATAGCCACACCAAAAACAAAACACCAACATAAAAAATCCTAGGAATACGTATAACCAAGAAGATGAAAGATCTCTACAAGGAGAACTACAAAACACTGCAAAAAAGAAATCATAGATGGCACAAACAAATGGGAAAATATTCCATGCTCATGGATTAGAAGAATCAATGTTATTAAAATGGCCATACTTTCCAGAGCAATCTACAGATTCAATGTTATTCCTATCGAACTGCCAACTTCATTTTTCACAGAATTAGAAAAAACTATTCTAAAATTCATATGGAACCATAAAAGAGCCCAAGTAGCCAAAACAATCCTAAGCAAAAAGAACAAAGCCAGAAACATTACATTACCCAACTTCAAATTATACTATAAGGCTGCGGTCACAAAAACTACATAATACTGGCTCAAAAACAAACACATACACCAATGAAACAGAATAGAGAACCCAAAAATAAAGCTGCACACCTATGGCCGTCTAATCTTCTACAAAGTTGACAAAAATAAGCAATGGGGAAAAGACTTCCTATTCAATAAATCTTGCTGGGATAACTGGATAGCCATACGTAGAAAAATGAAATTGGACCCCTACATTTCACCTTATAAAAAATTAACTCAAGATGCATTAAAGTAAATGTAAGACCCCAAACTTTAAGAATCCTAGAAGAAAACCTAGGAAACACCATTTTGGACATGGGCTCTGGGAAATAATTTATGACTAAGTCTTCAAAAGCAATTCCAATAAAAAAAGTGACAAGTGTGACCTAATTAAAGAGTTTCTTCATAGCAAAAGAAACTATCAACAGAGTGAACAGACAACCCACAGAATGGGAGAAAATATTTGCAAACTATGCATCCAACAAAGGTCTAATTTTCAGAATCTATAAGGAACTTAATTGAACAAACAAAACACAT
The DNA here is from genome assembly GCF_000001405.40 of Homo sapiens. Lineage (NCBI taxonomy): Eukaryota > Metazoa > Chordata > Mammalia > Primates > Hominidae > Homo > Homo sapiens. Next base: position 134,096,119 of record NC_000007.14, read on the forward strand.
TAGAAAGTGGGCAAAAGAACAGACACTTCCCAAAAGGAGGCATACAACAAATATATGAAAAAATGTTCAACATCACTAATCATCAGAGAGGTGCAAATCAAAAGCACAATGAGTTTTAATAAAAGGAAGAACTTTACATAGGAAGAGTAGCCCACAATGGAATAAGTCACATTTTAAAGTGGTGTGCTGCTTTTCACTTAAAGACTTCAGTCAAAGATAGAGGGCCATTTATCACAATGTTGAATGTGATTTTCTTCTCTACTGGGTAGAGGATTTTTTAGAAGACCTTTTGTATTAGTCAGCGTTCTTTAAAGGGACAGAACTAATGGGATATAGGTGTATATATGAAGGGGAGTTTATTAAGGAGTATTGACTCATATGATCACAAGGTGTAAGTCCCACAATAGGCCATCTGCAAGCTGAGGAGCAGGGAAGCCAGTCCATTCCAAAACCTCAGAAGTCAGGAAGCTGACAGTGCAGCCTTCAGTCTGTGGCCAAAGGCCCAAGAGCCCCTGACAAACCACTGGTTAAGTCCAAGAGTCCAAAAGCTGAAGAATTTAGAGTCTGATGTTCAAGGGCAGGAAGCATTCAGCAGGGGAGAAAGATGTAGGCTGGAAGACTCAGCAAATCAAGTGCTCCCACGTTCTTCTGCCTGCTTTATTCTAGCCTCGCTGGCAGCTGATCAGATGGTGCCCACCCAGATTGAGGGTGGGTCTGCCTCTCCCATTCACTGACTCAAATGTTAATCTCCTTTTGTAACACCCTCACAGACACAACCAGGAACAATACTTTGCATTCTTCAATCAAGTTGACACTCAATATTAACCATCACAACTCTGTTTTCAAGTTGACTTATAACTTGACATCTGCCACCACCACCATTTTTTTACAGAAAAAAATATGAAGTAGTATGGAATTATGATATATACACATTAAAAAGATACAAATTTTAAAAAATAGAGATCAGAAACCACATGGAAGACTTAGGAGAGTAGCAACAATTAAAATTAAAAATTTGAGCTCATGGAAGTTCAAAGAAGAAAATCCAACTCCCAATGATTGGAGATGTTGATTTAGTACATCTGGAGTGGAACCGGGTAATATATTCTTTTTTTAAGCCTCTTATCTAATTCTGGTTAGAGATCAACTGTCTCAGACTGTCTCTCCCAGCTCTTGGTCATCTCCTCCATGATTTTGTCAGGGGCTAAACATTACCCAATTTAAGGTAAGCTAAAGAGTATTCCTGTTACAGATAGAAAAAAAAAAAAGTTCATGGGTAGCAGTTCCCAGAAGGTGGGTATGAAAAGCCTAGCTCTCTCCCTAATGGAGAAAAGCAAATCTCACCATCCATTATTCACAGAGACTTTTTGTAGTTCCCTGAAGCAAGGCTGTTTTACCCTGCCCAACTTGGGAAGCATTCTCCTTGGTTCACGCTAATGGAAAATGGAGGAGAAAATGGTTTATAGACTATTCTTGCTGAGACAACCGTCTGGGTGACCCAAAACAAAAATCAACTAATCAATCCCAAGGCTTCCTACACATTGACTGGAAATCTACCCCCACAACTTGATGTGGGAGGGAAACACCCAAGTTCCCAGAAAATCCCATTTATCCATAAGACCCTTCTCCTCATTATTTCAGCCTCCCTAGGGATAGACACTAAGGTGTTACAGCTCTGGTCCATTGCATGAAGAGTTATCCAGGGCCTGGAAGATGTTCATGGTGGCATCAACTGACCACCTCAGTCATAAATGGTCCTGGAAATCCGACTTGGATCAGTACTGCCTTCTGATCAAAACTTAGATGATCAGTGATATCCAAGGTCCCTAATAACTACTGGATTCTCAGATTCCAGTGTGTGAGCATGAGACAATGAAGGCAAATGGGTAGGACCTGGCACACACACATCCCAAGCACTGTCACGAAAGGAGGATTCACACATATCAACATAAAGTCTGAGACCAAAGCAAAGAAATAGCACCTGATGTTCTTTTCAACCAAGATCCCTGCTTAATTCCAAACATATTCTTCAGGCTGGATGTCGGGCAGCTGAAGGGTGATCAGTCTTCTGCTGGAATTAAAGCCTGCTGTGATGTTAATGAAGAACCGCCAGTGGGTTTGCTGGAAGGTAATTTAGATCTACATAATTATGACTTAATCCCTCACCCGGTGACATCAGAAAGGTCCTTACCCAAGTGCAAGCTGCGTGATATCATGCCACAGAGAGTACAGCTGTGTTTCTCCTGTTCCTTTTTGTGAGTAGTGCTCACATCAGTCATGATAGCTTTATTAAATGGTGTAACCCAACCCAATTCTTGCACACACAGTGCTATTTCCTAATCAAAACTGCAAAATGTGGCTGAGCAGGCTGTGAAAAGAAAGCTAGGTCTGCATCTTAAATAGCAGATTAACTGCTCTGCATGGGAAAGTTGCTGGGGTGGAGGGGTGGGGACAGCTGAGAACATCAGTACTTCAGGGGTAGCAGTTGGAGGTACTGCCTCTCTAGCAGTTGGAAGTGAAGAAATCCTCACAGCTATCTTCAGAACTCTACCTCTGGTTCTGGGGACAACTGTCATGGCAGGGACACATCACATTCAGCCAGTTCCCAGGGCCAACAAGAGCTCTCACTGAAGTATTTATGCTTCTTGTCCTCCATCTTCCAAGAGAGATGAGACATGGGTGTGAGAAAGAGAAAACCTTTAGAAAATAGCTTGGAGCCACGTCCAACACAGTGCCTGACTCAGATGCAAAGCCAGTGTTTTGTGCCATCAAGTATGGTAAAGATGTAAGAGTTTCTTAGGCCAGAGGCATTCAAGGAGGGATAGAGTTTATGTCAAGCTTGGGGTAGGGAGGTGGGGAAAGGGTCAAGGGTGTTTCCAGAAGGAGATGGCATTTGGGCTTGGCCTAAAGGATGGTGTTATGAGTTGAACTGTGTCCTCCGCCAAAATGCATATTTTAAGTCTTAACCCCCCAGTACCTCAGAATGTGACCTTATTTGGAATTAGGGTTATTGTAGATGTAATTAGTTAAGATGAGGTCATACTGGAGTAAGGTGAGCCTCTAATCCCATAAATGGTGTCCTTGTAAAAAGGGTGATGGGACTCAGGACATGCTACCAACATTGTGGCACTTTGGCATTTGAGAAAACAGCAGAAGCAGGAAGGTCATTTTCACCATCCGCCTCATGCTTTGTCCCTGAAGCAGGCCATAAAACCTAGAAAGGCCACTCTCTGACCTCCCTCTCTTCTCTCCTGAAGACCGTCATGTGACAGCTGTCCTGTCTTATACCTAGAGGGAAGGAAAGTCACACAGGGACACCAAGAAGGAGCTGAACAAACAGGCCTTCTAGTTCCCCCCAGTGTATTACCATTAGATGGTTGCCTTTGCTCCTCCCATCACACTTCTTTTTTTTTTTTTTTTTTTTTTTTTTTTTGAGACAGTCTCGCTGTCACCCAGGCTGGAGTGCAGTGGCACGATCTTGGCTCACTGCAGGCTCCGCCCCCCGGGGTTCATGCCATTCTCCTGCCTCAGCCTCCCATGTAGCTGGGACTACAGGCACCCGCCACCTCGCCAGGCTAATTTTTTGTATTTTTAGTAGAGACGGGGTTTCACCGTTTTGCTCTTGTCACCCAGTCTGGAGTGCGATGGCGAAATCTCAGTTCACTGCAACCTCCACCTCCTGGGTTCAAGTGCTTCTCCTGCCTCAGTCTCCCAAGTAGCTGGGATTACAGGTGCCCACCACAACACCCAGCTAATTTTTGTATTTTTAGTAGATACAAGGTTTCGCCATGTTGGCCAGGCTGGTCTCGAACTGCTGACCGTAGGTGACCCACCCGCCTCAGCCTCCCAAAGTGCTGGGATTACAGGCATGAGCCACTGCACCTGGCCCTCCCATCACACTTCTGCACAGGTTTCCCTGGTTCTTTGGGTCTTCATTTCTAAAGGCTACCATGTCACATAAAACTTAAAAAAAATATGCATTTTTCTTGCTGATATGTCTTTTTGTTATAGTGGTCTCAGCCATGAACCTTGTTAATGGGTGAGGAAAATACCTTTTTCTCTCCTACAGGGGGAAATTTGGAGACAGACACATACACAGGGAGATGCCGTGTGAAGACTTGAGTTCTGCTGCCACAAGCCTAGGAACCATTAGAAGCCAGGGAAGAGGCCTGGAACAGCTCCTTCCCCAGCACCTTCAGAGGGAGCAAGCCTCTACCAACAACCTGATTTTGAACTCCTCGCCTCCAGAACTGTGAGACAATATATTTCTGTTGTTTTAAGCCACCCAGCATGTGGTACTTGGTTACAGCAGCCCTGGCAAACAAATACAGGTTTGTAGGACTGTATCTTTAGAGATGAAAAGGAGAACCTCAAGCGGAAGGAAGAGCATGAGCTTACTGGGGTAAGAATATGTATTTATATATTGAGTGCATTCAGCAGTTCGGTTCTACTGGAACCACGGTCTGTAAAGGAGCCATGTATGGGAAGGTTATTGTGGCCAAGTAACAGAGGCTTTGAATGCTGGAAAAGACATCTAAATTTTGGAGCCAGGCACGGTGGCTCACGCATGTAATCCCAGCACTTTGAGAGACCGAAGCAGGTAGATCACGAGGTCAAGAGATAGAGAGTATCCTGGCCAACATGGTGAAACCCCTTCTCTACTAAGAATACAAAAACTAGCTGGGCGTGGTGGCATGCACCTGTAGTCCCAGCTACTTGGGAGGCTGAGGCAGGAGAATCGCTTGAGCCTGGGAGGTGGAGGTTGCAGTGAGCCGAGATTGCAGCACTGCACTCCAGCCTGGTGACAGAGCAAGACTCCATCTAAAAAAAAAAAAAGACATCTACATTTTTATCTGGCAGAGTTTGCTTCTTTTGTGTTAATATTTACTTCTATCTATCTTGGCCTAAAATGATTTGAGGTGGCTGACCTTAGCATGTAGATCATGGGGAACCAGGTTGTGTGCCAGGAAGTGACTTGATCGGCACCTGCACAGGAAGATGATCTCGGATGCAACTCCTTGGAGAAACAGAGTCAAGCAGCAGCCCAGGTGAGAAGCTTGGCCATCATCTGAAAACTATGCAAAGCAGGTCTGAACTAGGAAAAGGGCAGAAGGTCAGAGAAGAGGGGATAAAGACAAGAGGTGAAATGATAGGTTGACCTGGCAAATGCTTGCATGACACAGGAAGAGAGAGAAAGGAATTGAATGGAACGTGGTCAACATTTGAGCCTGGTGACTGTGAGGACAGTGGTGCCATTTGCAGATTTAGGAGGAAGCATCACGTTGGGGAGGTGGAGGAGTTGGTTTTGTGCACATTGACTCTGAGGTGGTGGAGGGGTCCAGCAGGCAGTTGGACTTATGAGAAAATGCACCATTATTCATCCAAACAAGATAATTGAATTTTTGAAGGCAGCTAAAAAATAATGGTTCTACGCTACAAGAAATGAAGTGAAATGGTAAAACAACAACAACGACAAAAAAACATACACACACACACACAAAAAGCAAAAAACAAAATAACCCACCCAATTAATCCATTTGGAGGTTGTTCTCATCTAGTGAAATGTGTGTGTGTGTGTGTGGGTGTGTGTGCACTTCAGTACTGTTAACAAAGAAAAGGTCTGGTCAGTGGCAAAAACTACTTGAATGCTGCTTTCAGCAAAGTCATCCCTCTCTTCAGAAGGATGAAGTACTCTTGTTTGTCAAGGAAGGTCCCTCTCAACTAGAAAAACAGCTGCAGGAACTCCAACCCAAGGTCCCCACAGCCCACAGGGGTGATCTCTTGCTTTGCTCTCCTGGCTGTCTCAGGAAGCAGAAGTGGAAACATTTGAGATGACAGCAGCTCTGCTTTCTTTGTAGAGTTAATTAGCTGGTGAATACTGAGCTCTCCGACAGAGAGGAAGCTCGGGTTATCAAAGTATTATTAATTGATGCATCTGGAGAAAGAGAGAAGCAGCCCCATCTGGACAGAGCTTGGATTCTTTTAGCGCCAGAATGGAAGAAAGCCCTTTTTAAAGTACAGTAAGAAAAGCCTGGTTCAGCTAAACAGTGAGGGGTAGTAGAATCTAACTCGCACTCAACCCTACTTAACACCTTCCATTCTTAAGTATTTATTAAGCCCGGTACAAGTGACAAATACCACATGTGATCTGTTGTCACCAAAACTCATTAAGACAAATAATATTGAATAAGATCACACAGGATGGCTTGCCATCAGAACTACTTACTACTTCAGGCCGGGTGCCATGGCTCATGCCTGTAATCCCAGCACTTTTGGTAGCTGAGGCAGGTGGGTCACCTGAGGCAAGGAGTTCGAGACCAGCCTGGCCAACATGGCGAAACCCCGTCTCTACTAAAAATACAAAAATTAGCCAGGCGTGGTGGTGGGTGCCTGTAATCCCAGCTACTCAGGAAGCTGAGCCAGGAGAATCACTTCAACCCAGGAGGCGGAGGTTGCAGCGAGCCAAGATTGCACCACTGCACTTCAACCTGGGCGAAAGAGCAAGGCTGCATCTAAAACAAACAAACAAATAAACAAACAAGCAAACAAACTACTTACTACTTCCAATAGAAATAGAATACAAGCCACATGTAATTTTAAACTTTCTTTTTTTTTCTTTTAGGGACAGTTTCGCTCTTGTCGCCCAGGCTGGAGTGCAGTGGCATGATCTCAGCTCACTGCAACCTCCACCTCCCAGTTGGTTTCAAGCAATTCTCCTGCCTCAGCCTCCCAAGTAGCTGGGATTACAGGAGACCACCACCACACCCGGCTAATTTTTTATATTTTTAGTAGGGACAGTGTTTCATCATGTTGTCCAGGCTGGTCTCAAACTCCTGACCTCAGGTGATCCGCCCACCTCTGCCTCCTAAAGTGCTGGGATTACAGGCATGGGCCACCAGGCCCAGCCAATAATTTTAAACTTTCTAGTAGCCACACTTAAAAAAGTAAAAAGAAACAAGCAAAGTTAATTTTAATAATATATATACTACATAATATATATTAAATAATATATTATATAAATACAATATTAATATAATATATTATATAAATACAATATTAACATAATATATTATATAAATACTATATTAATATAATATATAAATACTATATTAATATATTATATAAATACTATATTAATATATTATATAAATACTATATTAATATAACATATAAATACTATATTAATATAACATATAAATACTATATTAATATAATATATAAATACTATATTAATATAATATATTATATAAATACTATATCAATATAATATATTATATAAGTACTATATTAATATAGTATATAAATACTATATTAATATAATATAGTATATAAATACTATATTAATATATTATATAAATACTATATTAATATAATATATAAATACTATAATAATATATAAATAATATATTAATATTATATATAATTATATATTAAATTACATATAATATATAAATATATATTATATAATATATAAATATATATTAAATTATATAAAATATATATTAAATTATATATATAAAATATATATTAAATAATATATAAAATATATATTAAATAATATATAAAATATATATTATGTAAAATATATATTAAATAATATATAAAATATATATTATATAATATATAAAACATAAATAATATATAAAACATATATTAAATAATATATAAAATATAAAACATATATTATATAATATATAAAATTTATATATTATATATTATATAAATATATTTATTATATATATTATATAAATATATATTTATATATAATATAAATATATATTATATATTATATAATATATTAAAATATATATAATTAATATAATATATATTAATAATATGTATTATTTAACCCAGTGTGTCCAAAATATTACCATTTCAACATGCAATCCATATTTTAAAATTATTGAAGTATTTTACTTTTTTTTGGTATGAAGTCTTCAAAATCCAGCATATACTTTACACTTAAAGTGTATCTCAGTTTTAAGTGTTTGAGGGTCCCATGTGGCTGGTGGCCCACTTATTGGGAAGCACAGCACCATCTCTTCTGAACAGAAGACTTCAATCCTTGCTATTTATACAAACCCATTCTCTAGTTATGGCCTCACACCTCATTTTCACAATGGATGATCTTTCTTCTGATTAAAAAAAAAATTTAGACAAGATACACTTAACAGAATTGATTTGAGCAAGGAACAATTCATGAATTGGGCAACAGTCCAATTCAGCAGGAGAGGTTCAGAGAGCTCTGTAGCTGTAGCAGCATGGGCAGTGAGCTTATATAGGCTGGCATGGAAGTAACACAAAGAAAATCTATTTCATTGCTTAGAGTAGAAAGATCTTAGTTGCAGGTTTATTGGCAGTTTCTGGTTGGTGAAGTTTTCAGTTTCGTTTTATCGTTTACATCAGGCGTTGGTCTGCTTACGTAGAAACTTAAAATATTGGAGTCACCCCAGTCTAATGATTCCCCATCCCCAGATTTTTTTAACACTTCAAAATGTGTGACCAATTAATTTGCTAGAGATTTCTTCAAAATTATAAGGTATTTCCTCCTGTTTAAAAGCTAGAGGACTCAGGGCCGTACGTGGTGGCTCATGCCTATAATCCCAGCACTTTGGGAGGCCAAGGCCAGCGGATCACTTTAGTTCAGGAGTTTGAGACCAGCCTGACCAACATGGCAAAACCCAGTCTCTACTAAAAATACAAAAATTAGCCAGGCATGGTGGCATGCACCTGTAGTCCTAGCTACTAGGGAGGCTGAAGTATGAGAATGGCTTGAACCAGGGAGGTGGAGATTGCAGTAAGCTGAATTGTGCCACTGCACTCCAGCCTGGGCAATAGAGTGAGACTCCATCTAAAAATAAAAATAAAAAATAAAAGCTACAGGACTCAGTTTACAGATATTATTTTGTGCTGATGGGGTTCAGGATATGCTACTCCAAAATATGGTACCTTGACATATCGAATATCATAGGCTGAAAGAATTTGAGAAAACCAAAGAAGCAGGAGGGTCACTTTCTGACTTTCTTTCACACTTCTCTTCTGAAGCAGGTCATAAAACCTAGGAAGGATTTTCTGACCTTCCCCTGAAGCAGGTTCTAAGACTCTTATTCAAGAGGTGCCCTCTCTACACCTGCAGGAAAGGAAAGTTCTTATCTTTGAGGATACAAAGACACAGAGAAGAATCTGAACAAATAGACCTTGCTAAGATCTCCCTAGTTTATTACCATCAAATCATCCCCCCTTTATGCAGTCATATCTCTCCATGACTGTCCATTCTTCACTAAACTTAGCATAAAAATATACTTAAAGTGCTTCTTTGGGTTATTTCTTTATAAAGCCTCCATGTATGTAAAACTTATTCAATAAATTCGTATGCTTTTTCTCTTGTTAATCTATCTTTTGTTTCTGGATTTAGCCATGAAGCTAGCAATGGATGAGGAAAAGATGTTTTTGTTCCCCTACAGTGCAAAAGCAAGCTTGAATCTCAAATTTTAATGGAAAGGAATTGGGGAGAAAGAGAGCATTTACCCAGTGGTTTTTTCTATGTGCCACATACCATGCTAGGCACTGCATTTACACTATTTCATGTAATTCTTACATTCAACTGAGCAACACATGTATTACCACCATTTTTCCATTGGGAAAACTGCGGATATAAGAGGATAAATGCCTTGCCCGAGTACATATTACCAGTAACAGCTGGTGTTACCAGTAAAGGCCCTAATTTTCAGTATTACTGGTCCTTTTTACTGTAAGCATCATAGGGACAGAGGCCAACTCTACTGGCAGTACTTGGTAGATTTCCGTATCTCTGTCATTGAACAAGTCACATGGCGTGTGTTACAGTGTGCTCTTTTAGTTTTGCCATCTGTAGGTGGCTTGTGTTAATCAGCTCAATTAGACCCTGTGCCTTATCACAAAGACAGAGGGCTTTCTGTATTCGGGGGTTCTTGCCTTAGTGTACTGGAAAAATTGGATCACACATGGGCTTGGAGAATGAGGGCAAGGTTTTATTGAGTGGTCAAAGTAACTCTCAGCAGATGGATAGGAGCCAGAAGCGGGGTGGTCTTTCCCTGGAGTTGGGCCCCTCAGCAGCCGGGTTCTCTTCCAACCACCCTTGGCTGAACTCCACGTTGTCCTGTTGTAGATGGCCTGCCAGTGTCTCTGGTGTCTGCCGGTGTGCTTTTCTGCCAGTATGTTCCTCTTGACATCCAGCCACTTGTGTCTGTGCCCACTAGGGTTTTGGGGGTTTTACAGGCACAGGATAGGGGCGTGGCAGGCCAGGGTGGTCTTGGAAAATGCAGTATTTGGGTATGAAAACAGAAATGCCTGTCCTCACCTAGGTCCTTGGGCACAGGCCTGAGGGTGGAGCCCTAGCCAGGGACCATGCCCTTTTCTACCCAGCACTTCCCTGCCCTCCTCCTGTATCAAATGCAGGCCATGTGGTATCCAAGACTGTCTCACATTCTCATCAAGGTATGTGGCTCATTGGATGCAGCCCATCCCACTGCCCCCATCCCACCCCACAGCAGTACCATGAAGACCTCACTCAGCACAACACTGAAGCCACGTACACCTACTGATAGGGTAGGGCAGACAGGAAACCTTATCCACAGACAGAAGCTAAGGCAGCTGCCCACTCTCTACCCTGGGAAGCCCCAGCCCCTCTCCTGTTAAACTCTTGTTCCCTCAGGTGAGGCTGAGGGATGAGACTTTACTCAACATCCTGGAGCTGGCTCTTCCTCATGCACAGCCTTTGAAGATCCCATGGAAAAGGGGTGGCAGCTAGCAGCAATAAAATATGTTACTGGTGGAGGATGTCCAGGTTCTTGGCATTTTTTTTTTTTTTTGAGACTGTCACTCTGTTGCCCAGGCTATAGTGTAGTGGTGCAATCTCGGCTCACTGCAACCTCCACCTCCCAGGTTCAAGTAATTCTCCTGCCTCAGCCTCCCAAGTAGCTGGGATTACAGGTGTGTGCCACCATGCCTGGCTAATTTTTGTATTTTTCATAGAGACAGGGTTTCACCATGTTAGTCAGGCTGGTCTCGAACTCCTGACCTCATGATCCGCCCACCTCGGCCTCCCAAAGTGCTGGGATTACAGGTGTGAACCACTGTGGCCAGCCGGTTCTTGGCATCTTGAACAAAGAATTGGACAAGACGCACAGACAAAGCAAGGAAAGAATGAAGCAACAAAAGCGGAGATTTTTTGAAAATGAAAGTATACTCCACAGAGTGGGAGCGGGCCAAGCACAGGGGCTCAAGAGCCGGTTAAAGAATTTTCTGCCATTTAAATACCCTCTAGAGGTTTCCATTGGTTACTTGGTGTATGCCTTATGTAAATGAGGAAGATGAAGTAAAGTTGCAAACTCATTTACTTGGTGTATGCACTGTGTAAATGGAAAGGATATTTCCTGTCATAGCTGAAGTGTTTCCATTTGATTTAGTTCTAGGAAGTCAGCGTGAATTGGCCTTATGTTCCCTGCCTCCAGATCTTGTTCTCCTGCCTCAATAATACTACATTTTAAAAAGTGGTTGAAGAGAGCTCCTCATTGCAGAGGGAAGGCAGCAGTGCACAACAAGGGGAAATGGGCTAGTTAAGAGGAGAGGTCAAGAAAAGGGTGAGGTGGAAAAAATAGTGGGGGGCCTGCAACCTGCAGAGTCCTGCAGTTGATCTGCAAAGTGAAAGAAGCAGGGGCTGACTCCCCTCTTCTGCCCCGCTCCTCCCGTCTCACTTCCAAGGCTCACCTGCCCTTTCTTCCTCAGCTGGTAAAAAATGGGACCCTGATTTGTACTCTCTGCTTACTTTACCCTGATTTATTTCCCTTTCAAGAGTATAAGCTGAGGGCAGAGACTTGACTTTACTTGAGTTTATATCTTGCACCACACTTATCACAGTGCTTTGCACAAGTAGGCAATCCACACCATTTGGTGAATTTAATGATGAAGATCTGGGGTGCCCTGTGAATTTAAGATTGTAAAGGGGTTAAGAGTAAAAAGACACAGAGAATATTGAGACATTCATTTGCATTTGAGAGAGAGGAGTGGGAGGAGGATACAGAGAGGGACCGAATTGGGACAAGAGGTACAAGTGGGGTACAGTCTGCAGACCCTTGAAAAGCCCCGGATAAATCACATTAAAGAGCTCGAGCCTGAATGACTGCTTTTGGTGGACAGATACCTGTTTGATCTTAAAAAAGAACATGGGAGAGAAGTTTCCTCTGGCTCCCTGTGTAATTGCTCTGCATTTCAGAAAGAAAGCTCTCTAAATTACAAGGAAAGAAATGAATGTGTAGTAATTAATTGCCCCAGCTTCTCCCAAAAAAAAAAAAGAAAGAAAAAGGTGACATAGCTTAAGTAACCATTTCACCACTGGAAACATCCAAAGGCAGTTACCATCATCAAGGGAAATAATAAAAGACCCAAGCTGGTTTTCTGTGGGATGCACAGAATGTGGTAGAAAGAGCATGGGTTTAGGGATCGGAAGACCTAGGTTGACATTTTTTGCGGCACCACTGAGTAGCTTATGTGCTCTCAGTCTTAGGCAAGTCACCTAAACTCCTAAACTATGTTTGTCCCTCTGCAAAATGGGGATAATAATTCCCACCATTATAACTATTAAGAAACAGAAAGTGTGTAAAGAACTCAGTATAATGCCTGGATTATTGAAGGTGCCCTTACTGTGAAATCCCTTTATTCTATACGTGTCCAAAATGGTGGCAGTACCTGGTGGGCCAGCTGCTTATTAATTTGCTAGCAGGTTGACATCCTAGATTTGTTTTCAGAAGAAATGCATTAAATAATTTACAGTTCCACAACATCCACAGAGAAAACTGGTAGGATTGGGTATCTTCATAAAATATTGAGGAAGGGAGGCACCTAGAGGCAGTCAAGCAAATTAGGAGGCTCAAACTGAAAAGGAAAACATTGGCATGCTTTCTCTCCTCACTAGGACTTGGTACTCCACTTGTTCACTAGTCTATGATAGTGAGAACTGTTGGGTACAAAAAGAGCTCCACTGGCCCCCATTTCTGCTGCTTTCTGTTAGCCCCTGGTCCATAGCTCCATTAGTACATAATCGCATTGTATTACAACACCCATCCATCTTTATGAGTCGTTTGGACTTAGTTCACTTTCTCCTGCTAGACCACGGGTTAGCCTAGGCACCTTTTTAAAAACTTTTCTTGTCTTCCTAAGGGAAATTCCAGGAATCTAGAAGCTTCTGTGTAGTATGTAAATTATAGAGAAAGACTGCCGTTTTCCAACTGAAATATGACCCCTTTTAGTGCTGAGATGAGGTCACGGGATGTTCATTTCCTCGTATCTTTAAGGGATAGCTGCAAAGTTAACAGAGCTACTTTCAGAGGAGCCATTAGGAAGGCAAGGGAGGGCTGAGGCTCTGACCCACGTTTCATTTTTGTAAGGGTCGGCCATCTTCCTGCTGAGTTATTCCTTTTTTTTTTTTTTTTTTTTTTTTTTTTTGAGACACAGTCTCGCTCCATTGCCCAGGCTGGAGTGCCGTGGCACGATCTCAGCTCACTGCAACCTCTGCCTCCCGGGTTCAAGTGATTCTCCTGATTCAGCCTCCTGAGTAGCTGGGATCACAGGCACCCTTCTCCACTCCCAGCAAATTTTTGTATTTTTAGTAGAGATGGGGTTTCACCATATTGGCCAGGCTGGTCTCGAACTCCTGACCTCAGGCGATCTGCCTGCCTCAGCCTCCCAAAGTGCTGAAAGTGCTGGGATTACAAGCATGAGCCACTGCCTGGCCTTATTCCCTTCTTTTTCTTTTTTCTTTTCTTTTTTTTTTAATCTCAGCCTCTCGTGGCAGCTCTCTAACTGTTGTTCTTTGAGAGGGAGTTCTTGTTCCTCTATTCTAGTAGAGCGGCTCCAAGTTTATGGAATCAGCTTTCTTTGATTTGCTGTTGTTCCTCCAGAAGTTGTGTGCTTACCAGAGTTGCTTTAAGAAGAATGTTTGATTTTCTAGTAATAGTCTTGAGTTGAGCAGTGGTGGCTTCATCCTTGTTTTGCATTTCTACATATTCCTCATGTGGTGATACTTCTTCACCTTAGACACTTTGGTCTTTGAGTGGTTGAGCTCAGAATTGTAGCTTTGACAGTCTACAGCCTAAATTCTACAGTTTGTCACATAATTAAAATGCCTGTGCTCTTTTGCCCTCAATTAATACATCAATGGGCCTGCTTAACAATGAAATGTATCTAGTTTCTGTGTTTATTATCTGAAATCATGAACAAGGTAGGTGAGTAGCCCTGGTGATCCTAATAGTAGACCAGCATTTGTTTTGGGAAGGGAAGGCAGGCTAGGGTGGGAAGGGATAATCAGGCTGCAAACCCAAGTCCTATGCCCTATAGGAGAGGAAATTGTCTCCTTCTATCCATCTTAGGTGCATCTCAGGGGCCCCAAAAGACAGACAAACTTATTTAATGTAAGTTTTATGTGATACAGGAGCCTTCATAAGGAAGACCTGAAGAAGTGGTTAAACCTGAGTATTTTCTTTTTTTTTTTTTTTTTTTTGGAGATGGAGTCTCGCTCTGTCACCCAGGCTGGAGTGCAGTGGCGCAGCCTCAGCTCACAGCAACCTCCGCCTCCTGGGTTCAAGCAATTCTCCTGCCTCAGCCTCCTGAGTAGCTGGGACTACAGACGCATGCCACCACACCCGGCTAATTTTTTTTTTTTTTTTTTGGATTTTAGTAGAGACAAGGTTTCACTGTGTTGCCCAGGCTGGTTTCAAACTCCCGAGCTTAGGCAATTCACCCGCCTTGGCCTCCCAAACTGTTGAGAATACAGGCGTGAGCCACCGCACCTGGCCCTGAGTATTTTTTAATAGTAGGTTTGATGAAGAGCAGAAAATTGTGGAGAAATATGATAGGGCAAAAAGGGAATGATCTAATGGTAATAAACTGAGGGAAACTTAGCAAGGCCTGTTCAGATTCTTCTTGCCATCTCTGTGTCTTCAAAGATAAGAATGTTATTTCTTCCACATGCAGGTGGGCACCTCCCACATTAGAGTCTTTTGACCTGCTTCAGGGGAGGGTCAGCAAATCCTTTTTAGGTTTTATGACCTGCTACAGGAGGTTGGGGAGGGTGGGTGGCAGTCAGATTGACCTTTCTGCTTCTGTAGTTTTCTCATATTCTTTCAGTATAAAATATTCAGTACACCAAGGTGATATTTTTGGGGTAACATTTCTCACACTCCATCATCCCCAGGTAAGTTCTGGGCACCAACTAATATCTCAACGATGGAAGTTTGCTAAAGGCTTAAAGCCAATAGCCACACTGTTACTTGAAGGTAAGTGGACTTGTCTTTGATCCTGAATGACATGACCTTCCCTGTTAAAGCACCTGATCCTTTTCTGGACAATGTCTGGCCGGTGCGTACGTTGGTGTCCAGTGCTCTCTTCCCCTGGGTTGAGGTGCTTGCCTCTGCTCTTTCTTCTTGCCCTCCCTCATTTGTTTCCTTACCCCTGGAAACAGTATTGCTGCTTCCCATCTGAGTCTGCTTATGCAATCAAGACTCGGCATAGACCATGGTGTATTCTTTTCTCTCCCTATCTTTCCCTTCTGTTCATCTATTTCTTTCTAAGCAATTCAAATGACAACCTCTTCCTACAATGGCAGCCTGTCTGGTAGATACTGTTGTAAAACAATACAGATCTTTTTCTTCTTTACTCAGAAAAACTAATGTCTTTTGTGGTCAAAAGAAAATGAGTAGCAGCTAAAAGTAGAATTTTAATGACAAAACAACCTAATTGTTATTCAGCTTTAACTTTCAATCCTACCTCCTGTTCCACAAATTCGTATTAATTCATCAGCTAAATAATGTGGCTTCTACTAAAGATTCTGACATCTAATTCTCTGCCTGTGCAGGTTTATTGCCAGGGTGAAAAATACTTTGTCTTTATATTTTCATTTTTAAAAACAAGCATAATGAAAATATAAAATATCATTTAGGATTTATCTAAGAAGATTTGGCAGCTTCTTTGAGAAATGGTTAGATAAAGAAATATGGATCAAATTTAGAAGTCGTCTCTCCTAGCCTTAAGTCATTATTTCAATACGTATGAACTGATTAGATGGGGAGAAGATCTCTCTATCTATAGTTTTAACTATGATCCATGTCCACTTATTTATTTTAAAAAGTTTAACATAAAGAGTAATTTTTGAGACAACAAAGGATTAGGAAGTAGCCATGTAACTGTAAATTGTGATGGTTATTATCCTTGAAATAGGTTGGGTTTACAACTCTCATGCCTGGCTGTCTACCTACTGTAACAAGAGGATACAATCCCTTTGAAAGAGGACTAAAAGAGCAAGAGCAAGAGAAATAGAACACTTGGGTAGTCCCAGTGTCATAGCTCTCATTCACTTCTGATATGATAAATTTTGCTTAATGTAATCCAGTCCTGCGTTCACTTGTTATGTCCAAATTATAAATATATTTCTGTGGCTGAGTGATACATAAACAATGCTTAACATCTTGTCTGGGTTTAGGGAGACTGGAGAAACCCTCCTGGATCCTTTAAGCTGCTGGTAGTGTAAAATCCTATTACTTGTCTGCATATAATAATTATATTAATCACTGCTCAGTAAGAGATGTTGGTCTTTTACATCAAGTTTTCCCTTTGGAATCTTAGCCTTTAAAACACACACACACACACACCCCTCAGAATTTTCCTTCCCTTTCTTTCCCCCACAGTTCCCCTCCCCATACCAAAAAAAAAAAAAAAAAAAAAAAGAAGAAAGAAAGAAAAGAAAAAAGAAAAAAAAGCACAGGAGACATGACTCCTGGGTCTCTCTCACTTAACCATCAACTTCCAAACAGGATGTAAGTACCATGGTGAATATCTCTCTAGACTAATTAGTTTTGTTGGCTCCTTTCAAATGGTTGTCTTTATGTTCATGTATCATTCTTATTGGGCAGGAGCCCAGCAGGAAATATTTGGCCCACTCAAAATTCTGAAGAGAATTTAATAAAGGGTCTATTTACAGAGGTATGGGCAAGGTTAAGGAAACCAACAAAGGATGCTGAGGTCCCCGGGGCCTAGCCACAGCAGGAAGCTGAAGGATCAAGAGAAGCAAACGATATTTTTTTAAAAAGCAGTAGGGTCTTTTCAACAGATGATGTTGGGACTACTGGATATCCACATGCAGAAGAATGAAATTGCACCCTTATCTCACACCATATATAAAAATCAACTCAAAATGGATTAAAACTTGGCCAGGCATGGTGGCTCATGCCTGTAATCCCAGCACTTTGCAGGGCCAGGGCAGCTGGATCACCTGAGGTCAGGCGTTCGGGCCCAGCCTGGCCAACATGGTGAAACCCCATCTCTACTAAAAATACAAAAATTATCTGGGTGCAGTGGCACATGCCCATAGTCCCAGCTACTCAGGAGGCTGAGGCAGGAGAATCGCTTGAACCTGGGAGGTGGAGGTTGCAGTGAACCCAGATCACACCACTGCACTCCAGCCCGGGTGACAGAGCAAGACTCCATCTCAAAGAAAAAAAGCGATTAAAAACTTAAACATAAGACTTCAAACTGTAAAACTACCAGAAGAAAGCATAGGAAAAAAATGATTCTTAATGTTGGTCTTGATGTAAGCCAAAAATAAAACTCTAAGCTTTCCCCCTGACCCCCAACTGACTGAATGGACTACTCTCTCAGCCAAGGACATTCCAAAGTAAACCTGAAAAACTAGTTCAGGCCATGATGGGAAGAGGGGGTCAGACATTATACCCTCCTCCCTTTGGAATACAAACACAACTGACCAGCATTAACATTAAAACAGTGATCTTAAGACTGACAAAACAGACTCTTGTCAGTAGCAATAAGATACTGAATTCCAACCTGACTCTAGTATAGCATCACATGACAGATAGCAGGCCCTGAAAGAAATCAAAGTGTTTTACCCCCAAATATATTTCTTTGACATATTTTGAAATGGCGCTGCAAACTGTTTCTTGCAGGGAAAATTTACATTCTGTAGAGAATCCCCTTCCATTTCCAGGTCATTTCCTGATCCAGGAGAGAACTAACTAAGAGTTTGGCACCATTTTAGGTCTGATAAGAGACATTTACCATCTATTCTCTCTGAAGCCTGCTACCTGGAGGCTTCATCTACATAATAAAAACTATGGTCCCCACAACCCCTTATCTTAACCCAGACACTCCTTTCTATTTATTGATTCTAGGTCTTTAGATAATTACTTAACTCTTTCAACCAATTGCCAATCAGAAAATCTCTGAATCCACTTATGACCTTGAAGCCTGCACTTTGAGTTGTTCCAACTCTTCAGACCGAAGCAATGCGCATCTTACATGTATTGATTGATGTCTGATTGAAGCTTCTGTCCCCCTAAAATGTATAAAATCAAGCTGTAACCAACCACCTTGGGTACGTGTTCTCAGACCCTCCTGGGGAATGTGTCTTGGGCCTTGGTCACTTATATTTGGCTCAGAATAAACCTTTTTAAATATTTTACAGTTTGACTTTTTGTTGATGTCAGTCTTGGCAACAATTTTTTGGATATGACAAAAAGCATAGGCAACAAAAGCAAGGATAAACAAGTGGCATTGCATCAAAATGAGAAGCTTCTGCACAACAAAGGAAACAATCAACAGAGTGAATGAGAGAAAATGTTTGCAAACCACATATCTAATAAGGTGATAACATCCAAAATATATAAGGAACTCATATAACTCAATAGCAAAGAACACAAATAACCTACTTAAAAAATAAGCAAAGGACCTGGGTAGATATTTTTTTCAAAGAGGACATACAAATGGCCATAGGTATATGAAAAGATGCTCAACATCACTAATTATCAAGGGAAACAGGTGTTGGTGAGTGATAAGGTTCGGCTCCGTTTCCCCACCAAAATCTCATGTTGAATTGTGATCCACAGTGTTGAAGGTGGAGCCTAGTGAGAAGTGATTTGATCATGGGGGTGGTTTCTAATGATTTGGCACCATCTCCCTAGTGCTGCCTCATGATAGAGTTCTTGTGAGATCTGGTTGTTTACAAGTGTGTAGTACCTCCCCCTTTGCTCTCTCTCCTGCCAGCCACGTGCTTGCTTCCCCTTCACCCTCCACCATGATTGTAAGTTTCCTGAGGCCTCCCCAGAAGCAGAAGCCTGTACAACCCACAGAACCGGGAGCCAATTAAGCCTCTTTTCTTTATAAGTTACCCAGTCTCAGTATGTCTTTATAGCATTGTGAGAATGGATTAATACAGTGAGGATGTGGAGAAAATTGAACCCTTGTACACTGTTGGTAGGAATGTAAATTGATACAGCCATTATGAAAAACAGTATAGGATTTTCTTAAATTAAAAATAGAGCTCTCCTGTGATCTGGCAACTCCACTTGTGGGCATATAGCTAAAGGAAATGAAATCAGGATTTTGAAGGGATAGCTACATTCCTATGTTCATTGTAACATTATTCACAATAACCAAGATATGAAAACAACTTAAATGCCCATTGGCAGTTGAATGTGTAAAGAAAATGTCAGATACATATATATATATATGTATATATATGTGTATATATATATGTATATATATGTGTATATATATGTATATATATATGTATGTGTGTGTGTGTATATATATGTGTATGTATATAACATTGTGTGTGTGTGTGTGTGTGCGTGTGCGTGTGTGTGTTTTGAGATGGAGTCTTGCTCTGTCACCCAGGCTGGAGTGCAGTGACATGATCTTGGCTCACTGCAACCTCCACCTTCTGGGTTCAAGCAATTCTCCTGCCTCAGCCTCCTGAGTAGCTGGGACTACAGGTGTGCACCATCACGCCCGGCTAATTGTTGTATTTTTTTTTTTTTTTTTTTTGAGATGGAGTCTCACTCTGTTGCCCAGGCTGGAGTGCGTGGTGCTATCTCGGCTCACTGCAAGCTGCGCCTCCTGGGTTCATGCCATTCTCCTGCCTCAGCCTCCTAAGTAGCTGGGACTATAGGCGCCCATCACCACACCCAGCTAATTTTTCTGTATTTTTTAGTAGAGACGGGGTTTCACCGTGTTAGCCAGGATGGTCTCGATCTCCTGACCTCGTGATCCGCCCGCCTCGGCCTCCCAAAGTGCTGGGATTACAGACATGATAATTGTGTATTTTATGTACAGATGGGATTATGCCATGTTGGCCAGGCTGGCCTCAAACTCCTGACATCAGGTGATCTGCCTGCCTTGGCCTCCCGAAGTGCTGGGATTACAGGAATGAGCCACCATGCCTAACGAGTATAAAATATTGTTGATTGTGATGTTTCATGCACGTAAGTTTTCAATTTTGATGTAATCTTGCTACTTGTCATCTTTGCTTTTGTTTCCTGTACTTTTGTGTCATATCCAATCATGTGTATTATATATATATATATGCACATACACACACATATATATATATACAACAGATATATATAAAATGAAATATTATTCAGTCTTAAAAGGGAAAGAAATCCTGTCATTTGCAACAACATGGATGAACCTGGAAGACATTATGCTAAGTGAAATAAGCCAAACACTGAAAGGCAAATAGTGCATGATCTCATTTATATGTAGAATCTTAAAAAAGTGAAACTCATAGCAGCAGAGAGTAGATTGGTGGTTCCCAGGGGCCCGAGAGAGGAGGTAATAAGGAGATTTTGGTAAAGGGTACAAACTTTCAGTTATGCAAAATGACTAAGTTCTGGAGATCTAGTGTAGAGCATAGTGACTATAATGAACAATACAGTATTGTATACTAAAATTTGCTAATAGAGTAGATCTTAAATGTTCACACACACACACTCACACATGAAAGAAAATGATAACTGTATGAAGCAATGATATGTTAATCAGCTTGATTGTAGTGATCATTTTACAATGTGTACTTATATCAAAACATCAGGTTGTATACCTTAAATATATATGATTTTTATTTGTCAATTGTACCTCAGTGAAGCTGAAGAAAAAGAGGGGAAAGACTTAATGATATTGGATTTGGCAATGACTTTTTGGACATGACAGTAAAAGCATAGGCAACAAAAGTAAAAATAGATAAATTGGACTACATCAAAATTAAAAACTTCTTTGCATCAGAAGTCACAATCAACAAAGTGAAAACACAAGCCATAGAATGGGAGAAAAAACTACTTGCCAACCATAGATCTGATAAGAGGTTAATATCCAAAATATATAAAGAACTCCTGACCAGGTGCGGTGGCTCATGCCTGTAATCCCAGCACTTTGGGAGGCTGAGGTGGGTAGATCACAAGGTCAGGAGTTCAAGACCAGCCTGACCAACATGGTGAAACCCCATCTCTACTAAAAATACAAAAATTAGCTGGGCATGGTGGCGCATGCCTGTAATCCCAGCTACTCAGGAGGCTGAGGCAGGAGAATTGCTTGAACCCAGGAGGCAGAGGTTGCAGTGAGCCGAGATCTTGCCATTGTACTCCAGCCTGGGTGACAGAGCAAGACTCTGTCTCAAAAAAAAAAAAAAAAAAAAAAAAAACTCCTACAACTCAATAACAACAAAACAAATAACCCAATTTAAAAATGGGCAAAGGACTTGAATAGACATTACACCAAAGAAGATATACAAATAAGCACATGAAAGATGAAAAGATGCTCAACATCATTAATAATTGGGAAATGTAAATGGAAACCACAATGGGAAATAATCTTGCACCCATTAGGATGGCTGCTATAAAAAACAGAAAATAAGTGTTGATGAGAATGTAGCAAAATGGAAACCCTTGTGCAGTGTTGGTAAGAATGTAAAATGGTGCAACCAGTGTGAAAAGCTATATGGCATTTTCTAAAGCTAGAGTATTGCCATATGGTCTAGCAGCTCGACTTATGGGTATATACCTCAAATAATTGAAAGAAGGATCTTGAAGGGATATTTGGACACCCATGTTTATAGCAATATTATTCATAATAGCCAAAAGGAGGAAGTAACCTAAGTGTCCATTGACAGAAGAGTGGACAAGCAAAATGTGGTCTATCCATACAATGAAATACTATTCAGCCTTAAAAAGGAAGGAAATTCAGACAGAGGCTACAACATAGATGAACCTTAATGGCGTTACGCAAAGTGAAATAAGCCATTAACAAAAAGGCACATACCGTGTGATTCCACTTATATGAGATATTTAGACTAGTCAAATTCATAAAGGCAGAAAGTAGAATGGTGTTTGCCAGGGAACAGGGGAGAAAGGAATAGGGAATTATCGTTTAGTAGTAATGGACTTTCAATTTTGGAAGATGAAAAGAGATCTGGAGACAGGTGGATTGCACTGCAATGTGAATGTATTTAATGCCAGTGGACTATATACTTAGACATAGTTAAAAGGTAAATTTTATGTTGTGTGTATTTTACCACAATGTTTTTAAAGGCTGTAGTATTAAGAGCAACTCAATACCTAAAGAGTTAAAATCAAATTTCTCTAAAATGGTTTTTCTTCAAAAGAATTTTGTAAAAGCCCATAAATCACTTTCTGAATGAGTTTCCAGTCAAGATGGACTCTTTAGTAGCTTGATTTGCTCAGGAATGAAAATCACAACGTGACAAAGTGAGAACTTCTTGAGGACGCCTCAATAATGAATGACTTTGAAAAATGCCCTACGTCTCAATTTATTTATAATGGAAATACCAAGCCTTCTCAAAGCTGTTTGTGTCTGCAAGACTGTATATGTACCAGTAAATAATTCAAACACAAAATCCCTCACTTTGATATCTAAAGGCAATGAGGGGCACAGGTCAGGCTTCTGTCTTATTCTTCACATGGCAATGGATTTTTGTCCTCCAGAAATGTTGCTGATGTCCTGTGTCTCACCAGAAGGCCCTGTGTGAAATGACTCAGGGTGTGATTCTCTCTTTATCATACTCTTTCCATTTTAAACATTTAATGTTTGATTTGAAGGGGAAAGAATTTCAAAGCCACTCCTTGTCTACTTGTACTTTTTCATGATTATCATATTATTTCTATGTACACCCTAGACTTTGTAGTATTCTTAATGGTTTGCATCATCACAAACCTTAAGGAAGGCTGGAACACTTTCCAGACAGTGGTGCATGAAATGGCGGAGGATGTTGAAGCAGAGCATCCATGAGGCCTGCTTGGCTGGATGGGAAGGCTGGTACAGCAACACTCAGAGATGTAAGGTTTGTTCTTTCTCTTTAAGAGATTCCAAAGGACTTTCTGTTTGCTGTGGTTTAAACATCTCCTCCAAAACACATGTTGAAACTCAGTTGCCATTGTGGGGTGTCAAGAGGTGGGGGCCTTTGGGAGGTGGTTGGGCCATAAGGACTCTGTCCTCATGAATGGATGATGTTTTTATCATGGGAGTGGGTTAGTTATTTTGGGATTTTGGCCCCCTTTTCATGTCTTGTCTTGTGCCCTCTGACTCTCTCTTGCCCTTCTGCCTTCTGCCCTTTTACTGTGAGATTACCCTTGCCAGATGTGGCACCATGCTCTTGAACTTCCCAGCCTCCAGCACGGTAAGAAATAAAATTATTTTCCTTATAAATTACTGTCTTTGGTATTCTGTTATAGCAACAGAAAAAAGACTAAGACACTGTTCTTTACTTAGAAACTTCCCTAAGTGTTACACGCTGTGATAATTTTGTCAATTTGAGTGAGACATGGGGTGCCTAGATATTAGGTCAAGTTTTATTCTGGGTGTGTCTGTGAGGGTGTTTCTAGATGAGATTAACATACAAGTGGGTAGACTGAGGAAAGCAGATTGCCCTTCCTAATGTGGTGTGTTTCATGCAATTAATTAAAGACCTGAATAGAACAAAAAAGCTGAGTAAGAGGAAACTTTGCCTGGCTTCTTGAGCTAAGACTTTGGTCTTCCCCTGCCTTCAGACTGGCACTTACACCACCAGCTCTCCTGCTTCTCAGGCACTTGGACTTGTACTGGAATTGTACCACCTGCTCTCCTGAGTCTTCAGCTTGCCGACTGAAGATCATGGAATTCTTAATCTTCATAATTGCATGAGCCAATTCCTTGTAATATGTATGTATGGATCTATAGCCTATTGTATTCATTCTGTTTCTCTGAAGAAACATCTTCCATCCTATTAGTTCTGTTTCTCTGGAGAACCCTGACTACAAATACACTTGCATTGTGGGAAAGATTTGCAGCTTCTTTTTTGGCCTTATAGCAGCAAAGATTTGTTTATTATGGAAGATAGTACTTACAGTAGCAAAGACTAATATGAAACTAATCACTTCAGTGAGAGTCAGAAAATAAAGTCTTTTACTAACCATTGAGTGAGACTGTAGGCATCTCACATCCTATAGACATCCAGATACCATATGTATAAGTTAATTTTTACTGCCTTTCAAACTATCCCAAACATTAGTGGCTTAAAATAGCCATTGATTTGGCTTATGATTCGTGGGGTTGCCTGAGCAGTTCTTCTGGCCTGAGTCATCTCAACTGATTTTTACTGTGCTCCCTCATAAATCATTTGGCAAGGCAGCTGGTACCAAATAATCCGGGCTGGCTTCATTCTCATGTCTGGCAATGGGATGTGGTTAGCCAGGCCCATAAGGGAAGCTGGTCCCAGCATCTCTTGTTATCCCGCAGGCTAGCCTAAGCTTCTTCACAGGGTGGTCCCAGCATTCCCAAGAGCAACAAGAACGAGCAGCCAATGGCCAAGCATTTGTACCACATTCGCTACTGTTCTTTTGGCCAAAGCAAGTTTCACGGTCAAGCCCAGATTCAAGGGGTAGAGAAATAGACTCCACCTCTTAACTTGGAGGAGCTACAAAAGTCACTTTGCAAGGGTTGTGCATGCAGGGATGGGAAGAATTGGTAGCTGTGTTTGCAATCTAGCACACTGAATCAGCCAACTTTACACTCATCTCCTTTAACTTTTCCTGTAACCTTGGAAGGTAGGCATTCGGGCTGGTTTGGATTAGATCTCAGGTCTGACTCTAAATGAGTCCTGTTAGCCCCTCTGAATGCTAGTTTGTGTCTTTTTAATTCTTTGGAGGCTTCAGAGTCTCAGCACTCCTCTCTGAGACAAGCATCCTGATCATTTCATTCCAAGCACTTATCTGCACAGATGTCATTTCACTTAGGAGGAACCAAGTAGCAGATGCATTTGGCATAATCACCATAAAGATAACTTTGTGAGCAGTCATCCATGTTTATAAAGCACACCACTATGTGCAGGAGATTTTTGGCAAGAAAGAGGGATATCCTTGTGGGAGAAAAGTAACTGAGGAAGTTTGGATACAAGGTATAAATAAAAGTTCTGTAAGGTGCCTAAAAGGTACAGTAGATCACAGAAAACAGAACCTCCTATTAACCTCATGGGAGAGCATCATCTGTGTGTAATAGATGTCACGTAAGACCAGGAGTTATAAGGCTCCTGCCTTCCGCTCACTGTTGTCAGGACCTCTACCTGTGCCCATCTTTTCTTCCTTTGTTTTAACTCTCATCTCTAGATTCTGCTTAGACATTTGACACAATTTCCTCCTTTTCCTCACTCATGTCCCTTTTCTTACAGGAAGGCAATACCCTCCTCCTTCTTCCGACTTGCTGTGAGCAGAGTTTATTTCTATATTATTAATACAGAAATACCAAGGCTACTCAAAGCTGTTTGTGTTTGCAAACTAGGACAGACTTCCCAGAGACTTCCTACAGCACAGCACAGCCAGCCTCCTCCCCTTTATCTCTACCACTTCCCCTTCCCAGAGTGCCCACTTCCTTCTCCTCTTTCAGGGTCTCACTCAAGTCTTACCTCTTCCCTAAAGCTCTTTAGCAACTCTCTCTTGGGACAGATTTGACCCCAACTGAGATTTTTCTCTTAACTCCCCTGGACTGGCTCGAGCATTGCATTATCTGAGTCCAGGATTGAGCCCCGTCTGCCAACAGTGGTAAGGGGAAAGTGATGCCACTGCTGCCTCCAATTCAGTTCCTCCCTGAAGACCTGTAACACAACTCCAGACCAATCAGGCAGAACCTATCTCCTCTTGTATACTTTTAACTTAATATGTTTGATGTAGGTGTCCTGCTGCTCCAACAATAATGCAAATCCCTTGAATAAAGAGACTACAACTTTAACTTTTTCTGTATCCCCAGTGCCTGAAACAGCCCTCTCTGTGTAGTAGGGCCTTATAGGTTGTATAACCAGTTGCTGATAATGATGACTTGGGTGTTACCTGTGCTTTATATCAGAGCCTGCATGACTTGCTTTTCCATAAAGCAGCACTGTTCCACACTTGTTCTTAACTAGATTGTGTTGCTATTTTTGAAGTGTATGCACTGTGGCAGGATTTCTTGAACCTTTCATGTAACTGTCTTCTATTTGCTCTTCTTCCTGTTTTTATTATTCAGTGCCACTGGGACCCTTTAGTTATTAAAACTTGTGTCTCTCAAGCACTTGTACCTTTTACCACCTCCTGTGATTATTTCTTCCTGAATTTCTCCTCGTCTTCTTTGATCTCCTGACTGTCCTAGGGTAACATTCTCAAGTCCTCATATCTTCATCCCCAAAAGATTTCACACAGTCCCTTCTGGTCATCATTTTAATCATTTTGATCTTAAGTCTTTGTGACTTCCCTGATGATATCCAGTTTTCTGTCTGCTAAGATAATCTGAGCTAGAAATTCTCAGTAATCCTTATCTAGTCCTGTGTTCAGATTTTATTCACAACGTGATGCTTGCAATTCCTTTGCAACAATTCTTCATTGGCTTAACTTTTTTTGCCTTAGTCTCTGAGCTTTTAAGATTATCTTTTCCTGGACTGCAATTTTTATCTTTGATCTCAACACCAGTATCTGATCTGGGTTATCTATTAGTGGGGCAACCTACAAAGCACCTTTGATATCTGCTAGGATGGATATTATTTGGCTCAGTCAACTTCTGCCTAGACTTTATCGGATCTTATTAGCCCAATTACTTATGACAATTATAATCTGAATGTAGCTGATTCCTGCAAAGGTAACACATGCATTCCTCATCTGTTGTTGGCTTTTCCCAACTTTATAATCATGAGGCTCAAAGTGTTTGTCTAACATTTTAAAGGGCCCCTCTCCATGGTACTGGGTCAGGGCTACAGGTGAAATTCTCATGGCTCCTAGGTTTTCCCTCCTTAGCCCATATGACAAATAAAACGACATGATTATTAGTGTAATTGTTTGCTTAATGTCTATATACCCATTAGGCTTTTATGAGATAATAAGCTTTCTTTTCTTCTTCCTAGAAAGGGATAAGAAACCATCAAAGGATAATGTTAATTCATCAAATTATCTCAAATTTAAGGTTCTCCTCCATAAAGTTTTACTGAAGCAGTTGAGTAGAAGCACAGTGTTTTGATTAAGGATGTAGGCTGGGAAACCAGACTTTGTATCTGAGTCCTAGCTTTGTCACTGTTTGACACAGTGGATTGAAGGGTTACATGACCTCTCTATGCCTATCCTTCCTCATCTATAATATGGGAATAATAATATTAATCTGTAACTTGTAGGGTACCTATAGGGATTGAGTTTATATATGTAAAGCACTTAGTTGTCTGGCACTTAGCAATTACTCATAAATATTAATATGGTTGTGTTTTAATTGTTATTATTATGTTAATACTAATGGTGCCTTCTATTGTCTATCTTCTCTCTTCATTTCAAGGTGTTCTGTAAAAATTACAGTGTTCCATAAAAAATCACGGTGAGTTTGAAGTGCTGCCATCTCAACTTGTCTGAGAAGCACTGTTTGTCCTTGCACAAAAGGGGTGTAAGTATGTACAGGGGAAGGGGACACACATTCTTTGCCTTGCCCAAGGTCCACACTCCTGGAAAGGCATTCTTTCCAAATATAGGCAACAGAAGGTGCACCTGGCCTCTTCTTTCCATTCTGAATGAGGTTAGGTGCTGGCTCCAGACTGGGAGAACAACTCAGTTGCACACAGAAGAGTTTGAGGTAAGTAAGAGTTAATAATAACACCAACACAAAGATACCATGAAGCTGAAGCTGGAGTCAGCACCCTCTTTCTGACTTAAGCTCTTTACCCCTTTGGTTCTCCCTCCAGGACAGCCTATCCTGGATGCCCTCTCAAAAAAGGCACTCTGAGAGTATCATCATGTCACTCCTCTACTTTCTCCTTCCTCTCACCCAAGGTGGCAAGGATCCAGGGCTATCACAAAAAGACCCTGCTCTCCGGAATGATCATATCCCACTGTCTTTGCCCACCTCACTTCATTCCCTGGTCCCAGAAACCTGAGATCTTCCTGCCTGCTCCAACACATACACACACACGCACATGCACACACACCCCATTCTCACTCACTCACTCTCTCCCATTTTTAGTATCTCACCAGGGTCAGGTTCTCTATGCCTTGTGATAAGTTCCTGAGAAACTAATTCATACTTTTGGAGAAAGAAGACTATTAATGGTTAATTTCAGGGGCTTTGGAGCCAGGAAGACCTGAGTTGTAATGCCACTTTAGATACAAATTTTGTAACTGGGCAATTGCTTACCATCTTTGGGCCTCTTTCTTCTCCTTTGAAAATAGGGATGTCAATCCTCTTTCAGAGGGCCGTTGGAATAATTAAACGAGATATGTGTATAGCCCTTAGAACAGGCCTGGTTTACAGTAAGCAATGAATAAATGGAAGTGATTATTGATGTTTTTGTACTAATGAGAAGAGTTTAGAATAAATATTTCCTCCCCTCACCTTCTCTCCCTCTGTCTAATTCTGTCTTCTCTGCCTGATAAAATAACTTGTTTTATGGATACAACGCCTTGTACTTTGATGCCCAGAATCCCAAAGTAGGGATTCTGTTAGTAAAAGTCCAGCCTAGTGAGCAGTTTGGTGAACTAGCAAGAGTAAAAATTGAGCAACAAGAGGTCTAGACACTAATTCCTGCTCTGCTGCTAACAAGCCAGGCAATTTGGGGCAAGTCATTAGCCCCTGAAGGCTATAATTTCTTCTATAAAAAGAATTGGGATAAGATGGACTTGTAGGTTCCTTCTGTTTTTTATATTTTATGGTTCTATATGAAAAGGTTTTTCTCTGAATGAATTCTTTTATTGATACTTAAAAAACCTTGGCTGATGTATTTTTTCTTCTGAGACCTCTTATTGCGTAGCTTTATCTTGCCTCATTTTTTTTCACACGCAAAAGGGGTAGTTGAAGGTGAACTGTGGAGTTGATCATTCTAGGTTTGGATTTCAGTACCACCACTTGGCTTTTGGCCAGTTATTTAACCTCTCTGAGGCTCAGTGTTCTCATCTGTCTAATGAGGATGGACAGAGGGTAGATGTGAAGATGAAAGGAGGCAGAATTCTTAGACTAACCTCAAAGGCTATAGTTTGATTGTCCTGTAGGACATTAACCAGTTTTGTCTATAACTTGGCAAACTTATTTCAGAATGTCTTTTCTCATGGACTCTGAATGCCTGATTACTATCTTCCTGATTTCTTCATTAATTAGTGAGTCTAATAGAATCTTTCACATGTGCTTCATTCTATTTTTTATATAAGAATCCTGTTTTTAACTTTTTGAAAATTATTCTTTGACTGCCTTCAGACACTCTCCTCGATAGACTGACATAGGCGAAACTCACTAGAAATGCTGATTAAGTTACTGAAAAAAAGAAAAACCACTTTGGGAGGCCGGGGCGGGCGGATCACGAGGTCAGGAGAGCGAGACCATCCTGGCTAACACGGTGAAACCCCGTCTCTACTAAAAATACAAAAAATTAGCCGGGCGTGGTAGCGGGCGCCTGTAGTCCCAGCTACTCGGGAGGCTGAGGCAGGAGAATGGCGTGAACCCGGGAGGCGGAGCTTGCAGTGAGCCGAGATCGCGCCACTGCACTCCAGCCTGGGCGACAGAGCGAGACTCCGTCTCAAAAAAAAAAAAAAAAAAAAGAAAAACGATCGAGATTTGCATTTTTACACTTTCTGCCTGATTCTTCCCTATGTCACTTAGCCGAAGCCAGGCCCTACGAGGGTAAGGGTGGGGAAAATTCCCTTGGAGGAATCTCTACTTATTGGAAAAAGAAATAAGCAAAAAGCAAGATGAGCCTGGCAGAAAGAGATATTTTGCTTGTGGCCTTTACATTTATGACTAGCAAGATAATGAAGGAAGGTAATTCTGAAAGCTTTATGTCAGTTTTAACGGTCCCTCAAGCACTGAGAAAGATAATCGTCAATGGATGGTGTCCATAAGGATTTTTTCTCCTTCTCCCCTGACAGCCATTGACAGGATCATTTTGTATTTGCAACTGCTGTCATTGAAGCGTGCAGAAAAGGCCCTGTAAGGCCAGAAGGATGAGGGCTACTTCCCTGCAAGGATCTCTATTGTCATCACTATGGCAATAATAGTTACTATAATTTTCATTCTGCTTTTCTATAGAGTGTCGACGTTGTGGAGCTTAAGGCTATGGGATTTGGGTCACATAAAATCACACTAGCATAAAATCGTGCTTTGTTATCTTGAAAGAGTATTTTTTTTAACTGCAAAGAGAGCCTGTGCAACAAGATTAAAATAATTGCCAATGCAGGTCACTTGACTAATATAATTATTTATGGGATGCTAATAGCTTTTCAGACGCTTTCAGATACAGTGTCAATTTGACAGCAGTTTTTTCTCTCTCTGTTTGGATTGTAAGACCACTGCCAGTTTTTCTCCCCAAGGACAAGGCTTATCATTGGGGGGTGGGGGTGGGGAATGTAAATTAATTGGAAATCAGCTCTCAGGCGTCGTCTGGTAGTTTCTCTTTATTATCTGCAATTAAATCATAAGGACAGGAACCATGCCTTCTATTTCACTTATATGCACCCTCATCTCCTAGCGTCGCGCTTTGCATAAATTTCAGTGGTACTAGCTTTCCTACAGACTGCTTTAGAGACATTAGACACTTCTAAAGTACGACTCTGCGGAAAGAGCCCTTTGGGAATGAAGCGGCAACGGTGGCGCACCTGCGATCCTATCGTGGGATGACAAAGCTCTAAGAGGGGTCTCAGGGTAGGGAGGAAACAGCTGGAGACAAAGAAAGGGGGTGTAGCGAAAAGAGGTGAAAACAGGAAAGATAAGCGAACAGAACAGACCAAAGAGAGAAAAATAACAGAAGAGACTGAGAAAAAGAAAAGTCAAGTGGAGCGCCCACTGCCCCGCCTGCAGAAGGCGAGTACGCGCGGAGGAGACTACAGGCCCCAGAATCCTCCGCGGTTCCCCTTGCCTGGGGTCAGTCTCCTAGGCAACCCCGCTAAACAAGATGGCGACCTCCGAGAGGGCTCTCCTGAGGACCAGAGCTGCCTCTCTCCTGAGAGGCTTGGGCAGATCCCGAACTGGAGCCCGATCGTTACAGTTTCGCGCAGAAAAAGAGCGTCAGCCTTGCTGGTCTTTTCCCATGGGGCAGAAGACGAAAGGCAGCTCTAACATAGCCTCCTCCTACCTGCTCCAGCAGCTCATGCACCGCTATCAGGAGCTGGACTCGGACGGAGATGAGGACCAGGGCGAGGGCGAGGCGGGATCCGAGGAGTCCTCAGAGTCCGAAATGCTGAATTTGGAGGTGTGTCTTCCCCCCCACCCCGTACTCCCTGGCTCCCTCGTCCAGCCCTGTTACTTCAGCGGCAGCTCCCCGATGCACCCCCACCAGCCCGAAGCTTCCCACACCTTCTCAGGCTCTCTCGCCTCCAGGAACGCCTCTTCCCCCTCTTTTCTTCCCCTGTCTTTTACCCCGTTTTCTCACCCCCTGCCTGAAATAGCTCTAAATAGTTCCTTTCTTTTTTCATTAACACATTTGATTTCTTATGAGTCGAGTTAACACAGCGTCACTTTGTAAGAGTGTCTAGATAATTGTCTGGGAATTATGGCTTTAGCTTTTTCAAAATTATACTTTGACAGTATTGTGAATAGGCAGAGTTCATCTCTGACATTGCCAGCACCTGTTGCCCATGGCTATGACATACTTCCACACTCTTCCTCAGTTCTAGTCCCGTCAGCCTCCCTCCAGGAAAAAAAAAAAAAAAAAAATCCGCTTTTGAAAGTGCTTCTTCAAAGACTAAGTGACTTAAAAGTTGAATACATTACTTCTGTCGGGGGCATATGCCTTATACAAGCAACATGCACACACACCAGAAAAGAGCCTTATAATGTTCGAACAGCCAGCTCATTGTGGGAATATTTTAGGATGTGGGGAATGTTCCCATCATCCCACCCATATTGACTGGGATGGCGGCTTCGCGTTTCACATGACTGCCATTCCCTCCTTTCTACAATATCTCTTCTGACCACCACACAATTCCTCTTCTTTCTTATGCTTATTATGGTCCTTTTCCTTTCTTAGTCCATTGTTGTCTTCTTGTCCTTTTCCACTTCTCATCACATCACTTCTTTTCTCTTGGCTTCTAATAAATTGCTTTCTTTCAAAAGCGTAATTTAATTTGCTTCCTTTCTATTTTGTTTATGTTTTTGAGATGGAGTCTGGCTTTGTCACCAGGCGGGAGTGCAGTGGTGCGGTCTCCGCTCATTGCAAGCTCCACCTCCTGGGTTCAAGCGATTGTCCTGCATCAGCCTCCCGAGTAGCTGGGACTACAGGTGTGTGCCACCATGCCCAGCTAATTTTTTATATTTTTAGTAGAGACGAGGTTTCACCGTGTTAGTCAGGATGGTCTTCGATCTCCTGACCTCGCCATCCGCCCACCTCTGCCTCCCAGAGTGCTGGGATTACAGGCGTGAGCCACCGCACCCGGCCTAATTTGCTTCCTTTCTTTCAATACACTGTTAGGTTCTTCTCTTTGTCTTGGCTGCCAGGAAACTTAGATTCAATAGTTTTTCTTAATTTCAAAGTTTTCTTTAGGTTTTTTCTCCCCTTTCCTTTTCCTTGGCAGTATAAATTGCGTGAAATTCTTTTCAGAAGTAAATATAATATAGAGAAGTAGAATATTTTCTTTTCTTTTTTCTTTCTTTCTCTTTCTTTCTTTCTCCTTCCTTCCTTCCTCCCTTCCTTCCTGCCTTCCCCTCCCTCCCTCTTTCCCTCCCTCCCTCCCTTCCTTCCTCTTTCTTTCTTTCTTTCGTTTTTTCTTCCTTCCTTCCTTCCTCCCTCCCTTCCTTCCTGCCTCCCCCTCTCTCCCTTCCTTCCTTTCCCTCCCTCCCTCTCTCTCTCCCTCCCTCCCTTCCTCCCTCCCTCCACTCTGTCTCTCTTTCTTTCTTTCCTTCTTTCTTTCTTCCCTCCCTCCCTTCCTCCCTCCCCTCTACTCTCTCCTTCCTGCCTTCCTTCCCCCCTTTCCTCCCCTCCCCTCCCCTTCCCTCCCTCCCCTCCCCACCCCTCCCTCCCCTCCCCTCCCTTCCGTCCCTCCCCTCCCCTCCTCTCCTCTTCTCTCCTCTTCTCTTTCTTTCACAGGGTCTTACTCTGTCACCCAGACTGGAATACAGTGGTACAGTCATGACTCACTGCAGTCTCGACCTCCTAGTCTCAAGTAATCCTCCTGCCTCAGCCTCCTGAGTAGCAGGGACTACAGGTGTACACCAAAGCACCTGGCTAGTTCTTGTAATTTTTGTAAGAGACGGGGGCCTTGCCATATTGCCTAGGCTGGTCTTGATCTCCTGGGCTCAAGAAATCAGGCCACCTCAACCTCCCTAAGTGCTGGTGTTACAGGCATGAGCCACTGTGCCCAGCCTAGGATATTTTCAGTGCTCTCATTCTGTGATATTCTTCTGGTTTCCCCTCTTTACATCTTTGCATCTATTCACAGTCACCTTTTCTCTTTGAGGCCAAACATATTTCTGTGTTATGCCTGTTCCCTTTCACCAACTCCTTTCCTCATTTGTCTTATTTCTTCTTATTCTCCCTTCTCTAACCTGCGGTGTCTTCTGTTACTCTGATTCTTCTATTAACCACTTGGGTTCCCCTTCCTTTGTAATGTCCTTCTGTTCACTTTCAACATTTGGCCTGTTTCTTTTTTCCCTTCCTCATACCCCATTTTGTCTTTCCTCTTTTTTTACTTCCTTCTACATGAGCTAGTTCCCATTAGTTTTGCTTAAAGTTGACCATAGAAAGCTATTAATTATTCTATTCGTTATTACTTCTTTTGTCTTTTGTTGGTTTACTTTGCTATCTTTAACAGTGACTGTTGCAAAACTATAGCAGTGTTTTTGCAACTTTGAGATGTTTGTATGGTTTCCACCAGCTTCCCCCCCCCCCCAGAGGAATTCACAAATGAACCACCAGTGTACTTTGTTATTCTAATTAACACATAGCTCTTTGGCTATGGGGTTCATTAGCACCATTGTTAATCTGTCTTCAGTATGCCATTAACAAACCATAGAAGGGGTTGTCAAGAACTAGCTATTCCTTTTTGGCTTGTAAGACACATGTGGAACAGGTTCATTATTTCTTCCATTTACATTCTAAATATTAATTTTGTGTTTTTATTCTATTTTGGCTTTTTAGTATTGCACACATATTAATATGCTAAATAAACTGAAACAAAGTTTTAAAAAGAAACATTTGGAAATTCATGTTCAGTGATTTAT
Source organism: Homo sapiens (assembly GCF_000001405.40). Lineage (NCBI taxonomy): Eukaryota > Metazoa > Chordata > Mammalia > Primates > Hominidae > Homo > Homo sapiens. The sequence continues at coordinate 134,130,631 of NC_000007.14, forward strand.
TATTCCCATCTTAGCCTGTTATTCTCAGTTTATTATTCCCAGTTTAGCACCTTTGCAATGCTATCATGGTCACAATGATTACTGAGTGCCTTTAATGCAATTTGCCTTAAACCTCGGAAGCCCTTATGAAGTGAGGGAGGCAGTATGGACCACCTGTTCAAAACACTGCTGTTGGAATCAAAGATTTGTGTTTGAGGCTTGATTTAGCCTTTTGTCAGTTGTGAGATGTTGAGCAAATTACTTAACCTCTCTCATTCTTCATGTGGGAATTATAATAATACTTAAAGAATTGTGAGAATTAAATGAGATCCTATATGTTAAATGCTTATCATATATTTTGATACAGTTAATAATACAAATAGTAACTTACATGTTTTCGTCTGCTAACTACAGCCCATTAAGTGATTTGATTAATTTAGCCTTCATTGAACAAGCATTTACTGAATGATTGCTATGCAGAAAGCACTCGTTGACTGTACAGAGCAGAAGTTTCTGGGCCCAAAAATTGATGCATGAAAAACACTTCTTTTCAGTCCCTTTATATGGGTAATAATACCTACTCCTGTGATAGTTATGAACATGAAATTTAATAAGAAACTCTATATTTAAAGTTCTTACTATAGTGTCTGATACAGAATAGACTTTCAAAAAATTATAGCTGCAATAAATAATAACAGTAATGGTAGAAAAAGATGAGAACATGATTGAAGACATACATGGTCCCTGCTCTCAAAGTGAGATAAGAATGCGAGTAAATCATAGCAATTCAGCATACCTGTAGTATGTCTTACAGAGATGAGTACAGCTGACAGCTGGATTGCAGGGACATGGAAGACTTCAGGGGAAGGAGACTCTTGCCTGGGTGGAGAGGTGGTGTGTGGGCAGGCAGGTGGCAGCTTTTCCTACCGATGAGTTACAGGTGAGAACAGAAGAAGCCTCCTAGGTAGGGATGAGATTGTAGAGGGCACTGTGATGTTGTAGGAATATGGACTTTGTTCTCTACACAGTGGGGAACTGCTCTGTTGGCCAGGTGGTATTAGATTGGAGGATTGTAATACTGGAGGCAAGGAGATCAGTGAGAAGATTCTAGCAAAATCCAGGGGGAGTGAGAAGAGCTGTTATCTATCATAGGAATCAGGGACAGATGGAGCTATGCGTTAAGGAGTTGGATATATGAACAATATGACTGGAAATCAGGGGAGAGATCTCAGAGTAGGAGACATGGGAATCATCACCACTAGATTCTGGGAAATCATCCAGGAAGGGATGGGAGGGAAAAGGCCACGAATAGACCCATAAAGGTACAGATACCAAGGGTATTTAAGTGGTAGGCAGATGAAGAAGCAGGGAAGAAAACTGGGAAGGACTGGTAAGAGAAGTATAAGGAGAAAGAAGACCTATATGATAGGGAAGCCAAGAGTCTCAAGAACGTGATGACAGGGTGCAGTGGCTCACGCCTGAAATCCTGACACTTTGGGAGCCAGAGACAGGAAGATGGCTTGAGGCCAGAGTTTGAGACCAGTCTAGGTAACATAATAAGACCCTGTCTCTATAAAAGAATTTTTAAAAAATTAGCCGACCAGCCATAGTGGTATGCACCTGTAGTCCCAGCTACTTGTGAGGCTGAGGCAAAAGGATCACTCGAGTCCAGGAGTTCAAGGCTGCAGTGAGCTATGATCATGCCACTGCATTCCAGCCTGAGTGACAGAGAAAGACCTTGTCTCAAAAAAATAAAAAAAAAAGAAGATGGGAATGGGTTACGCTACAAATAGGTTAAGTGGGAAGAGGCCTAAAAAGTGCTCATTCATTTTGCCTGTTTGAGAGTCATTGGAGACATTGGCCCACGTGGTTTTTATGAGGTGGTGAAGTCAGGAGGCTAAGTGAAGTTGAAGAGTAGTTGGGAGGCGAGGAAAGGAGAACTAAGGCATAAAAAGCAAACAACTCTAGAGTAGATTGGTTATTAAAGGAAACTCTAGTTTATAGCTAAAGGAACCTGCAGGACTGAAGAAAGCCTCTGTAGGACAGAAGAGTCTAACACACTTGTATAGCTGGAGTGGGAACCACAGAGAATGGTGGGTTCAAAACACAGACAAAAGGGGGCAAAAATGGTCCCTGAGGAAAGAGAAGGGTGTGGGACCCTGAGTAGAGAGAAGGCACAGTCTTCCTCTAAGACCTGAGTGAGAAACATTAGGACAGGTGCTCCTAGGAAGCTGAGAGGGTTAACATCTGAGAGCTTCCGTTTTGCCTCAGAAGTAGAAGAGAAGGGCATTAGTGGAGAAGACGGCAAAGGAGTTGAGGCACTGCACAGCTTGAGAGTTATGGAGAGATGGGCTAGTCAAGAAGGGGAGTTGAAAAGGGGCTGATGAAGAACGGGAGACCGTTCATAGCAAAGAGGCCCAGCTGAAAGTCAGCTTTACAGGGACTCCAGGATGCAGAGTTGTGGGGTCTTCTCTAGCCCACTCAGCAGCTAGGGGGCAGATGAGGTGCATTCATTCATTCAACCCATGTTTGAGCACTCACCACATGCGAGGCACTGTTTGCCTCCTTCACACTTAGGCTTCAGCCATCCTGAACCTTCATCGTTCTCTCAATGGGCCATGCTTGCTTTTGCTTTTGGGATTTTGTACATGCTGCCCCTTTTGCCTGTAATACTATTTCTTGGCTTGCTTTTCAGCCTTATCTTCCCTTTTGCCAGAGTAACTCACAATTTGGGTCTCAATTGAATTGCTGTCTCTCCTAGGAAGATTTTGCTAACTTCTTACTCCACCCTGGTACTGACATACAATGGGGGCCCTGCTCATAGTCAGCAGACACTGCCTATCTCTATTATAATCTTTATCAAATCCAAAATTTGCTTGCGTACTTGTCTGTCTCCCAGACTGAACTGTAAATCCCTTATGGACAGGCACCATATCTGTTCACTGATTCACCATGTCTTATCCATTGAGCCAAGCACAGTGGCTGGCATGTGCTAGGTATTCTATAGAGATTTTTTTCCCCCTGATGAATGAGGAACATGACACAGTCCTGCCTCAATGCAGCAGTTGATTATGAACTTGATTCTGATTTGTATATGGATGGGGTAGTTGCAACCAGGGAACAAGGATCAGAGACTTGAAGATAGAGAGAAATTGAAATTGCGTATGGGTCCAGGTGCGGTGGCTCATGCCTGTAGTCCCAGCACTTTGGGAGGCGGAAGTGGGCGGATCACTTGAGCCCAGGAGTTTGAGATCAGCCTGGGCAACATGGTGAAACCCTGCCTCTATAAAAAAATTATAAAAATTAGCCAGGCATGGTGGCACATGCCTGTAGACCCAGCTATTTTGGAGGCTGAGGTGGGAGGATGACTTGAGCCCGGGAGGTTGAGGCTTCAGTGAACTGAGATCACAACACTACATTTCAGCCCAGGTGACAGAGCGAGACCATGCCTAAAAAAAAAAGAAAAAGAAAAAAAGAAATTGCCCATAGGCTACCCAGTAGGGAAGGGAGTATAGTCAGAAGGGAACAGATAGACTCTGAGAAAGGTGTCTATCTGTGAACAGACTGGAGATTTGTTGTGGTCAGTGAACAAGTTCAACAGGTGCTAGGTAGGTTGAAGGATAAGCAATTGTGGGATTAGAGAGAAACACTGGGGTCTGAGGTTTCCAGGGTGGAGCAGTTTAGCATGATGACTAGGTCCAGGGCATGGCCGTGAAAGTAAGCTGTCTGGAGCTGCGGCAGTAAAGAATTGTGCATGTGTGCATGTGCTGGCAATAGGGTGTTGGATGGCCACCCATAGGGATTCTGAGGCCACTCAGGATAACAACAGGAGCTTGAAAATGACCAAAGATCGGAAGGAGAGACATGATACTGCCAAATGTCAGGAACATCAGGAGGTGTGAGGAGGTTATTGTGCAGAGTGCTGCCTTCCCCAAGGAAAAATGGGGACAGCGTGGCTCATCTCCATGTCAATGGCTAAGTTGAAAAATAAGCATCCACCTGCTCTAAGTGAGTAAGTGAGGATGCAGTGTCTTCATAGTTCCAGGAAATGGAGGGGGCCAGATGAACTTTAAAGGGCTAGGTGGAAAGTTTGGAGGGAAGGTAACATTCCTTCCCAGGCCTTGTATAATAAATTAGAACTTTATTTAGAAAAGTAAATGTGTTTTGCCTATTTTGTGAACAGCCTGATTGGCATAGGTGAGTGAAACATTACGATGTGGAATTTCTGACTTCATCAATTAGTAGTAACAGAAATCGTCATCTATTGGGAACACTACGTTGCACATACTGTGCTGTGAGTTTTATGTCCATTTTTTTTTCTTTCTCCAAAATATTAAAAGAAGGTGTTGGGAAGGAATGACTTTCCCTCTACTCTCCTAGCTTTTATAGCTGGGTCTATAAAATAAACAGACAACAGGTGGATTAACAGGAGAAAAGGTATTATACATGTATTAATTTTGAATAAATTTGTAATATTTGTGGGGGACATTGCAGGAAAAAACAGAAGTGAATAATCAAAAAAGCAGTGAGATTTGAGATGTTATGTACCATCTCAATAGAGGAAGGGGAGGAGGGATGCAGGCCACTTAGGGGAAAGTAAATGCTTTTTAGGGAATGAATAGTCCCTTAGAAAAACAGATGCGGGGTATGAGAGTTTGTGACAAAGTCTGTCTTAGTGTGACATTGACTTCTGGTCTCCTCCCCTGGGTGGGTAAAAGTCATTCTTCCTTGTTTGATGAAACCACCGGAGGGGGGCAAATTTAGGACAACTGAGTTTCTTTTGGAGGATCTGCCTTGAGGCAGATAAAGGGAGTTCAGAAAGAGCCTTTCCCTGTGTTTGCTGTTTTTCAAGTGCCTTCAGCTCAAAATAATCAATATACCAACATGGCATATTTTACAGCGACATGTCCTGAACTTCTTCAAAGGTGATAACATTTCCTATTTATAGCTGAAAACTACCAGGCTCAGTGAAAACTTTACCTCCCCAAAGTCACACATCCAAAATGGCAGGGCTGGGGTTCAAGCCATGCCTGCCCAATTCTGAAGCCATGTGCTGCCTCCATGCAGGTGGTATTTACTTCCCTGAACCAGGCTGGAGTGTGGTGGCACAATCTTGGCTCACTGCAAGCTCTGCCTCCTGGGTTCACGCCATTCTCCTGCCTCAGCCTCCTGAGTAGCTGGGACTCCAGGCGCCCGCCACCACATCCGGCTAATTTTTTTGTATTTTTAGTAGAGACGGGGTTTCACCGTGTTAGCCAGGATGGTCTCGATCTCCTGACCTTGCGAACCGCCCACCTTGGCCTCCCAAAGTGCTGGGATTACAGGCGTGAGCCACCGCGCCCGGCAAGAAGCTCTTTATCATAGCACAAGCCTACATGCGTATGTCATCAGTACCTACAGCCAGAGCTGCATTGTTGGTTCCTGAATTCATATAGAGGACTTAGAAAAAGGGTATTTTGCCATGGTTATCTATATGCTAGTCATGGCTAGTTATGTCGGTGTGACTGATGTGATCACTTATGTTTTGTGTTCTCATGTTGATGTCAGTGTTAATGTGCTGGTCATTATGGAGTTGAAGGCAGCACAAACATAATACTGACCCACCTGTTATCTCTTTTGTCTGTCATTGTTGGAGGAAGGGCTTGTCAGGGTGCCCTTGGTTCTTGTGATGTCTATAGACCAAGGGCCAACCTCCTTATGGAAATGATCATCACCTTTTTAAAAATCTTATACATTTTATAAATCTAGCAACATTGACTAATAGGAAGTGAACTGAAGGACCTGTTTTCTCTACCAATCTGGCAAGAATACCAGATTTAGAGAGATAATTGCCTTAATTTGATGTAACCATCCTTTGGGGTGTGGGCAAGCAGTCAAATGCAGTGGTTAGGGCAGTTTGGGAGAATTGCCCTGGGACTGGACAGATTGGGATTTTCATTCCAGCTCTGTCACATACTATCTGTTTGGTTTCAGGCAAGTTAACCTCCAAACGTTAATTCTTTTGCCTGTAAAGTGGAGATAAGAGTAACTATCTCCATGTTGTCCAAAGGATTCAATGAGTTCATTCATTGAGAGCTGTTAGTACAGTGTCTGGAATAGAGAACCCCTCAATCAATACCACCACTGATACTGCTGCTTCTACTGCTACAATGTTCACTCAACTTTGAATGCCTAATGCAAGTGACCACCTGAAAAAAACAGTGGCAATGAAAACATTGATTTGGCAGATAGTTATTTAATTATATGTAATATGTATATGTTATCAACACAGAATTTTTTTGGGGGTTGGTAAATTTTGGAGAGCTCAGCTCCTGGGTATAAAATATACTAAATAAGTGCTGGATATGACAAGATAGATTGTTTCTTTTCTAATGAGAATCTTTTCTTTGTCTACCTTTCTGGGTTTTTTACAGGAGGAATTTGATGGGGTCCTGAGAGAGGAGGCTGTGGCCAAAGCACTCCATCACTTGGGGCGCTCAGGCTCTGGGACTGAGCAAGTCTACCTCAATCTAACTTTATCAGTGAGTATGACAAAATCTCCATTGGCTGGCTACAGCTTGACACTGGCTAGACCATATTCATTTTCTTCAGTACTCTTAGCTTTTGTGGTGACAGCAAATCTTGGAGCCTCGCATTTGATGGAGACTGGTGACAAGAGATATTTCTGTAAATATTAGACTTCAAAGAGCCCTGACCAATTCAGTAATCAGCCCCCCAAATTTCTTAGTTTTCATTCTCTTCACACTCTATTTCTTTCATCTTAAGTAGTCTATATTATAGTAATCAATGCTTTCTTTCCAGGAGGTTGAATTTGATTCTGTAAAACCAATCAAAGACTCTTTAAGAATTTTCTCTCTGATCAGTGGAAGAAACACTAAACTTTATATCTGAATCCAAGGGAACAAAGTATTTTGATATTGACTTTCCCCACTAAGTATGTCAAGAAATAAGAGGCTTTGAGCTATACCTTACTTTCCAAAAGATACCTATCATTAAAGAAAAAAAAAATCTATTATTATTCATCAGTTTTTAAGATTTCAGTACTCATCATAGAGTAGCACAAAACCTTGGCTTCAATTTTATCAAAAGAGAGGCTGTAAGAGCAAACTACTGGGAATACTTGCTTCTTTCCTCATTTTGTCTCTCTGTAGTCCTAGAAAAACAATTTAAGTCGTTGTGCCTCCTTATATTGTAAAGCATTAAATATTCATTGGAGATCCACAGAGTAAATTTAGGTACATATGAGAAAAAAAAAACGCACATTGAAATTTTACCATGGCACCATGATTTGGCGAAAGGGTATGTAATTCACTATAAGCCTGTTCTATCTTGGATTTGAATGAGTAAGCTAAGCAAGAAATGTTAAACTTTTTTCACCTTTGCTAGTTCCATGGGCATGTCCTTCAAGGTCAGCATATTAAAACAGTAATCTTTTTCTATTTTCACTTTGTAACATTTTATGGATGACTCAGCCAGTCAGGCAATAACATACAGGGAGCACCCTGTATGCATTGCACTGTGTTTGACGCTGGAATATGGTATATAATTCCAGCAGCCAGTGCATCCCCACACAAGCCCCTTTCAATCAATATTCTACTTCTGTAGGTAGTGCTATGCCTTAAATTGATCTACCCCAAAAAGCAATCCTTTAAATCTTATTTCAGCTGGATGGACTGAAGCTTAATTTATTTTGCCACTGACCTCCTTACATTTGAGATATTACACGTTGAATTACTTTGACTTAATAACCTGTCTTACTGAATACACTTTCTTAGAGTTGCCTAGTTTGGTGATTTTTTTTTCCTTTATGTCTTACTTATGTTACATGTTATTTTTTTTACTTTCTCTTATTATTTGTGTACATATCTTCTCTCCTACCAAAGTCATAAGTTTCTTAAGGGCACAATATAGCTCTCTTCCATCATTGCATTTCTCATCATGCCAAGCACAATGCCTTGTAAATAGTAAATATTCAGTAAGTGTTTATTTATTATTACTGTTCTAGCGGCCTTCATTAAACAATCACCATTATTCTATATGAGAACGTGCTTATAATGACTCTTCATTGGTTTGCTTGTTTTCTGACTCCGCCATCACGACATAAAACAATCATAGAAGTCTTTGTTCCACTCAACCAAATTCCCCTCAACCTCATCTGAAGTTGACTAGAATCAAGATATCCTGGAAAGAATTTTGGACAAGGATTCAAGAGACTTAGATACTGCTTCTCTATAACTAACTTGCTGTGTGATTTCAGGCTGTTAACCTACCTCTCTGTACCTCACATCCCTCATCTCTAAATTGGGAATAAGCTGCCCTACAGATTTCACAGGTGTGTTTGATCAGATGAGATTATTGTGAAAGAGCTTTGAAAATGAAAAGGTGAAAGTGTAGGTAGTATTGTTATTAATGATTTCCTGATGAGGTGTGAATTCTCTTTAAAACTTCATTTAAATTCTAGACATTTTTTTCTTCTACTAGGTAAAGGCCTTGTCTTTATTGCTATTGTGTGATTTATTAAAAGAAAAAAAAGACTCTGTTCTAACGGTCTCCATGAACACTGCTTTAAATTGGCCTTTCATGTTGTATTTGTTTTTGCTAACAACACTAACGTTATTAAGCTATTATTTTCTTCAAAGGAAGGGCTTTTTTTTTATGGCATCTGTTTTGAGATCCTATTAGTAGCAGGCTTCAGATTTTGTTCTCTCTCTTCTTCTATACTTGTGAAAGAAATTCTGGATTTCTTTCCATCAAGAGTTATTGCAAGAAGGCTGAGTAGTAACCTGATAAAGCAACATTAAAGTCTTTTACCTTTTGTTTTCTCAGGGTTGTAATTTAATTGATGTTAGCATTCTCTGTGGATATGTTCATCTACAGAAGTTGGATCTTTCAGCGAATAAAATTGAAGGTATGTAATTGTCATTCTAGATTGATCACTGAATTATCTGAAAACTTAAACGTTGCAGTATGTAATATGGTTTAATAATGCCAGACTTGATATCACTAATTTGTGTATCAATTTACATATTGATCCTTTGCTTTCCATGTAAAAAAGGCACCGATAACTGCTGAGAGAGAAAAAGGCACAGATCTGCAATATGATGATGTGGCTGAGATGCAGTCAATGATATTTAAGACTAGGAGATGGAATGTTGGCTTTATTTTTTCCTTTTAAGAGATCGATCATTACTTCTTCAATACTCCCTGAATATTTAATGATTTCTTTTCTTTTCCTCTGTTACTCAGTGCAGATGAATTAGTCTTTTTTTTCTTTAACAGATTCTTTTCTTTATTTTGCTTTTGCATTTATATTTTATTACACTCTTTATTCTGCATTTTGAAAATCTTATTTTTAAAATTAAAAAAACATTTTTTTTGAGATGGAGTCTCACTCTGTTGCCCAGGCTGGAGTGCAGTGGCATGATCACAACTCACTGCAACCTCCGCCTCCTGGGTTCAAGTGATTATCCTGCCTCAGCCTCTGGAGTAGCTGGGACTACAGGCACGCACCACCACGACTGGCTAATTTTTTGTATTTCTAGTAGAGATAGGGTTTCGTCATGTTGGCCAGGATGGTCTGGAACTCCTGACTTCAAGTGATCTGCCCGCATCAGCCTCCCAAAGTGCTGGGATTACAGGTGTGAGCCACTGTGCCCGGGCCTACATTTTGCATTTTAAATCTGTTAGCTCTTTTACCCTTATTATTGAGCACCAGGGATTCACAAATACATATTTTTCATTCTTTTTTGCTGTCTTTATTTAGTTGATTCTTTCAACTCTAACTCCACAATTTGTAGTTTTATATAAGGTATTTGTTATGACACCTTGTTCACATTTAATGAAATTAGTCCTACCATTGTCAAATTTTCTTCAAAGCTTGATCCTTGTTTATAATTTTCTGATCTTATTTGAAGTTGACAGTGTATAATGTTTTTCTTTAGATTTCTAGGGAAGTGAGCAAATCATTACTTCTGACCTGCTTTCTTCACTGATAATCTTTCTGCTTGCTTCTTTTGCCTGCCTTTTTTATGACAAATAAATGTTGCTGATATGTCTTCTCTGTTTGATTCTGGGGTTTTTTTCCCCTTCTAGGACCCTAATAAAGTCCACTTTTTAACGATTAAGAAATATTCTAGCCCATTTTCATTCTTAAAATACTACTGTTTTTGAAAGACTTTCAATTAACTTTTTTCTAGTTTTCTAAAGCTTTATTATGGAAAATTACAAAGCACAAATAGAATATTGGAATGAATATTTGGGTTCAACAGTGATCAGCCCATCTATATACCTCCCTGCCCAGCTTCCCCAGGGTTATTTTAAAGCAAATCTTAGATGGTCATCTCATCAGAAGGCCTTTTCTAGTGTCTCTGGCAGGAGCACTTGGCCTACTCCATACCTCCGCGGTTGTTTCCATTTGCTGGGTAGGAAATCGCGGAGTGGTGGGGGCCTTGCCAATGCTCACTGCTGACAACAGGAGCAGGGAGCCCACAGTTACGCTCCAAGCCTTTCTCTTCAGCCCGATCAGTCCTCACTAACCTTGGATGGCACATTTCATTAGTTCGTCAACTGTTTGAAAGCCTCCTGTGTGTAAAGTACCGCATATGTTTCTTTTTGTGATGACAGTCTCACTGGTCTCCTGGTGCAGGCCAAACTTCAGACTGCATCCGAATCACCTGGAAGCCCTGATAACACAGATTTCTGGGCCCCACTCTCAGGGTTTCTGATTCGGTAGGTTTGGGGCGGGGCCTGGAAATTTGCATTTCGAATAAGCTCCTGGATGAGGCTGATGCTGCTGGTCCGGGACCACATGCCGAAAACCAGTGATGGAGACACGAGGAGCTCCTGCCCTCTGGTGGGCAAGGAGGTCACTGCACTGATAGGGACCACAGGCCAGCTCAAGTTCAATGTCCAGCAACCCAGACCAAGGACTTTTTTCTGTCTTGATATGAAAACACTGGCTATCTACAGTGTGTGAAATGCACTCACCATCTCTTTGTCTCTAGCTAAGTACTAGCTGCTGCTTCTGCTTCAAGAAGGATCTCCATTTACCTGCCCACAGAAAGATCATCTTTCAGGAGAGTCTGGTGGTCCCGTGAAGTTAGTAGAGTTGAGACCACTGCTGACAGACATGTAGCTGAGCTCAGCATGGACAAATCGATACCACTTGGAAAGCAATTACAGTTTCTCCTTAGGTTTCCTCGAAGAGTTCTTCCTTGATTTGCTGATTCATTTCCAACAAAGTGTTAATGTCTCAAAGTACTGTCTCTCCTGGAACTATTTACATTTAGTAAGGAAGGGCATGGTTTCGTCCAGAAAAATAACATAGAAATTGGGGGGAATTTTCTGGCTTCAGTGACTATTGAGAAGGGAAGATACCAGGAGGCCCCTTACATAGCATGTCCTACCCACCTCAGGGCAGGGCCCCAACTACTCCAGGCTGGCTTCCTTCCCCAGGTCTGCATGTGTCTGTGCCACTTGGAGAAAGGTAGAAGCACTTCGCTTGGCTTCGGGTGAGGAGGCTCCATTCTCCCACTAGAGGCCATCCCCAGGAGGTTGTAATAGCGCATACTATGATCTAGAATCTAGAACGAGGAGAGAGAGGGAAATGCTAGCATTGTTGCCATTTTTAGGCAGAGAAAGGACTTACTAGTAGAGACAGGGCCATAACCCTTACTGTGTGACCCTTCCTGATTCCTTCCCTAATTCATTCCCCTACCTCTGTGTCTGCTGTAAAGTCATAGAGAAAGGTAAAACAATAGTTCATATCTTTTATCTTTTATATGTAATTTCATTAGCACTATCCTTTATTAGCACAGTAGTTCTTTACTTAGTGTTCAAGATTCAAAGTGTGTGCTTGGGATAAAATGCAAAACTCGGATGTACGTTTGATCCAATCTGGAGTCAAAAATCAAATAACAGCAATGAGTTAAATCACTTCAAATAGTTAATGCGATCTAGTGGTAAGTCCAACTGAAACAAAATTTAATTTACAACAAAGAGAGTTTCCTAATTGTGGCATTTCCACTCTTTATGAAAAGATCTAATTTAGTTATTTAGGGGCTAATTATCAAGAGGATTATCTAAGGCTTTTGCTTTTCATCCTTTTCTCAAATGCTGGCAAGTTTTGTAGCATTTCATTGTTAGTGGCAGAGTGAGCGGGCATGCGGAAGAGGCCGCAGGGATTGGTTACTTGGCTGCCCCCAAAATAGGGCATACAAGGATTGGCCACCCCTGGGGAAGAGGATTAAATTATTGACTCCGAGAGTTTTCTACCTTTTTTTTGTATATTTCACATACTCCTGATTTTATTCCTTTCACTCATATGGAATAATTAAGATGTCTTTGCAACTGTTATAATTTTAAAATATTCTGATGTCATGTACACTGTTTTTAATGCCTTTGTCTTGTTATTTTATTGGCTTACCTTATTCTGTATCTGTTTCCCTCCGTAGATTTATCTTGTGTGAGTTGTATGCCTTATCTCCTAGAACTTAATGCTTCTCAAAATAATTTGACTACGTTCTTCAATTTCAAGCCACCCAAAAACCTCAAGGTAGACTTTATGAATACCTTAATTACACATTAAGGGGTTTGCAAAAGTGCATTAAATAAGCAAAATAGCACTCAAATAGAGAATTCAGAGAGAATAAGATACAGAGGTAAGCAATGTAAGTGTCTGAAATGAAATAAAAAAGAAGGCTTTGTGTATACTTTATTTTGGAAAAGGGAGCTGGTCTGTCAGTGGATAGGCTTTCTGGAAGCTTTGTTCAAACCTAGTGTTCAAACCAACGAACTTTCCTCTGGTCTCCTCTTTCCCTCATTTGAATAGTAGTTATTATTGCCCTTTTTTTGTTGTTATAGTGGAACAATTTTTTAAAAATATTACTTGGTACATTTTATTTATTTAAAGAAATGCATTTTATTGTGTATATTTCAGATGTACAGCATGATGTTATGGGACATATAGCGGAATAACTTATCTGAAAAATTTTATATCTGAATAATCTGTAAAAATGTCCTAGGCTCAAACTTTGCCCTTTTATTTATCTAACTTTACTTTTTAAGAAAATAATGCTTTCAGATCTCCATTCTTGCTTCTCCGCACTTGCTTTTGCATTTCTGAAGCAGAAATAAACTACCTGTGGACAGTGGTGGATGGAATAGTTTGCTATGCCCTAGAGCAGTGAGTCTGTTGCTTAAATGCATGCCCAAATCACCTGTGGTTCTTGTGAAAAGGGAATTCTGACCCATTAGGTCTGGGGTGGGGCCTGAGCCTGTGATTGCTAAAAACCTTCCTGATGATGTCATGCCACTGGTCCATCGGTCATACTTAAGTAGCAAGGTCAGAGAGAAGTGGTTCCCACACTCTTCTGCACATTGGAATCACCTGAGGGAGTTTTCAGACCTACTGATACCCAAATCCCACTGCAAGAGATTCTGATTTAAGTGGTCCAAGGTAAGGTGTGGGCTTTGGGCTTCTTATTTTCAGAGACAAGTTGGAGTGCAGTTGCGCATTCTTGTCTCACCACAACTTCAGCCTCCTGGGCTCAAGTGATCCTGTCGCCCAGGCTGGAGTGCAGTGGCGCAATCTTGTCTCACTCTCACCGCAACCTCCGACTCCTGGGCTCAAGTGGTCCTCTCACCTCAGCCTGAGTAGCTGGGACTACAGGCACGTGCCAAAACACCTGGCTAACTTTTTTGGTATTTTTTGTAGAGGCGGGGTTTCACCATGTAGCCCAGGCTGGTCTTGAACTCCTGGACTCAAATGATCCACCTGCCTCAGCCTCCCAAAGTGCTAGGATTACAGGTGTAAGCCACCACGCCTGGCCTGGACTTTTAAAGAGACCATCAGGTGGCTCTAATGTGCTGACAAATCTGGAAACGATCACCCTGGGTTTTGTGATTAGTGTTGTTGTATTGGACTCAAATATTTAATTAAAAAGTCATTTTAAGGAATGGACATCAACTATTGCCTTTTATTATCTATTAGTTTTATTTTATTTACAAACCAAATTAACTTAAATCCAAAATATTCTATGGAGAGTTGCACAAATATGAAAATCTGTTTGAAATCAAGAAACAGACATTCCCTTATACTGATGAGAGACCTTAATTTTCAATTTTTCTTCAGTTTTATATCATTCCCTTATCAATAGTGCATTTTTTCCCTTTGAAATTATAGTTTTTGCCAGGATGACATTCCTTTGTGCAAATAAGCCGCACTAGGTGCCTATCTGTACTCAGTGTGGGGCCGCATCGTCTTGAGGTTATCAGGAATTGAATTTGCAAAGCTGTTTTGATTCACCTTTTGCTGTTCCATTCGCCTTGTCTGAAGCCACAGGGCAGTCATTCATGGTAACAGCATGACCCCTACCCCAGGAAAAACTTTGGAGTTTCTCCCTTTCACACCCCTTCCTTGCACTCTCCCAGAAAGACCCTACAAATGAACAAAAACAGATCATGGACCCCATCTTTAAGGTTCTGAGCTCCTGGAGAATTACAAGCAAATATATTGGTCATTTTAGAGAAGTGTGTACCAAGTGCCAAGCTGTACCCTGAGGTGCTGCAAGCCACTGTGAGCTCTGTGTAGACCTGGGAAGGAATGATGGTGGCCTCCTGGTGTATGTTTTCTTTTCTTTTCTTTTCTTTTTTTTTAAGATGGAGTCTCATGCTTGTTGCCCAGGCTGGAGTGCAATAGCAAGATCTCGGCTCACCGCAACCTCTGCCTCCCAGGTTCAAGCAATTCTCCTGCCTCAGCCTCCCGAGTAGCTGGGATTATAGGCATAAGCCACTACACCTGGCTAATTTTGTACTTTTAGTAGAGACGGGGTTTCACCATGTTGACCAGGCTGGTCTGAAACTCCTGATCTCAGCTGATCTGCCCGCCTTGGCCTCCCAAAGTGCTGGGATTACAGGTGTGAGCTGCTGCGCCTGGCCTCAGGTGTTTTCAATGTATTATTTAATCCTCCCAGTAAAGCTGTGGGGCTGTCCTGATATTGTCCTGATACTGAAGCATGAAAGGTTAGGTAACTAACTTCACCTTTGCTGGGAGGCAGCGGAACTGGGATTGAACCCACTGTCTGAGACCCCATGGCCCACATCTTTCCAGTAAGTCAGGCTCATGTACTATGCTCCGCCATCTTGAGAAGCTCCACTTCCTTTTCATTTAATATCTATGAGCCTTGTACCACCAACCAGAGAGAACATGCATTTCCTAGAGCGGGGACTTGTATGTGCACTCTTTTTGTATTTATTAGAATGCTTTTGCTCTTACTAGGTGAAAAATGTTAATTTGACTTGATGGCTACTTTTTCCAAGCTCTAGGTTCCAATGGGAGTCCAAACAGTGGCACAAACCCCTTTAAGGTCTTTCAAGAAACCTGGCTGGGCACAGTGGCTGAGGCCTGTAATCCCAGCACTTTGGGAGGCTGACACGGGTGGATCACTTGAGGTCAGGGGTTCAAGACCAGCCATGGTCAACATGGTGAAACCCTGCCTCAACTAGAAATACAAAATTTAGCCTGGCATGATGGTGGGAGCCTATAGTCCCAGCTACTTGGGAGGCTGAGGCAGGAGAATCGCTTGAACTGGGAGGCAGAGGTTGCAGTGGGCCAAGACTGAGCCACTGCACTCCAGCCTGGGCGACAGAGTGAGACTCCATCTAAAAAAAAAAAAGAAACCTAATACCATAGCTACATAGAGAGCATAGTATTAGCGTTTGCCCTGACTGAGGTGTAGTTATACAGATGTCATACTATGGCACCAGAATGAAAGATGTTGATGAAAAAGTGTCAATAATAAGTAAGCCCTATCATGATAAGCTTATTCCTAGTTTATTATTATTCTATAGAAGAAAAAAGTGAATGTTAAACTCCATTTACATCATGCCAAACTGACTTATTTCATAGTATGCATTTTCCATAGCTCCCATTTGTATATGCATACATTTGGTGTTCTGATTTTTTTAATAACACTTTTATTTGTACATTTCTATTTCTTCATATAGTTTGCTAACTTGTATTTTACTAAGTAGTCCTGTTGCTTGCTGTATTGCAATTGACTTCATCAGTTTTCTACTCTTGCCATTGGAGTTGTTTCTAAATTAGTTTTTAGTATTTACTGTATAAAGTTTTTAGTACTTAAAGGGTTTAGTATTTAATGTGTTGCTAAAATAATCTCCATAAATTTGGGGGGTGAAATCACTATTTTAAAGGGCATGGAAAAATTAGAATAGTGCTTATTATGTAATTGCTTGATGGTTTTCCAGAAAATGATTATAATGTACCCAGCAAATTATGAATGCAGTGGTTCCAAAACTTGAGTTTTTCTTTCCTTAAAAAAACTTTTTTTGTTTATCTTTTGTCAGCAGGTGAATAATTAAAGTTATTTAATATTGTTTTTTAGTCTTACATGTTTGACTAGGAACAACAGAAGTTGCTGAAAAAGCTTTCCTACAGTAGTCAATTTTGAGAAAGAATGTAAAGTTGAAGAGGCATTGCCTGGAAATAAATAAGTAAGACTAGGCCGGGCGCAGTGGCTCACACCTATAATCCCAACACTTTGGGAGGCCGAGACGGGTGGATCAGGAGGTTGGTCAGGAGATCGAGACCATCCTGGCTAACACAGTGAAACCCTGTCTCTACTAAAAATACAAACAACAACAACAACAACAACAAAAAACCCGGGTGTGGTGGCACACGTCTATAGTCCCAGCTGCTCAGAAGGCTGAGGCAGGAGAATTGCTTGAACCTGTGAGGCAGAGGTTGCAGTGAGCTGAGATCATGCCACAGCACTTCAGCCTGAGCGACAGAGCGAGACTCCACCTCAAAAAAAAAAAAAAAAATTCTGGCATTTAGAGAGTAGCATGGGACAATATATGGAAATAGGAATAGAAAGGTAAAGGAACAGGAAACAAGATATGCACAGAAATGAAGTGAATACAGGTTACTGGGCAGTAGAGAAAATGAAATGGTTGTGGGTAAGGATGAAATTGAGGTAAATCCTGAAGGAAGACCAAGGAAATTTAAAATAAATGCTAAAAGTGGAGAGCGTGGCTGCAGGAATTGAAAGCATTTAGGTTATTGGGAGGTTCCTGTGCACCATGGGGAAGAGGCCTTCTTACTATCCCTCAAAGTGGACAGAAAAGGATCCCAGTTAGAAAATGATTAAATGATCGGGTGTGGTGGCTCATGCCTGTAATCCCAGCACTTTGGGAGGCTGAGGCGGGTGGATCATGAGGTCAGGAGATCGAGACCATCCTGGCTAACACAGTGGAACCCCATCTCTACTAAAAATACAAAAAAATTAGCCAGTTGCGGTGGTGGGCACCTATAATCCCAGCTACTGGGGAGGCTGAGGCAGGAGAATCATTTGAATCCGGGAGGTGGAGGTTGCAGTGAGCTGAGATCACACCACTGCACTCCAGCCTGGACGACAGAGCAAGACTCCTTTTCAAAAAAAAAAAAAAAAAAAGATTAAAGACAGATGATTCTTTTAGCCTTAGTGTGTACTTTCAGTAATGAATTCTAACTCTACATTCAAAAATACCTTCTTCTTGCACAGTTAATTATTGTGGCAAACATGAAAAATGAAATATTAATATAACATCTTGTTCTCTTTCTCTTGCCAGAAGGCGGATTTTTCCCACAACCAAATTTCTGAAATTTGTGATTTGTCAGCGTATCATGCTCTCACTAAACTAATTTTGGATGGTATCCTTTGAATAAGTAAAGGGGAAAATTTTAAAAACAATATAAAAATTAAAGACTACATATTCAAGAATTGTATTAGATTACATGGACTAGTACCAGATAAGCAATTTAATAGAGACGTGACTTATTTAAAGGACTAGGAATTGGTATTCACAAAATGAGGATAAATATTTTATTTACCAAGAAATGAAACTGTGAGTCAAAGCTTGTCAAGAGTATCTTACCCTTGAAAAGCCAAGTAAGATAGTCATTTTTCCGATAAATGTAGGCTTATTCTTATTCTAGAACCAGAGAAGAAGTTCTGTTGTAATTAACTCCTTTCTCAGTCGGGTGCGTTGGCTCACACCTGTAATCCTAGCACTTTGGGAGGCCAAGGCAGGTGGATCACCTGAGGTCGGAGTTCAAGACCAGCCTGGCCAACATGGCGGAAACCCTGCCTCTACTAAAAATACAAAAATTAGCCAGATGTGATGGGATGTGCCTGTAATCCCAGACTGAGGCACGAGAATTGCTTGAACCAGGGAAGTGGAGGTTGTAGTGAGCCAAGATTGTGCCACTGCACTCCAGCCTGGGTAACAGAGTGAGACTCTGTCTCAAAAAAAAAAAAAATTAACTCCTTTCTTCAAATTTGCTGAAACTTGTGTCCTATTTTATATAAATTCAGTATTTGAAAATCTAGATATGGTCATAAGGAAAATTAGTGATTCTTTATTTTGCAAAAGAGTTCATGATAAGTTCTTTTTAAATAGTAAGCTTTTCTAGTGTATTTTAAATATGCTTTCTTTTTTTAAAAAAAAAAAAAAACAACTTTTGATTTGATTTGCAACATAGCTATTTCATGAGCCAGGCTCCCATGCAAGCAGAGCACCTCCTTTAAAGACAGCGAGCTCCAACTTCTAGAGCCTAAGGGGCTAATTGGAGATCTGTGAGTTTAATGAGCTTGAGTCTCTTCTTCACACCAGAGACTGATGTTTTCTGGGTAGCAGGGGAGCCAGTACCTTCTTTTTCTCAGTAAGTATCTTTCTAGTCACCTGAGGATTTTGGGAGACAGAATGGAGAATGAATTGATTGCCTTGGGTGCCTCATTCAGGGATGTGACAGCAGCTAGTACACACTGCATTTGTGATAAGGCTGATACGAGGGACAACAGAGGGTACGTTTTCTTGAAGATGTATCTTGTAAAAGAAAAAAATCCTTTATTTATATATGATGGAAAGCTTGGAACATAGCACCACTCCCTTTAGAACTTGTGTGTGAAAATGAGCAATTAGTGGACATTTAGATGGTGCTTAAATGAGCAAGTTTTCCTGATTATAGCCTAACAGAGAAATCAGAAAGTGACCAATATAACATGTTTTGTTGACAAACTAAAAGCATACACATTAGCAGCATATCTCTGTAGAACCTTCACTTCATGCTTGACTATCATGTATTTTGAGTTTGCAAAGAAATAGCTGGACAGTCCAGAAGCTATCTGGCTCAGACATCCATTTATCTCAGGCTGTGTAGAGTGCTACACAGGAAGACCACAGCAGCAGCATCACCTGGAACTTCATAGAAATGCAGATTCTTGGGCTCCATTGCAGACCTAAGAAATCAGAATCTGCATTTTAATAAGACCCCCCCAAAGCAATTTGAGTGCACATTAAAGCTTAAGAAACACTGGTTGGTCTAGGCCGGGCGTGGTGGCTTATGCCTGTGATCCCAGCACTTTGGGAGGCCAAGGCGGGCAGATCACGAGGTCAAGAGATTGAGAACATCCTGGCTAACATGGTGAAACCCCGTCTCTACTAAAAATACAAAAAATTAGCCAGGCGTGGTGGCGGGCACCTGTAGTCCCAGCTACTTGGGAGGCTGAGGCAGCAGAATGGCATGAACCCGGGAGGCAGAGCTTTCAGTGAGCCCAGATGGCGCCACTGCACTCCAGCCTGGGCTACAGAGCCCGAGACTCTGTCTCAAAAAACAAAAAAAACAAAAAAAAACAAAAAAAAAATTAGCTGGGCCTGATGGCACGTGCCTGTAGTCCCAGCTACTCAGGAGGCTGAGGCAAGAGAATTGCTTGAACCTGGGAGGTGGAGGTTGCAGTGAGCCGAGATTGCACCACTGCATTCTAGCCTGGCGACAGAGCGAGACTTCGTCTCAAAACAAAAACAAGCAAACAAAAAAAAAAAAAAAAGAAAAAGAAACAACACTGGTTTGTCTAGAAGTCAGCAGCCCCTAAACTCTTGCTAGCCAGAAAGAATTCAGCAATTAGGGTTCCCTGAATGCTGATGATGCCATGGCAGTCTGGAGTTTGTTATGGAGATCTCTTGTCCCCCAGAAAAACATTCTATGTTTTGGCATGAAATTGCCAAGGAAAACAACTCCACAGTATTTTGGACTCAAAACACAGTTGAAAACATTTCTATCAAGAGAGTCTTAATTTCTATATACATTTAGCTTTCCATGTAAAAACTAAAGTATCATGACTTTGTAAATGTCAGATATAATGAAAAAAGGAATTAGGGTTTTTTTTTTCTTGACATTAGATGTAGCAATTGAGTCATCACTAAAGTATAAAAAGCTGTAATTATTACATCAAAACCAATAGAAGTTTGGAACATGGGTATATAATTAGAGTGTAACATGGCACCATTTCTCACCTGTGTTTTAAAAAATTCAAAAACAATCATTCATCAACTATTAATGAAATAAACTTCTTAGATCTCTTGCAGTTTTGAAAAGATAGTAGGCTAGTTTTGAAACAGCATGAAATATACTTCTTTCTCTCCTGTTCTGTTTAAGCATATCATATTGTGCATGATACAGGTGGTGAAGTTTTACAAGCTTTTCTGGACAACAGAAAGCAAAAATATATCTAGATTATAAATTAATCTCTTGAGGAGAAGAAAAGCCACAAGGTTAGAGTGTTTTTGAAAATATTAAAACAGTTTGATTAAAAAGAGAATTTTAAAACAACTTTTATGCCAGTACAGTTGAAAACTTGGATGAAATACAAAAATTCCTAGAAAAATATTACACATCAGTTTGGAAATAGAAACCCTGAGTAGTCCTATAACTATAAAATTAATTTACTATAAATTAAAATAAGCTAAATTAAAAAATTAAAAATCTTTCTACCAAAAAAGCCTAGACCCCAAATTTTCAAAACAGACCTTCCAATAGTGAACAAATTCTTTCAAACACTCAAAACAGAAGGCATATTCACAATTCATTTTAATTAGGTTACTTTGATATCTAAGCCAGCCAAGGAGCACTAAGATAAAGGAAAACAACAGGCTTGTCTCACTCATGATGTAGCTGTAAAAGTCCTAAACAAAATATTAGCAACAGAATCTGACAGTGTATTAAAAAGACCATGTATTACCACCAAATTGGGTTTTTCTCAGGAATGTATGGAGAGTTTAATATTAGAAAATCTATAAACATAATTAACTACATTAATAGATTAAAGGGAGTAAACCTTGTGATCCAGAGATATAGAAACTCAACAGATATAGACAATTTAATAAAATCCAGCTCTCATTCACAATGAAAACTCTCAGTAAACTAGTAATAGGGAATTTCCACAAATTCATAGAGGATGTCTACAAAAATATTTGAAACACACTTTATCCTAATTGGGTACATGTTCTAAGCTTTCTCCTTTAAAATTGGGAATAAGTTAGGATGTCTGCCATTGCCACTTCAACCCATCATTATTTTGGAGGTCTTAGCCAACACCATAAAACAAGAGAAAGAAATTAAAGGTGTAAAGGTTAGTAAGGAGAACATAAAAGTCATTCTTTGCAAATGACATGTTTATCTATAGAGAATATTAAAAATTTGCTATAAAGTACTATAAATAATAGTTTTGAGAGTTCAACATGACCAGATACGACTTCAATAAATGGAAATCTGTTGCATTTCTGTATGCCAGAAACAAGCAATTAGAAAACAACTTTAAAAAGAAACACCATTTATAAAAACAGCAAAAACAAATTTTATTAAAGATGAATAAGACTTGTGGGGATAGGGGGACTAACAAAACTCTATTTAAGGGTGTTGAAGACCTAACTAAAGAGAAATATATCCCATGTCCCTGGATAAGAAGATGGGCAAAATAAAAGATGAGAAAAAGAATTTTATGGAAAATAAATCAGAGAAGGCAAATAAACATACGAAGAGATACCAGCCTCATTTGTATTCCAAGAAATGCAACTTAAGACCACATGAGATATTGTATTACATCCATTCAATTGACAAAATTTAAGAAATCTAAACATACCAAGTGTTGGAGAACTTGTAGATCCAGAAGATCTTTTTACCTTGTTTGTGGGTATGAAATTGGTTCAACCACCGTGGAAAACAATTTTATATTGTCATATAAAGTTGAGCATCCAAGTTCACCATGACCTAGTACTTTTATTCCTATATGTGGAAAGTTTAGTATATGTGTACCTGGAGCCTTGTATAAGAATGTTCATAGCAGTATTGCTTGTACTAGTAAAAAATTGAAACAGCCCAAACACACATTCATAAGAGAAAGCATAAGTTATGGTATAGTCACACAATAGCATATCATACAGTAGAGAAAATGAATGGAATATATCTACATGCATGTAAATATAATTTAGGCATAAAACTAAGGGAGGAAGGGAAGAAGAAAGAGACAACTGAGCATAGTTACTGTCTCTGGGAAGGAGACACAGGGTAGATTTAAGTTGTTAATTTTCTGCTGATTGGGCTGTGGGGGCACTAGTTTCAAGCATGCTCATTATATTTTTAAAAATAAATAAAATCAGTCAAGCATAGGTCAATGGTGAATCAAGTATTAAACTTAACCCAGCTCTATGTAAAAATTTAAAAACCTGAAAATTATAAATTAATTTCTTTGAAAATAATTATTTAAAATTAAAAAAATCAGTTGAGCTAGTAATACTGACAGTGTAATTGTAGTAGATTATATCTAATATCTCAGAATGAATTGTTAACTATAAGATACCAATTTTTTTATTTTGTTATGCTATTTTGTCTTTCCATATGTGGATAATTGATGATTAATTGATAATTATCCTAAATTGCAATACAATAAGCTTTGCCAAGTTTATGTAAATATACTTATTCTTAAGAAAGAGTACAGTTTATTCTTTACCTGTAAACATTGACTAGTTGTTTTTTAGAATTTATTTTATGATGATAGAATAATGGAATTGAAAAATTCATAGAAATTTAATTCCAGACAGAATTTTAGAGACCATCTAGTGCTAATCACTATTTTATTTTGTGGAAGAGGAACCTGAGACTCCAGAAGGGTCAACAACTTGCCCCAGATTATTTGGTAAATGGTTAAACTGAGACTTCTGAATTCCACTGTTTTTCCCATGTTGCAATTCATTGAGTAATTACAACTTTTGTCACAGAGGCATTTAAACTATGCGTGTTTCTTTTCTTGGAGAGATTTTCTCCTATAGTGAAGAGCATTTTTCACTGGTAAGGTGATACAGATCTTTCAGGATTGGTTTTGATTAAAGCCATCATTGCAGCTCTCTCCACTAAGAGAACTGTGGTGGATTTCCTACTATTTCTCAGTAACTGTTTGCTATACACTTGAACCATATTTTATGATTGTAGACAAACGAATAAGAGCAAATACTGAACTAGTGAATAATTCATGTCAAGCATTGTGAACTACTGTCAGCATCGTCAAAATGTAAAAATATGTTGTTGGGCTTTACCCCAGTTGTAAAGTTATGCTTAAGTGCCACAGGGTTCCTTCATTCAGTTTCCCCAAGGATCTACAATTTCACTTTAAAAGATTTATTCACAGAATCATAAAAGTTTAGAGCTGGAATGCGGTATGATGATTTTGAGTTCTTTTGAGTTTCTTTCTCCTGATACTGGTCTTTTAAAATTAAAATATACGTAAGAGGATTAACCCAGTAAGCTAATTCATTGTAATGTGTAGTGATTTATCAGATTATGTTTCTTCTTATCAGGAAGTCCCGAGACCTGTGAAAGAACACGAATAATGTTAGGAGGAAGGGCAAGTAACATTTTGTGAAGGTCCTTAAGAGAATGAGAGATTGGGGAGATAAAGATATTGAAGACCATCTATGAACTCAAAGCTCTCTATGGCCCAGGCCTGCATATTGACTGTTGGCAGTGCCACCAGGCCCACATGAGGTGACTGTGGGAGCAAGTAGAGGAAAAAGCTGTTGTATCACTGTAGAAAGTTCTCTTTACTCAGGAGCCTGATTAATTTAGAGTGTCTGAAATTCCTTGATATTTGAAGGAGAGTGAAAAGCTGAGAAACAGGAGGAAATAATTTTTCTGGAATGAGCATATTTCTCAACAGAGATGTTCAGGCAACTCCTGCTCCTTTGCCCTAGTGGTGTTAGTAACCGCAATGGTACCTGCAGAAACCATAGGTATGATTGCAGTGAGCATCTGAATTCCTCCTCCTTTCTGTCCTTGCAGTGCTGATTTCAGAACACGTGACTAGCTGTGGGATTCCAAGCTAGAGAGTAAGATGGATGTGCCAAGGGAACTGTGGTTAGCCTCTAATGTCTTAGAAAATTACTGTAGACACAATAAACAAGCTTTCCTTTTTGATTCCTGATATCTCTTGATAATTTCAGGATTCCTGTTTTCTAGTTTTCTGATCCTTGCCTGCTTCCCATGAGAATACTTCCTGAGGCAGATACCCACAAGCAGTGGTTTTATTCTGCCATGATTCAGAGTATCTTCATCTTGGTTGGGGTAGAGCTACCAGGACACTTTAGTACTCCTAAAATAGGACTTAAACATGATTTCTGTCTCTGCTAAACTGAGACAGATGGCCATTCGAAGTTTTCCTTGCATAGTTTTTGTTGCCAAAGATTGCCTGCTCCAAGGGTATTTTATTTCATCCATACCTGAGTGAGATAGTTTAATCTCCTATTTCTTATGTTTCATATTCATATTTTGTTACAATCCGTATCTACAAAGATCTGGTCTTTGTTCTAGTTCCAGAACAATTATTTAAGCAGCCCAAAGAAAGTAGAACCAGAAAGGATAGTATTAGTGAGCATAAACATCTGTTTGTAGGGCTATTCTGGCAGGAAGCTTTATGAAAACAGATTTGAAAATGCATATTGACCACAAACAGAGCTATACTTCAGTCTAAGGATTGAAACTGAAACCATTGAGGAAAACCCAAGAATTTCTGGTACATTTTACATTTTTGTCTAGTTTCCTTATTTACCTCTTTCTCTGGCGTAGGTATTTTCAGGCTTAATCCCAGCCTTGAATTTTCCATTTCTGTGCTATTGACCAAGAGGTAGAGGACGTGCTTCCTTGGCCTCATGTAATATAATTTGGTAATGGTATCAATGCTTTATAATTGTGAGGTGATTTATGGTTTGTTGCTCATTCATACCCATTTTCTAATTTTTTTCCCATGACCTAACTTTTGGCCTTAATGGCCACCTGATATTATCCCCACTTTAAATGAAAAATCTACTAAGTAGTAAAGTTGGGATAATTACAAATAATTATGGAGGCAAAATGTTTTTGTGATATTTATGACTTCTTCCTTCTTGCTTAAAAAAATTGTTTGTTTCTCTGATTAACGGAAGGAGATAGCTGGAGATTAGAAGATGACCAGGAGAGGCTTTGAGGAAGAAATGGTTTGTCTAGAATACATACTAAGAAATGGAATGGCTGTGACATATTTACAGTTATGATAGACATTGCAAAATTGCCTCTAAAGTGGCTATATCATAATGAACTCTCTCAGTAGTATAAAAGTATCTGTTATTCAAAACCTTTTACTTTAAAGTGTTTGCCAAGCTGATGGGTAAAGAATGGCAGTTTATCTTAATTTGCATTCTCCTGACTACAGGTGAGACAGAACGTCTTTTCATGTGTTTATTAGCCACTTAGATTCACTCTTTCGGAAATTGCCTGGGCATATTCGTTGTCCGTTTTTTATTAGGTTGTTTTTTTTTCTATTGATTTATTGTCATTTTTAATGTATTCTAGGTAGAATCTTTTGTCTGCTAGTATATATTGTGAATATGGTCTCCTAGCCTATCATTTTCACTTATTTGTGTATTTAAAAAGTAATAGTAAGAAAATAAGTGTTATATGTCAAAAAGAAATACTTAAGATATTGATTTAATGTGAGTGTTAAAAAAATAAGAAAAAAGTGGGATTTGGAGTTATCTTGAAGAATGGGTATGGTTTAGAAAGGAGCAAGAAAAAGAAAGTTCTTGGTACATTCCAGAACTATTGTGAAATTGACCTGGCAGAAATAGGGAATTCTCATTGGATGATGATGTGGATGAAACTGGATAAATAAGTTTTGTTTATAGTGAAGGGCCTTAGATGGCAGAGTGAGGAATCTGGAATTCTATGAGAATTTTTTAATTGAAACATGATATTCAATCAATATTTAAAAAAAATTAATCTGCCTACAGTGTGTAGAGTGACTTTAGGGCAGAAAGTAATGGATATTTGTGTAACTATTGATGTTAAAGGTGAGTTAAGTTGGCAGAGGAATGAATAAAAAGGAAAGAAATCATTAAAGAGATATTTTAAGGCAAAAAAATGGCAGGTCTTGGTGATTGGATGCCTCACAGATTATGAGTGGCTGAGAAATGGAGATGTCATGGGTTACTTGAGAGGAAAAACTGAGCTTTGATGGGGAAATGACATTAAATCCTGGAAATTGGTCAAAGAGATTGAGAACAGAGAGAGCTGAACAGAATTATGACTTTGAAATTGTAGTGTTAGGTGACTACAAGATGGAACACAGAAGGTAAGCTAAAATTTTCACAATAAATGGAATTTAACGGATGAAGAAAGTAAGGCAGAGTTTAAGCCTCATTGATTTTATGATTGAATGATTTTATGACCTCATTGATTGAATGGAGGTCAATGTAGACGGAAAGAAAGGGCTGTTCCTTTCTCTAACAGGGTATTGGTCTTTGGACCACCCATTTGCTGCAGATGACATCTCCCAGGCTCTTAGCCCAGTTATGAGGATGATAATGCATGGTGCATGTTGCCCCTGCAGGGTGATCTGGTAGTCAGAAGTTCTGCCTGTGGGAACACACATGAGTTTCTCATGGAGACTTAACTGATCGAGGGAAAACACACTGCCAATGAGGCAGCTATGAGCCACGGTGATTTTTCTTTCCGTACTGATTAAATGAGTCAGATACAATCCAGCACACTCAAAAGCTATGCGTTTTTTTGAGACGGAGTCTTGCTCTGTCGCCCAGGCTGGAGTGCAGTGGCGCGATCTCTGCTCATTGCAAGCTCCGCCTCCCGGGTTCACGCCGTTATCCTGCCTCAGCCTCCCGAGTAGCTGGGACTACAGGCACCCACCACCACGCCCGGCTAATTTTTTTGTATTTTTAGTAGAGACGGGGTTTCACCGTGTTAGCCAGGATGGTCTCGATCTCCTGACCTCATGATGTGCCCACCTCGGCCTCCCAAAGTGCTGAGATTACAGGCGTGAGCCACCGCACCCAGCCACTATGCCTTTTTAAAATAAAAATTGTATAAAATATGACATGTTCTGTATGAAAAAATATATTTCAGGATTAATACTCATCCTATATTGGGCATATAATCGTTCTTTATTTAAGCTGTGGTCTGCTTTGTCTAGTGATGATTTAACACTGATTCTTTTTTTCTTCCAAATGCTTTTAATAACATTTTCCTTAAACGTAGTCATGGTGTATAGGCAATGAGATAGAAGAAATCAGTGGACTAGAGATGTGCAACAACCTAATTCACCTTAGTTTGGCCAACAATAAGATCACGACAATTAATGGCTTAAACAAGTTACCAATCAAAATACTTTGTCTGGTGAGTCTAACAAAATGCTGTTCTTTATAGAAGTAGTAGTTAATGCTTTTAGTAACTACATGAATTATGACTACTTAGGATTCAAATATATAAAGAGAAAATTCCTTCATGAAATGTTATTGTCTTCAGTTTTGTTTGCTCCTTTCTTTACCATTTGTGTGTGTGTGTGGTTGTGAGAGAGAGAGAGAAAGAAAGCAATATTTCATGCTAAAGTAAAATGATTTGCTAATTTGTTATCCAAATTCAGTATTTTAAATGATCAGCTTTTTTATACTGGGAAAGAAAGGTATACTTTTAGTATGTATTTAAAAATATTTTTTATAGTATCTTATTGGTGAAAATAACATTTAAGGATACTTAAGCATAATATTTATTGCTGTTAACACTTTAACTGCTTTCAAATGAACCACAAGATGTTTTCTGGGCACTGAATTTTGACAGTCCTTTTATTTTAACATGTGTTAGTCAGTCTTCCACTATAGAAAATCAAAAATAGTGCTAAGAATAAATGAACAATTCCAATCAGAAAGTTTAAATTTGATTATTTTTCCCACAGAGAGCACTCTTTCGAAGCTGTGTGACCTGCTGTGTGACTATGACTCAATTTACAGAAATTCAGCAGGATTCTAATAGTCCCAAAGATATACACAGTATTTTTGAAATAACAGGATAGCTCCCTAACTTGGGGGTCTACAGTATTGACTGTGAAATATCCAGGATTCTTTCTTCTCCTTTCTCCTACTTCTTACCCTCTTGGATGGTTTTGCTGTTCTTCATTACATCTATCATGGGGTCAGCAGGCGGGATTTCAAGCCATGAGGCTTGTAGCTTGTAAATTTCTTACAAGAACTATCCCACAGGGGGTTGTTGAAACTGTTGCTTGAAATGACATCTTGGGCCATGCACTGCAACTCATGCCTGTAATCGCAGCACTTTGGGAGGCTGAGGTGGGAGGATCACTTGAGTCCAGGAGTTCGAGACCAGCCTGGGCAAATAGCCAGACACTGTCTCTACAAAAAATAAAAAATTTGCTGGGCATGGTGGCACAAGCCTGTAGTCCCAGCTACTTAGGAGGGCTGAAGTGGGAGAATCACTTGAGCCCAGGAGGTCAAGGCTGCAGTGAGTCACGATCATGTCACTGCACTGCAGCCTGGGCAACAGAGTAAGACCCTGCCTCAAAAAAAAAAAAAAAAAAGGAAAGAAATGACATCTTGGATTATCTGCTGATTTTTGACATATACAATATACTATTTCTGTCTTATTTAACCATAGATCACTGAAGATTGGCTATGTGTTAGTTTTTCTTTCCCTTAGCTTAGAGCTCGAAGTGCTTTCTTAAAACTCTTCCAGGCTGGGCGTGGTGGCTTGCGCCTGTAATCCCAGCACTTTGGGAGGCTAAGGCGGGTGGATCATGAGGTCAGGAGTTCAAGACCAGCCTGGCCAAGATGGTGAAACTCCGTCTCTACTAAAAATACAAAAATTAGCTAGGCGCGGTGGTGGTCCCCTGTCATCCCAGCTACTCGGGAGGCTGAGGCAGGAGAATTGCTTAAACTCAGGAGGCGGAGGTTGCAGTGAGCCGAGATCGTGCCACTGAACTCCAGTCTGGGTGACAGAGCAAGACTCCGTCTCAAAAAAACAAAACAAACAAAAAAACATCAACCAAACCTCTTCCATTCCTGCAGTGAGTTAGGTCAGGATAAAGTATTGGCATCCCAGTACTGAGGATGAACCTGAGGGTTTGATAATTTTCCTGATCTTTCATGTTTTCCGCCCATGAAGGCATGTGAGCAAAACATAAATGAAAATGCATTCAATAAATTAGATTGAAAATGTTTAAGTTAGAAAAGAAAGTCAACTTTTAAAATTTACGACAATCTGAAGGATTTTTAGCAGCATGTGTGCTTCATTTTGTGGTCTGTTAGAATCTTGTTCTTTTCTTTACATGTCTTCTCTGTATTGATGTTCCCATTCATTTAAAGTGGAGCATGGTAAACAGACAAAGATATAGGGGTGTGCTTAAGGGAATGAGAATGAACTCATTATTAAGAATTATAATACGTAGCATTTTCATCCTAAGAGTGTGTTTCAATTACAAAATAAATAATCCATGTTGATAGTTCTGTCTCAAGTAGCTTTTAGAAAAAGGATAGAATACTTCTATTTTCTTAGATTTGGTGGATTGTTCCCAATCTCTGCCCTCATCACCCAAGATCAACTAGAATACACAGAATATACTGTCATTCATTTTTCTTAATTTTTTGATAATAGAAAGGTTTTCTTTTCCAAAGTTTAATAAAATCTATAAAATTTGTTTCAATAGTTTTTAATGCTTTTATTTTTAATTCATGGAATCAAGAAACCAGTAGCTTTAGTTACTATTGAAAATAATTTACATTACAATTTAGAGAAAGAAGAACAATTCACCATATGAACCAACTGTTAATTCTCGAATGTCAACTTTTATGATAAATATAAGGGGAAAATGTGGTTCACTAATGGGCTGTTCTGTCATCCAGCTTCTTAGCAAGTAATGACAATGCATTCCAAAC
Organism: Homo sapiens; assembly: GCF_000001405.40. Taxonomy (NCBI): domain Eukaryota; kingdom Metazoa; phylum Chordata; class Mammalia; order Primates; family Hominidae; genus Homo; species Homo sapiens. Next base: position 134,160,709 of record NC_000007.14, read on the forward strand.
TTTAAAATTCATTTCGTCACAGTAAATGCTGCTTGTTTTTTTCTTCCAAAATTGGTTGGTTGAGAATGTTTCTAATTTCATTTATTCAAGAAAGTGGCTTTATTCTAAAAGTCTTTTCCCAACTAATCATTATGAAACAAGCAGGAAGAAGCTTGTTTGTTTCAGAAGCTGGATGTCCACTTTTAGGAGAGATACATTGGTTTTTCAGCATTGGATGAAGAGTTTAACTAGATAGCTTTCAATTCAGAAATTCTGTGATTCTAAATTTTTTTTCAGTTGTGGTTTCTTTTATGACATGACAGTAGGCTATCTAATTAAACTTGTCTATGCCTCACTATTCTCATGTCATCTACCACTTTGAAAGCCATTAGAGATACTGTCGGAAGCATTACAGTCTATCTACCACACCTAAGGGACTTCAAAATTCTGTGGGAAGAAGTGTATTAAGAAGAATTACAGTCTATCTACCACATCTAAAGCATTTCAGAGTTCTTTAGAAAGAAATATATTGTATATAAATTTGATATGTGGGGATATTTTGAATAGGCTATTGGGGTCTTATTGCAGTATGTTAAATTAATATGGATATGACATTAAGTTTGGTGTAGTTTTTTTTCTTTCCCTTTTCTATTATGCTTTATATAACTTTTTTGAACTCTGGACAGAAGGAAATTTGACTTTACTTTGGCAAATGGATTATGGGTATTTTTTTCTATTTATTATGATATTTTTCAAACATATATAAAAATAAGAAGAATACTATGATAAACCCTTGTGTGCTATCACTTAGCTTTGTAGATTATCGGCATTCTATTAACATGTTTTTAAAAGCCATATAATTATATTAATGAACACAAATCTTGCTCATTATTGAAATGAAATTTTATTTTAAAAATAGGAAGAAAATGAGCTCTTGCTATGAAATGTACCAGAAAACGTGTACCAGGGAAAATATAGAGGGAAGAAAATTATTGTTATTCTTTTTTTTTTTTTTTTTTTTGAGACGGAGTCTCGCTCTGTTGCCCAGGCTGGAGTGCAGTGGCACGATCTGGGCTCACTACAAGCTCCGCCTCCCGGATTCACGCCATTCTCCTGCCTCAGCATCCCAAGTAGCTGGGACTACAGGCACCCGCCACCACGCCTGGCTAATTTTTTGTATTTTTTTAGTAGAGACGGAGTTTCACCATGTTAGCCAGGATGGTCTCGATCTCCTGACCTCGTGATCCGCCTGCCGCAGCCTCCCAAAGTGCTGGGATTACAGGCCCGGCCAAGAATAATTGTTATTCTTATTTGTTGTTATGGGTATATGGAGATTGAGGAAGAAGACAACATTTCAGTCTTAAATCTTCGTTTTATTCTGATTATTGAGGAAGATGCTTTTGTGTGAATTATTGAAAAACTTGGTTTGGTTATCTACTGTTGCATAACAAGCCACCCCAGTTGTAGTGACTTGGAGAAATAACCATCCTATTAACTAACAATTCTGCAATCTGAGCCAGGCTCAGCTGGGAGGTTCTTCCACTGGGCTTGCTGCATTTAGCCGGCATCTTAGTTGGGGGCTTGGCTCAGTTGAGAGGCTGGGATGGCAAGGTTTTTCTCTCTATTTAGTGTCAGGGTGTCTCCCCATGTGACATTTCCTTTTCCATATAACCTCTCCACAAGTTCTCTCCAACACAGTAGCTGCAGTTCTTATGTGGTAGCTCAGTACTTCTGAGACACAAAAGCAGAAGCTGTCAGGCCTTCTTAAGTCTTAGGCTGGGAACTGGCACACTTCTACCATATTCTTTGGTGAAGCTAATTCATAGGTCCAGCCTAGGTTTAAGAGGAGGGGACCACGGCCAGGTGCAGTGGCTCACGCCAGTGATCCCAGCACTTTGGGAGGCCGAGGTGGGTTGATCACTTGAGGTTAGGAGTTTAAGACCAGCCTGGCCAACATGATGAAACCCCATCTCTACTAAAAATACAAAAATTAGCCAGGCATGGTGGTGCGTGCCTGTAGTCCCAGGTACTTGGGAGGCTGAGGCAGGAGAATCACTTGAACCCCAGAGGTGGAGGTTGCAGTGAGCCGAGGTCGTGCCACTGCACTCCAGCCTGGGCTACAAAGCCAGACTCCTTCTCAAAAAAAAAAAAAAAAAAAAAAAAAGAGTGGACAGAACTGCCCAAGGGCAGGAATAACTGGGGGCATGGCTCATTGGAGAATGCTAATATAACAGACTACTAGCACCCTCACCACATGAGTGATTACATTTAGGGTGTTTCTGAAAACAAAATGTATGTGGGGATTATAATAGTCAAGTGGCTTCTTGTGATGATGATGAAAGAGTTACATTAAATTTATGTTTCTAGTGATATATCTGGAGTTATGCTGTCATTACACTTCAGGTGTGCAATGTTAAAACCTTATATTACCTGCCTTTTTCTTTCTTACTGATTTGAATACTCATCTTGCTTTAACTTTAATGAAAATATTATATTCTGAATTTTCCACCTGGAAAACTGGAACTTCTTTCTGGGGTATGTGTAGGTGTTTAGAGAGGTGAATGATGGAAATGGGATGGAGGGAAGGACAAGAATGCCTTCTTGATTTTTTTTAGAGAGATTTGGGTCAGTATCCCAAATGAAAACTTGCCATTACAACTTTTCCTTGAGAGGTCTTTGAGACATTAAATATATTTTTTTCTGTTTTAGAGCAATAACCAGATTGAGATGATCACAGGTTTGGAGGATCTGAAAGCCCTGCAGAACCTGGATCTGTCCCACAATCAGATAAGCAGCCTCCAAGGCTTAGAGAATCATGACCTCCTGGAAGTGATCAACCTGGAGGATAATAAGGTAGTGTTGCACTTCACATGTCTTGGTTTCAGTGTTGACATAAGAGGACATATTAGAGACTTAGCACACACCCTTCATTTTTGGTTTCTTAAGGGCGGACACATTAAATGTCAGCTTAGAAATATTGTTCTAGCAAAATTCCTGGAGTAGTTGCAGAAGGGTTGTTTTTAAAAATACTTACAATCTTAATTATTGAAAATGTGATGATTCCTAATTACATTGTTTTTAAGGTTTAAACTGCAACCACGTGTGGATGATTTTCTAAAGTATACATGTTCATTCAAAATTTTGTGTAGAAAGATGGCAGTAGGAATGTCTGAAATATCAGAGTAAGGAGGTTGGAGATATAAGAATAGCCATTGGCTGGTGTTGCTCCATATCTGCCATTTAAAGAAAAGTCTAGGGCCATGATGGGGGGAGTGTTGGGAAGATGTTGGTCAAAGGATACAACATTTTGGTTACATAAGGAGTTTGTTTCAGAGATAGATTGTATAACATGGCGATTATCGTTAATAAAAATATATTGTGTTTTTCCATGCTGAGAGAGTAGATTTTAAACATTTTTACCGCAAAAATGATTACTTTGTGATGTAACACATTTCTTAAATAGCTAGATTTAGCCATCCTACAATGTAACATGATGATTTGATGAATTTCAAGTCATGATGTTGTACACAGTAAGTACATATAATTTTATCTGTCAGTTTAAAAATATTAAAAAGTTTTAAAAATGCAAATACCCTAGGAAAGGCTTAAACCCTCAAAAATAAAATAAAGAGAAGAGGCACAGGAAGGGAGTTCTTATATACCAATCTGCATGGTGGCTTGGGGACTGGGTTTACTCAAATTTTCAGGTCTGGCTTAATAACGCACACTTTACTTCAAAAACCACAGAAACTGGCTTTCACTCTTAATTACATTTTATTTTTAATAAAGCATTTGTGTTCCTAATCATGGCATATTAAGTTGGTAACTTTAGCAAACTTCTTATGCTGTAAGGTCTACAACGTTATTTTATTTATATCGAATACTTTATCACATTTTTGGGAGAATGCTTTCATAAGGAAGTTCAATGTTTATTTCTTCTTGAAAATGAAAAATTGGGCTGAGCCTGAAAGGGACAGTTGGTGCCAGCTCAAGTGAGCTGGGGTGTTGTGGGGATCTTGCTGTGTTCTGCTGTGGTGGTGCTTGTCGGTTTTGTGTGATGAGCCTTTTTTCCAACAGACTTCCCTCATCTGTTAGGTTGCTAAGAATCAAGAAAAGTCAGTTATTAGTCCTGGGAACAGAGGAGTTTTCAATCACAGACAAAGCTGTTCATCTTCATTCTCCTTGACTTGTATATTAAGTTGTTTTGGCAACTTCTCCAGTTAATTCTGGTGGACAACCTTTGTTCACTGTACCACGTGTCTTAGGAAGTCCACACAATCTCCATCTCATGTGGTTTTAGTGTCCTGTTCATGCATTTGCCATTGAAGACTGATTTTCAGAAAATTTCTTACTTAAAATGATTCTCACATATATACAGAGGCTGGTGAAAGGGTGGAAAGCTCTCATTAAATCTCAACTCAATGCATCTCAGGATTTAGGAAAAGGAGTAACAATAATGATAATAATAACAATTCAGGTCATAAAATAATCTAGAGATATTTGTTGAGTACTTATGTACCAGGCACTTTCCTAAGTACTTTATCTCATGTAATCCTTATTATAACCCTATTATTATTGTCATTTTACAGATGAAGAAACAGGGGCAGAAAGAGGTTAAGTAACTTGCCCAAAGTCATATATCCAGCAAATAGCAGAGCCAGCCTGCACATAGAGAATGGTTTGCCTCCGGTTTCAATGTTCTTAACCTCTGCAGGGTGATATAGTGCATAAAATGCTAATGGGCCTCCCTTCTGAAAGGGCCTGTTGTAATGCCCCAATACAGTGCTTTCTCAGCGAAACATCACGTGAGCCACAGATGTCATGTAAAATTCTCCAGTAGCCACAGTAAAAAGATGCAAAGAAACAGGTGACATTAATTTTAATAATGCATTTTACTTAACCCAGTAGATCCAAAATGTTGTCATTTCAACATGTAATCTACATACAAACTTATTGATGAGATATTTAACCTTCTGTTGTTTCATACTAAGTTTCTGACATCCAGTGTGTATTTTACACTTAAAGTATGTCTCAATTCATCCTGGCCATATTTTAAGGTCTGGGCAGCTGCATGTGGCTAGTAATTACCATATGGGACAGCACAGATCTAGAAATACCTCATAAATAGTATGTTGTTCTCTTCCATTTCAAGAGGCTTTTCAAATTGTATTTGACAAACTTTAAAGAAAAAAGAGGAGTATCATCACGTGAAGAAAGGAGTTTATAATTTTCAAATGTTAAAGAGGCTCCATGAAAAAAAAGTGGCCACGTGTCCCAAAGGGGGATCCTTTGGCACCCATGAGCTCTGTAACAATCACCTAATTCCCCGACTCCCCCTGGGCAGGTTGAGGAGCAACCCGCAGGCTCCCCAAATATTCTTTGAGCCTTCAGGAAAGTTCCTCAGAGAACTCTACAGGACTACCGAGAATACTGTGTATCTCGGTGGAAAATTTATCATTTAGCAGAAACATAACCTAGCTTCTGCTTCTCATATGATTAATCTGATGTTAAGAATATTGTTTTATTGGTAGCACTTCATCAGTATTATGTACTTGGTTTTAGCAATTGAAACATTGTAGCACCCACATGTGATCATTTGAACATCTTCTTAAGGCCACTTGAGAATGTTTACCATCAGCTGGGAATTTGGGGACCTTAGTTACCCTCTACTCTGTAGTCTTGTTAGATTTTATATCATTTCCAGCATTTAAAACATATCCCAAGCTGTTAGCTCTATTATAACCTCAGTCCTTTCTTCTAGAAGCAAGATATCAGTCTGGGAGTGACTTCGAAAAACGCTGTCTTACTTCTCTAAGTCTCAGTGTCGTTATGTCACACTGTTGGTTCCCAATTACTTTTCTGAATTTTTGTGAGGATTCACAAGGTAATACTCATAAAGCAATGGCAGCATGGAGAGAACTTGAATCCTGAGTAATAACAGTGCTCCTCCCAGAGCTCCCCATCTCTCCATTCTTTGCAGTGCTCTGGCTTTCCTTCTAAATCATTCTCTTGAATGCTGACGGAGACAATGGCAGCTGAAGACCATTATTCCACTCAATTTTTGTGCTGCTTTGTATAGAAGGAACATTCTTTGCCGAAGACTCCTTGCTTCTTGTTGTTCAAAGACAGATGCCATTTAATGTCCCCGGCAAGCAATGTGCATTACCCCCCTCTTCACTGAACCCTGGCTCACACTTCTCTTCACATACGTGAGCAAAAGGAACTTTGGGGGCATTAAACCCAATCAGGCTTCTAAGTGAATTTAATTTCTCTCTGGATTTAAGTTTGTTAGATTAGGCCTGTAATGAGAAGGGTTGGACTGGGTGAGTCCTTGGGGCCTCCAGGGGCTGACAACATTGATGCAGAGGCATGCCATTGATGCTCGCGTGATCAGATCTCCTGCTAAAGTCAATCTCCATTCCACCTGGCCAACATACTCCTGCCCTGGGATGCAAACAGGAGGGAGGACCCCTTGGAGGTCTTTGGCCTCCTTACACCCAAAGGTGATGCCCAAGGCAGGATACCCTGATCTGCTCAGCAACTGCTCTCTGGATAGTCTTGGCTCTCTGCAGAGAGTGCTGATGGGTGCACACTTTAAGTCCAGGTTTTGATGCTGCTTCATCACTTTTACAAACAATTTTTGAACTCTCAGACCAAGGTGAATGTGACTTTCCCCTTTGCCCCTGACCCCTTTCTTAATGCCTGTATCACAGTGATGGACTTGGCCTGCTTCCTGGTGCCCTGGCTCCATGGTGATGGGGTCAGCAGGGATAGTTACCCTTTGCCTGCTTTAGCACTGGCTCACTGAGTAGAGTGCCGGCCGTTGAACAGGAGACCGCAGGTTCCACACCGTCTGACTTGGTTAGGCCAGCTACGCAGGACTGGCTGTCAGTGGCCAGTTTATGTGACTGAGGATAGAGACCAGCACTCTTAGGGGCAGCTGGTGGGGTGCAGTGCTCCCTTGCAGAAGGGGCGGGAATGTGAAGTCAGCCATTTTCTTCTGATCCTCATGCAGATCCAGCGTATTTCCACCTCTGGAGCTTCATGACAGCTGGTGTCTCTGCTGGAAGCTTTTCCCCACATCTTCAAATAAATTCACTTCATTTCATTTAAGCCTCTGGCAAACTCTCATGAAAAAAGGCCTCTGACCCCGTCTGGCCTCTCCAGCACCCCCTCCCTGTTTTCTTTATCCCTTTACACTGTTTAATTTATCATTAGTACTTACTGTTACCTGGGGTTATGTCATATTGCATATTCTAGTTTCACATCTGTTACAGTTCACTGGCTTTCCAACTAGAATGTTAACTTCATGAGCTCTGGGACTTTATCTTGTTCACTTTTGAGCAATGCCTGGCTCAGAGGTGTCATTGAAGAATATTTGTTTTCTTGGCCAGGCATGGTGACTCACATCTGTAATCCTGGAGCTTTGGGAGGCCAAGGTAGGCTGATCACTTGAGGCCAGGAGTTTGAGACCAGCCTGGGCAACATAGCAAGACTCCCATCTCTTCCAAAAATAATAATAATAAAAAAAACTGGGCATGGTGACGTGTGCCTGTAGTCCCAGCTACTTGGGAGGTTGAGGCAGGAGGATGGCCTGAGTCTAGGAGTTTGAGGCTGCAGTAAGCTATTATCACACCACTGCACTATAGCCTGGGCAACATCACGACACCCCCATCTCTTATAAAAAAACAAAGAATATTTGTTGACTGAATGCAGGACCCTCAGGAGCTCTCAGGAATACCCAGATTTGCCTCCCTTCTATCAAATGCTTGGTTGATGTTTGAGCTGCATGGGATGAGATTCTGGAATGACTGTGTATAAGAAGTGAGGCTTGAGTGTCTTCCTACAGGGCAGAGAAGGGAGATGGTGAATGGAGATCACAGGAATGGCTTGAGCTGAGAGGACAAGGGCCTTCAATCAGGTAGCAGTAGTAAGGAAGGGAAGGAAGGCTGGGGTCTAGAGTTATTTCTGAGGAAGAATTACTAGGGCAGATTGGAGGTGGTGGATGAGGAAGAAGATGTGGCTGAGGATGACTCCCGGGTTTGCAGCTCAGGTGACTCAGGTAACTGGGTGACAGTGCTGCCATCCAGCCTCCTTACTGTCATCGAGAACCCCTGGTTCATGGTTCTTTATCTTGTCCTAAACCTTAGAGGCAGAGTGTCCCATTCCAACAGCAGGGTGGGGACATGCTGTGCCAGCTCTCTGTGACAGAAGGCAAGCCCTGGCCATGGAGCCACTTCTCTTGGAAGCTAATCCTTACTAAGTATAGTGGGTGGAATTGTGTGCCCCTCCCCTCCAAAAAGCCTACCCTCAGGAAACTGAATGTCCCCTCATGTGGAAAGGGGTGTTTGCAGATGTAATCAAGTTCAGGATCTAAAGAGAAGAACATCTTGGATGTAAGGTGGCCCTAAACCCAATGTCCTGATAAGAGGCTGAAGGGAAGAAGACACACACACACACACACACACACACACACACACACACACACACACACACACACACACACACTGAAGGCCATGAGAAGACCCAGGTGAAGATGGGGCAGAGATTAGAGTTATGTTGCTGCAAGCCAAGCAAGGTCTGGAGTTACTGGAAGCTGGAGAAGGTAGGGAAGGGTTCTCCTCCAGAACCTTCTGAGAGAGCACAGGACTGCTGACACCTTGATTTCAGACTGCTGGTCTCCAGAACTGTGGAAGGAAGAAATTTCTGTTGTTTTAGACCTCCAGGTTTGTGGTAGTTTGTTATGGAAACCCTAGAAAACTTATATATCAAGTGAAACTGTATGTCTGGGGAATAGAGGATGAGGTCTGAAAGTTATTCTTCACTATGATCTTTTGTAATTTCTGCTTTTTATGTTTTATTGAAGAAATTTCTCTATACCCTAAGGTTTTAAATATTCTTATATATTTTCTTATAATTTCAAGTTTTGTTTTTCCATATTTAGTCTTTAATCCAATTGGGATTTACTTTTGTGGGTACTGTGAAGTGGGCATCTAGTTCCCAGGTAGGAAACAAATTGTCCCAACATTTCAGAATTCTGATTAATACTTGTAAAATATTCTATTGAATGGATAAGTCAGGATTTATTGAGACATTTACTTATTGAAATTTATGTTTAAAATTTGTTGTAGTATATATTCTTATTTATAAATCTTTAAGTGTATTTTAAATTATTTACTTAGGATAGATTCTTGGAAATACCATTACTGGATATAGGCATTTTTAAGACTCTTACTATATTTCATAAAGATTCATACTAATTAGTGTCCTACCAGCAGTATATGAAGTTAGAATACTATATTATAAGCACATCTTACTACACCTTTGTGAGCAAATATCTTTTAAAAATTATGTCACTCTGGTAGAGAAAAACAGTATTTTGCATTATTTTATATAAAAATTTTTGATTACCCATGAGGTTAAACATTTTTTTGACCTGTTTGTTAGACACTTAGTTTTCTTTTTAGAAATTGTCTATTCATGCCCTTAACTATCATTTATTTTATTATCGTTCTTCTGCTTTTCGTTGTACTCATTGTACTTTTGAAACACATTTGAAAGTAATTTATGAAGTCTATCAATATTTTTCTTTGTGTCTCCCTTTATTATTTTTAAAATTTTTATGAAGTCTTTCTCTGTTCTGAAATCTGTTAGGTGTTCACCTAAACTTTTTTCCCCTGGTTTCTTTCATTACCTTTCAACTCTTAATCCATAATTTATTTTATGGTACAATTGAAACAAAAATTTTAATTTATAGAAGGAATAAGATCTAGTGTTCAATAGCACAATGAGGTGACTATAGTTAATAATATTTTACTGTATATTTCAGAATAACTAAAAGAGTAGAATTGTCACATTTCTAACACAAAGAAATAATAAATGCTTGAGGTGATGGATACCCCAGTTACCCTGATTTGATCATTACACATTGTATGCTTGTATCAAAATATCACATTTACCCCATAAATATGTACAACTCTTCTGTATCCACAATAACTAAAAATGTAAAAACTTAATTTACTTTTTCCAATATCTAATAGTAATATAATGATAACAGCTATCATTTATTGAGAACTCATTATATCCTCAGCCTTGTGCTAACCAATTCCCATTCATTAACTCATTTAAAAAATAGTTTCATTGAATAATACTAATTTTCTCACTGATACAGAAATACTTTCTGAAGTATGCATTCGGTTCCATTGATCTGTCTGTTGATTCTTATTCCAGTAATGCACTCACCATCATCATCAACTAGTTGATAGATCCTCACAGTTTGAAAAATATTTGTGGTTCATCTTTTAAGTATACACCATTCTTATTTCTCTTAAGATTCTACTAAGATACAGAAAACGTAAATAAAACTATTTGTCTTTAGTTTAGTGGAGAATTCAGGCCTGCGGCAACCCAAGTTCTAACCCTGGCCAAATATAGGAAGTCAAGCAATCTTTTTTTTTTTTTCTTTTTCCCCCTTCTTAAAATTGTAAAACAAAACCAATACTGAGAAGATCTGTTTCTGAAGTATTTATTCTGTTCCATTGATCTGTCTGTTGATTCTTATTCCAGTATACACTTACCATCATCATCAACTAGTTGATGGGTTCCCCGCAGTTTGAAAAATATTTTTCTGCACAGATTTATGTTTAAATGTGGCAGCGAAAAAAATTTTAATGGTTGTACCCAATTGTTTTCTAAGACGACAAATATATATATGTGTGTATATATAACATATATTTATATGTACTTATATATTTTTATATATTCACATATAGAAATGTATATTCACATATATAAGTTTTTTTTTAAAGAAAAGACTTTAGTAGTTCCCTTTAGATCTGGATGGTGATGCTTAGAGACTATGGCCTTGAGGGAAATGGTAAAAGAAGAAAAGAAGAGGAAGTCAACGTGCTTTGGGGATGGGGGTGTGGACTATCGTCAATAGGGGCAAAGGAGGTGAGAGAATGCGCTGGACTGGAGTCTGGGGATCAACTGTGCTGAGATGACATTCTTGGCAGCAGATGGCTGAACTTCCCATAGGAATATAACCTTTCTGGTGGTATTTCACTGCAAGCTATTTGGGGTGCTGTTGTCTCTACTCCTGCTGTAAAAGTCTGTTATGCACACAGCCCTGGGTTTGTGGCCTTTGCAGAGAAAAGATGTGAGGGTGGAGTCCTCGGGGTAGGTTGTGCAGGAGAGGGAGGGCGCATGCAGGGCAAGCAGTATCTGTGGCACTTTGCTAATTCAGTAGATGTGGGGAGGTGAAGCCAGGCCACCCCATACCTTCTCCCATCTTACCTCATCCTACCCATGGAAGGCCAGGAAGGGAAGATGGGTCCCTTTCATTTAATTCTCAAAAAACCAACTGATCCCAGCTGACATCTTGTGGTAATATAATTTTGTATGTTCCATGATCACTCAGTTCATGGTGTTTGTAACATATTAAGGAAATCTTTCCATGTCAATCATTGTAAATATCACTATCTTCTAAAATGAGCATGTAGTGTTCCTACTATAGGACTGTACTGTTACCCATTTAATTACAGGATCATGGTGTTCTTAGGAATTCATACTTGTTTTACTTTTACTGATAATGTTAGACTGAATATTCTTGTATCTAATTTTTTTACAAAAAATTAGAATATAGAATATTTCACATATAGAAATTACATATTCTATATAAATTTTTTTAAAGAAAAGACTTTAGTAGTTCCCTTTAGATCCAGATGGTGATGCTTAGAGACTATGGCCTTGAGGGAAATCTAATTCTTTACAAAAAAATTAGATACAAGACGATCTCTTTAGTATAAACCCCTTGAAGTGGGAGAACTGGTTCACAGCTTATGAAACAAGTGAAATACATCAGATTGCCCTATAGAAAGAATGCACCAGTTTCCACTCTGACCAGCAATGTGTGCAAGTGCACATGGCCACAACTTGTTGGTGAGACGTGATAAATGAAGGAACACATCTCCTCTTAACATTAGTGTTAGGTCCAAAAAACAAGAGCAGGCCAGTGTGGTGGCTCACGGCTGTAATCCTAGCACTTGGGAATGGGAAGTCGAGGTGGGTGGATTGCTTGAGCCCAGGAGTTCAAGAACAGCCTGAGCAACATGGCAAAACCCTGTCTCCAAAAAAATACAAAAATTAGCTAGGCTTGGCAGTGCACACTTGTAGTCCCAGCTACTCGGGGGTCGGGGGCTGAGGTAGGAAGGTTCCTTGAGCTAGGGAGGTTGAGGCTGCAGTGAGCCATGATCATACTACTGCACCCCAGCATGGGTGACAGAGCAAGAACCCATCTCAAAAATAAATAAATAAATAAATAAAAAAGAATAAGAGCAGATGGAATGCTAGAAGGAAATTAATCCGTTGTTCACAAGTTTACTTTTCCACTTTCCTGAATAATACAATAGAAAACAATTGATCCCTTTTAAAAAAAGATAATCCAAATGGCAGACTGATGGACAGTTTAGTCATCTTACGGAAAAAGATGTGTATAATAGTATAACGTTGCTCTAACAAGATTAATGTGTTCAGGTTGTAGATTGCAACTCTGGTGTTCACCTTTCATATTGTATCTTTGAAAATGGCATCCTTTGAACATGGTGCATATGTTTGTCCTCTGACTTGGCTTTGGGTCTAGTTTGCATTTTAGCTGTGTATTGTGGTTGGATAACTCAGGAGTTTTTGGTGACCCTTCTGTAGGAGTGCTTTCCAATGCATGCAGAAATGATTGGAGAAAAATAGAAATGAAAAAGTGATGATTAACTTTTTGCAAAAGTGTAATATCTACACTTGAGATAAAATTGTAATTATGCTAATTACAGAATATTTAAGTAAACCTATTTGCCTTTAATTTAGTAGAGAATTCAGGCCTGCCGCAATCCAAGTTCTATTTCTGGTCAAATTAAGGAACTGTCAAGCAATCTTTTTTTTTTCTTTCTGTTCTCCTACTTTTTAAAATGGTGAAACACAACCTATACAGAAAAGTATATAAAACATAAGTGTACAAGTTAGCTAAAGAGTTCAAGGTGAACAGTACACACCCATCAAGAAATATGTCATACAATTTTTAGTTTTTTACCTTGAAATAATTCTCTGTTGGAAAAAGTGATAAAGCCATATATGTACATGCAGTAAGAAGGCTTTGGCCGGGTGGCTCATGCCTGTAATCCCAGAACTTTGGGAGGCTGTGGCAGGCGGATCACAAGGTCAGGAGATCAAGACCATCCTGGCCAGCATGGTGAAACCCCGTTTCTACTAAAAATGCAAAAATTATTTAGGCATGGTGGTGTGTGCCTGTAATCTCAGCTACTCAGGAGGCTGAGGCAGGAGAATCACTTGAACCAGGGAGTCGGAGGTTGCAGTGAGCCGAGATCACAGCACTGCACTCCAGCCTGGTGACAGAGCGAGACTCCATCGCAAAAAAAAAAAAAAAGGCTTTAACCAGTCATAAATGACCAGGGTAACAGAAGCAGGATTGGGGAAGGAAGTTGGGGGGCTGGAAGGCTAGGAATGGCGGTGGGGTGGGTAACCAGGTCATCCTTGGGTGCATTTTTGTACTGTTTTTCTGACTTTGAATGCTATTTTATTTCTGCCTTAAAGTGAACATGGATAAGAGGAGGAAACTTACTGTTCCCTAGCTAGAGAAGAAGAAAGAAAACGTGGTTGTGTGCATGCACAGTTATAGAAGGGGTATGCAATAATTCCCTTGTTCTGTGAAGTTCTGTGGAATTCTCATTAAAAAGCTAGACAGAGCAATTTTTAAAATAAGTTGAATTTAAAGGACCCAAACTGGCTTCTATTGTATTATGTTTTCTATTGTCTTTGTGCATTTAGTCTGTTGATAATTTTTTTCTTTGATTGAACAGATTGCTGAGCTGAGAGAAATAGAATACATTAAAAATTTACCCATCCTTCGAGTTCTCAATCTTCTAGAAAATCCAATTCAGGTGAGACATTATTTATATCAGGGAGGGAGACAGAGAAGAAAGTGGGATGGTGGAGGGAAACTATCTAGGAATTCTTCAAGAAGTACTTTTGATAAAAGAATATCAGGAATGTGAATAGAGTTTGTCTATCTTCCTTCTTTCTAAGGAAGGGTTTAGTAGTACCTAAAGTGACAATTTTTTTTTTAAGACATAAGATCTTCTCTCATGACTAACAAGCTGTCACATGACTGTCAGCGAAGGAAAGCCTGAAACTGAATATCATTTAGTTGCTCTGCTGGTCATTTGTGACTCATCCCCTGTGGTAAAGGTTACAGGAAGGAGGTAATAAGATTGCAGAACAATGTTCTCTGACATTAGACAATGCAAGACACCAGAGGTGGAGACAGAATGTGGTTCCTATTCTATAACAGGGGAAAGAAAATCTAAGATTAGCTACCTAATTTACCTGGATATAGCCATGAAATTGATGTATATGTGAAATAATTATAGAACAGAATAATACATTTCCCAGGAGTTCTTCACACCTCTGGGACTGAAGGATCAGGGAGTGTTTCAAGTCCTTCTCTTTCTCTCCATTGACAGATGCTTTCTCCCGGTCTCCTCCCCTCTCTCCTTGTCTGTTTGTCCTTCATTCCATTCTTCTACCTGTATCCTTCACTTAGTTTCCACAGGCTCTTGACTTTGCATGTAGCTCTTAGTAACTTTCTTTTTGTTTGTATCTTGATGAACATGTCTAGATAGGTGAAAAACAGAAAATACAAGAAAGATTTATAAATTAAAAGCTGCCCTTGGGACAGGAACAGTGGGAGGCAATTTAAAAGCATTTCTGGAAAAGTAAGAGGCAGGGCTTAAAGTGGCCAGCACACCTCAGTTTCAAATCCCTGAAGGGTGTTTGTGCATATGCATGAATAAGCATCACAAGCCGTTTGACACATTAACTGATTTATATACAAAACCTCTCCCCAACATTTACACCTAAGCTTTGTACATTCACCTCATATACGGTCTCATCTATTGGACTGGCGCAAAAGTAATTGTGGTTTTTTTCATTCTTTTAATGACAAAGACCACAATTACTTTTGCACCAACCTAATATATAACAGATCATCCGCTAATATCTAATGTCTTTCCCCTCAAAGAGGCATGGCTTCTTACTACAAAAACTCTAATTATAATTTCCAAAAGGCAGATAATCCTGATGGTAGGGAGTAATAAGGAGTTTGTTTTATAAATGAATATCATTTTATTATTACAAACAAATTCATAATAATACAAATTAATACGAAATATTGCATATAAATAATAACAAAATAATATAAAATATTAAAGTTTCATTATTTGCAGAATTGAGACTTGTTGGAGTTACAAGACAGGGTTTGAGTCACTGGCCACGGGATCTTAGATGAGACGCTTCACTTTTCTGAGGCTTGGTAGCCTTTAGAAATGAGGATAATCTGGAAGCCATTATCCTCAGCAACCTACCACAGGAACAGGAAACCAAACACCACATGTCCTCACTTAAAACTGGGAGCTGAACAATGAGAACACATGGACACAGGGAGGAGAACAACATACCCTGGGGCCTGTCAGGGGCGGGAGGAGGGAGAGTATCAGGATAAATAGCTAATGCATGCGGGGCTTAATACCTAGGTGATGGGTTGATGGGTGCAGCAAACCATCGTGGCACACCCTTACCTATGTAAGAAACCTGCACGTCCTGCACATGTATCCCAGAACTTAAAATTAAATTAAATTTTTTTTTCGACAGAGTCTCCCTCTGTCAACCAGGCTGGAGTGCAGTGGCGCGATCTCGGCTCACTGCAAGCTCCGCCTCCTGGGTTCATGCCATTCTGCTGCCTCAGCCTCCTGAGTAGCTGGGACTACGGGCACCTGCCACCATGCCTGGCTAATTTTTTTGTATTTTTAGTAGAGACAAGGTTTCACCATGTTAGCCAGGATGTTCTCGATCTCCTGATCTCGTGATCTGCCTGCCTTGGCCTCGCAAAGTGCTGGGATTACAGGTGTGAGCCACTTTGCCCGGCCAATTAAATTAAATTTTAAAAAAAGAAATGAAGATAATCCACCTGTCCTGTTAATCTCAAATCTCACAGGGAGATTAACAAGAGTGTACACTTGAAGACCTTTATAAGTTACAAGGCACAGTCTGCATTGAGTTAATGTAAGGGGACTGGGAAGCGTGAAATGCATAGTCCTGTGAGGGTGTGTGTGGGAATGATGAGGTAGTAGGTGAAAGGCCCAAGCTCATGAAAACCCAATGCTGGTGCTTGTTGATTTGGGAAAAGGAAGGCAACTGAACAGTCCTCTTGATATTTTAAATAGGAAAAGTCTGAATATTGGTTCTTCGTAATTTTTATGCTTCTGCGATTAACAGAATTAGATCAGAAGAAGATTAAAGTGGAAGAAAAGGTATGTAATCATGTCATAACATTACCATTGTGTTATTGGGTTAATATGCTCAAAAGCTCGTGTTGCCTGCTGTGGAAGCAATATAATCAATAAATAAGACACATAACAATATGTACATTAATTCATTTAGGGAATGTTTCCTTGCCTTAGGATCTGTTCATTTAACCCTCTGCAAAGGTGAGTATCAACACAAATGCAGTGAAAGGCCTGATGTCTTGCTGTTAGTACAGTGAAGAGGTTGGCTGTGGGGAACAGAAGCAGCACTCCACTTATATAGGTCGCAGCTTTATGGCAGACTATCAGTTTGAAAAACTTTCCTGTTTGGAAGGTGTATGATTCTATCTGTGTTACCTGAAAAATTCATTTAACAATAAAATGCATTATAATGTCACTCTACCATATAATCAAAAGGTACTCAAATAAATCACTACTCTGATATTTTAAATCCTTAATTCTGCTCTTTAAAAAAATGATTCATCTAGTCACAAAATTCCAGAATAACCAGAACTTGAATGCTAGCACCTGCCTCCCTGCTTTTCATACTCATGGTCACTGCTTTGTCTTGCTTTAGTAGCTGGTGACAGCCAAAATCTCTACTAATGAGGGATTTCTTACACTGGATGCAAATTTGAGACAGGAATGAAAACAGGTATAAATATGTAGAGAGGCACGTATTCCATCTCATAAATGCCTTTCTGAAATCTTGGTTAAAAGCAGTTACAGATGCCAGTCTGTCATTATTCTCACACTCAAAGGTACTTATTAGATTCCTCTTTTCCTTTAACATTTTGCAAAAGGAATACAATTTAAAACCATGTATTAAGTAAAGATATGGCATATGATAGATGAGGATAATGTATTTAGAAGAATGGGAAAGACAAGGGGATGAAGAACTGTACATTATGAAGAAAAGGCCCATATCCTTGAATGAACAAAGTTATGCTAAATGAGGAGGAAGTTTTGGTAGAATTTGAGATTGTGGGAATCATTCTTGGTGAAATGGTATGAGGAAAACATTCCGCATGCATCAAAACCTGGAATCTACAGCTATAAGTTTTATTCCTTTTTCACATATTAAAAGTTGGAATGTTTACTATATTCAAAGTAATCATGGGCTTTAGAGGGGCTGTGGGTTTTTGTTTGGTGGTTTTTTTGTGTGTGTTTTTGTTTTTTGCCATTTTCCCTCCCAAACCAGGCAGAATAAAGAAGTAGGAGATCAAAAGACTCCACTCAATATTTTTAAATAATTATCATTTCTTAAATTTTAGGAAAATTAGAGTAGACATGAAGACTGAATACTAATGTTAATGGGTGTGTGTTAAATTATTTTGTGTACCTGGCTGCACGTGAACAACATTTCATTAAGGAAAAATCCAAGCTTTGTCTTCTTTTTAGAAACAAAACTTTTTTTCCCTTTTACATCTCTAATTCTGGAAAAGGTTTCAGCAGTGAATAAATATGATCCTCCCCCTGAAGTGGTTGCAGCTCAAGACCACCTGACCCATGTTGTCAACAGCGTGATGCAGCCGCAGAGGATCTTTGACAGGTACTTATTAGAAATCCAAAGGCCGGAATTCAGGGTGAGCAAGCAAAAGACAGCCTCATCACTTCCCCTAACCCCTATTTTGTGACCCCTTTATTTCCTATAAAGGCTGCTTTTTCCCTTTCTCTGAGGGAAGGGGCCAAGTCTTTATTTGATAGACAATATTGTCTCCATTATGGTATATTATTAATATCATGTACTTGAGTGTGTTGCTTTCTTGCTGGTATTTTCCCAAGCATGGTGATGAGTTGATTCACCTTCACTAGTTTTTCTGGCCACTTGTATGGTGGCCAGCGTGTGCCACACAACAGTGAAATCTCAAAAAAAAAAAAAAAAAAAAAACCAGGACCAATTTTTCTGCCTTAGGAGAGAAACACAGACCTTAACCTTAACAGAAAATTGTGGTAATTTATATCCATTGTAAATTTTCCCTCAGCTGTGAGTGGAAGCTAAATACCCTTGCCAAAGACTGTTCCATGAATTCACATTATTAGGGAGTCCCTTAGAAGGAAGCCCAGCTAGCCTAAGGAAAACCTGAAACAGTCTTTGCACTAAGCTGCGATAAACTCAGCAGGGAGGAGTCGCCCAGCTCGGTGGAACACATGAACAGAGTCTCTCACCTCTGAATTCGAAGACAGATTTACCATGCTTTCTTCATTTCTTTTTAAAACAATCTGTTGGAGCAGATGGCCATTTATGCTCTAAGTATAATGCAGAAATTCTATCAATACCCAAAGGCATTTTAAAAATACTTGTAAAATCTCTTGGATATAAATGGCTTCTCTTCTTCATGTGGTATTTGCTCCTGTACTTCACATGGCTGGTTTCCCACAGAGAGCAAAATGTTTTATTTTGCAACCCAGGACATGATTTTTACATATAATTTAATAATGTAGACGTTGACAGTTTCACATGTTTATGGTGGCCCTCTAGGTGAAATGAATTATCATTTATTACATACATCTGGAAAAGCACATTTGATTCAAAAGAGGGGCATTTATCTCCTCATTGTATTTCTATTCTAGTTTATGGTATTGCTAGTTGTTTCATGCTTTAGGGTACGTTTAAATAAAAACATATATCAAGGAAATTTGCAGCAGTGTTTGATAAACACATATGTCTTGATCATTTCTGGCTGTCAGGAAAACAAGAATAAAGGCCAAGTAGGCCCAGATGTTCCAGGGTGGAGTGGCATTCATTGTGGAAACTCATGGACAAAGGACCAGTAGCTAGTGTGCAGGCCTGCAATGCCCTTCCTACTCTGTCTAGGCCAGTACACAACTCTCTGTCAGCACCAGAAGTCAGGATCCAGGAGAGGAACCCCAACCCTTGGCTTTGGGACTTGTATGCTGCCATTACTGGGGAATCACTGTCCCCTCTCCTGGTATAATTGGGGTGAGGATACAGTATTAAAATGACATGGCCAAACCTTGACTCTGGTCTGGTAGTCATTGATAGCTTCTTACCTTCTGATATGACAAAGTTCTCCAGACTCATCTGGTACATGTCCTGTCCCAAATCTGGAATCAGCCTTTTCTGCAAGAAGCCCCAGTTTTAGTGAAAAATAGTATTTCCCAATTCCAGTCTGGGGGTTAAGATACTCATTGCTACCAGGTTGGTCATTTATTTAGAGGCCTTTTAGTGGAAAGAGCTAAGAATGTAACTCTTTTCATCAATTCCTCTGTCCATCCATCCATCCATCCATCCATCCATCCATCCATCCATCCATCCAATCTATTTGTACCTACCTGTATCTGTTCTATCTATATCTATCTGTCTGTTTGGGTAGACCTATCTGTGTCTATCTATAGATAGATGGATTAAATACCTCCTGAATTCTTGATATTTACAATTTTGATTCCAAAACTACAGTTAAGCTTTTACTCAACCTCCTCGCTATTGTATGGGTATTTCCTTTTTTCCCACACCAAGAAATCTGGTTCTAAGGGACACAGAGGAAGATGAAATTACCAAATCCCATAATTACTCATTTGAAAAAATCCTAGATTGTACCACAGTGGTATTAGAATACCAGTACTAATACTACCACCAAAATGATTCCTGAAAACATTAAAAATATTTTTTGCCTACAATTTACCCATTTCCTCCCATGTTTTTTATTGTGGTAAAATATATGTAACAAAATTTGCCACTTTAACAATTTTAAAGTGGACAGTTGAGTGGCATCAAGTACATTCATAATGTTATGTAACCATCACCACCATCTATTTCCAAAACATTTTCATTACCCCAAACAGAAACTCTGTACCCATTAAGCAATAACTCCTGGTTCTTCTCTGCTCCCAGCCTCTGGTAAGCTCTAATGTACTTTTGTCTCTATGAATTTGCCTATTCTATATATTTCATATAAGTGTCAACCACCCCTTTTAGAAAATAGTGTTGTACTATATTTATATTGTCAAAACATACAGCCATCACATACCGTGCTTTCTCCTTCTTTGCTGTTATTTAGTCTCAATTCTCTGGCTAACTACATAGTTGTTGCTCACTACCAGTAGTTATATTGATGTCCCTTGAGTCACTTTGGTTGTTTGAAGCTTGTTTTCTAGTATTTTCCTTAGGAAGGGATATGGCATCAGTATCCTCTGAATTCTTGCATGTTATAACAATGTATGCCCTTTATACTTGAAAGTCATTTTTGCTAAATATAAAATTCATGATCCACACCTTTTTCCTTGAATATATTAAAAATGTTACTCCATTGTCTTTTGGCATAAAACAAAATCTGATGATAATTTAATTTTCTTTCCCTTATATGTAATGTGCTTTTTTTTTTTCTAATTGGAAGTTTTTTTCTTTTTCTTTAAAGCCAAGTAATTTTACTAGACTATGTCCTGGTTTAGTTCTGAGCTGATATTTCAGGTATAATGTGTGCCCTTTCAATGCGTAGTGTTTTTTGTTTGTTTGTTTGTTTGTTTTAATTTCAGGGAAGGTTTTTTTGAAGTATAGCCTCTGTTTTCTGTTCCTTTGGTTTTCATCTTCAGGAAGAAGCTCTCTTTTGCTTATTTTCAATATTTGTCACTTTCTTTTTCTTAGTTATTTTTTTGAAAAAATATATTTTGAGGTAATTGTAGATTCACATGAAGTTGTAAGAAATAATACAGAGAAATTCCATATACCAGTCATCCAGTTTTCCTCAATGTTGATATCTTGCATAGCTATAGCAGAACATTAAAACAAGGAAATTGACCAGGAAATCCACCAACCTTATCGGATTTCACCAGTTTTGCATGTGCTCTTTTGTCTTTAGTTCTATTTACCTCTGTGCAATTTTATCACATGTAGATTCATCTTAGCACCACTACAGTCAAGATATAGAGCAGTTTTATCACAAGGATCCCTTGTAATACTCTATAATAGCCATAGCACCTCCCTCCCTCTCATCTTCCCTAACCCCTGGAAACCACTAATCTGTCCCTGTCTCTATCTATAATGCTGTTATTTCAAACATGTAATATAAATAGAATCATACAGTATATAGCCTCTTGGGATTGGCTTTTTTTCACTCAGACTAATTCCCTGGAAATGCATTCGAGTTGTTGCATGAATCAGTAGTTCATTCTTTCTTATTGCCACGTAGCATTCCATGGCGTGAAAGTATCACAGTTACTTGAACTGCTTACCTGTTGAAAGACATCTGGACTGATTCCAGTTTTGGGTGATTGCAAATAGAGCTGTCATGAACATTCATGTCCAGGCTTTTGCACATGTACAGCTTCAGGCTGCCTGCTCTTGGCAGGTACCCAGTGGCTGTTTTGGGGTTCACTTGCTCTCAGATCTGTCAGATGCTGCCCATTGCTTCCCTCTTCTTCCTCCTGCATTGACTGTAGTACCACACAGGTTTTGTGGGTCCATGGCTCTTGGCGATACTGTTTCATGTACTTATATGTGTTTCCCATAGGCTTTTGCTCTCAAGTTTTTCTGTGGGAATTCGGAGAGATTGAAAAACTATGCTGTTTCATTGTTTCCACAGACTCTTCTCAGAATCTACACCTTCATCTTCATAGAATCCACACCTCAGCCATGTGGTTTTTTAAAATTTTATATTTTATTCTAGATTGCTACAATTTGTGTCATGAGTAGAGTTTAAACACATTGTTCAGTGTGTTGCAGGAGATTTTATTATTATGATGATGATGATGATGATTTTTTTGAGACAGTTTCACTCTTGTTGCCCAGACTGGAGTACAATGGCGCCATCTCGGCTCACTGTAACCTCCATCTCCTGGGTTCAAGAGATTCTCCTGCCTCTGCCTCCCGAGTAACTGGGATTACGGGTGTGCACCACCATGCCCGCTAATTCTGTATTTTCAGTAGAGACAGAGTTTCTTCATGTTGTTCAGGCTGGTTTCGAACTCCTCACCTCAGGTGATCTGCCTCAGCCTCCCAAAGTGCTGGGATTACAGGCTTGAGCCATCGCGCCCGGCTGCGGGAGATTTTATTAATCAATTCATTCTTTAGTCCAGTCTTCAGGCTTGGCAGCCAAACCTACATTTGTATATCAGCTCTCCCTTATTAACTATCACTTTGAGCAAGTTAATTAACCTCATTGTACTTCAGTTTCTTCATACGTTAAAAGGGGATAATGACAGAAACATCTTCATTAGCTTCTTGTGATAATTAAATGAGGTAATGGATGTATGACTCTTAGAATGCTTCCTGGCACATAGTAATTGCTCAGGTAAATTTTAGCTATTACTGTTAAGTTGGCTTTGCATACCTGCATTCTAATTCAGTAGTTATAAATATTTATCTTAACTTTACAGTCTTATTTAACTTTAACAGTCTTATTTCTTTCATTGATCAGTTTTGGGGAGGAATATTTCACTCTAGCCATCAAGAACCAATAAATGTTATATTTTTCCTTTAAAAGTCATGTTAAAGTAAATTTACGTAAGTTCATATTTTACCTTATTTGTTATCTATGCTTTGAATATTATTTTTGACATATAATCAATCTGTTTCTGGAAAGGACAACTATTCTTCTACGCAGGGTCTTATATAGCAAGTGCTCATTTAGCCAGGTTAATGGTGGCCTAATGGATGTAGTTAATGTGCTGTCTCCCTGACTGCAATAGGAGAACTGACTCTGGTCCTGTGTTGTAGCACTCTTCCCAGCCTGGATGCCCCTTATCCCATGCTGATACTAGCTGGTCCTGAAGCTTGTGGGAAACGAGAGCTTGCCCATCGCCTCTGCAGACAGTTTAGCACTTACTTCAGATATGGGTAAGTTTGTTTATTGGCTTGTTAAGACTTGGAAATTCATCCGAATTATTGGAGGTATCAATAGTTGTAGTAAAATCTCCGATATTGCTAATGTTGGCTATTAATTTTAAGCAATTTCAGAAATGTACAAAACAACTTAATATTTAAGTTACACTTTATAGCAAAGCCAAAAGTGGTAAGTAAATTGAATGTTCAATAGATATTAACTCTTGGTAAGGACAGAGCACCATGTGAGTGTTAATCCTTGATGGTAAATTATTGATAAAATTGGATCAATGTGATTACCTGGTTCTGGAACGATAGAATCTTGATTCTTGTGCCATTCTAATCGATATGGTAAAGATGATTGCTAAAGTGTACTCCTGGCAATAGAAGAACTTGCCATATAGCAGGAAGAAACAAAATAATTTTTCTTTTTTTTCTTTTTTTTTTTTGATACGGAATCTGGCTCTGTCACCCAGACTGGAGTGCAGTGGTGCGATCTCGGCTCACTGCAAGCTCCACCTCTCGGGTTCATACCATTCTCCTGCCTCAGCCTCCCAAGTAGCTGGGACTACAGGCGGCTGCCACCATGCCTGGCTAATTTTTTGTATTACTAGTAGAGAAGGGGTTTCACCATGTTAGTCAGGATAGTCTCGATCTCCTGACCTCATGATCCTCCCACCTTGGCCTCCCAAAGTGCTGGGATTACAGGTGTGAGCCACCGCGCCTGACCGAAACAAAATAATTTTTCTTTTGTCAAGCAGACAGTAAACATACAGCAATGACTCCCCTGCTCCCTGCTTCCCCCACCCACCACAAAATAAGCAAGCAAACCAGCATGGCTCATTCATGCTGTTCCCCACCTTTTCCATAAAAGGCTTATTGGCTTCTTTGCCACTTATTATACTGTGATATACACTGTATTTTTTTTAACTTTAATTTTCCAAATGCTTAACTTAATTCAGTCTCAGCCCAAATCACCCTCCAGGGTTTGAAAATCAACATCTTTTTCATTAAGCATAAATGGCATGTGAAGGCAGGCTTCTCCTGTTGCCTTGCAGTATGATAGCATGAATCACCGTGTTGTGATGTGTGGTGGGCATATCTGTGCTCAGGGACAGCCTCTCCTGTCTGAGCCTGGAACATGTGCCAACGGCACTGGAGCGTCTTTGTCTCTGACAGGTCTTCCTCTTTTGGTATTTCAGGAGGAAGGAAGGAGAAGGGGCAGCAAGTTTTTCTTTTTCTTTCCTTCAGGTTAGCATTCAATACACTTCAAGTTTTCTGGAGCAAATATTTTGCTTAGTGATGTCTTAATGACCCAGTTAAAATAGAGGAACATATCCGAAAAACTAGAACCATCCAAAAAAACAAAAAACCAAAAACAAACAAACAAAAAAACCACACACACACAAAACTCCAACTGAGTTTAAAGAGTTTTTTAGAGGCTGAGACTAGTGGCTCACGCTTCTAATCCCAGCACTTTGGGAGGCTGAGGTGGGCGGATCACTTGAAGCCAGGAGTTCGAGACCAGCCCAGTCAACATGGCAAAATCTCTTCTCTACTAAAAGTATAAAAATTAGCTGGGTGTGTTGGCGCACACCTGTAATCCCAGCTGCTCGGGAGGCTGAGACATGAGAATCCAAGATTGTGCCATTGCATTCCAGCCTGGGCAACAGAGCGAGACTCTGTCTCAAAAAAAAAAAAAAGATTTTTTTTTAGAGGTTTTGGTGAATCAAATTTAGAATTGTCTGTCATCTCTTAAACTGGTTTCCTCTTGTACTTTTTGTGTATGGCAAAGAAATTACTTTTAGATTAGTGGTGCCTGTCAGTGAGCTGAGGATGTGGCTACAAAGATATATAGGACAGCCAGAAAAATAAGTGCAAATTATTTCCTAATGCTATTACAAAAAAACTTCCTTCCCTGAAGCTACACATGTTCAAACAATGTAAACACTATTTCAAACAGGTCCATTTATTTAGATATTTAAAATTACATCCTTTATTTGAACAACTCTAGGCCACAAACACTATGGAAAAATTTATTAATACATTTTAGACACCCGAAGTAACAAAAATAAATTAAAAGTTAATGTTAGAATAAAAATATAGAGTACATTATGTTTCTGTGGATGTACTGAACCTGTTTTAAAAGATAAGCTGAACGCAATGAATGGAAGGACAAACTAGGGCAAAAGGGTATATGCTGTTTTGCTAATGCGTAAATTTGGAACTTTTTAGCAAACCAAAGTGACCTATGAGGAACCAAGTTTCTCCAGTTCCTTTCACATCTCTGATACCAGTTATGTTGCAAATGGTTGGTAGCCCAGTCCTGTTTATTTCTCTGTGATATGCTACTGCTAAGACATACTTTGTTGGATATGTTTTTAGAGATGTTTATTGACTCATCGTCAAGATTTGGAGCCAATCTGCCCTTACATTCTTATCTGGTGAGGCCTCCCAGTTACTCATTTTCATTGAATCTTTTATTTCCCTAATTAGAATGCTTATCCATCATGCTTGTGATTAGTTGATTTAATGTCTGCTTTCCCTGCTTGTCTGTAGCCCATTGAGGGCAGGGCGCATGTCAGCCTTGTTCACCATTGAGTTCTCAATATCCAGTATATGTCCAGACACTTAATATGTGTGTGATAAATATTTGTTAAATAACTGACTGACTGATTGAGTGAATGGTTGGCTGAATTAATGGCATGGTGTGCAACAGATCATATAAATGACTGTAATAAGAAGCATGGGTGATCTTCCCCAACCTCCACTGATGGAGCTATGCAGAGATGAATGGATTCATCCACTTGTTCATTCTTTCAATACATATTTATTGAATTCCTCTCTTGTGCTAGTCCCTGAGGGTAGAGCAGGAACAAGACTGGTGAGGTCCTTGCCTTAATGAAATTTGTAATCTAATGGGAGACTCAGACCTTAGATAATCAGTGCTATGTGAAATTTAGGTGGAGGCACAAGATGGCAAAACAGAATCCTAAAATTAGCTTCATGCTCCTGTACTGTTACCTCTGCCACTGCTATTTTTCTCTTCTGGCTGGAATTAGTGGTGAGTAGAAAGACACTCCTAACTGCCCCCCTCCCAACTACAAACTCATTCATCCACCTCCCTCAGAGTTTCAGAAGCACCATCCAACTGTTCACTGTCATTCTCATGAAGGCAGAGGTCAAGGTTTGTTCAGTGGCAAATTATTCTAAGAATTTCATCAAGGCACGGATAAAAGACTATGCATCGGATGGAAAAGGATATTAGATAGCTAGTTACTTTATCCATTGAGAAAGTAAGCTACTGCTACCATTATATGCAGCAACTTTCTAGTTAAAATTAAAAAAAAAAAACCAAAGCACATTCGCACATTCTCAAGGACAAGTCATTGCTCTTGTTTAGATTTTCTTTTCTATTATTCTTTATCCAACATAAGTTTTATTGATTTTTAATTATGTGAAAAGAAAAAAGGCGTGCATAGAGAGTCTCATGGTGAAACATAAAAGCATTTACAAAGGCACTTGCTCCACCATTTGCTTGAATCATTTCTTTCCTTCCTTCTCATTTAATTTTTTCCTGGCATTTTACTTCCTTTCTAAATTGCATTGACCCAAGATCAAGACATTCAATGAAATTTTCACATGCTAAGTTGCATATCCAGATATATAAATATTGAAAACATAACTCAGTCACATAACAAATATTGGTGCGGCTGAGAGATTTTGCTGTAGTTAGGTTTTGATTTTACTATTTGTTCTTGGTTTTAGAAATATGTTGAATGTTCTTTCTTTACCAGTATTAGTTATGGGTGACCTGGAGATATACATTTACTTTCTTCAAAGTCTCTCTATTGATTTCCAGCTGAGCACCCCACAAATCAGTGACTTCCTGGAAAAGTGCCAGATAATGAGGGCAACCCAAAACAATATCAGCATGCCTGTTTATCTTCTAGATTTAAGGCCATGAAAGTGATCTGAATGGCCCTGAAAGAAAAACTTTATTCTTTCTTAGATCTCTATTTTATAGCCATCTCTATTTTCATAAGCTTCTCATGATGTTGACTACTAAACATATTTCATTTTTAGCATTATAATAGAGTAAAATAAAAGACCACAGCTATTTAGTTACATGAGATGATATGAGCTGTAGCAACCTAAATGCAGTCTCAGCTAAGGTGTCTGTTTATACACATGTGACAAATTTGTAGAATGGTTCATTTATTCATTCAATATTTATCGAGCACTGTGCAAATGCTATATGCTGGTGATGAAACTGTGAAATGAACAGGCATGGTTCTTCTCCTCCTGGCAGCTTACAAAGTAGTATGAGATTTAAACAGGTAAATACTAACAAGATAGTTTGATGGGTGCTATGATGAGGGAGGTAAAGAGCCTCTGAGATAGAAATAAAAGAGAAGTAGGAAGTGGGGCTTGAGTTGAGGGTGTATTCTAGGCAGAGAGGACAGCATATGGCTCAGCTTGAACTATCAAGGGAGATGGCAGAAGATAAGACTGGAAGGACAGACAGGGGTCCGGTCATAAAGGATTTCTAAACAGGGAGGGGAATGGCGTGATCACATTTGCATTTTAGAAAGCGTATCCTGTTGGCAATTTGGGAAAGGGCTTAGGGAAGGAAGTCTGGAGACAAGCAGACCAGGTAGAATGTAGTGACGGGTGATGATAGCATGAGTCAGAAAATGGTGTGTAGTTACTGAAAAGTGGGCAGAGTAGTGGCTTCATGGAGTTTGATACTTAGATACAGTATGTGCTGGAATCTTTTGTGTGGAGGATCACTTAAATTGTGTCCAGCAAGCTATTGACATATATTTGCATTGGGTATTCAGACCAATTTCATTTACCTCCCAGATTCCTCTAGGAATACCTGGGCTTTTGTGGCTACCCATTGATAGAGCTCACTTACTAACAATGTGATGTGCTGTAATGTGCTTGAATTCAGATGTGCTCAGAGCCAAGCCTCTGCCTAAATATTTGCAATAACAAGTTCATTATTTCCTGAGGCAATCTGGTTCAGAATTAAGCTTCTAAATCTGCATGCGTCTGAATGACACAGAAAAAAAAATACTACTTCCTCATCCACCTGCTAGCTCTTCTTAGATATCTTTTCTTCCTGTTACATTTCCCTGGATATTTTGGGATTCCATTATTTAGCCTGGCTTTCCAATTCCTTTTCCTCTTGATCATCTCCTTTCTGTGAACTTGGTTTGGTAGTAGCTTCAGTGACACCTGGCCATGAATTGGCACCCTTAGACTTTTAGGACCAGAGTTGGAGTCTGGGGTTCATCTCTAACTTAGTCCTTTTCTGTGTTAAGTGAAATCACAGGGATTGTGGTTCCCATTACAAACCATAATTTAACTAGCAAATTAATTAGTAAATAATGAATATGTGGAAAGATTTAGACAAGGGAAAAGAAGAATTTTGAAAGTCCTGGCTCGAGCAAATTTCTTTGTCTAGAATTTGGTATCATTTTTCTTATGTAAGTTTAGTGAAATGTTGCCTTCACTATGAAGCATTTTCTTTTTGAGATGTTCATATTTGGGCAGCATATAACACGGTGAACATTTCTATATGTGAAAATTGGATGATGAATTAAAAAAACACAGATCATCTTAGGTTCTTCTTAATAGGAAGTCTGCAGTGGCTGCAGGTTCTGTCATCAGCATTCTGCACATCAGTGGAGCCATGTCTTTATTTACCTGCCTAGAAGCTTCAAATTGCTCCTTTGTTTTGTCTTTCTTTGAGGTATTCAGAAGAAATTCTTGCCACTCAATTCCTTTGTTGAGAAATGTAAGTTCAGCATAATGTGTAAAGGCTATGCTAAGGGTTTGCTGCAAGGGTGCCAAGCTATTGATTTATCTTCCCTGACTGTCAAGGACACCAATAGACAGAGGGTGTCAGGTCTCTGCTAAGGCATGTGAAGAAATGCCAATGTATTCAAACAACAAAACAAATGCCACAGTGTTTTGACAGCCTTCTCTTAGAATGTACTCTCTTTCCTGAGTATATAATTTAAATATGATGTTAAGACCTTAAAATGTATTAGTACAGTTAATTCTTAAGTATAATGGAAAGGGAGCAGTGGTATGAATTATAAACATTTATTTGTCTTTGACTTTGCAACGAAGAGCCTTTCGAGGTTGGAACTTTACTCTCTGAATTAGTATGATATTAACAAGAATTGACTTTTGAGTCATCCTGGCGTTGCTACTTAGTAACATTACTTAATCGCTGTGCCTCCAGTTTCATTATTTGTAAAATAAAAATAAGAAATAATACCTAGCTTATGGTTTTTGTAAGAAATAAATGAAATAACATGTCAAGTGTCTAGCTAGTCTCATCTCTTATTTTATTTTATTATTTATTTATTGAAACAGGGTGTTGCTCTGTTGCCTCGGCTGGAATGCAATGGGGCAATTATGGCTTGCTGCAGCCTCAAACTCCTGGGCTCAAGTGAGCCTCACACCTCAACCTCCTGAGCAGCTGAGACCACAGGCACATGCCACCACACCTGGCTAATTTTTAAATTTTTTTGTAGAGACAGAATCTCACTATGTTGCCCAGGCTGGTCCTGAACTCCTGGGCTCAAGCAATCCTCCTGCCTTGGCCTCCCAAAGTACAGGGATTGCAGGAATAAGCTACTGTGCCTGGCTCTCATCTCCTATTTTAAAACTACAGTAAAATCTAAAAATCAGTTTGCATTTCTGCACTTAACAGTGGAAGGCAGAATTATATGAACTCAAGAGTCCTGGTGGTTGGGACCACCATATTCTTGTAGGACCAACACTGGCCTGCTGTGTGACCTTAGAGGAGTTATTTTTGTAGTCATCTATAAAATGGAGTTCTTAGCAGCTGTTATCCACTTCTCCTGTTTCATTTTTCATTCATTTTACAAAAATTTATCAAATGCCTACTATGTGCCAAGCATTGGGAATGCAGTGGCGAATAAGACATGGTCCTCCCCTTTAGGATTCATATGTTCTGCTGGGAAAGATAGGAAAAAAACAGATAAATATATAAAAGAAAGCAGTTCTGGGGATAGACAGTAGTTGAGCGGTAAGCAGTTCTGGGGATAGACAGTAGTTGAGCGGTGTGGTGGGATGGGGAGGCTATTTCAGACAGTGGAGAGAAAAGGCCTCTTTGGCTGAGCTGAGACTTCCATTCAGCATTGGCACCATGGATTGCCACAGGAGGTTTATACACAGTGTTGATATGGACCAAGCACAGGGCACATGAGATAGATTTGCCCTCAGGTGGTGGAGGGGATGGGCCCTGAACATACAATTGGAATGCAATTGGCAAAGACACTAAGGCTGTGGAAATATAAAGAGATGAATAATCCAGCCATAGAGGTCAGGGAAGGATTTTTGGAGGGGTGACATTTAAACTGAGTTCTGAGAAACAAGTAGGCCAGCCAGGTGGAAGGAGAGAAGGACAGCCTGTGGAAAAGGCTCATAGATTAAACACGAAAGCAGGTGGGTGGAAAATAGTTGAGTGATAAGTATTGATTTACTTCTTAAAGTATTATTACATGATGGCAGAGGAAGTGGTTCAGAAGGTGATAAGTAATAATGAGTAAAAATTTGGTATGGATAATCCAAATTTTGTATAATCTTTATAGATGATAGCAACTGAATATAATTTAGCACTTCGAAACCAACATATTCTTACAACTGTATTACTTTATGATTTATGATTTGTGGATTAACTTCATTTTTTAAAACATAATTTATATTGAAACCTTTTCCATTTTGAATTTCAAGTTAGAAATGGACTAGGTGATCTGTTTTATGATTTCAGGGCCTGTCATACCACAAGACCACCTTACTTTGGAGAAGGGGATCGAGTTGATTATCATTTTATCTCTCAAGACGTTTTTGATGAAATGGTGAACATGGTAAGAATGTTTGCCTTTGTTTTTATTGCACAAGAAATACACGTTCTCTGGCAAAAATGTTAGGAAATAGTTATAAATAAAAAAAGGAAGAATTAAATTTTGTGCTTGTTATGAGAGGTGAGTTTTTATGGGGTTTTTTTTTTTTCTTAAAGTGCTTAATACGTCATTCTTCACATGCTTTTTTATTTTATGGTCTTGGAGAAAATATTGTAAATTTCCAATAAAAATGAATGAGTAGGCATTTTAAGGAAATAGAACTAAAGCAGTATGAAAAATTCTTGTGATCTGTGCTTATCAGTTGCTGCTACTGTTATTAGTCAGATTTACTCAAGAAAAACAGTTCTTACATAACCGATGGCACAGAAATCTTGTAAATTAAGTATGTCTGGGGATTTGGGTATTCTGTCCAGAAAGTAGTCTTTCTGTGTATTATCTGTGGTGCTTTCTAATTGTTACAACCCTAAGCACCATTTCAGTATGGCGTGTCCCATTTACTTGGCTTGTTCTGGACATGTTACCATGGTCATGTTCCTGTTTGAGAAGTTCTCAGTCCTGGAGGCCAAGCAGTTCACTAATGCAGATGGCAGCCCTTGCTAGAAGATGGGAGATGATCCCTAACTTCTTTGAGGACTATGTTTTTACAAGGTCAAGGTAATTACCATGCATTAGTCTATTTCACAGGCACTCAGAACAATCTTGTTTAAGTTTTGGGTTTTTGCATTTGTTTGTTTTTTACTGAAACCCTGACAATCTGGTTATTGATAGTAACTCAAAACACTCTTGTCTTTGAATTCATTTTCTTCAAAACAACTTATATGTTCCTTCTTGGCCTTCACATACAAAGGGAACCCTCATAATCCTCGCATGTTTTATCTGTTGAAAGTGTATGCTAATGTAAATATGTATCTGCCCATGACTTCAGTTAAACTGAAGGAGTAGCTCATATTTTCATCACGACCAATGAATCTGTAAACCTTTTGTTTTTACTTCTCCATGGCCCTTATTTTTGTTTATATCTTCATTGTTTCTATCACCAAGTAAATCCTACACCACTTTCTTTTCTTTTCTGAAGTCCACTGAACTATCAGATGAGGGACTCATCTGTGTTTCTGCTTTTGAAAGATTACCATCCAACTGGTGATTCCCTTATAGCTACATATCCTCTTTCCTCTTTCCCCTTCTTTTTCCTTCTTCCTTCCTCTGTTCCCACCCCCCAAATAATGGACCTGGCTTATTCTTCATTGTACAAAATCATGGAACATTTCAGCATAGGCTTTGCAGTTTCTATGAGTTTAATTTTGAATGGCCAACTCTATACATGGTGCCTGTTTTCTGGACTTCTCTTGTGTTTGTGGAGATATACAAGTGAGAAAATCCTATGATCCCTAGGCAATTTTTCCTCTAACTTTGTCAAAAGAACATCTTGGAAATTCTTTATAATTTTCTCTCCTAGGGCTATATTTTGGCAGTTCAGTTTAATTGATTAAGAGTACTCTGGGACTTTATGTTTCTAAAAGCCTCAATAGAGATTTGAGAAGTTATCTTGATATTAGTAAGAAGCATTCTCTTAGGACTTTTTAAGTTGAAAGACAACTAATTCCCAAAATTAATGTTAATTTATCTTGTTAGAGTATGAGGCAATTTTTTTCTCACGTCAGTTCATCTGTTCTCAGTACCCCATCTGCTCTCTGGTGTTTCATACCTTATCAGATCTGTAATCTAGTCTGGTTCAATTCCTAGTCTAAAAAGTCACTACACTTCTATACTATATTTAGTCTTAGAATTTTACTACCTCTACAGAAATCCTCCTGTGTTTGAGAAGTACTTATTTTTACTGCTTCTGATAACATATATATACATTTCAGGATAATGTAATTTTCTTGAACTTGAATTGTGCCTCTGATCTCTTTTCCTTTAATGTAAGCTTGAGACTGTTTGATGAAGAGAGACAAACTTAGAGATGACAAACTTATGACACATTGTCAGCTTTGCCAATCACCCACAGACACTCAGCCTTCTGTTCACAGAACCCCCCTCTACACAGCAGCCACCCAGACAGCCTGCCCGCCATCCTCCATTACAGCAGGCCCACTGACGGACAGCCTTGGCACACCCTTACTGTGGACAGTCACACCTTTCTGCTCTGACACGTACAACACATAGACCTGTACACCTTCCCCCACACAGGGGCCTCCTCTATCCCATCAGACACTTCCCCCACAACACACAATCATCCCCCTAACATGCCCACAGATATGAGAACCCTTTTAATGGACACATACACAGTCCCCACAGAAACTCTCCCTCTCCTGTAGAAATAAAACCACAGACCCTGAGGTTTCTGGAGTATGACTATTGCTATTTATTAGGAAATCCATATGCAGCAAGAAACCAAAGTAGCATCACCAGCCAGAATGGGGTGGAGGGAAACCACTTAATCCCAATTCTTAACAAACTTGTAATGGGGTCTCTTTTATACCTATGTACTATGCAAGATTCCTCCCAACTCTACATCTCTACATCTTTCTAGAAAATGTTTTTTTTAATTATCCACAGTAGAAGGTCCTTGTACATAAACAATAAAAAAAACTTACAGTATATATCTGAAAAGGAATTCAAGTATACATTTTGAAAACAGCGAGTCACAGAGTGTTAGTCAGGGTTCTCCAGAGAAACAGAATCAATAGGATGTGTATATGTATAGCAAGAGATTTAGGGTTGGGCTCACACCTGTAATCCCAGCACTTTGGGAGGCTGAGGTGGGAGGATTGCTTGAACCTAGGAGTTTGAGACCAGCCTGGGCAACAAAATGAGACCCTATCTCTTCAAAAAATAAAGAATTAGCCTGGTGTAGGGGTTCATGCCTGTAGTCCCAGCAACTCAGGAGGCTGAGGCAGAAGGATTGCTTGAGCCCAGGAGGTCAAGGCTGCAGTGAGTTATGATTGCCCCACTGCACTCCAGCCTGTGTAACACAGCAAGACTCCATCTCTTAAAAGAAAGAGATTTAGTGTAAGAAATTGGCACACATGGGTTATAGGGACTGGCAAATCCAAATCTGCAGTGTGAGCCGGGCAGCCAGGAAATCCTAATGGGTTCACCTTGCCCGCTGCCTAGACAGAGCCGATTTTTCAAGATGAGAATTGCAATAGAGAAAGAATAATTCACACAGGGCCAGCTGTGCAGGAGACCACATTTTATCATTACTCAAATCAATCACCCTGAGCATTTGGGGATCACAGTTTTTAAGGACAACTTAGTGGGTGGGGGGAAGCCAGTGAGCCGGGAGTGCTGATTGGTCAGAGATGAAATCACAGAGAGTCAAGCTGTCTTCCTGTACTGAATCAGTTCCTGGGTAGGGGCCACAAGATCAGATGAGCCAGTTTATCGATCTGGGTGGTGCCAGCTGATCCATCAAGTGCAGGGTCTACAAAATATCTCAAGCACTGATCTTAGGAGCAGTTTAGGGAGGGTCAGAATCTTGTAGCCTCCAGCTGCATGACTCCTAAACCATAATTTCTAATCTTGTGGCTAATTTTTTAGTCCTACAAAGGCAGTCTAGTCCCCATGCAAGAAGGGAGTTTGTTTTGGGAAAGGGCTGTTATCATCTTTGTTTTAAAGTGTAAACTAAGTTCCTCCCAAAGTTAGTTCAGCCTGTGCCCAAGAATGAACAAGAACAGTTTGGAGGTTAGAAGCAAGATGGAGTCAGTTAGGTTAGATCTCTTTCATTGTCTCAGTCATAATTTTGCAATGGAGGTTTCAGTGGTGCAGATGAAATCCAAAGGCTGATCTTTTTGTTCTATTGAGGCCTTCAACTGATTGGATAAAGTCCACCTATATTATGGGTGGCAGTCTGCTTCCTTGAAGTTCACCAGTTTAAATGTTCATCTCACCCCAAACATCTTCCAAGTTGACACATAATACTAACCAGCAGATGCAATAAACAAGATAAAGTGTCTATCTGAAAGGAGAGCCAGACATATATATATATATAGAAAAGGAGTCACAGTATTTGTTCCAAATAACAAAGAAAGTATGACATTGAAGGAGTAAAATAGTAAGGATATTTATTGTTGAGTTTTTAACTTTTGGAATATATAACATAAACTTCTTTTGATTATGGGGGATGTGGATCTTCCTCATCACCTGCAGCAGACACATTGCCCAGAGACCCATCCCCCAACCTCAAAAGACACCCTACGCCTTCTGGTCTCTGACCTGTCTTCCCTGACAGACAGCCCATCCCCGTACCCTCACATCTCCAGAACATCTGGGGCCAAGACACAGGGTAGCAATAGACCCAACTGCTGCTGTTCTTAATGCTGCCACCGCCATTTGATGGGATTCAATGCAGCCCTGGAAGTTTTCACTTCATTGTTTATTTCAAAATCACATATATGAGAAGTCACTCTTGCCAAGATCATCCACGTTTTTATTCCTTCTGTTGTCATCAGTTACCCAGTTTAGATTTGACCTAGTGGTTTAATGAATATAGTATTGCCAAAGAAAAAATCACAGACAATTTTAAGAGACATCTTTTTACTTGCCCCACCCCTCCTTTTTTTTTTCCCAAGGGAATACCGTTTTTGGAAGAACTGAGCTTCCAGAATACAGACAGAGGCATCATTTATAGTTCAAATGGCTATAGGGCAGACACCAATTCTGTTGGATGACATTTGGGGCAGTTTCAGTAGAAAGCTATCTTTATGAGGAAAAACAGGATGGGTCTGCTTTTTCAAAGCTTTTAGGATGTCCCTGTAATTCATGGCCTCCCAGAATTATCTGTAATTCATGGCTTATCTTGGTAATGCAAGGCTTTTGGAAATGGAAGGCTTTTCTGGGTTGCCTGGTGTGCTGGCACAGCTGAAATGGCGGCAGTAAAGGGCAGGCCATTAGTTTTGTTCTCTCAGTAATGAAGGTTTTGGTGCGGGTTTGGCAGGAAGTGGGTAAGTAAACAAAATAGTCTATTTTACCATATGCTGCAGTGCCTTAACACTCCTCAACATTTTGTCAGCAAATTATTTCTAAAAACCTATTTTTTTTTTGTCAGCTGAGAATTCTGAATAAATTTCTCTGTCACAGTTTGAAATTAAGTTTCATTTACCCCATTGTCATCCTTATATAGTTGCTAAAATTTGTAAGGTTTTTGAAATTATTTAGAATAAGACATCAAATGATTTGAGTTATGTAAATTCCATGATGGCTGCTGTTATATGAAAATCTTTGTTCTTCTCGAATTCCAGGGGAAATTCATTCTAACATTTAGTTATGGTAATCACAAGTATGGATTAAATAGGGACACCGTAGAAGGTATCGCAAGAGATGGTTTGGCAAGCTGTATTCATATGGAAATAGAAGTAAGTGTTTTCATTCAACCAATTAATGTGTGTGTAGTTTGTGTGAGTGTGGTGTGTGTGTATGTGTGTGTGTGTGTGTATATATGTATAAACTTTTTACTGATACATAATTGAGGTACATATATGGGGTACATGCGTTAATGTATATACATATTTGAGGTTGGGGAGGGGTATACAATGCACAGGCAACACATTGCCAGGCACAAGATAAGATATTCCGTTTATAATTACTATGGGGGGCAAGACACATGAAACATTAAGTGACAGGAGTTCGGTTACAATACAAGAAATTGCACAGATATTGTGAGTGAAACTGCCACTCGAGCTTTATTTTCTGTTATTTCCTCACTAAATGCTCCTTTTTCTTTTTAGAGCATGGCCTCTGTTTACATAAAAGGTTGTAGATAAAGCCTGATTCTTAGAGTGTGGAACTGGTTCCCCATCCCCTCAGGACAATGGCAGCCCCATGTGGTCAACTTTGTTCCTTCCTTCTGCATGAGATGTGTGGGCTGTGCTGCCATTTAACTGCAGTTGCTCACTGGGTGTAATATTTTCATACTTCTGGCAATTTAGACCTGTAGATGTCAGGAGATTTTTCTCTCTACCCTGATACCCTGTCTTCCCCCAACAATGATCTATAATTAGAGTATATAGAAGCTTCTCCAAAATTAAGATCCAGAGTAAAACTATGAATTTCCCACTCATTTATTTTTTAAAAATATAGCTTTATTACATACTTGGAACCTTCAAAAATAGTTGATTGTTTTTTCAAGATCCTTTAACTGAGCAGTATGACACTTTTGGAATTAAAAAAAAAGCAATTATAAAACTAATTCAATTAGATCAAATATACAGAAAACAAAACCTAGGCAAATCAGGTACATAATCCTTCGATGTCAACTCTGAATCTTTCTTTTTTCCTTTGTGACTTCACACAGTAGGAGACTGCAATTCCCTTTTGGCTCTTTGTGTTGGTATAAGTGTTTCTTAGCTTACACATTTCTTCCAGCTCTTTAACTTTCCTGACGTAGAATATTTCCAATCTTACTTCTCAGTGATTAATTGGTTTTGTATCTTTAAGGAATGTTTTCTTTGTTTCTATAATAACTAGCAAAAATAAAAGGTCTTTTCTAAAAAATTTCTTCATTTGACAAGGCAGAAACAAAAATTAATGCATTTTTGAGTCCAGAAACTCTCCATCTTTTGTGTCTATCTTTCACTGTTTTTCTCCCTGGGAGTTCACTCTTCCTCATTTCCAGGAGGTTGAGTCTATAATCCATGCTTGATTCCCCTGATTCTCCCCAGCTGAAGTATTTTTCCAGACTGCCCTGGTCATTGACTGTTTCAGAAATTGTTTTGGAAATAGCCTGTATTTCTTCCAACTGAATTTTTAAAACAAAGACTTTGAACATTGAGTGAAACTGATTGAGATGGACGGGACTTTAGAGTCCATTTGGAATGGCTCTTTCATTTCACCCGTGAGGAAACTGATAGCCAGAGAACTTGAAGGATTTGTGCGGCGTCTACAGGAGCCAGAGAGCTGCAGTTGTGACCAAGCCCTCCAGACTCACAGACCAGTCAGTTCCTTACACAGTTCCATGCTGTGATCTCCTGGTCTGCAGGTGACGAGGAGCTTGGCCTTCCCAACCAGGGTGCTGATTTAGGTGCAGAAAGGGTCCCAAGATGATGACAAAGGGGTCACAGAAGAGCCTTTTCTCCCTGGTAAGATCTCTATCTCCTGGTGCTCCACAGAACCCTTTTGAAATATAGAATTGAAATTACCTTTCTGTAATAAAGTTGCAATATTGCTATGAATGTACCTATTTTATATCCAGCAATTTTCTAACAGTCATATTCATTAGAATGATTAATTAAAGGAAAGCCAGGTGGAGTGAATTGTAATATTTCCAATGACAATTTAAAACTTGATGAAGAGAGAAATGTAATCCAATCTTGAGATATTTATAGAAAAATAGTAGCTAACTATACAGATGAAATAAATTCTTCAATATATTAATAATACTACTTCTTATACCCATGTTGTCAGATGGCTCCAAAATGATTTCTAAATCATGTATCTGTTTCCAATTTATTATCTTCCTTTTAATGCACAGGGTGTAAGAAGTTTGAAATATTCCTATTTTGAGCCTCGTTATATCCTGGTGGTGCCCATGAACAAGGAAAAATATGAGGGATATTTGCGGAGAAAAGGATTATTCAGTCGTGCAGAAATTGAATTTGCTGTCTCCAGAGTGGACCTTTATATTAAAATTAATCAGAATTTTCCGGGATATTTTGATGAGGTAATCAATGCAGGTTGGTAATTTTCAGCAAAGTTTTGTTTTTGAAATGTAAGATTACTGAATTAAAAGTTTGTTTCATGGGGATAAAATTCTTGGGTAAAAGCTATTTTTCTTGTAACGGTGAATCACAAAGAGCTGCGAAAAGGGGTAAGAATCCAAGAGGTCTAATCTTCCACTGTTTTAATGAGAGCATTGTCTCAATTATTTCTTAAGATTGTAGCTAATAAGATTTGGTGTAAAATGAGCCTGAACTAAGTTCATTTTTTAGGGGACATTGTGAGAACAAAGTTAAATTATATATAATTTGAAATACACATTTAAATTTCTAGAAAGGCATATGAAACTCAGGTAATTTGATTATAATCTACACGTAGGTTAAAAACCCAACTACTCAAAATATTATAACTTAAAAATGTATGTGTAAAATAAACATTTTCAGAAACTAGCTTAGAAATGACCATTTAATTTAAAGCAATAGTTCATGGGAGAATTTATCAAAATATGAAAATTTCTATATATATATGTACATATTTTTACACATATAAAATTTCTATAGATATATTCTAGAAACTTTTATATATATATATATATATATATATATATATATATATATATATATATGTATAATTTTTTTTTTTGAGATAGAGAGTCTCGCTCTGTCACCCAGGCTGGAGTGCAGTGGCGTGATCTTGGTTCACTACAACCTCTTCCTCCGCCTCCCAGGTTCAAGCAATAGATCTGCCTCAACTTCCTGTATAGCTGGGATTACAGGTGCCCGCCACCACGCCCAGCTAATTTTTGCATTTTTAGTAGAGACAGGGTTTAACCATGTTGTCCAGGCTGGTCTCAAACTCTTGACCTCAAG
The DNA here is from genome assembly GCF_000001405.40 of Homo sapiens. Taxonomy (NCBI): domain Eukaryota; kingdom Metazoa; phylum Chordata; class Mammalia; order Primates; family Hominidae; genus Homo; species Homo sapiens. Next base: position 134,200,274 of record NC_000007.14, read on the forward strand.
CAATCCACCCTCCTCAGCCTCCCAAAGTGCTGGGATTACAGGCGTGAGCCACCGCACCTGGCAAATTTCTATATATTTTTAAAGTGCACTATGTTACACAGTCATAAAAAGGAATGAGAAAATTCTCTGTGTCTAGATAGGGAAATATCTTCAAGACATACAGTTACTGAAAAAGACAGGTTTACAATATAGTATGCCATAATTTATGTAAAAAAATTGTGCAATTGTATTTTCTTGTGCTACATAAAAAAGTTCTCTGGCAGAATCCTCAAAAAAACTAATAACACTGATTACCTCTTAGGGGGAAGGGAAACTAGATGAACTAGATGGACAGGGGACATTAGTTGAACCATATGAAATTGTTGATATTCAACTATTTTGACCTATGAAAACAGCAATGTCATATGGTTCAAATTATTAATAATAGTTTTTGGTCTCTGAAACATGTTAAAGTATTACACAGTTGAATTTGTTTTCTATTCCTGCATAGAAATTATCACACTTAGTGTCTTAAAGCAACACCCATTTATTAATTCACAGTTTCGTAGATTAGAAGTCTGGTACAGCATAGGTGGATTTTCTGCTCAGGGTATCAGGAAGCTGAGGGCTCATCTGAAGGCTCTGGGGATAAGTCCCCAAAGCTCATTCTTGTTGGCAGGATGGAGTTTCTTTTGGTTGTAGAACTGAGGTCCCAGTTTCCCTGTGGGCTGTCTGCCAAGAATTATCCTCAGTTTCTGGAGGTTGCTCTCAGGTGTCATCCACGTGGCCCCACCATCTTCAAGCCAGCACCAGCACATCGAATCCTCCTTGTGATCTGAGTCTCTGACTTCTTTTTCTGCCAACAGCTGGAGAAAACTCTCCTTTTATGTGGCTCATGTGATTAGGGTGGGCCTGCCTGGATAATCTCCCTTTTGATTAACCCAAAGTCAACCCGTTAATAACCTTAACCACATCCGCAAAAATCCCTTTTGCTGAATGTCACACAATCGTGGAGGTGGTATCTCATTGCCTTCACAGGTTCTGCCCACACTTAAGGGGAGGAGATTGATTATACAAAGGTGATGTGTCCTTAGGGTCATCTTAGAATTCTGCCTACCATAATATATATAAAATTAAATGCAGTAAACAAATCATTACCACCGATAGTTGAACATCAACTGTATTGGATGTGATCCTGTTGCTTTAAAATGTACTCTCTTTGCTGCAGATGATCTGGATGTTGCCTACCAAAAACTGAGTCAGCTCATTAGAGAATACCTTGGATTGACTGAGGAACCTGCCAAGAGTTTGGCTACAACTGCAGGTACTATTCTATCATTTTTGTGCCAGGATTTTTTTTTTTTTCATGGAAAGGAAAACAAATCTGAGTTGCTATTTGGGTACTCATCACTTGGGCTAAAGCTGGTTCTCTTTTATTCCTGTACTTCTTCTGGGGCAATTGTCCCCAAAACAAGCAGCATGAGTCAGCTTTCTGGACCTGTAACTCTGCTTATCTCCATGGTCATGATGGACCTCCAGGTACTGCCCTTCAGGAACAGGCTAGGCAGTGCCTTGGCGGAGGTAATAGATAAGGGTTAACCTCATGGTTCAGAACTCAGCCTTCCAGAGGTTTCATTCCTTAGAGAGCTGAGATGTTGTTCTACTTGTCGAGTTTGTATTTAGTCTGAGAGTTTTCTTTCCCCTTTTCTTTGCGTTACCCGAGTCCTCAAAATACTGTGCTGCGGAATACAGTGGCAAGAGCCCTAGTCATAGGATCAATGTTCCTGATCCTAGCCCTGTGCTCTCTTGGGTGAGCTCCTTCGCTGTTCGGAGCTTCAGTTTACTGTTCTGCTACATGGACCTAATGCTCCTTATCTAATGCTCCTCATCACCACATGGATGGTGAGCAGCACATGATGTAGTATATGTAAGAGTGCATTCCCTTGGAATCCAGGAACTCTAAAGCCCTAAGTTAGAATTTTGGTACATGAATTTTGAGATGTATTTAAAAGTCTCCCTTTAATCCACCTCACAACTATTAGGATGGCTACTATAAAAACAAAATTAAAAAAAAAAACAGAAATTAACAGGTGTTGGCAAGGATGTGGAGAAATTGGAACCCTTGTGTGCTATTGGCAGGAGTGTAAAATGGTATTGCTCCTGTGGGAAACAGTATGGAGGTTCCTCAAAAAATTAGCAATAGAACTGTCCTATCATCCAGCAATCCCACTTCTGATCTACCTCCAAAAGAATTGAAGGCAGGATCTCAAAAAGAGAGCTGCACACCCATGTTTTTAGCAGCACTATTCACAATAGCCAAAAGGTGGAAGGAACCCATAAAATAGAATTTTATTTGACCTTAAAAAAGGAAGGAAATTCTGGCACATGCTACACATAGATGAACCTTGAAGACATTGTGCCAAATGAAATGAGCCAGTCACAAAAGGACAGCTATTGTATGATTCCACTACATGAGGTATCTAGAGTAGTCAATTCATAGAGCCAGAAAGTAGAACGGTAGTTGCCAGAGGCTAGGGAATGGGAGTGGTTTAATGGGTACAGTGTCAGTTTGAGAAGATGAAAAGAGTTCTGAGGATAGATGATAGTGACGGTGGCACAGTGTGAATATACTTCATGCCACTGAACTGTGTACTTAAAAATGGTTAAGATGGCCGGGCGTGGTGGCTCATGCCTCTAATCCCAGCACTTTGGGAGGCCGAGGTGGGCAGATCACGAGGTCAGGAGATAGAGATCATCCTGGCCAACATGGTGAAACCCTGTCTCTACTAAAAATACAAAAATTAGCCAGGCGTGGTGGCATGTGCCTGTAATCCCAACTACTCAGGAGGCTGAGGCAGGAGAATTGCTTGAATCAGAGAGTAGGAGGTTGCAGCAAGCCAAGATTGCACCACTGCACTCTAGCCTAGTGTCAGAGCAAAACTCCATCTCAAAAAAAAAAATGGTTAAGATAGTCAATGTTGTGTTATGTGTATTTTGCCACCATAGTAAGTTTTAAAACTTTCCCTTGATGGACTGAACCCCATTCACACACTGCATATTGTGAAATGTTAACCTGAGACCCTGGCTGCTTTGCAAGTATGTTCAGCTTTGTGTTTTAGCGGTTGTGACTTTTTGCCCAAATAGGATTTTGTTTACCAGGTTGCATCCTGGCAGACTGAGGCAGGGCAGGTCATGATTTTGCCAGACTTCAAACCAATGCTGTTTTGTAATTTTGCACACTTTTCCCAGGTTGAGGGCCCCTGGTATTTTGGAATGAGGTCAACGTGAAACTGGTAAAAATCAACAGATAATGGCTGAGAATTTCCTTCTCCATATGTCTTATAGGAGATGAAGTGACCAGGGTATGACCTGCTGACTGGAATGTTCCTGGAGAAAGTTTGACCTGTCTTAAAATAGGAATGGAGGACTGGAGGACTGTGCTCAGTCTACAAAGTGGGGATTGGGGAACATTAGATTGGGAGCATGTCAGTGTATGTATCCAGCCCTGCTCAGAATCTCTGCACTGGGCGTCGGTTCTTTAGAAAGCCATCTCTATGGAGAAGGGCTGTGAGTGTATCTAATGAGGCTTCTGTAGCTCAGTAGAAGTTTCTCTTGAGAAAATCTGGCTCCCCTTGCCTTAATTCTTTGCTACCCAAGCAACCTTCTGATCTTTAATTTGGTCCCATCGGGTGGACCTGCTCCTGTCGGGGCTGTACCCTACGTTACCCACCCTGCCCTGATCCCTGAGCCAGGCTTGTCTCCATTGTAAATTAATTAATTGGTGTACTGGCTTTTAAATCAGCCTCTTGTGGGTTTGGATAAACATGAATCAGTCCCCTGAGCCTGACCAGCTCTGAGTAACTGAGAACAGTGTGTTTCTCAATCTGAGGTTGCCACTGACTGGGGGGGCTTGAACAAGACTTTGCCTCAACAGCCAGTGAGAGTCCGTCTCTGTATCTTTTCTTATTCTACAACTATCAAGAACACTGGCTATTGGGTGCAGTTGCCATTTGGTAAATTAATAGACCAGATAATGTGTGCATAGAAAAATAGACTTTGATTCTAACGGGTATAATAAAATTTTATTTATTTGGACTAATGAGGTTAGGCTTGGCTGATTTAATGAAAAGCATGAATTACTGAATTTGTAAAAATGTTTTAGCTTTCAGTTACATTTTATAACTGAAACTGAGCCATCTAGTTACTGACTAATAGAATTCCAACTGTAAAAGGTAGGTAGGCAGATTTGTAATTAATGGATCAAATCACTAGCCTCAAGGCCCCTTTGTTTTTTTGGCATGTTTAGTATTTTGAAAAACAATGTGTTTTCTGAAGCCAACCACTTTATCTTATCTAGACAATTAATTTGCTGAGGAAGTTACTTTTTCTACTTGTGGGTTTAAGAATAAACTTGCACATTGTAGAGGCCAGACATTATTCAAGTGAGTATCTAAAAAGTTCTAAGGAACATGGTCCTTATTAACACACATTTAATGGTGTCTCTAGTGGGACAAGAAGTAGAGCCAGTGTTCTTCCTGAGTCTCAGGGCTGTGAAGAAGGTGCCAAGGAATGGGGACCAGATGTTTACAGGTTCAGTGCACAAGAGTGGAGCCAACCATAGTTACCTTAAAACAAGTGTCAGTGTGTCCAGAGTTGGTTCCTGCCAGTGGGTTCGTGGTCTTGCTGACTTCAAGAATGGAGCCGTGGACCTTCGTGGTGAGTGTTACAGCCCTTAAAGATGGCAAGGACCCAAAGAGTAAGTGGTAGCAAGGTTTAGTGTTAACAGCGAAAGGACAAAGTGTCCACAGCATGGAAGGGGACCTGAGTGGGTTGCCGCTGCTGGCGGGGGTGGCCAGCGTTTATTCCCTTATTTGTCCAGGGAATGGACATGTTCCATTTGTGTCCTATCAGAGTGCCCTTTTTTCAATCCTCCCTGAGATTGGCTACTTTTAGAATCCTGCTGATTGGTGCGTTTTACAGAGCGCTGATTGGTGCATTTTACAAACCTCTTGTAAGACAGGAAAGTTCCTGATTGGTGCGTTTTACAATCCTCTTGTAAGACAGGAAAGTTCCCCAAGTCCCCACTCGACCCAGGAAGTCCAGCTGGCCTCACCTCTCATCAGCACTCCCCAGGAAGGGACCCAGAGTCCCAGCAGAGTCACCATCATGTGCCCAGCTGGTGCTTCACCTCATTGCTCCTGCTCTGAGCTGGGTCACTCTGATTTTAAGTTCTATAATTTAGATATATGTGTATAAACACATTACTCACATAAATGGGACCTCTAGAAATAAAAAACAATAGTTTTAGTATAATGAATTTTTTAAAAAATAATTGAGCTGTCAAAAGGAAGAAATTGAAATAAAAAATATTTATGATTCTGTGAAAGACAGCTTTGTCTGCGCAATTAGGAAACTGGACTGGAAATATGAAGCCTTGGTTTTCTATTCTAAATCTAACCAATAACCATTAACTTGATTCGAGAAGTAATTTTGAGCTCCCATTTCTTAAAATAAAAACCTATACATAATGTCATGGTGCACTATTAGAATCCGGCTGTCTAGAGCTGAGGTTTTTCCCAATTGGATTAGGCATCAGTACAAACAGAAATCTTATGACCAACAGCATTGTTTTTCTTAAAGTGGTAATCCTGTATCAATGCAAACAGAAAAGTATTCCCAGATATCTGAAGTAGTAATACATAACTTGATCTTTTGTAATTTTATGTTGCTAATTTATAACTAAGAGTACAAGCTGAATTTCTACTCTTAACAATGAGAGTGGAACAGAGTGATAAAAGGAAGCGCAAGGTTTATCAGTTCTGAGTACAGCATCTTTCAGCCTGGACCCAGAAATATAAACTTTCACTAATGGGTGGATTAATTGAATTTTCACTTAATGCATGTATAAAATACTAACTTTAGGTACACAGTGATTATAAACCCTGAAATCTTCAGATATCCCCTTAATTTAAAATACATATCAGCCAGGTGCGGTGGCTTACGCCTGTAATCCCAGCACTTTGGAAGCCCGAGGAGGGCAGATCACGAGGTCAGGAGGTCGAGACCATCCTGGCCAACATGGAGAAATCCCGTCTCTACTAAAAATACAAAAATTAGCTGGGCGTGGTGGTGCGTGCCTGTAATCCCGGCTACTCGGGAGGCTGAGGCAGGAGAATCGCTTGAACCAGGGAGTCAGAAGTTGCAATGAGCTAATATTGTAGCACTGCACTCCAGCCTGGTGACAGAGTGAGACTCCATCTCAAAATAAATAAATAAATACATATATATATATAATATATGTATGTGTATATATATATGTGTGTATGTGTGTGTGTGTATATATATATAGAATTGTCTTATTTTCCCTATTGTAATGTGGATAACATTTATTTCTAATACCCGAAGGCTTAAAAAGCACAAGTAAACAAAATAGTTTCTACAAAATAAGGTAAAAACTATATTCACAACTCAGTATTAAGGGATGTCTTTCCTTCCATTTGTCTCTAAACAACCTACTTCTGGGATAGTCAATGCTTCCAGCAAAGCTTTTAGAAAGCTGTACCAACTATCACCCTGAGTTCTTGCTATATAGATCATAAAATAAAATTGTATTTGCAAATCATTAATCTGACTAATGGTAGAAAGAAATGATGATGGTTATGATAAGTCAGACAGAGGAGAACTGAGCAGTTGACTAGTCCGTAAAGTTTTCCTTTATCTTTAATAAAAGGCCTGGTATGATTTGCCAAGTTATGTCAATTGTTAAATTGTAAAAGTGGGGAACACATCCTTATATATCTGATTACAGAAAACCAAGAGAGATTAAGGAGCAAAAGAAGCTTTAGCACAGGATTTCATTGTTCTTATATTTTTCCATCTTTTAAAATTAATTTTATATTTTGGTTAAAAAGCATACCTTAACATAAAATTTGCCGTTTTAACCATTGTAAGTATACAATTCAATGGTACTAATTACATTTACAATGTTGTATAACCATCATCACTACCTATTTCCAAAATTTGTCATTACCCCAAACAGAAACTCTATACCCATTAATCTATTACTCCCCTCAACTCCTGGTAACCTCGAATCTACTTTCTTTTCTCTATGAGTTTGCCTACTCTCGATATTTTCACAGTTTTATTTTTCAATTTAACCTTGTTTCTTGTCTAAGCTAGTATTTCAGTTTATAACAGTTATAAACTAGGGAGTTCCAAATGATGAACAGGACACCCCCTCAGAAACTGCACCAAGAGGGAAGCCTTTCTTTGTTCCCACCTGTCCCGCCCTCTCCCTAGAGAACACCGGTTTGATGGGATGCAAAGGGTGCGTGTCCAGACCAGGGGCTCAGTGAGAACCCAGCAGTGCAAGCTCATCCTGCGTCAGTGGAGGGGATCGGGGGCTGGGAGCCTGGTTTGCCTCTGGGGAATGGATCACTCCAAGGTCACCTCAGAGGTCTGATTTGGGTTGGAGTCGCTGAGTATCAGATCTCCCCCAAAGTGAGCTGAGACTAGCTTCTTCAAGGCTGTTCCAGTCTGGTGTGCCACCTCTGACTGCTCCACATTTCAGAGCTATGCCCTTAGGACTGGGGTAAGATGGTATTTGGGCCCCCAGAATCCGTCTAGTGAACAAGCGCTCACTGAACAAGTGCCTGCTGGATGATGGCGTCTGTGAGACTGTCCCAGAGATCAGTCACTCTGAGAACTTGCCATCAACACCAAGTTGACACCTCTGTGTAACACCAGCATTGCTAGTGGCCTCTGAGAGCCATTTTTGAAGGCAAGGTAGATGTGGAAGCCCAAGAGGAGGCCTGGGGATGTGAGTGCGGGAATAGCAGCCTGGATGGGGGTCCTCAGGAGCAGCTGTTCTGAGCCATGGTGCCTTGTGATTCTGTCCGGCCGATTCTTTCCTTCCTTCTTACATTCATCACCCATTTCCTCAGTTCCTGCCCCTTTGCCAGGTATTGGTGAACAGACATAACTCTTCACAGAGCTCACGGCTTATATAAGAGGGCTGCCGTTAAATAAGGAAACAAACAAATGGGATTTCATCTGGCTTGGATGTCCATCCTCTAGTTTCTACCATCAAAAACAGCATTGATCTCTAAGTTGGTAAAAATTTAAAGTCTCATTCACTTGGAAAATGTCTCACCACCCACAAATCTGGATGTAAATTTTGGTTCTATGAATAAGAACCAGACATAAACCTCTTATGTTTATTCATTGAAGTTTATGTTTTCAGTTGACTAAAATTGTTCTAAGTTCCACTAAATGAGAGAATTATAGACACTTAGTATCTCCAAGGAGAAGGGAAGGTTAAGTTCTCCTATATGTGTAATTTTATTCCTTTCAAGGGCCTATGTGCATCTAACAGGGGAAAGATGTTTTTCTTATTAATTTCTAAGCAGTTAGTTAACTTCTGTTTATAGTTAATTTCTTTTTATATTAAAGCAGGAGCTCCCGCTAGCAAGAAGACTGTCTCTGGGGTGCCAGCACACCTGGTTCCATCTCCCAGGTGCTTGGCGAAACTGCAAGCAGATGGCCAGATGACAGAGCATCTCTCTGGAATGCAAATTCATGCCAAGGACCTAGAAAATCAGAGCGTAACTCCTGCCCAGAACCAAGAGCTGGCTCAGGATGGAGAAACCCATCAAAAAGAGCTTTCTCCTGACAGCCATCTCAATCCTGAGCTCCCTCAACACCTCAGTTCATCAGCACTGGGTCTTCCTCAGCAGGCCCAGGACCTATCCCTAAACCCAACGGAAGAGGATGTCCAACAATCAGATCTTCCCCTAAAACAAATAGCCACTGAGACAGATGTCCCTGAGGTGGAAGCCAGTGAGGTTGGGCAGTCTCCCATCACCCCGACCCTGGTGCCTCCTGTGCACCCTTCCCCTCCCTCGTCCCGCAGCCCTCAGCCAGGCCAGGACAAGGAGTCAGGGGAGGCCCAGGTAACCCCTACTGGCCCTCCTCTGTCTGAACCTCTACAGGGACCTGGCCCCACTCCCCTCAGCCCTCAGAGAATTCAGGATGAGGAAATTGAGTCAGACAAACTTCCACCCAGCAGTTCCCACCATGATCCTCCAAAAGATTCTTCCCACACTGACTTGGTGCAGAAACTTGCTGGCGATTCTCAGCAAGCTCTGAAGGAGGAAACCTCCAAACCGGAAGCCATCCGAGTCAGTATCCCTCACCCAGAACTGCCACATCCCCAAGACTTAGCAACAGATACCAAGCAGCCCCAGGCCAGGGGAGCCCCGGGGACCTTGCTTCCTAGAAGCCGGCTGGCTCCCACTCGGCTGCCCCAGCCTCAGGTGCTGGCTCCCCTCCAGAGCAGGAGGCCCACACCCAAACTCCTATCGCCCAGCAGGGAAGAGGCTTTAGGAACAACCTCCCATCAAACCATGACGGTCTCTCCCAGGCTTCCACCAACCCGGGAAGCAGACACCAGTAAACTTCCTCCCATCAGCCCTCCGCACTCAAAACCACCACCAAATCTGAGCCCCCAGGCAGCCCACAGTCTTCAGCAAGTCCAGGAAGAGAAGGTCAGTGAGGTGAAACTCCCTCTTATCAGTCCCCCCAGCCAGGAGCAAGCAGAACCTCGCATCCTCAGTCCCGCCCAGGAGGAGGCGGCTCAGAAAGTGAGGCTCCCTCGCATTCCTGCTCCTCTTCCGGAGCCAGGGCTGCCCCAGAACTCGGGGACTCAGCCTGATCCAAGGCCTGCAAAGGAAAGGAAAGCTCCCCAAGCAGGCAGCTCCTCCAGGAGGAAGATTCCAGACATGCGGGCCTCACCCCACAACCAGGGGCCACTTCAGCAGACAGGGGCTAGGGAAAAAAAGCTCCCCAACCAGAAAGGGACGGCTAGAGGACTGGCACCTCTGGAAGAGGCACCACCTGGGAACCACCAGCCAGCCTTGCAGCTAGAACCCCACGATCAGCCAGCTCCCACCATGGTGCCCGACGATCCCAACCCCAGCCCTCCTCTTGTTTCTTGTCTAAGCTAGTATTTCAGTGTGTAACTGTTACAAATTAGGCCATCTGAGCAACCAGAGAAGCAAAGTCCATACACCAGAAATTCCTGAGCCGCCCCACGCCGAGCCATCACCTAAGACCCCCAATTACAAGAAGATTAAAAAAAACATAATTCCAGGAAAAGGACCCATACCAACCTCCCCACAAATGACCTGGCTTGGAATGTAGATGTGTCCAAACAAGGGCCATCTTGTAAGAGAGAGATTTTTGGAGGGTTATCTCAAGAAAATAAAACTCCCGTCAATGGTGATCAGCCAGCTCAGGAGGGCCAGCCCTCACCCGGGAGACCTCTCCAGAGGGAAAAGGCCCCTGCGGAGTCGCTACAGGATAGCTCGGCTCCTGTGGAGCATCCAGGGAGAAAGGGACAGGTTCATCGAAAGGGCAGGTCTCAGAGGAGAGAGATTGCTTCGCAATCCCCAGAGCAGGACAGTGAGCCCCCAACCCAGCAGCCTGTCAAAGACACACCAGCCCATCAGGGGAGAGGTCAGGCCAGAGAGAGCTCTGTCCAAAGGCACAATGCACTTGCTTCCAAGCAGCAAACCAAAGAGAAGCGAACCTGAAAACATGGGGCAGTGCCACAGGACAAAAGCCCCGCCACTCCCCAGAACCAGGTGTCTACTGTGGAGCAGGGCAGCTGGAAGGGAAGACTGCGCCCCAGGAGCAGTCAGAGCACCAAGGTTTAAGCCATCCCTGGAGCCACCAGCTCATTAAGGTCTGGGAACCCCGAGGCAGCACTGTCACAGAACGACCAGCTATGGCTGGGTCCTGTGAGTCTCCACACTGGCTTCCTCCTGAACCCATGGTCAGCGTAGGTGGAGGGGCTGTTCAGCACTGTCCAAACCTTGGATTCCTAGAAGGCAGCCAATCTGCACTCCTGTGCCTCTTCTGCTGTTGCCGTCACAGCCTGGAAGAGCAGTTGTTGCAGAGGGATGCAGCTCTATCAGCTGCTGCCACCAAATTGAGCCATTCTGGAAGGCTGGTGTCAGCAAGTAGCCTTTGTGTCCAGACACGAATCCAACCTGAGTTCCAACTCTGGCTGAAGCAGGGCCATATTGCCATTAAGTTTTCTTCTCTTCATAAGGAAAATTCGCTTCTAGACTTCTAGAAAATTCTCTCACCCCTCTTGCATTATCGAGGAGTTCCAAAGCAAAAAGAACTTTTGAGACAGGAAGACTTTGCTGTTCCTGGAGGTTCCAAACCTACAGTTAACTTGTGGGAATCTTCTGTAGGGAAGAAGACATATTTTGCATGCATGACTCTGTGATCAAATGCTTCAGATTTGTCTTGGCAATATGTTGCCTGAAACTTACTTTTGCTTGAAATGTATTTCAAAATGAATACCTTCCTTCTTTCTCTGAATAGAAATCTCATGTAAATTAGCTCATGCCTTTATTATGCCAAACCATCTGGTTGAATCAATTAAAAGAATTAATGGGGAGAACATTTAAGTGAATCAGTTGTTCGTTTATCTATTCATACCATCAGGATTCTTTCGCTGGCAAATGATAGGAGTCCACTCTAAGCCAGCTTCTGTGACTCTATTAGAAGGGAGTAGAAGATTTCATATGAACAAACTATGGGAAGGGCAGGGCTACAGCAAGTCTCAGAGAGACTGGGGGCCAGTTGTGGAACATAACCAGGACTCTAGTCATCTCCTGGACTCTGGTCTAGGACTCTCACCACTTCTCTTCTCTGTTTCTTTCTCCATGTTGGCTTCATTCTTTGGACTACAGATGACTCTATCAGTTTCTGCACATGGTGGGAAACATGGTTACCAGCAGCTCTCAAGCCCATATCTGATTTTACCTCTGGAAGCTCCCACTACTGTAAAGGGATTAATTTGAATGAATGTTCATTAATCCTAATCCAAAGAAAGTCTTGTTGGCCTAGCTTGGTTTAGGCACTTGTTCTTAAACCAATCTACTCTGGCAAGGACCAGGGTTACCTTCAGACATACCTATTGAACCTACTCCTATGTATGGACACTATACTCCACCCAAAAAGAGGATAATTGTGACTGAAACGGACAACTCAAGATGTGACTCTTAAAAAGCTGCAAGATATCTATTGAGCACTTACTGTGTACACAGCAGCATGCTAAACTGTATTTGGTATCTCATATTTAAAAATGTAACTGATGACTAAATGCCTGTGTAAATGTCTCTTACACAAAAGAGAGGTGTCTATGAAACTATGAATTTCAAATGTTATTTCAAGGGCAGTAGAGGAAACTGATATTTTAGAAATCCAGGATATAGAAATCCTCTTGCAAAATGAAGAGCTTATATAATGCCAGTAATTGCCCTCTGATTTATCTGATTTGTCCATGATGAAAATAATACAGTAATTGTAGAAAATATATCATTTGTTTATTTTTACTAAAAGTGTATTTATTTTTACTAAAAGTTCATTCATCCAACAAGCATTTATTGAGCACACGCTATGTGCCAGACAGTGATGGTTGCTAGATAAGGGGAAGTGATGAGGATACTTCAAGAAGCTTTGTCTTTTATCAAGGAAGACAGAGAGTTCATTATATTAATAACACCATGTGATTAGGGCAGCTGAAGGCCCCACAGCGTGTTAGGCTACATTTTACATCCTACAGACAGGAAAATCCATTTGTTAACTTTTCCAGATGTCATAAGAATACCAAGGAAGGACACTGAATTCGGCCTGGGATACAAACATTGGATCAGGAAACACTCCTAAGAGAAGGTCAGCCTTCAGCTTAGTCATCGCGGTTGCAGAATAGTCAGCAGACTGATGGAGAGGGGAAGTTTTCTTAGAAGAAGGAACCACGTACGCCTAAGCAGAGGCACGCGCAGGCATAGCATCTTCTAAGGACCCGAATGCCAGGAGAGATGCAGGTCTATATAGATCCAAAGTGCTTTTTGTGCTACACCGAAGAGCTTGGAAACTTGATCTTTAACAATGGGGAGCTGCTGAATTTGTATCTAAGAGGCATCTGTCTGGAGGGGATATAGAGGATGAATTTGAGGAGAGCAATACAGGAAGCAGGAGGAGTGGCAGGGAAGTTATTGCTGTAGTCCAGGAAAGAAGGTTAGGCCTGAAATAAGGCTGTGGGGGCAGGAATTGTCAAATTAGGTAAATATTTAGATTGCATGTGGGAGAGGGTAGATTGTGCAAGACAGGAAGAAAATTAAGATCATTACCCATTTTCTGTGAGGTGGGTGTGGGGCACTTTAGAGTTGTCCGTGTCTCATTTAGGTGAAGAATTTTCGAAATTTAAAATTGCTTTTAGAAATGTATAATTTTCCTCTTCGGGCGCCTGTTTCTGAGGCTCCTGAAGGCATTTGGGGTTGCATTTCCATTAGGGTACAAAAGGGAAGCGATAAGCCAAATTTTTTTTATCACTTGTTTGTGTTTCTGTTATTGCTTTGGTAGTATATGTTCCTAATGTCTCAGATTCAGTGGAACTGGACAATATTTTGTTTGTGGTCAGAGGAAAGGAGTGGAAAAGAGTATCAACAGGAGATTTTTAGTGCTATTATTGATTCTCTTGGTATAAGGGAAACCTCTGATTTTTACACATAGAATAACAATGTTTAAAAATTGCCATTTTCCATCTATATTTACAAGGTTCCTATCATTCCCATTTGATATGTTGCTCAGCAAGGTGATCTTTATAGGAACAAAAAAACATTGTGGCTTATAGTGACTACATTAGTAATACCATCTTTAGCTCCTTTAAAGAAAAGTGGCACCTAATATTCAAATCAATGGAGATAATATTGCCACTTGGCATGAAAGCCTTCCTCAAATATTTAAAGAGCTAAATCAGTTATTTCCAAAACTTCAAAAGATAATTGAACAAAGGGCATGATTGGGAAATTCACAGAAGAGGAAATAAAAATGGCCAATAGATATGTCAAAAAGTATTTAACCTCATTATAAGTTGAAACAGGATAGACTTTTTTTTTTTGTACTGAATTGGCAGATGAAAAACAACTTAATGCCTATTGTTGGCGAGGCTGTGGGTAAATGCACTTTCTATGTCTCAGGAGAGAAAGTAAATCGGCACAATTTTTCTGGGGCACAGTTTTACAATTTTCTGTCAAAGCCTTAACATTTTGTATATCTTCAGTCTAGTAATTCGAATCTGAGGATTATCATAAGGAACTCACTTATGGGCAAGGATGTTCATATCAGTGTTTTTTATGATAAAATCTAGAAATAATCTAGCTATCTAATGGGATTTTAGAAATAAGTTATGGTATAGCTATATGCTGGAATATTATGTTGTCATTATAATCATGTCATAGAAGAATATTTAATTAGAGGAAACTATTTATTGCGTAGTAAGTAGAAAGCAGGTTAAGGAGGTAGAGCCAGTATGGCTCTAGTTATTAGCTCTGGATTATGGATTATGCATAATTTTTATTTTCCCATCTATGCTTTTTAGTATTTTTTAAATTTTCTACAATGACCTATGTTTATTCAGAAAAAGTTATATAGAATTAAATTTAAACACACACACACACACACACACACACACACACACACACACTTTGAAGAGCTGTCATGAGAAAGCAACAGCCTTACATTCTATTTTGATTTGACATCATGAACTTTCTAAGAGTTAGAGGTGATTTGCAGAGGAACAGACTGGCTTGCTCCAGAAGTTAGATGCTGTGTTATGGGAATCTTATAGAAGGTCTTCATATGTTGGGTGATTTAGTTGGACTGGCTAAAATGTAAGGTTCATTTTATGATCTAAGATCCACTTACTGCAGCTGACTCCATTTGCTTGTTATGAGGAATCCTGTTTTATTAAATGTAGTGCTTAGAAAATTATATGTACTTAGTACTCCTTAGATATGTGGCTTTCAAAGTTTTATTGACCAAGATCCATAATTAGAAGTATACATGTTACAATATCATGACCCAGTAAACACATAAAACACCTGGCAAAAAAAAAAAAGTGTCATAAAACACCTTTACTATGGTGATAGACAACTCTGATATTTTCTATGGCGCTGAATTTCAATTTTTAAAATTCTGGTTGTGGCCTCCTAAATTGATTTCACAATTTTGTTTGCAACCTGCAGTTTGGAAAACCCTGCACTGAGTGCCCTAGAGGTTTGCTTTGATGCTGTCCTTACTTGGAGGCCTGTTACCAGACTTCCCCCCAGCTCTGGTTGCCTTCAAGTGAGGTTGGATGGGTTGACATCATTTATGCTGAATTCTTCTCTGGGACAAGGATCTGGTGTATTGGCAGTTATGTTCTTTGTCAATGTGGGGGCTCAGGATAAGATACATCCAAAATCTATATGTATACGTTTTATATAAAGCTTTTAAAAAAAAAAGGCACTTGAGAACAATCTTGATCAGCTTACTTCCTTGCCTTTTGCTCCATGACAAGCCCGAAAATCATCTTATTACCATAAAAAGATCCACCAAGTTCCACTTCAGATAATTGCACTATTTATATACTATGTAGCACAGTACGTCTGTAAATGAATTTAATTGCGTAGTCCAATTTGAAAGACATAATTCTAGAAATCACTTTTCTGTATTGACCAGGCATTCAGAGAAGAGGATAAGAAGGGCCTAACCATTTCTTTGTGTTGATGACAGATAAATGGTGTTAGAAGATCAAACCTCTAATCTTAAAACTGATTATGAGAGTGCAGTCATGATTTGCAAAAGCTGAAGACTTTTTATTACAGATTGTAACCTTAGAAATTCATTATTGCAAACAACACTAAAATTCAAAATAATTCTTGAAAATTCCATTTGCATTACAATCTAGCCATGTGACCTTGGGCAAGTTACAGAGTTCTAATGTATAAAATGGAGGTAATAATAGTACCTACCTCAGTATTTTTATGGGGATTAAATGAGTTAATATACTGAAAACCACCCAGAACAATATCTAGCACACAGTAAATGCTTCTATGAGTAGTGTTTGTTCGTATTAACATGAAAGCAGCAAAAAAATGTTTGCATTTTCCTGTTCATTGAAAGAGGATGATACTGTTCAAACTGGGTGGAAATATTTGGTAAATGAGATGGTCTTTGTGAAAATCCTTTTTTAAAAATTTGATAACCTTGATTTAATTAGGTAACTTAAAATTAGAATAATATTGGAAAGAAATTGCAGTTGAGCAAAATATTACAAAAATCAAGAGGTTCTTCTATGGGCATTCATAGGAGGCATTGCAGTTTGGAGAAGTGAGTAGGGAAACATCAATTCTGAGATTATTATGAATTTCCATGTGATACACACATAAAAGACCTGTAGTAACATCTGGCACATAGTACATGCTCAATAAATGCTATCTGTTATTTTTACTATGATTTCATTATTGATAAAATCAAGATCATTTATATTCTGGGTTTCAGATTGGTTAGATAGGAAATGCTGTCAAGTCACTTGTCCAGATAGTAGATATTTTCTTTTCTTTTTGTGGCTCAATTGAGACAAAGACCAGCTTCTACAATTACCAGATCTATATACCCTCAGTGTCCTAGGATAAAAATAGAAAAGCAAAGTGAAGAAAGACAGAGAATGTTTTTGCTGGAGAAAGTGACCAATGAAGTAACATCTTTGAAAAGGTTATTCTTGAAGGATAAGCCCTTAGCAAGCAAAGATCATGCTTAGGGTGTGGGATTGGGTGGCAATCCCATCAGAAATACAGTTATTTGAACATGTTAGTTGAAGGAAAGGAAATCTTTAGCGTATATTGAAGCTTCCTGCCAATCATTGCTACCTCTTTTCTTTCCCAAAATCTGCTATATTAATACAGATCATATATAGCAAGTTTCCACTCTTGAAATTTACCTGTTCTATGTGTTTTATCTTCTTTAAAGTGTCAAGTAACTACTTCATTAAATACTCATCCTTTTTTTTTTTTTTTTCGGAATTCTGGGCCTTATTGCTCTATGTTTTAATTGGAACATTCTTGATGCAAGGCCCAAATATTGACCCATTAGTTCACCTCCACTGAAGACATTACAATGTATGAAGTTTACTGGAAAAGAACGTTTTTGTACTTTATTTGCTCTTATGAATGTAAATGTGTATGTTTTCCTTTTTCTTGATATAGAAATTGTTTTTGTTTAAATAACTAATTATTCCTTTGATTAGACACTCAAGAATATAGCACTTCACTGTTAGTATAGTTTAATAAATGTATTCACTTTCCCATATATAACATGACTATTTACAACATTATTACTGTATTTCCTTGGACTTATGTGATAACTTTCTACTCTAAAAGTTTATTTTGCTATGGAAATTATCATGGATACTATGCAAAATTATTATTTTTCTAGTTGATATTATTCTTTTCTTAGAAGCACAGATAGACAAGACTTTTAAGATGTAATTCTGTCCTAGAAAAATAGCTTATTTTGCCACCTTTAGTTTTGAGATAGCACTTCTTAATGAACTAAACTTTTGTCTTAATTTTCCACTACAAATTATCTATCATATTAAAAGTATTTAAAATTCAATAGCAGATTATTCTGTTTTCTTTTAAGCTCTTTTTTATGACTACATATTTCAGTATCAAGACTTACAGAGATTTTAATTTTACAGGTATTTACATCATATGTATATATGCATTTAATCATTGTAGGTATGAATTATTCTTGTTATTTTTTCCTTTGTTTAAAAAAAAACCCTCACTATATGGTTTTGTTGTTGCTGTTGTTGTTTTTAGATGGAGTCTTACTCTGTCTCCCAGGCTGGAATCTAGAGTGCGGTGGCACAATCTCAGCTCACTGCAGCCTCCGCCTCCCAGGTTCAAGTGATTCTCCTGCCTCAGCCTCCCGAGTAGCTGGGATTACAGGTGCATGCTACCATGCTCAGCTAATTTTTATATTTTTAGTAGAGATGGGGTTTTGCCAATGTTGGCCAGGCTGGTCTCGAACTCCTGACCTCAAGTGAACGCCTGCCTCGGCCTCCCAAAGTGCTGGGATTACAAAGCCCCATTTGAGTGGGGAAAAAATAAGTGATTCTGAAGTTGTCTGTGCATCTCAGGACTTTTATTTAAAAATTAAAGTCTGTTTCTAAGTCATCCATTTCTAAGTGCTTTCAAAGAGAGATCAACTCTAGTGTTGATACATTTTTTTTGCAAGGTTTTATTTAAATGTCAAAAGCTCATTTTGAAAAGTAATCAGTCATATTTTTGGACAGGAGAATGACTAAATTGCCTTGCTGTATAAGAAATCTTATTAATGTAGAAACACTTGTCATTAAAATAGAGATTTTTGTTTTTCAAAATATTTATAACTTGACCCCCAAATGGTAAGTTCATCACTAATTATTGACCTGGCTACATGCCTGTGATACCAGATCATCAACATCTTCTATTTTTAACTTTCCTTTTTGCAGTAAATGGCCCTATTTAGTCTGTTTGATGATACAATGTGAAATATACATACAAATCTTTTATTCTTAGGTACATGGCCTCTACTGCTTTTGTTGTTTAGGTTGGATTTTATGCTTATTGTTTTAAAATGTTTTATACAAATATTGTTTTAATTTGTTTGATTTCAAATGAGTATGTCTAACATAAAAGATCTAAGCCATTTAGAAGTAATTTGAAACATGGTTCCAGTTGTTCCAGATACTTCATTTATATTTTCCTGCATTTGTAATGATACTAATCCATAAAATAACTTTAAAAATCTGCCTGGGATCATTAAATTCATTTATGCTTCATTGCAGGTATTTAAATAAATTTAACTAGCCTATATACTGAAGAACTTGGTTCTTTTTGTGGACTGTAAAGTAGTTTATACATATTAAAATGTTGCCTCAAGGTTGACTTTAATTTAGATAGCTTGAATAAAATCACATTAAGAAAATTTGTCACATGGTATTATAACATTGGTAATTATGGTTTTTTCCTTAAATTGGGAAGTAAGCTGTTTTGTCCATTGATGTACTAAGACATTAGACAATATATTAAGAACTCTATGAAAGTCTTTATTGTAGGAGTTCAAGTCGTTAAAGCGGCAGTATTACAATGTAGTTTAATAGTAATCTAAACACATTATCTTCACCCAAAACGTTTTGTTCCCAAGAAATCATTAAGACACTATTTTGGAATTACAGCTGCATTGTGTCATCAGATGGAACTTGACTTATTTACACCACAGTACAGGCAACTTATGTCTTAGAAAACTGGAAAAAGGAACCCGGACACAAAAACTATATTTTGAATAAAGTTTTATGTATTATGTAGGATCTATTCTATGGAAATTATTTCAGTGAATATAGCTTTTGTTTCTTTAAATTTTATCTTATTTATATGGTTCCAGTTCATCTAGTCTTTTTCCTAATGCGCTGTACTTAGAGTGACATCAACAGGACAAGGGATTTTTCCAAAAGATAAATTAGCACAGGATGCACCTCCTTTGTCTCTCTCTCTCTGTCTCTCTCTCTCTCTGTCTCTCTCTCTCTGTTTCTGCCTCAGCCACACTGAATTCTTTACTGTGATGAAGTTATATTAAGGATACATCTATGTTCTTATACCAGCCACTTTTCCTGTCTGATCTAGTTTCCCCCAGATGCTTGAATGCTGTTCTTCTTTATGCCTTTTAATATTTGTTCAAGATGTCACCACCTTAGGTGGACTTCCTCTGACCACCATGCCATCTCTCATGCTGTCCCCTCATCCAGCTTCCTGTTTCTTCATCACACTTGTCGTTACTTGATATTATTTAACGTGTTATTTGTCCGACTCCAATATTAGAATGTAATCCCCACAGGTCAAGAACTTTTTATTTACTGCTGTATCCCCAGCATCTAGAGCACCAGTCGGCACGTAGCAGGTGCTCAATAAATATGGGTCAAGTGGCTTTTATCACAGAGATTCAACAGAGAATGTTTCTGCATACAGTTGTCTCATTTTGTCACTTTGTGATTAAACACAGTTTCTTTAATATTCCTTTCTATATTGTTCTATTACCTGAAATTCTTTTGATATAGTCCTCGCCCATTTGTTGCATCTGTTCAAGCTCCCTTTCTCAAGACAGGGGCTAGGTGGAACTTTAGACTTCCTTACCATGATTAAATAGTTTTACTTGTCTGCAACAACTTTTACCTTGTGTTATTGGTTTGGGATTGCCACACAGTTTGGGAGGAGTTCAAGTTCAGATTCCAAACCAAAGTAGAGTCTGATTTCCTACAGGTGTTTCTATCGTCTGGTTAGGTAAGAATCTGTCCCCAGGCAAAGTCCCTACATCTGTGGACTGACATTTCCAGATACCCCTTTTCCAACTTGTCAACTTATCAAACAGTCCAGGTCTTCTTCTTCTTTTTTTTTTTTTCTTTTGTCGTTGTTGTTTTGAGGCAGGTCTCACTCTGTCACCCAGGCTGGAGTGCAGCCTCTACCTCCTGATCTCAAGTGATCCTCCCACCTTAGCCTGCCAATTAGTTAGGATTACAGGCACACACCACCACATCAGGCTAATTTTTGTATTTTTTTGTAGAGATGAGGTTTCACCATGTTGGCCAGGCTGGTCTCAAACTCCTGGGCTCAAGTGTTCTGCCAACCTCAGCCTCCCAAAGTGCTGAGATTACAGATGTGAGCCATTGCACCTGGCCAAGTCGGGTCTTGTGTGCCAAGCATGCAGGGGCTGTGGCTTCCCCCTCTCATACCATGTATTCAAACCTCAGCCCCTGATGCCCTGTGACCTCTTAGCATCAATTCCCACTCCTCTGACTTCGAGTCTTCACTACACTTGTAGTGCCTAGAAAATTTTCTTTCTTAGTTTCCGCCTTACTATCTATTAAAAACAAAACAAATTTATGTTATATATTAGTATTTTTTTCATCTTTGGGTGGGGGTAGCTTTCCACTTCTGCTCAGTCCATCATATTGACTGAAGGTACATGTGGATATCATTTATTTTAGCATTTTAAAAGCAATACTCCTGAAATTGTTGATGCTCCCATATAGCCAAAGCTATTTACTCCTAGCCCTCTGTGAATGAGCAGTAATAAAAATTTATACAGTATTCTTATATTCTAGGTCTCTGAACATTCTAACATCTTAAAGGAAATATTAGATATTATTTATGAATAAATTCTGTGAAACAGTGGGCTCATCATTCCATTCTATTTCAAAGCCTCTTAGCATTGCATAGTTTATTTTCCTTTTAGCCTTTTGGACTTTCATCAAATGAAAAGTCATTATAAGGGTAATTTTTCAATTAAATATCTAGAAGCCACTGTTTTTGACATGTCTTACTTCTTTTGATTTTATTTATAAGCCTGAATTGATTAAGTATTGGGTATATTCGGAGGATATATCTATTAGGTATTATAGGCTGATTTTATTATTATGAGTTATTTTATTCTAAGATATATTTTTATTTTATTTTAAAGTTGAAATGCGCACATTTTAAGTATCCAGCTTGTTATGTTTGGGCAAATAAAAATATAAAACATTTCTATCACTTCAGAAATTTCCTTTATGACTTTTATTTTAAACTTTATTTTTTTTTCCTACCAGATGTTAAGACATCCCACCTGAAACCTGAAGCGCATCCTACAAAGTATATTTCTTCGAATATGGGTGATTTCCTGCATTCTACAGACAGAAACTACCTCATTAAATTTTGGGCCAAACTTTCAGCCAAAAAAACACCAGCGGTAAGAGAGGAATAGAAGGGGTGAAGCCACAACTGAGCTCTATACAATGTCAGACAAAGAGGGGATTTAATATTTTGAGACTAATAAGTTTCCCCAAAATTATTCTCTCACTAGTGTCAGCTGAAGACAGGATTTTGACTCTTTGTACATCCCTGAGAATAGACACTGGTTCTAAAAGTAGAATATTCAATATCAGATTCTGTGAGTACCTTTCTCCTGGGCTCCCAGTGAAAATTCTGACATTCAAATCTTCTATTTTGTAAGAACAGAAAAGCACTACAAGAAAATTAATGCAGTGAAAGATGTATTTCAAGGGAAAACTTGCTTTGTTGCTAGGGTATAAATTTGAGTATTCTTGGGCTGAGCCTGAAAAGTGAGTCCACTCAAAGAGTCCGTGTTTTATAACTTAGCACTTCTTAAACCAGTCGCATCACTTAGTCCCAACTTATTTCTCTGAAAGTTTTGAGAAAGCAGCATGCACAGGAGTGTGGAATGCAAAATTGGCACTGCATTCAGATTAGGTTGTACTTGTTTTCCATCTGTAATCATTTTTATGTGATGATCTGGGAATACAAAGAGACTTAATTGCAATTGCAATTTGCTGCAGAAGCAACAGAACTTTTTGTTTTGGTTGTCAATTCCTTGTGATTCCTTAAGGCTAGCCTGTTTTTGTTTGTTTTGTTTTGTTTTTGTTTTGTTTTTTTTTTTGAGACGGAGTTTTGCTCTTGTTGCCAGGCTGGAGTGCAATGGTGTGATATCCGCTCATCGCAACCTCCGCCTCCCAGGTTCAAGCGATTCTCCTGCCTCAGCCTCCCGAGTAGCTGGGATTACAGGCATGCGCCACCATGCCTAGCTAATTTTGTATTTTCAGTAGAGATGGGGTTTTTCTTGTTGGTGAGGCTCTCCCAACCTCAGGTGATCTGCTTGCCTCGGCCTCCCAAAGTGCTGGGATTACAGGTGTGAGCCACCATGCCCCGCCAAGGATAGCCTGTTCTAAACAAATAGGTGCATCAAGTCAGAACCATTGGCAGTGTTCAGTGGTCAAAAGAATCAGACTGATTACTGATTACTTCAGGCAAAAAGTCTTAGGCTGGGGCATATACAGATATAGTATGCTATATACATTTTACTCTTACTGAGTCACAATAGTTGTTGGGTGTTCTAGGTGCAAGAAACAGTATCTCCCTGCTTCTATTTCCTGCATGTGGTAGCCCTCCCTCTCCTGGCTGGCCTCTTCCATTCACCCACAGGCTTTGCTCCCACTAGCTTGAGCACTACTCTCATGCGCCATCCAGCCCTGACTGTCCTAGGCCTCTTGGCTCTGTGCTCATTCTTCCCGGCAACTTCCTTCCATCTCTTTAATTCAAGTCGCTGAAGGCAGGAGAATCTACCCAGCCCAGCTTGACTTTTCAAGCCATGCTGTGGTGGTCATATTAGCCTGCCTGTGTGGTCACCTGTGGCAGGGCAGAAGGCACGACCTGTGGCTCAGGCTGCGGCTTCTCAGAGGCAGCAGGGGGTAGGTGGGTGCCCACTAAACATCTATAAATAAGATGAATTTGTTCCATGATACTGAGTGTAGGAAAGTCATATTTATCCAAAATCAATGAAATCTGGAATTGTTCCCATCTCACCAGGATTTCTGGGAAATCAAATGTCGTTAGAAATGGGGATCACTTCCCATATTTGGATTAAGTTCAAGAATCCCGAGAGTTACACAATCCTGGGAAATTGCAGAAGGGCCTCTAGCCTCATAACCACCATGGTTGACATGGAGATGCTTTTCATCTAAGGCACTGAATCCCATTCTGAGCCAGTGGCCCTGGTATTCTCCATATCCTACTTTTTCCTACTATTAGTAGCTTTTTTCTTTTACTTTTTTCTTTTGTAGAGACAGGGTCTTGACATGTTGCATAGGCTGGCCTTGAACGCCTGGCCCCAAGTGATCCTCTCACCTCAGCCTCCCAAAGTGCTGGAATTACAGGCATGAGTCAATGAGCCCAGCTAACTAGTAGGTTTTTTTCTTATACCTACCCCTGAGATCTTGCTATACCTGGGGTAATGGGTAGAAGTCAACAGGTAAGGCTCCCTCTGCATGAGGAACCTATCACTCTTTGTCCTTCCAGTCCTGGGAAATCCAGCTCTTTCCAGATCAGCCCACAGCTTTCTCTCCTGCCCTTGGTATTCCAGCCTTCTTGGATGGTGTGGCTTGATGCTTCTTGGACTTTCAAATACAGCATCAGTTCTTTAATGTCCCCTTGGGACATGGAAATCCAGAGTGCAAACCTTCAGACCACTAAATCCTGTCCATCTTTAATCCTTGGTGATAAGACTGCACCCTGACAATCAGAGGCAGCCCATTTCCCAGGTGGGCTGTCCTGATGCACAGCTGGATTCACACTGATAGGCAGAAGCACATGCCATTGACTTGCACCCCTCTTCCACTTAATGGGTATTCATGGTTTATTTAAACGTGTTTAGGGATCATGTCCTTTGCAGGAACGTGGAGGCCATTATCCTTAGTAAACCGATGCAGGATCAGAAAACCAAGTACCACATGTTCTTACTTATAAATGATGAGGACACATGGACACATAGAAGGGAACAACACACACTGGGGTCTATCAGAGGGTGAAGGGTGGGAGGAGGGAGAGGATCAGGAAAAATAACTAATGGGTACTAGGCTTAATAACTGGATGATGAAATAGTCTGTACAACAAACCCCCATGACACAAGTTCACCTAACAAACCTGCACATATACCCCTGAACTTAAAATAAAAGCTAAAAAAAAAATGTCCAATCTAAATATCACCTGTTAGAAAATGTTGGGGCCTAATTAAAGAGAGTGCTGGTTGGCTGGGCGTGGTGGCTCATGCCTGTAATCCCAGCACTTTGGGAGGCTGAGGTGGGCAGATCTTGAGGTCAAGAGATTGAGACCATCCTGGCCAACATGGTGAAACCCCGTCTCTACTGAAAATACAAAACATTAGTCGGGTGTAGTGGCTCGCGCTTGTGGTCCCAGCTACTCAGGAAGCTGAAGCAGGAGAATCGCTTGAACCAGGGAGGCAGAGGTTGCAGTGAGCGGAGATCTCGCCACTGCACTCCAGCCAAGGCAACAAGAGTGAAACTCCATCTCAAAAAGAAAAAAAAAAAAGTGTTGGTCAAGGGCAATAAGGTACTAAGGGCTGGGGACAGGGGAACAGAACTGGAAAAAAAAAAAAAAAAAAAAAAAACCCACTCTGTGCTCCTAACTGTGATTCAGCCGTAACATTTTAATATAAAATGAAGACAGTATGGGGAAACTGGAGAGAGGAGAGGATAAAAAGGCAGTGTGAGAGTGGAAGGGGCCACCCTGGTGATGATTGGTGGGGGAAAGGACCCAATATCCCAGGCCACCTGTTACTGGAAACAGTTTCATGAACTTTTACACCAGATTGCTCCTTGCCTGCAGTGCCCCTCCCTGAGAAACTGAGCAGCCCCCATAATCCACAGCATCTAGAACCCAGTGTGGAGCATGTGTTGTGTCCAGTGTCAGCACTGTGGCATTTACTGATCCCTGATGGTAGTAATTTGCAGAGCCCTGAGGTTCTGGTGCCTTTGCCTCTCAGTGCTAGTAGTTTAGGTGGAAATACAAATGTAACAAGGTAGTTTCATAGAAAAGCAAATCAAACTCCCTCAGAACTAACAGATTCACTCTTAAGAAATTAGGGCAAATATAATACTGAATTGCTCTTGTCATATATGTGGGTGAATTCACCTAAGATTATGTTTGGTGCCTCATTTTTCTTTTAAAGATTATGAATTCAGTGCTCTTGGAATTTGCAAGTATTTATCACATTTTAGGAGATCTCATAGGTTGTTAACCTTTTGCACAGCTGGTATAATGCTGCAAAACAAGCAACATACCTTTCTGAGACCATCACAACAGAAGATTCCGTGAGACATTATGATGTGTGTTAGAGAACACACACTGCCTTTATGCAGCATTTATAATTTAGAAAGAGCTTTTGTGTAGGTTATTTCACATACCCCTCACTGCAACCCTAAGAAGAAGTTGTTGTTTTTTCTCATCTTACCTTCCCAAGGTAAATTTCCATGTCTTTTTGGAACTTTTTAGTGGATGGAAGAAAGTAATTGCAGCTGTCTCTGTCAAAAACATTTATCTTAAATTATCCAAAAGAAAAAAGGCATTTTTGTGCTTTTTGGTGTCTTAAGTGTACATTGAATGTGTTTATATTTTCTTTTGCAAACTATTATGAGGGCTTTGACAGTGATGGACAAGGTAGAAATTCCCATCTCCAATGTGTGTGTGTGTGTGTGTGTGTGTGTGTGTGTGTGTGTGTGTTTCTGGTTCTGTTTCTGTTTCTCTGAAGCACCATTCCCACTTATGTTAAAGATTGCATTCTTTCTCTCCCGCTCAAATCCACCTCAAAACTCACTGTGTACATGAGGCCTTCTCTATACCGCCTCTGTAATCTAATATTCTCTTCCCTTGGCCATCGCATGCAATGACATGTGTGTAAGTTGTGATTACAAAATAACGAGGCTGGTTTTGTGTGTGTCTTAAGGAAACCAGTCTTATTTCTTGGTAGTCACATATGGCACATGTCATAACTAGCTGGGTAAGTACATGTTTATGTGTGTATTTCATCTATGTTCATTTCTATTTCCATTTAACTATTGGCTTCTTGACCCAAGAGAAAAATGCGCTAACTTTTGAATAATGTGACAGCCTTGCCATCTACTGGGTAACCTTACAAAAGCCACTTACCTGCTATGAGATGCCATTTCCTCTTCTGTAAAGTACATACAGAGAAATAATAATACCTATCTTACAATGTCATTGTGTCAGATGCACATGAAACTTCTTTGTAAATGATTGACTACAGAACAAATGTTGTCGCTATGTCAGTGATGGTAGGCAGGGAGTGAGGAAGGACTCAGGCCCTCAGCTGTACTTCTTTATATTCAAGAACAGCAGCTCTCCTTTGGGCGATCATCAGCATCCCTGTATCACCAAGAACCTTCAGATACCTGAAAAGTGGTTAATTGGACTTCTGCTTCCACTAAAGGCAGACCTGGTAATTCAGAGTAACCTTCCTGCTGAGAACAACTAGAAAATCTGGATTAAAAAAATATCTACTTGAAGGGATCAGAGAATAAACAGAAGAGTGAAAGTTTATCTGGCCAGGCATTAGGGGAGGATGATCCTGAGAGGTGAACCTGGTACCAGAGGCCACTTATTCCTATGGACTTTTGCTAATTGAGGTAGACATGGTTGAGGGCTGAATTGACACTTTGAGAGTCTTGTGGAACTAGGACAATAACATCGAAGTATGAGGTCCATCAGGGAAGTAAACTTAGCGAACGATGCTTTCTTTAGGTTGGTAACTGAAAGCCTGCAACCTTGGAGTAAAGGTGAACAAAAAGAAGTCAGGACTTCATAGGAGCCACAGTTAAAGTACTCTTATTTCTGAAATTATATTCAAAAGATCCCAGATGTCCCTAGGTCCATGGCAGAAAAAATATATATAAATAATGTTGTAAATACACTGTCTAATGCATAATGAAAAATAACCAGGCACATAAGGACATGGGAAAACATGAACTAAAAATAACAGAATCCCCAGATGATAGGAAACAGGCCTACAAGAGCCTTCAGATTTTGGCAGCATTAAATACATATTTTGAAGCCTCCAAGCATTGATGTTATCAAAGCAAGACTTTAATGTGACTGCATTTATAATGGCCAAGATATAAGACAAAAATGTAAATTTCAGCAAAAGTGGAGACAATAAAAAATAACTAAATTGAAATTATAAAACCTGGGGGGAAACAGTAACTGAAATTGATACCCAATTAGACACAGCTAAAGAGAGAATTAATAGACTGAAAAGTTGATAAGAAAAATAAATCTTAGAAACATAACAAGATGGGAAATATAGTGGAAGAGTGAATAAGAGACATAAAGCAAACATGAGAAGTTCTAACATATGTTATTGAATCCTAAAAGGAGAGAAGAAGTGGAAGAGAAACAAGATTTGAAGAAATAATGGTTGAAACTTTATGGTCCTGATAAAAGTCATCAAGCCATAGATTAAATAAATCTTGAAAACCCAACTTAGACACATATTTGTTTTGAAATCATATTGTACTAAAATTAAAAACAAAGGAAAATACCTAAAGAGCAGTCATAGGGGATAAAATTACTTTCAAAAAAAGTAATAACAATTAGGTTGACAGCGACTTTCCAAAAGAACTCATGAAAGCCAGAAGACAAAGAATATCTTTAAGGTGATAACTTATTGCCAACCTAGAATTTTGGACCCAGTGAAGATATCATCCAAAAATGAAGGTGAATTAAAGGTATTTCTAGACAAAGAAACAGAATTTGTCACAGGAAGCCTACATGAAAGGGAACAGTAGAGAATTTTCTTTTGGCAGAATGAAAATGATTTCAGATAGAGAGTGTCATAGATAGAGAAAAAAATGAAGAACAAGACAAAGGGTAATACATGAGTAAATCTGAATACATGAGTAAATCTAAAGAGTTGCTGACTATATAAAACAGCAATGGCTTTAACAATACATGGAATTAAAATGTATAAAATTAAAATATGGGGAATGAAGGGAAAAAATATAAATGTATTTAACACCATTAACTGTACATCTATAAATGGTAAAGATGGTAAATTATATGTGTATATTTTACCTCAATAAAAAATGTTTAATTAAAATATAGAAATTAAAAATGAAACTAAATTTATGACAACAATTATAATAAGTCAAGAAGGGTATAAATGGAGATGAAATGTTCTAGAATCCTTGCATTTGAAGTCTAGGAAGAGGGTAAATGTAATAATATCAGATTATCAAATTTTGATGAGTCAAGAAAACATATTTTAATCTCTAGGATGATACTAAAAGAAGATTAGGAAATGTATTACTTTTAATCTAATTGGGGGAAGGAGTAGAATAATAAATAAGTAATTCAACATGGTGTCAGAGGTCATAGCCAGTGCAATAAAGCATAAACAAGAAATAAATAGTGTAAAGCTTGAAAATAGTTAATAAATGCATTTGACAAGATTATTAGAAACATAAAACATATAAAAATAAATTTCTATGTAATAGCAACAATTTTAAATATATTTAGTTTTTTAAAAATATATTTTCAGGCCAAGTGTGGTGGCCTACATCTGTAATCCCAGTACTTTGGGAGGCTGAGATGAGAGGATCACTTGATGTCAGGAGTTTGAAACCAGCCTGGCTAACATATCTACTAAAAATACAAAAATTAGCCAGGCATAGTGGCACACGTCTGCAGTCCCAGCTACATGGGAGGCTGAGGCATGAGAATCGCTTGAACCTGGGAGACTGGAGTTGCAGTGAGCTGAGATCGCGCCACTGCGCTCCAGCCTGGGTGACAGAGGGAGACTCCATCTCAAAAAAAAAAAAAATCTATCTATCTATCTATCTATCTATCTATCTATCTATCTATGTTCAGTAACATCCAAAGTGTCAAATATTTAAAAACAAATTAATAAAAGGTGTATAATGCCTCTATTCAGAAAAATGTAAAACATATTTTCTAGAAAAATTAAAGACCTAAAAAGTGGAGAGATAGACCATGTTTATGGATTGATGGCTCCATATTCCATATTATACAAATGTCTGTTTTCTTCAAATAGGTCTATACGCTCAAAGCAATCCAGTCAAAAACATTCTCACATTTTTGTGGAAATTAATAATCTGATTTTAATATGTATCTGAAAATGCTGGTATCACCACTAAAATAGACAAGTAAAATAAATAACAGCCCAGAAATAGATCCATGCACACATGGAAAGTTGATTTATGAAAAAAGTGACACTGCTGAGCAGCAGGAAAGTGATGCCTTTTGTATAGCATTAATTAGATATAAATAGGAACAAAATTAGATTTAACCCTGATCTCACACCATATATAAAAATTAAGGTAGATTATCTATAAAATGTGAAAAGCAAAATAATAATAGTTCAAAAAATAATGTAAGATAATATTTTTATGATCATGGGGTCAAGATTTCTTAAATGTAACACAAAAAGCATTCATTATGAAGGAAAAATCTGGAATATTACAGTACATTAAAACTAAGATCTCCTGTTAACTGAAAACACAGCATGAGGAAAAAAAAGACAGACTACAGAGAGTGGGGAGATATTTGCCGTAACTATAACCAACAAAGTGTATCCGAAATATATAAAGAACTCCTACAAATTATTAAGAAAAAAATAGGTAACCCATAGGAAAATCCCTTCACAAAATAATATCCAGATAGCCCATATTCTTATGAAGAGATACCCAGCCTTATTATTAATCAGGGAAATGCAAAATATAATCGCAATGAGATACTACTATGCATAAACTAAAAGTACTAAAATTATAAAGACTATCAATATGTGGGGCAATGGAAACTCTTATAAGAGAACTGATGGGAAATGAAATTGGTATACCTTGGAAAATAGTTGAGCATTATTTACTAAAGTTGAACATGCAGATACCCTACACCTCAACCGTGGTATTCTTGTGTATATACCCAATAGAAATGACTGGTTATGTGTACCAAAAGATATGTGCAAAAATGTTTATAGTAGCATTGTTCATAATAGTCCTAAACTAGAAATTCACATGTCCATCAGCAGTAGAACAGCTATGTAAATTTTTGAATAGTCATATAATAAAATACGTACAGTAATGTAAACCAACAAACTTAACTTCTTGGTTGTATTTCACAAACATACAGTTGAACTAAAGAATTCTAACTAAAAAGAATACGCGCTATACATGCAATCTGATTCCATTAATATACAATTTAAAACAGGCAATATTAAACCACAGTATTTAGGGAAGCACATTTAGGTGATAAAACTATAAAGAAGAAGTGGTTACTGTAAAAGTCAGGAGAGTGCTTATCTCCAGAGGGGGAAAATGGTGGTAATAGTTGAAAAGGGTCTTGAGGGACCTGGAGATGCTGGCAATTGTTTGTGAGGTTTACGAGGCCACCTGGTGAACTGGAATGCTATTTGTTCTGTTCATTAGCTGGACAAGCTGCAGTGAGTTAGCAAAACCCACTCTGGGATTGGGTAGGATTTTCTGAGGGCTGTAGTTTGAAAAATTAAGAGCAATCTGTAAGGTGAGGATCCAAGGGTGATGCTGAAGCCCAAATCACCCAGAGTCCAACTTGATGATCCATCTGAAGGATTTGAAGAGAGTGAGGATCATGGCAGTAGCCCACATTAGGGGGAGACCCAGCTTACTACCCCACTGAACATAAATCTGAGAAAAGTGAAATAATGAGTCAAAGGAGGTGTGGCCATGTAAGAAAGTAGTGTCTGTGGTCTGTGATAGTTTATTGGCAGATGAGTTCCTTCTGTCATTGCTATTGATCAAGCTTAGAAAGAGCCTTTGCTCTCATAGCCATCATCTCCATTCCCATATTCAAAAGGACCTTCCTTTTTTTCCTTCCTCCCTTCCTTTCTTCTTTCCTTTCTCCCTTCCTTTCTTCCTTCCTTCTTTGTTTCCTCCCTCCATTCCTTCCTTCCTTCGTTCCTTCCTTCCTCCCTTCCTTCCTTCCTCCCTTCCTCCCTCCGTCCCTCCCTTCCTCCCTTCCTTCCTCCCGTTCTCCCTCCCTTCCTCCCTTCCTTCCTCCCTCCGTCCCTCTCTTCCTCCCTCCGTCCCTCCCTTCCTCCCTTCCTTCCTCCCTCCGTCCCTCTCTTCCTCCCTCCGTCCCTCCCTTCCTCCCTTCCTTCCTCCCGTTCTCCCTCTCTTCCTCCCTTCCTTCCTCCCGTTCTCCCTCTCTTCCTCCCTTCCTTCCTCCGTCCGTCCCTCCCTTCCTCCCTTCTTTACTTCTTATCTTCCTTTTCCCTGCCTTCTTTACTTTCTCTCTCCCTTCCTTCCTTTCTTTCATTTTTCTCTTCCTTCCTTCCTCTCTTCCTCCCTGCTTCCTTCCCTTCCTCCCTTCCCATCCCTTCTTCCCTTCTTTTGCCTTCTTCCCATTTCCTCACTTATTTATTTATCTACCCATCCTATATTTGTTGAATTCTTATCATGTATGTAGGATATTGATTTGATTTTTCAATATCAGCAGACATTTCCTGATCAGACCCTGCTGCAGACACTAGAACAATATGGGCCTGGTCCCTGTCCTTATAGAATTAATATTCTAGTAGTGAGATCTTCTGGTCTACTTGTACTGATGGGATAAGGTCAGTGTATCCCTAGCCCTCTTACTACTACCTTCTTTCTTTGAGTAGAAAATGGGCTAATGGAATGTGGAAATCCCCAGTATTACTGACTTCCAATATACTGACAGTTGTTTTTAATTTATTTTTTTTTTTTGAGACAGGGTCTCACCCTGTCATCCAGGCTGGAGTGCAATGGCACGATCTCGGCTCACTGCAACCTCTGCCTCCTGGGTTCAAGTGATTCTCCGGCCTCAGCCTCCTGAGTAGCTGGGATTACAGGCACGTGCCACCACACTTGGCTAATTTTTTGTATCTTTAGTAAAGATGGGGTTTCACCATGTTGGCCAGGCTGGCCTCGAACTCCTGACCTCGTGATCTGCCCACCTTGGCCTCCCAAAGTGCTGGGATTACAAGCATAAGCCACCGCACCAGGCCCTTTATTTCCTATTCCTAAGGTCACTGGAGGTTTCCTCTAGAACCTAAATAATTTGTCTTTGTTAGGAAGAAATGCCCAAGAATATTATTTTTTACTCTTCAATCTGAACAAAATCTGCTAACATCACATTTCTTGATTGCTACTCCAATCATTTATAAATATACAATTCTTTCTATAAATGTGATCATAATTTAATATGAATTTAGATAATTTAATAAAATATCCAATTTACTCATTTTCTCATTCCTTGCTTATACAATTCTTTGTTGCTTTATTTCTTCTCTCTTCCTATCTTAAATGGTACTTTTCTGAATGACTCCCAAAGCACATTAATTTGAACATCTCTAAGAGAATCTTAGAGAACTGTAAATGTAATTTTAATCAGCCTTACTTCATAAACACTTAAACATTTTTCTTTGCAGGTTTGAGTAAAAAAAAAGTGCACAGCTCTTTTCTTACTGTTGCAAAAAATATATAACCAACCCTATCAGTGAGAGGTTTTTATTTTTGCAACACTCATGTATAGGTTACAGA
Source organism: Homo sapiens (assembly GCF_000001405.40). Lineage (NCBI taxonomy): Eukaryota > Metazoa > Chordata > Mammalia > Primates > Hominidae > Homo > Homo sapiens. Next base: position 134,233,113 of record NC_000007.14, read on the forward strand.
TGTCTAAGTGTCTAAGTTCTTTTGCGTTACTTGCCAGATATTGTTATACTTCAGTCTCCCTCCCTGATAGTAACCCAATGCTCTTTGCATGGTTGGCTCCCTGGAAAGCATACATGAAGGCTATGCTGACTTAGTTAAGGCTTCTTGCTCTGGATTTGCTATTGTGACTAGGTTTTTCCTTCTAGAAGAAGCTTGACTTCCTTTACCTCCATCATATCTGTTTCTGCAACCAGCTCCTCCAACACCTTTACCCCTGAAGCAAGCCAAGTCACTGAGAGCCAATTCTCCAGAAAGAAAAATTGCTGAATGACCAATTCATTGAGAGACAATTTAGCAAATATGTGTGTACAGCAGACAAGGCCAGTACAATCCTGTAAGTACTAACTGTATGAAGGGGAAATGAGAAAGTGGACCTGTGGTGACAAAGTATTAGGCACTTGCATCCACCAAGCACCATTTCCTTTCAATACTCTTAGGACCCAGGTCAGCTCAGGGAAGAGGCTGCTTGTCCAAGTATCACACAGCTTAGGAATGTCTATTTTGATTTCAGAAGAAAAATGCCTTCTTTTACTCAGGTGCATTTTTCAGTATTAACACATCAATGTGAATCTTTTTTATTTTATTTTATTTTGAGCCAGAGTCTTGCTCTGTCACCCAGGGATCAACGTGAATCTCGAGAGAAGACATTTGATTTCCAGTATCTTTGCCCTCTGCTCTTCGTGTCTAATTTGAACTCAGGATCCTCACGGCTCTAAACAAAGCTTGTCCAACCCACAGCCTGCCGGCCACATGTGGTTGAGGACAGCTTTGAATGCAGCACAACACAAATTCATAAACTTTCTTAAAACATGAGATTTTTTTTGCAATGTATTTTTTTAGCTCATCAGCTATTGTTAATGTTCGTGTATTTTATGTGTGGCCCAAGACAATTATTCTTCTTCCAGTGTGGCCCAGGAAAGCCAAAATATTGGACACCCCTGCTCTAAACTGTTTCATTTTCAATATGTCTTTTGTCATAAAAAAGCTTCAGTTAGGTTCATAGGGGCACAGATCAGCATCTCAAAGCTGTTCTTCTGCTCTTCATGAGGCCAATTCCCAATATCCCTTTTTCTAAGCATTATATGACCCTCAGATACCACAGTCTGCTGCAGTTTCCCAGTCTCTTGGTGATGTCACACACTGGTCTTCCTGAGATGAGATACTCCGCTTTGTTCATAGATGGTTTCCCAACATCTAGTGTGGTTGTCTGACCGCCTGCATGGCTTCAATAAATTTTGCTGAACCTACGAATGAGTAAAAGTGAATGGACAAAGGAATGATTTGTGATGTACTAGAACCCTTCCTCCAAAGTCGTCCTTTGATTCCTTTCTTCATTGTTGTTTCCAACTGGTAGGTGGGCAGGGAATAGATTATATAATGACTATCTTACTGTATCTCTAGTCCTCCTAAAATTAGCATCATATTCCTTCTTGTGATAAATTTGTTCTTCTAAGAATAGATTTATTGTCTGAGCCATTTAATTAAATCTTTGTTTTCCCCCTGCTTCTCTTGTTCCTTTTCAGTCTCCTTTCTCTTTTTCTTTCCAATTTCTTGATATTGGAGGATCTGAGGGCTCAGTTCTTTGTCCTTCCCTTTCTTTCTTTTCCCTTCCCTTCTCTCCTTTTTCCTTTTCTTCCTTTCCCTTCCATTATTTCCCTATCTACACTCACTTCTTCCAAAACTGAAATACTGATTGTTGCCCTAAATCTTACTCTTATTTGATGCCAACTCTGTATCTGCAGTTATCAGGCCAAAAACTTTGTACTCTTTTCTCTCCCAACCCAATATCCAATCTGTCAAAAACTTCTACTGGCCCTACCTTCAAATTATTCTGGAATCCAGAATCTGCCCACTATCCTGGTCTACTCTTCCATTATTTGTCACCTAGATCACGGCAGCCACCTCTTAAGTGGTCTCTTTGGTTCTACCCCTGCCCCTATAGGCTATTTGCAAACACAGAAGACAGAATGATCAATTGCAAACCTAGGTCAGATCATGAGCCCCCTCTGCTCAAATACCTGCAATTGCTTCCATGTTGCTCAGTGTCTTTCAGTTTCCTGCAAAGTCCTCCATGATCTTGTTCCTTTGGTGTCTCTGATCTCATTCCTACTACTCCTCTTCCTACCTCAGCTCCACTGACACTGGCAAGTGATTGTACCTCTAACCCACCAGCACTCCTGCCTTAGAGCCATTGCACTAACTGTTTCTTCTTTCTGGAACACTCTTTCCCCAGATAGCCACATGGCTGACTCCCTTTCCTCCTTCAACTATTAACTCACATTTTACCACCTCTATGCTGTCTGCCCTGAAACCCTAATTTATACTGCAACCTGTATCTCCTACTCTGTGTCCTTCCTTGGCCCTCCCTAGCCCCTTTTCCCTGCTCTGCTTTTTCTTTTTTGAAAAATTCGTATCACCCTCTAATGCATTAGGCTATTTGCTTATCTATTATGCTTGTTGTTGGTCTTCCCCTGTTAGACTATAAATCCTCCAAAGGCAGAAATCATTGTTACTCCCTGATGTATTCATTATTTTATACGATGCTAGGCACATAGTAGTGCTCAGTTAATACTTGTTGAATGAATGAAGGAACAGGGGGAAGTATAGTTTAGAGCACTGTCATGTGGGCAAGTCACATGTCTTCTCTGAGTCATTTTCTTATCTGTAGAGATAATAGTAATCAAGTCCTAGGTTATTGAAAAGATTAAAGGGGTTAGTTGACATCAATTTCCTGGAATATATTAAGTGCTCAGTAAGTGTCAATATTATATTTTTATTTGCTAAATCAAGACAATGCTAGAACAAATGTTATCCGCATAAGATATCACATTTTTAGTAAGATATTAATAGGTAAGAAGCACAGTGACATTTTAATTTTTCCTCAAGTCCCAATCTTCTACCTCATATTTAAGTTCTATGTTATCAAAATACAATATATTTTCTTACCCTTTCTTAAATTATTAAATTAAAAAACAAGGAAAATAAATGTATAGATTATTATAAGGCAAACCTCCTTGTCACCACTCCCCAAGTTGGGACATGGAACTTTTCCAGTCACTCCAGAAGCCCTTCCATGAGCCCCATCCTACTCTCCCTCCCTCCAAAGGTAACCATCATTCTGACTCTGTAGTAACCAATTCCTTATATTCCTTTTTGGTTTTATTGCACAAGTGTGCATCCTTAGATTCTAGTTTAGTCTTATCTATTTTAAAATAAATAATATATATTTACAGTATCTTTTAATCTACAGGTTCTCCACCCAGCCTTTTCTTTTCTTTACAAGTTCCTGTTAAAGGACTCTGTTTAGACTGTAGCATCTCCCACAATTTGGGTTTTGCCAGTTGCATGCTTATGGTGCCATTCATCATGTTCTTCTGTCCCTGAATTTCCTGCAATTGGCAGTTGGATCCAGAAGTTTGTTCAGATTCAGGGTCTGTTCCTTTAGCAAGGCAGTAAGTAGTGGTATTTATTTTTCATTAAAAGGTAGATAACATCTGTTTTTCTCTTTTTGTGATGTTCTTCTAGCAGAAGTTTCCTACACCCATAGGCGCCTATAGGGCCATACAGATATCCAGCTCTGAAAAGTAAAAACAAGCTTATTTTCTGAACAGTTTATCAGGTACTGTGTCCTTTCAGTGGCTGGAAGATTTTAACACTAAGAGGATTTGTAGCCAGAAATTTAAAAGAAGCTAGCAGAAGAAATTTCTTACACCTACTGTTATTATATTAGCTGTTGTTCAATACCTAGTTCAATTAATATGCTGGGGATTGAAAACTGATGATTTTGTAATTCTATCATTTCATTTTCTTTTATTAGCTGGAATAATACTATAAAGAGATGCTTCTTTCATCTCTCATCAGTTCTTACAGGATCAGCAGGCTAAATGCTTTTCTCTTTCTTTTTTTTTTTTTTTTTTTTTTGAGACTGTCTCTTACTCTGTCACCCAGGCTGGAGTGCAGTGGCACGATCTTGGCTCACTGCAACCTCCACCTCCCGGGTTCAAGTGATTTTCCTCCCTCAGCTTCCTGAGTAGCTGGGACTACAGGTGCCTGCCACCATGCCCAGCTAATTTTTGTATTTTTAGTAAAGGCAGGGTTTCACCATATTGGCCAAGCTGGTCTCAAACTCTTGACCTTGCGACGCGCCTGCCTGGGCCTCCCAAAGTGCTGGGATTACAGGGGTGAGCCACCACACCCAGCTAATTCTTTTTTCAAGATAATGAATTGGCTCCCTTTTATTCTCTGAAGGTGACCAGTTAATATTAAATTATCATTTATGGTCATTATGATCTTCATTTAAGCATATTTGAAGGATACCACCCACCGCATTTTTTATCCTTATTGAAATTCATATTATCTTACCTTTGGCTAATGGAAGCCTTTTCAAGTTGGCATCTGTGTCCTTTAACATGACCTGTGGAGTCTTTCATAGCTGTCTTTCTGTCTGTTATGACAAGATAATCCATGATTTCTTGTGCTTTCCCTGTCCCAGACCTGGAATCAGTCTTTTCTTCAAGAAATCTGGGTTTCTTTAAGTGAGAAATGGTAGTGCAAGAACACATTGTTGTTACCAGGGATGTTCATTACTATTGGGGTGGTTGTCATTTCTAGGTCTTTTATGTGGATAGATAAAATAGTTCATAAATTCAGTTAGTATTTCCAATTCAAATTCAGGACTTTCAAGATTTTTACTTAAGTTTTTTTCTATTATGTATTTCTCTTTCTTCCACACTGAGAACCCTAATTCTGAAAGACACAGGAGATGATACAATCTCCCATTAAATTACTCCGTTGATTTATCCCATCTTACACACAGAACAGTCTCAGAATAACAGTACTAATACCACCAGCACCCATAATGAAAACCAAAAAATAGTTAAAAACATTTTTTACAAATGTTCTCCCCCCCATTATTTATGGATTCATAGCTACACTATCAAAGCATAGTCATTGAATACTCTCCTTTTGTCTTAGTTCTCAAGTATGTACATACTTAATACTCATCATTAGACCATAGGTCAACACTGCTCTAGTTTTTTGTTGTCTAAGCTTATTCTTTACTAGATACAAGAGGGATTATGGGAACAATATTTCCTGAGTTCTTGTATGTGGATAACAGTGTGTGATACACTTGTACTTTATACTGGAATTGTAGTTTTTATCATTACCCTGTTTCCTTGTTTTGTTTATTTTGTCAAGGATGCCTGTTGTCTGTATGTTGAGTCTTCTTTATCTTAAATATTCATCATTTTCTCTTGAGTCCTTTTTTACCTGTATTCATTTCTTTTTTATTTAAAATTTTTTAGCCTGCTCACATTCTATTTTTCTTAAACCATTGTTTGTTATGTTTATTCACTCTTGTATTTCTTCTAGTTTAGTTTTCGTTTCTGAGGTGGGTTTTTTTGTTTATTTCTAATTCTTTCCTGAGTTCTGCCACCTAGTTCATGAGTTTTTAAAATTGTAATTTATCTGTTCCTTGATGTTTTGTGTCATTTTCTTAATGTCTTTCGTTTATTCTGAATTAGTAGATTGCAGATTTTTTTTCTGGTTTTATATGAAAGCTTTCATTGTCTGTTAGAATGTTACTCTCCTCCTTTTTCTCTCACAATAACTTTGGGATTCCACTAGATACTTTCTGTTGCTCATTTTTATGTGAAATTAGTTTTCTCAGACTTTTAGAAGGGAGCACAATCCCTTCAAATAGTATCAAAATACATGACAGCTTTCTTCCTGGGATTTCCTGGCTCTGTTCTTCTCTGACCCCACCCCTTTGGTCTAGGCCTTCTCTTTCTTTTGTTTCTGTTTGATCCATTCTAATACATTTTTATTCCACTCCCATCACCTTCTCTGAGTGCGGAGCCTGTCTTAGCAAGGGGCCCCAGGGGGTCAGTTTCAAGAATTCACGGTTGACCCAGCTCCTTTAGAAGTTCCTATGACTTCTGGAGGTTCCAAGATGGCTGAATAGGAACAGCTCCAGTCTGCAGCTCCCAGCATGAGCGACACAGAAGATGGGTGATTTCTGCATTTCCAACTGAGGTACCAGGTTCATCTTGCTGGGGCTTGTCAGACAGTGGGTGCAGCCCACAGAGCAGAGTGGGGCATCGCCTCACCCGGGAAGCGCAAGGAGTCGGGGAATTCCCTTTCCTAGCAAAGGGAAGCCATGACAGATGGTACCTGGAAAATTGGGACACTCCCACACTAATACTGCACTTTTCCAACGGCCTTAGCAAATGGCACACCAGGAGATTATATCCTGTGCCTGGCTCGGAGGGTCCCACACCCATGCAGCCTCGCTGACTGCTAGCACAGCAGTCTGAGATCGACCTGCAAGGTGGCAGCGAGGCTGGGGGAGGGGCATCCGCCATTGCTGAGGCTTGAGTAGGTAAACAAAGAGGCTGGGAAGCTCGAACTGGGTGGAGCCCACCACAGCTCAAGGAGGCCTGCCTGCCTCTGTAGACTCCACCTCTGGGAGCAGGACATAGCTGAATAAAAGGCAGAAGAAACTTCTGCAGACTTAAACGTCCCTGTCTGACAGCTTTGAAGAGAGTAGTGGTTTTCCCAGCACAGAGTTTGAGATCTGAGAACAGACAGACTGCCTCCTCAAGTGGGTCCCTGACCCCCGAGTAGCCTAACTGGGAGGCACCTCCCAGTAGGGGCCAACTGACACCTCATACAGCCGGATGCCCCTCTGAGACGAAGCTTCCAGAGGAAGGATTAGGCAGCAACATCTGCTGTTCTGCAATAGTTGCTGTTCTGCAGCCTCCACTGGTGATACCCAGGCAAACACGGTCTGGAGTGGACCTCCAGCAAACTCTGACAGACCTGCAGCTGAGGGTTCTGACTGTTAGAAGGAAAACTAACAAACAGAAAGGACATCCACACCAAAACCCCATCTGTATGTCACCATCATCAAAGACCAAAGGTCGATAAAACCACAAAGATGGGGAGAAACCAGAGCAGAAAAGCTGAAAATTCTAAAAATCAGAGCACCTTTTCTCCTCCAAAGGAACGCAGCTCCTTGCCAGCAATGGAACAAAGCTGGACGGAGAATGACTTTGACGAGAGAAGAAGGCTTCAGATGATCGGTAATAACAAACTTCTCCAAGCTAAAGGAGGATGCTGGAACCCATTGCAAAGAAGCTAAAAACCTTGATGAAAGATTAGACGAATGGCTAACTAGAATAAACAGTGTAGAGAAGTTCTTAAATGACCTGATGGAGCTGAAAACCATGGCACAAGAACTACATTATGCATGCACAAGCTTCAGTAGCCAATTTGATCAACTGGAAGAAAGGGTATCAGTGATTGAAAATCAAATGAGTGAAATGAAGCGAGAAGAGAAGTTTAGAGAAAAAAGAGTAAAAAGAAATGAACAAAGCCTCCAAAAAATATGGGACTATGTGAAAAGACCAAATCTACGTCTGACTGGTGTACCTGAAAGTGACTGGGAGAATGGAACCAAGTTGGAAAACAGTCTGCAGGATATTATCCAGGAGAACTTCCCCAACCTAGCGAGGCAGGCCAACATTCATATTCAGGAAATACAGAGAATGCCACAAAGATACTCCTCTAGAAGAGCAACTCCAAGACACTTAATTGTCAGATTCACCAAATTTGAAATGACGGAAAAAATGGTAAGGGCAGCCAGAGAGAAAGGTCAGGTTACCCACAAAGGGAAGCCCATCAGAATAACAGCGGATATCTCAGCAGAAACTCTACAAGCCAGAAGAGAGTGGGGGCCAATATTCAACATTCTTAAAGAAAAGAATTTTCAACCCAGAATTTCATATCCAGCCAAACTAAGCTTCATAAGTGAAGGAGAAATAAAATCCTTTACAGACAAACAAATGCTAAGAGATTTTGTCACCACCAGGCCTACCTTACAAGAGCTCCTGAAGGAAGCACTAAAATGGAAAGGAACAACCAGTACCAGCCACTGCAAAAACATGCCAAATTGTAAAGACCATCGATGCTAGGAAGAAACTGCATCAACTAATGAGCAAAATAACCAGTTAACATCATAATTACAGGATCAAATTCACACGTAACAATATTAACCTTAAATGTAAATGGGCTAAATGCTCCAATTAAAAGACACAGACTGGCAAATTGGATAAAGAGTCAAGACCCATCCGTGTGCTGTATTCAGGAGACCCATCTCACGTGCAGAGACACACATAGGCTCAAAATAAAGGGATGGAGGAAGATCTACCAAGCAAATGGAAAACAGAAAAAAAAGCAGGGGTTGCAATCCTAGTCTCTGATAAAACAGACTTTAAACCAACAAAGATCAAAAGAGACAAAGAAAGCCATTACATAATGGTAAAAGGATCAATTCAACAAGAAGAGCTAACTGTCCTAAATATATATGCAGCCAATACAGGAGCACCCAGATTCATAAAGCAAGTCCTTAGAGACCTATATAGAGACTTAGACTCCCACAAAATAATAATGGGAGACTTTAACACCCTACTGTCAACATTAGACAGATCAATGAGACAGAAAGTTAACAGGGATATCCAGGAATTGAACTCAGCTCTGCACCAAGCAGACCTAAGAGACATCTACAGAACTCTCCACCCCAAATCAACAGAATATACATTCTTCTCAGCACCACATCACACTTATTCCAAAATTGAACACATAGTTGGAAGTAAAGCACTCCTCAGAAAATGTAAAAGAACAGAAATTATAACAAACTGTCTCTCAGACAACAGTGCAATCAAACTAGAGCTCAGGATTAAGAAACTCACTCAAAACTGCTCAACTACATGGAAACTGAACAACCTGCTCCTGAATGACTACTGGGTACATAATAAAATGAAGGCAGAAATAAAGATGTTCTTTGAAACCAATGAGAACAAAGACACAACATACCAGAATCTGGGACACATTCAAAGCAGTGTGTAGAGGGAAATTTATAGCACTAAATGCCCACAAGAGAAAGCAGGAAAGATCTAAAATTGACACCCTAACATCACAATTAAAAGAACTAGAGAAGCAAGAGCAAACACATTCAAAAGCTAGCAGAAGGCAAGAAGTAACTAAGATCAGAGCAGAACTGAAGGAGATAGAGACACAAAAAACCCTTCAAAAATCAATGAATCCAGGAGCTGGTTTTTTGAAAGGATCAACAAAATTGATAGACCGCTAGCAAGACTAATAAAGAAGAAAAGAGAGAAGAATCAAATAGATGCAATAAAAAATGATAAAGGGGATATCACCATGGATCCCACAGAAATACAAACTACCATCAGAGAATACTATAAACACTTCTATGCAAATAAACTAGAAAATCTAGAAGAAATGGATAAATTCCTGGACACATACACCCTCCCAAGACTAAACCAGGAAGAAGCTGAATCCCTGAATAGACCAATAACAGATTCTGAAATTGCGGCAATAATTAATAGCCTACCAACCAAAAAAAGTCCAGGACCAGATGGATTCACACCTAAATTCTACCAGAGGTATAAAGAGGAGCTGGTACCATTCCTTCTGAAATTATTCCAATCAATAACAAAAGAGGGAATCCTCCCTAATTCATTTTATGAAGCCAACATCATCCTGATACTAAAGCCTGGCAGAGACACAACAAAAAAAAGAGAATTTAGACCAATATCCATGATGATCATCGATGCAAAAATCCTCAGTAAAATACTGGCAAACCAAATTCAGCAGCACCTCATAAAGCTTATCCACCACGATCAAGTTGGCTTCATCCCTGGGATGAAAGGCTGGTTCAACATACGCAAATCAATAAAGGTAATCCATCATATAAACAGAACCAAAGACAAAAACCACATGATTATCTCAATACATGCAGAAAAGGCCTTTGACAAAATTCAACAGCCCTTCATGCTAAAAACTGTCAATAAACTAGTTATTGATGGGACATATCTCAAAATAATAAGAGCTATTTATGACAAACCCACAGCCAATATCATACTGAATGGGCAAAAACTGGAAGCATTCCCTTTGAGAACTGGAATAAGACAGGGATGCCCTCTCTCACCACTCCTATTCAACATAGTGTTGGAAGTTCTGGCCAGGGCAATCAGGCAGGAGAAAGAAATAAAAGGTATTCAATTAGGAAAAGAGAAAGTCAAACTGTCCCTGTTTGCAGATGACATGATTTTATATTTAGAAAACCCCATCGTCTCAGCCCAAAATCTCCTTAAGCTGATGAGCAGCTTCAGCAAGGTCTCAGGATACAAAATCAATGTGCAAAAATCACAAGCATTCCTATACACCAATAACAGACAAACAGAGAGTCAAATGAGTGAACTCCCATTCGCAATTGCTTCAAAGAGAATAAAATACCTAGGAATCCAACTTACAAGGGATGTGAAGGACCTCTTCAAGGAGAACTACAAACCACTGCTCAACAAAATAAAAGAGGACACAAACAAATGGAAGAACATTCCATGCTCATGGATAGGAAGAATCAATATTGTGAAAATGGCCATAATGCCCAAGGTAATTTATAGATTCAATGCCATCCCCATCAAGCTACCAATGACTTTCTTCACAGAATTGGAAAAAACTACTTTAAAGTTCATATGGAACCAAAAAAGAGCCCGCATTGCCAAGACAATCCTAAGCCAAAAGAACAAAGCTGGAGGCATCACACTACCTGACTTCAAACTATACTACAAGGCTACAGTAACCAAAACAGCATGGTACTGGTACCAAAACAGAGATATAGACCAATGGAACAGGATAGAGCCCTTGGAATTAATACCACACATCTACAACCATCTGATCTTTGACAAACCTGACAAAAACAAGCTATGGGGAAAGGATTCCCTATTTAATAAATGGTGCTGGGAAAACTGGCTAGCCATATGTAGAAAGCTGAAACTGAATCTCTTCCTTACACCTTATACAAAAATTAATTCAAGATGGATTAAAGACTTAAATGTTAGACCGAAAACCATAAAAATCCTAGAAAAAAACCTAGGCAATACCATTCAAGACATAGGCGTGGGCAAGGACTTCATGACTAAAACACCAAAAGCAATGGCAACAAAAGCCAAAATTGACAAATGGGATATAATTAAACTAAAGAGCTTCTGCACAGCAAAAGAAACTACCATCATAGTGAACAGGCAACCTACAGAATGGGAGAAAATTTTTAAAATCTACCCATCTGACAAAGGACTAATATCCAGAATCTACAAAGAACTTAAACAAATTTACAAGAAAAAAATCAAACAACCCCATCAAAAATTGGGCAAAGGATATGAACAGACACTTCTCAAAAGAAGACATTTATGCAGTCAACAGACACATGAAAACATGCTCATCATTACTGGCCATCAGAGAAATGCAAATCAAAACCACAATGAGATACCATCTCACACCAGTTAGAATGGTGATCATTAAAAAGTCAGGAAACAACAGGTGCTGGAGAGGATGTGGAGAAATAGGAATGCTTTTACACTGTTGGTGGGACTGTAAACTAGTTCAACCATTGTGGAAGACAGTGTGGTGATTCCTCAAGCATCTAGAACTAGAAATACCATTTGACCCAGCCATCCCATTACTGGGCATATACCCAAAAGATTTAAATGATGCTGCTATAAAGACACATGCACACATATGTTTATTGCGGCACTATTCACAATAGCAAAGACTTGGAACCAACCCAAATGTCCATCAGTGATAGACTGGATTAAGAAAATGTGGCACACATACACCACGAATACTACGCAGCCATAAAAAATGATGAGTTCATGTCCTTTGTAGGGACATGGATGAAGCTAGAAACCATCATTCTGAGCAAACTATCGCAAGGACAGGAAATCAAACACCACATGTTCTCACTCATAGGTGGGAATTGAACAATGAGAACACTTGGACACAGGGTGGGGAACATCACAGGGGTGGGGGGCAGGGGGAGGGATAGCATTAGGAGATATACCTAATGTAAATGACGAGTTAATGGGTGCAGCACACCAACATGGCACATGTATACATATGTAACAAACCTGCACGTTGTGCACATGTACCCTAGAACTTAAAGTATAATAATAAAAACAAACAAAAAACAAAACAAAAATAAATAAATAAAAAGTTCCTATGACTTCTTATACTCAAACACTACTGGAATGGGAACAACCCCTCTTCTATTTCAGCTGTGGTTCCCAGATTGCCCTGCTTTGCTTTTCAGTGAATATTTTTCAGCTGTCTTGGCATTCCCCTGTTTCCAGGTCTTTCAGTCACCATGCTGCTTCCTTCAGCTTCCTTCTGCATAAACACTCACATCATGCAGGTGTTGTGGCTATCATCTGACTTCCTCCTGCATAGATACTGATACCATGCAGGTGTTGTGGTTATGAAAGCCCCACCTGTATTTTGGGGTTTGAGGAGATACCCTGTCACCTGGTTTCGTTGTAAGTTTTTTGACATGTTTTTGATTTCGCTATTTAGTTGCTATGTTTATTTTTATGTGGAATTCTAGAAGATCCAAAAAGTATGCTGCCACTACCACTGTCATCTTCTCAGTTATAATAAAATATAAATTAAGCATAAATAAGGGAAAAAGTAAGGGCGGTATACAATGAAATCACAGTAGTAAATGGTGTACTACTATAAAGTGATTCCCAGCAAATAATAAATTCACGGGAGAGTGAATAACAACAAACACAAAAAATAAAGTAAATTCACAGCAGACTTGGTTAATATATAGTTATTTTATAGTAAAGTCAAGCTATTTAGATATATTCATGGAATTATTTAAACCTGTAGTTTTTAAATGGTGAAATGTAAATAGGGCTTGTTCCTTTCTTCTCTCATTACATCCTCCCCTGACTTTCCCAATACAATTTTCTCCTCATCTTGTTTACATAGAAACACAGAGCTCAGGGAAAAAGTAAAATGATTTTGGTAATCAAGTATCCACCAGAGAGTGTGTTCAGTGAGCCCACGTTAGCGCTCATGTGTCATGGTCTCTAAGGAACAATTTCAAAAGCTTGACCTAGACTTTTTCAAGCTAGGAACAGTTGACAGCAAATTCTAATCCAGGTTATAAAAAATGGTAAACATTATTCACTCTTTATATTATCCCCCCCAAATTTATACTGTTGTACATTAAAGTGGTTTGTTGAGGTCCTGCTTTGTGCTAAAGTCTGTGTGCTGTGTGCAGGGGATACAGCAGTGACAAAAGGGATTCTGATCTCTCTGGGATATGACTTATTTCCAGAGATGTTAGGTGTGTCAGTCTTGGCATCGCTACAGATCAGTTATTGTGATGCAAAAATGTTTTTACAATCACATCAACTTAATTCTTAAAACTTGATTTTTAAAAACTTCCCCTAAAGACACGCAAGCAAACACTTGAAACTATGCTAGCCCCCAAGGCTAAGACAGGTGATTAATCTGGAGTTGTGGTTTCACCACCTTTCACTATCGTCTGTCCTTTCCCTTGCATGCTTGTTTGTTATTTCTTGTGAAATTTTAAGTGAATGCCAATTTATAGTGGAGCCTGGTAATGACATAAAAATCAAAACAGCAAGGCTTATTTCAGATTAAGTTACTGGAAGCAAAATACATACAATGCAAAGATTAATGTATTTTAAGTGTACTTGCTGTTTAAATAAATACCATTATAAATCCTCTTGTCAGTAAGTCTTTTATGTAAAACAAAGAATCACTTGTTAATTTATCTTTTCTGTAAATTAAGAACTTTATGTATTAGGTTTGCTTTAAGGGAGGAAATCCAGTACCTGGACAGTTGCTAAATAGGTCATACTCCATCAGGTGATCTGTGTATCAATGCATCCTCTGTTATTTATAAAACAACATGTGCCATCTGGGTTTTATTTCCTCCTTGTTTGTTGCCTTTTGCCACCAGACCATAAACCTTTTGAATGCAGAGACTATCTTGTATGTATCTGTATCCCCATTAAATGCTTACTAAAGAATGATAGTGATATTTGTGAAATAATGAGAGAAAGACCGCCCCCATAAATTTTTCCTATTTCCGGATCATAATTAAATTTTGGTGGCTGTGTTAATTCAATCAGTTAGCTACTATATGTGCTGAGATCTGGGAAGACTAAAAAGACCATAATAGTCTGTACCTTTGAGAAGTTTATAATCTCATTAGAAAGATAAAAATGCACACATAAAATGTAAATAAAAATTGCCATATTATTATTTAGATGTCAAATAGAGTTTATATATTATATTACAGTCTTTATAAATATACTTTGGCTTTATTTATAAAGTTGGTTCTTTTCTTTTTCCTGAGTGAATATCAATTGTTTTTTATGCCTTTTCCCCCTTTTTCTTCCCACATATTTGTCAATCTCTAGTACCAAAGAGAATTATTATAGATGTTTTAATCATCTGACATTTTTAACATCAATGCAATTTTCTAATGACATTTCTTACCTAGGAAAGAGATTCTATACACAGACAGCACGAGGCAGCCCGGCAAGCTCTAATGGGAAGGATACGCCCTGATCACACACTCCTATTTCAAAGGTAGCAATTTATCACATGAGCAACTTTAGATTGATTTCCTAGTGTTCAAATAGATCAAATGAATCCTAAATCGTGAACATAAACAGAGACCTCTGTCCTAAAATGGACCCAGTGTTTCAGCAGTAAAAGCAGTTCTAGAAGTTGTATTTCCTTTTCATTTGTATACATTTTTAAAAGGCACAATATGCTCATAGCTACTAGAAACTGATGATTTTTTGAAGATTGCAAAGAATATTTCTTTGCAAGAAGAAGACGGGTGATTAATCTGGAGTTGTGGCTTCACCACCTTTAACTATCGTCTATCCTTTCCCTTGCATGATTGTTTCGGTTCTTTTTATTGTTTGTAATTTTAAGTTATCTATTGAGAATCTTTAATCAATATAAATAAAATTACATTTTTGTTCACTTGTTTGCTGCCATGTCAAAACAGAGTGATTAATTTTCTTCATGTTGGTAGGCTATCTTTGGATAGTCAGATTCAAAAGACAGGCTGTGTGATATATGCAAATTTGTATGGGAGGTTGGGAGGATGGTGGCCAGGAGTGAGACACTGTCCCCCAGAGCAGCTGAAGCTGGGCCTAGGTGACCACTGCCCAGCAGAATGCCAGGCCTGTTCGAACACTCTGGACAGAGAAACTATGCAGTTTTAAATATGAGTTCCAAATGGGTCATCACAAAGGCAGATAGATGCTTTGAATTTGCCTGCATTTATATGCAACTGGGCTGCCTTGCACATAGCAACTCTAGCAAGTCTGAAGAACAGCAGGGTTTATTCACGAAAAATGGCTAATGATTCTTTTTCTTTCAAGTCAGTCTGAGGGAACAGACTTGCATACAGCACATATGAATAGATGAAAAAGGATATTTTATGCTAGAGTTTAGTTGAACGTATAATGGTAGAATTTTTAGAAATATTTTACTTGGATACCATTTCAAAGCATTAGATTATAAATAAAGTTGGAAAACACCTATTTTTAACTTTTATAGCAGTTGATATATTGCTAGCCCTTGCATAACAAATGGACTAGGGAATCTCCAGGAAGATAATTTGCCTATATTAGTACTTTAATGGCTATGGAATATTCACAGCAATGAATATTTACTTAACCTTCAAATTAGAATGTAATGATGCCAATGACTTAGACAAGCTCTGATGTGCATGTTTCTGAGTGGATATATTACATTATTTCACATAGATCTCATTGGCATTTGCGTTTATCTGGGATATTTAGGTATACATGTGTGTACACTTGGTATCTTTACAAAATCCTTTGGTTTTTTTTTTTTTTTAAATTTCCCATTCCAGGGGTCCAGTACCAGCACCTCTCACCAGTGGTCTACACTATTATACAACTTTAGAAGAACTCTGGAAAAGTTTTGATCTTTGTGAAGACTATTTTAAACCTCCATTTGGACCATATCCTGAAAAGAGGTGAGTTGAGGTGTTTTGTTGGATGGAATTGGCTATTTTCTGCTGGTTAGTTAAAATTATGGTACTCATCTCTAAGCTTCAGAGAAATCCTAAAACTGGGAAGCAGGGCCCTAACTCCCGCTGTAGAATTTGAAGGGAGTAGACCCTGCCCCTCTATGGAGGGCCCAGGCATATAACCTAGGTTCACCATTGGAAGCTTTTATCTGGGACCTTGAATCTTGAGGGAGTGATAGAAAGACACAGGGGCAGTTAGAGGCTATTCAAGTCACCAGCAGCAGAAGAACCGAGATTTCAGAGGAAGAGCACAGACATCCATTGTGGTAAGGCAGGCAATGATGTTCTGCTAATCTCTTCCTGTACTGTGATTCGGCTGTGTTCTTGGTTCCTAGCTTACCTTTGTTCCCGCCTCATTTTAAGGCCAGGTTCTCTAGTTTCCATTAATTTCATAAAGTACCCCATAGCCTTCCACTAATTCCCTTTTTAATATTCACCTTGGCCAAAGAGTGTCTGTATTTGCAACCAACCATTCTGATTAGTATGACGCTGTATTTCAAAATGTTTACCAATGGAAGTGCAATACATAAAAGGCCATTTCAGGGTCTCAGTGTTTAATATGTCATAGTGTGGCTCAAAAGCTGAAAATGTTTACGCTGAGGGTCCCATATAGACCACAACAGAGCCTCCATTGCTGATTGTAGCACTGTGCTTTTGAGAACATTCTACTACATTTTGTTTCTCCTTCAGTTGCTCCTGTCACTGCAGCTGACCATCTCGCTGTAGGTCTTGAAAACAAATTTACACAAAGATCTGGCTGGTTGGGTCAATTGCCATCTACTACGGGGTGCCTCTCTTGGGTAGAGATCTCTAACCAGGGCCCTCATAGGTTGCTGGCTGGTCTATAGATTGGCTGTCCCTATGTCAGGCACCTATCCTTTAGCCAGTATTCTGTGGTCAGACCAGTGACAGCGAACCAAGTGGAAAACTCTTCAGAAGGGGGCTGTGGGTATGGCAGTCTCTGTGGAGCATCCAAACGCATGGCAATGTAATGGACATACAAAGTGACCGGAAGAAAGCTCACCAAAATGTGAACAGTGGCTATTTCTCTAGAATTACCAGTTATTTTATTTTTCTTCTTTATCCTTTTTTCCTGTAACACCTAAATTATTTGCACAGGGATATATATTTTATTTCTGTATCCTAAAAAACTATTAAAAATCCCTAAGAATTTAATGAAATATTCAATAAATGAGAAAGTAAAAGGATTTACACCAAAATATTATGTTATTATCTTCTAGTGATAAGATTATGGCCAGTTTTTGTTTTTTTGTTCACCCCCCGTATTTTCAACAATGAGCATTTTTATAATTTTTGAAGCATTAGCATAACTTTACAAAGTTATTTTAGAAGTCTGTCACAGCAAAGGGATATTTTATGATGGTGATATATCATAATGAGAATGAAAACTTTTAAAATGAGCAATGCTTTCCTTTATTTCTGAGTTTTATTGTTCTGACACTTGGGATTTCCTTCCATAATTTTGATGATGAAAAATAGCTGTCCCCTCTAAATGGTCCCCTCTCAGTCTGCATGTTTCACTAGAGATTAGAGACCCTAGCATTATAATTAGTTAATTAGCTTTCTGTAACCGTGTTGAAACTGTGATCTCTGAGGATTTGTTTGAGCTCTGAATTGTTAGTACAGTGAGGTAGGCAGATGGGAATACAGCAAAAAAGAGAAAACAAAATGGCCTAATGGGCTGCAGTAGGTTTACACGTCATCTCTTCCCATGGTAAAAGGGGTCAGGCCTGTGGCTCAAGTCTCACACTTCACCCGTGGTCATGCATATGTCTTTTAACTCCACCACATTCTTTCTTCAGACTTTCAATGAGTATTCATTTAATACTTTGACACAAAGGAAAAATAATTGTTGAAAGACAGAACTTGCTCTGTGATGCCTTTTTTGATGTGTGTCTTATATGCAGACATATTATTTCCCAAAACATATGTGTTATGGTTTGAGCTGTCCCCCATTCCCCCAATTTCATATGTTGGAGTCCTGACCCCCAGGATCTCAGAATGTGACCTTATTTGGAAATAGGGTCACTGCAGATGTAATTTGTTAAGATGAGGTCATATTGGAGTAGGGTGGGCTCCTAAGCCAATAAGGCTGTCCTTGTAAAAAGGAGAAATTTGGACACAGGCACACACATAGGGAGAATACCTTGTGATGAAGACTCAGATTGGGGTGATGGGGCAGAAGACAAGGAGCACCAAAGCTTGCCAGCAAACCACCGGAAGTGATGAGAGAGGCCCGGAACAATTCTCCCTCACAGACCCTGGAAGGAATCAGCCCTGCTGACACCTTGATTTTGGACTTTAGGCCTCCATAACTGTGAGACAATCAATTTCCATTGTTTAAGCCACTCAGTTCATGGTATCTTGTTATGGCAGCCGGAGCAAACTAATACGACCTGTATAAAAATCCAGTGAAATTTTTCTTTTCACATTCTTTCTGTGTTCCCTTTAACATGCTACATAGTTATATGCTATGTATGTATTTAATTTATATGTTATACATATAAGCTACTATCGTATGCACTATATCTTTATCACTTTGGGTTATTGCATTTTTCGCTAAAAGATGGAAGAACATCTTTATGCATCTATCATTTGATAAAAAGCTCTATCCCATAAAACATAAATGCATCTACTGCTATATTTAGGGCAAAAGACTCAGTCTAGGTATAAATCTAAAGAGAAGATCCCATGCATAGGTTAATAATGACACTTTCCCAATGCAGGAAGTAGAGGAGAGATTTGTCTGGTGACTGGAAGAGCCAGATGTTGGCAATATTGGTCTCAGTTTACTCTTCTCTAGCAAGTGCTTCTTGGGCAAGCTCAGTAAACCTAGGTGGGAGCAAGAGATTGGGAAACAAGGTCTCCTAGGAGACTTTGCTCTGTATAAAGGGAGCCTAGGCCTGGTGCAGTGGCTCACACCTCTAATTCCAGTACTTTGGGAAGGCAAGGTAGAAGGATTGGATCATTTGAGCCCAGGAGTTCAAGACCAGCCTCGGCAACATAGTGAGACTCTGTTTATACCAAAAAAAAAAAAGTAGCTGGGAATGGTGGTGTGTGCCTGTCGTCTCAGCTACTCAGGAGGCTGAGGTGGGAGGATGGCTTGAACACAAGAGGTTAAAGCTGCAGTGAGCCATGATTGCACCATTGCATTCCAGCCTGAGTGACAGACCCTGTCTCAAATAGATAATTAAATTAAATTAAATTAAATTAAATTAAATTAAATTAAAGGGACCTAACATTCTGGCATAGAATTCCAAAAGCTGTCGTCCAACAAAAAGAAGACAGTCCCAAGAACTCAGCCCAAGATGGTAAGATGGACCTCCTCCTTGGAGCAAGCAATTAGACTTCTCTGCCACTTGATAACAAGTAACTGACACTTCTAAGCAGAATCCTTAGGGTGCAGAGAGAGTGCCCCATCCCAGAATACCTCTATCTGGGAATGTTGGTGCCATGTAGCCCTAGCTGTAGTTGACAGACATCTGAGGTCCAAGTAGTAGGCAGGTGCCTATGCCCAGCAGCACATGGGCTTTCCAGGAGAGCTGGGTTTGGATTCCCAAGTGCACCAGTGCTGTGGCCTCTGCTTGCCATTCAAACATAATACAGACAATGTGAGTGCTGCACATTAGCTGTGTCACCCTCAGTATGCCTATATCACCCCATTCCCTTACCTCCTGGGTCAAGGACAGGCCCAGATGATAGCTAATTGCACTATGTTTTTCAATACTAGAGCCCTGAACTCCTGGGGATATCTCATTAAGACTGGCTCCTACCCTTTTAATCTCTGCCACAGTCAATATCATCCTAGTAAACATAGATGCCTTCATTTAAATGGCAGGCTTTACCTTGTATAGACCCAATTGCATCAGCCTTTCCTATTGCCAGGTACGAATCTAAGTTAAATGTGGAGTGTGAACAAGTGGAGTTCAACTTGAACTTGATCCTAGAAATGTACTTCTTTGCTGGGATAGGGATCATAACATTGGAACTACAGAAAAGAAAGTATCATCACAGCCACCTACTAGGTTCTGCAGCGGAAAATTACCTATGAATTTTTGACGTTTTAATCAACCTTTGGCCAAATCATGAAAAGACAGAACTATGAATACAAAGCTTAATATAATCAACTTTGACAGTGAAAAGCAGACCCGTAATGACAAAGTTGAGGAGGTAGAGGTGGAGGGTCAATTTTATTAGCTGTTGTTAATGAAAGAAGAAATGTAGTTTTAAAATATGATATATGAAGATGCAGATCTGACAGATGGAAGAACTGAGAATAGTGATAGAACTATGTAGGGGGAGTGTTATAAAGTGAGTTAAGTTCTTCCGTATCATAGCAGAAATCCTATCTATTAAAAGATATGTTTAAAATTGATGTCAGGCCTGGGCGGCGTGGCTCATGCCTATAATCCCAGCACTTTGGGAGGCCCAGGAGGGTAGATCACTTGAGGTCAGGAGTTCAAGACCAGCCTGGCCAACATGGCAAAAACCCATCTCTACTAAAAATACAAAAATTAGCCAGATGTGGTGGTGCACACCTGTAGTCCCAGTTACTGAGGAGGCTGAGGCAGGAGAATCAGTGAAACCCGGGAGGCAGAGGTTGCAGTGAGCCAGGATGGTGCCACTACACTCCAGTCTGGGTGACAGACAAAGCCTCTCTGTATAATTTGACTTAATTTTAACTATATAGAGACAGCACGTTGATTAAAATGTTAATGATAAATTTTTGGAGAGTTGAGAAAAAGTTTGTCTAGGTCCAAATCAAATTTAAAAGAAAAACAGCAAGCTTTACACAATACAACAAAAGGGTTAATATTCAATACGTGAAGAGTTCAGACAAATTGGTAAGAAAAACGGTATGGTCCTCAACAGATAAATGAGCAAAAGACATACACAATTCACAAAAGGAGTGTGGGGAGGAGCTAATGAATAAATATAAAAAATAATGTTTAATCTTGCTTGTGATTAGACAGCAATTTTAAATAATATGCCACTTTTTGCTTGTTGAATTAGCAAAACTGATTTTTTAAAATTATTTTTTAAATGGTGCAAACAGAAAGATACTGCTGGAGAGCCCAGATTTTGTTGGAAGATAAAATTTCACAATCTTTTGGGGAGCAATTAGGAAGTTTATAGCAAAATCCTAAATAATATATTTACTATTGACCTAGTTATCCTGCTTCTGGGAATTGATACTGTCTTAGACCATTCAGGCTGCTATAATAAAATACCATAGACTGCGTAGCTGATAGACAACACACATTTATTTCTCCCAGTTCCGGAGGCTGGGAGTTTAAGATCAAGTGCCTGGTCAGGGCCCACTTCCTGGTTTCCAGATGCCATCTTGTGGCATTGTGTAGATGTGTCCTCTACACAATGGAAGGGGTGAGGGAGCTCTCTGGAGTCTTAAATAAGGGCACTAATCCCACCATGAGGGCCTCACCCTCATAACCTAAGCACCTCCTGAAGACCCCGCCTCCTAATGTCATTACCTTGGGGATGAGAATTTCAACATAGGAATTTGTGGGGATGCAAACATTCAGACCCTAGCAGATACTAATAAATTAACATGTGGAAAATCATCATATGCAAAGATATTCATTATGACAGAAAAACTTGGAAATAACCTGAATGTCAAAAAATAACAGAATGGTCAAATAAAGCATGAAGCATATACTTGATGGACTATTATGCAGCAATTAAAGATCAGGGTTCAGAAAACTGTTGATAACTTAAAATTGTTCACTGAAAATGTGCACAATTACACAAAACAAAAAGAGCCAAACTGTAAGAGTGGCTTTCTATGTGTGATTTTCCTTTTTCCTTCTAGTTTTCTGTATTTTCTAAATTGTCTATAATGCGTATGATTTACTTTTATAATGAGAAGCAATTAGTGAACTTTATTTTTAGGAAATTAATTCAGTGGATAAAGATAAGTCAATCCAAAACAATTGAACTGAAGTATGAATGTGTATGGGATATGAGAAGCAGAGTTACAAAGCTAGTGGATCTTGTGTAACACTCAACCACATGCCAGTTTCCGTTCTGGGAATGTGACATATGTTATCTCAACACACACACACACACACACACACACACACACACACACACACAAATTTATAACTACTACCCGGCGAGAAAAAAATGCTGTCATTTTCCTCATTTTAAAAATGTGACAACTGAGGCAAGTTAATTAGTCGGTAAAAGGACTTGAAGCTATCAAGTCTCAGAGCTGAGGTCTGAACCAAAGCCAAAAGGCTCGAATCTTTGTGCTAAGCCACTTGGCTACAGTCTACAAGACTTAGAATTTAACTGAAGGAAGAAGACATGTATAGAGAAACACCAATGACACAGGCACGTCTGTGATGAATGAAAGACAATTAGTTCAGACATATTTTTTGTCTGACTTTCATTATTTTCTACCAGAGGTTTCTTTTTTCTTCCCAAACTACCTCTTATTTGCTAAAGCTCCCCAAGATATGCCAGCATCTCCGACATAATTCACATTCTCTGTGGCTTTCTAAAGAAAAATTATTAAACTTTTAAAAATGGGAAGGTCCTATATTTGCATTTCAACTCTATGTCTGAGGGGTTCGCCTACATTTATACCTGTTTTATTTTCTTTTTTGACACTTGCTGTTAACTAGAAATCTTTCCGTGTGTGCATGGGGGATGAGGGGATCTTTTTGCTTGGTCTCAGCATGATTCCTTGCCGAGGTCCTACCAATATCTGAGGGCATCCAGTGATGAGACAGCTGGGGAGGTCAAGAGCACGGTCTATAAATACTTCAATCAGCCACCATCTGGTCCTGGAGTCATTGGCTGGTGAGATCCAGAAACATGGGCCAAAACAAGCCCCCTGTCGCCTGTGTCAAAAGAGACACACATCACTTGGGTTATGGCGCCCTCTTCCCAAGCCATAGTGGTATAAAACTCCAGGCCTCATGCTTCCCTGCTCCTGCCTTTTCAGTAGTTGAATTATCCTATTCCCACCCCCGAACCTTCCCTTAAAAAGTCTACTCCTGGCCAGGTGTGGTGGCACATGCCTGTAATCCCAGCACTTTGGGAGGCCCAGGTGGGCGAATCACCTGAGGTCAGGAGTTCGAGACCAGCCCGGCCAACATGGAGAAACCCCGTCTCTACTAAAAATACAAAAAATTAGCTGGGCATGGTGGTGGGTGCCTGTAATCCCAGCTACTCGGGAGGCTGAGGCAGGAGAATGACTTGAACCGGGCAGGCGGAGGTTGCAGTGAGCTGAGATGGCGCCATTGCACTCCATCCTGGGCAACAAGAGCGAAACTCTGTCTCAAAAAAAAAAAAAAAAAAAAAGTCCACTCCTTGTCTTTTTCCGGTTAGTTTTCCAAGCCAGCATCTTTCTATCATTCCTGAAGTTTACTTTGACTGAGAAGCATTCCAGAACCATTAAGTTGGAGAAGAGAAGCCTGTCTCCCAGTGAGGCCCTTCAGATGTCACAACGGTCCCTCTGCTGAGAGCATTCTCCTTCCTCCCCTCCAGTTTCAACCTCCACCCCACCTTCCCCCTTTTCTAGCTAATTCATCCCTCATGTCTTAACTAAAATGGCACTTCCTCAAGGAGAGCTGTCCTGGTATGCCTAATATATCATCTTATAGCATTTGTGTTTTCCTTCATATCTCAGTTTTTGTAAAGCACGTGTGTGATTAGATACACCTCCCAGTCTGTAAGCCGAACAGGGCAGGTCCAGATCTTGTGTTCACTGCTATATCTCCTGAACCTCCTCAGTGTTAGAATTGAGAATGACTTGATAAATGAGTGACAGAAAAGGGTTAAGAGTGTAAACAATCTTTGGGGTCCCAAGGTGGGAGATGGGGACTGCACTGGTCAGGGAGAGGGGAGAGGATCGTGTCCACCTTTCTGTCAGGTGGAATCAAAGCTGTCCCCCTTGCTGAGTCAGGGACTACTCATGGCATGACTTCCATGTTTAGTGAGGAAATTTCACTCAGTAAATTTCTCCTGCCTTCTTGCTTAGGCCTGAAATCTGCCATGAGAGCTGCATTCTTTTAAGACGTTGGCCCTCATTAAAAGGCAAGATTTATCCAAAACGTAATGGCTTAAATATCAGCCATTTTCGTGTGATCAATTTCAGATTCTCCAATGACAGCAAATATGGTGGGGATGAGGCACAGTGGTAGAAGTGCCTGTAAACAAGGTTCAGCTGCTTGCCAGGGCTTTGCAGGATGAGCTCCCCTGGTAGAGCTGCCTCCCTGGAAGGCAGTGAAGAAACAGGTGAATCCCAAAGGAGAGGAACCTGGCGGTAGGAAGTGTTTGGGCTCAGAGGCAGGGATTTCAGATGCCCAATCATACCTGAACATTATCCTAAAAATGGAAATGAGTGTGGGGCATGGTGGCTTACACTTGTAATCCCAGTACTTTCGGAGGCCGAGGCCGGCTGATCACCTGAGGTCAGGAGTTCGAGACCAGCCTGGCCAACATGGCATAACCCCATCTCTACTAAAAATACAAAAATTAGCCAGGCAATGGTGCATGCCTGTGGTCCCAGCTACTAGGGAGGCTGAAGCGGGGGAATCACTTGAACCCAGGAGGTGGAGGTTGCAGTGAGCCCAGATCGTGTCACTGCCCTCCAGTCTGGGTGACAGAATAAGACTCTGTCTCCAAAAACAAAAAAAAAAAGGAAGCAAAATCACAGTCCCCAAAACCTATGCCCAGTGTGAGGTCCAGATCAGGCCACCTACCATGGTTTTGTTTCTCTATCCTTGAAATAGCACTGATTCTAAAATCCTGGAGATTAGGATCTGCGCCTTATCTTGTTTTATACTCCAACACTTATCATGATGTCTTGCTCTTAGTAAATACTCAGCCATGTCTTGTATAATGGATGAGACATTTATGCTAATGTGTACAGTACCTATTATACTTTAAGAGATGTCAGCTTCTATATAGCACCTTCTATAGACACTGTTGAACACTAGCTCAACACAAGACATGTCCACTAACTACTGTGAACTTGATAAAGGTAACCCAGTGAAGTCATAGGCATAGATCGTGTGGCCATTAGTAGCGAATAGTTTGGATCTCAAAAAGATCTTTGGTTTTTCATTTTTTCAGTGGGAAGGATTCCTTGGTTTCCATGAAATGTTCATTGTTTCGGTTCTGTCCGTGGTCAAAAGAATTGCCTTTCCAGCCTCCGGAGGGGAGCATTTCTTCACACCTAGGATCAGGAGCCAGTGACAGTGAGACCGAAGAGACCCGGAAAGGTATGAGTTAGGCCAAGCGCGGTGGCTCATGCCTGTAATCCCAGCACTTTGGGAGGCCGAGGCGAATGGATCTCCTGACGTCAGGAGTTCGAGACCAGCCTGGCCAAAATTGTGAAACCCCATCTCTACTAAAAATACAAAAAATTGGCCAGGTGTGGTGGTGGGCACCTGTAGTCCCAGCTACTCGGGAGGCTGAGGCAAGAGAATTGCTTGAACCCAGGAGGCGGAGGTTGCAGGGAGCCGAGATCACACTACTGCACTCCTGGGTAACAAGAGCAAAACTCCGTCTCAAAAAAAAAAAGGTATGCGTTGTTTTACATATGGTACTATAAATATAAGTTATATATATTTATATTTGTTTATATATGTTTCCTACTGTCTTTTTATTGATCCTGATTTTTGAAAATTAAATGAGAGTATTGAGTCAGAATCTCCCTCTAAGGTAGCGTGTTATTTTGTTGCCCATTGTTATAGGTGAAAAACAAAGTTGAGAAAGGTGGGGAATCCACCCACGGTCACTTAGCTACTTTGAGTAGAAGCTGCTGCACTGTCCACCCGGCCACATTATCTGCAGCGGTCTGGGACAACGACCACATGCTCTTTGGAAGAGGCTTTGGTGAGGTAGACTCCATTCAATGAAGGTGAAGGAAAGCATGGAGGCTTTGAGTTGCAGTCCAGTCTTCACTGTGGCGGTTCGGCAGAATTCTGATGGCTTTAGGCTTGAAGGATCTGGCCCAGCCCCGCTTCACCTCCTTTTTGCCCCTAGATCCCAAACACACATGTGAACATGCATGTCCAGAAAGAGGCAGAATGGCCATTGCACTTTTCTCTCTGGGCTCCGCGGCAGTGTTCACAAATAACACTGAGTAAAGACCTTGAACAGGGTGGGGAAAACAAAGGACTGGAGGTGAAAATGGGAATGGGAGAGAATAATCTGGGTGTCAATAGGAAAGGTGGGGCGCTGTGAGTAGCTGATAGAGGAATGAAGTGAATGGGGAGAACTCTCTAATGCATGGAGGCTAGGACAGAGCCACCATTTGTAGTCTTGAGGGGATGTTTTGCCTGAACCCTGCTTGCTCAGGTGACCGGAGGAACTAGCAAGATAATACAGACCTCTTAATTTGCCTGGCATGAGAAGACACAATAGATACTGTCTCCAAAAGGAAGGGATTACTGAAGCAGGCATCTTCTAAGCAATGTGAGGGTGGACTCCCCTTCACTGCAGTGGTATTCAGGATAGCTGGCTGGAATAAGAGATTTTCAAGGATTTGACTCATGCAGGACACAAGCAATAAGGATGAGAGTTCTAACACCAAAGCTCCAGGAAGTAATTCCAAATTCTCTTGGCCTTCATGTCAGCTCGCAGGAAGTGGGAAATGTTCTAGGAATTCTGTAAAGGCTGGGACCTGCCACTCCAGGGCCCGAGGGAACCGGGAGTTCTAGACCAAACATAGCACCAAGGCTCATCATAGTTCTAGCTTCTCATAGGACAGTGTTCATGGACCGTCCCCATCTCATTTCCTCCCCCTGCCTGTATCCTTCCTTAAATGGGATGCTTAGGGTCAAATACCTTATTCTAACCCATCTGGCCAGAGCAAAGTGGGGCTGTTATCAGTGGTGTGGTACAGTAGAAAGACATTAGATTAGGAATCAGAAGACCTGTGTTCTAATTCCATTTCTCTACTGGCTGGCTGCACAATATTGGGCAAATCAGTTAACATTTGAGCCTTGGGAATAATAACATAATATCTGTCGTATAATAATATGGTATTATCACATATAACTATATATGATTGTAACATATATATGCATATTATAATATAATATATAATATTGAGCCAGATAAGATGAGTTTATGGTACAAGTAAGAAGTAAATTGCTAGATACCTGCTAGATATTGTGCTTGTAAATTTGTATACACATAGCAGAAGATTGTGTTGGTGTATTTTATGGATGCTTTCTGTAGATTCATTTTGTTCCTTTGAATGGGCCACACTTTTCTGTTTGTTTGTATGCCTTTGCTCTTTTGTTGAAAATTGGGCATTTGAAAAAACAGCTACCTCTCCAAAGCTGCAGACTAGCTCAGCGCTGCAGAGGACTAATTAGTGGCGTGTGTTCTAAGCCTAGGATCAGGCTTGCATGCAGGCTTCACATCTTTTCAGGCCTTTCCTGGGTATGCATTTTCCCTGGGCTTGTGTGTGTGCTTTTTTCCCAGTTCCCCAGTAGACACAGTTGCTTTTAAATGTTTTAATTTTCCTAGGAGTCTCACCCCTGCTGCTTGTTGGGGCTTTAGCTGTTCTATCGTATCCCTCAATTAGTAGCCCCTGTGTGGTTTTCATGAGCCATGCCCACTGCTCCTGTGGCTTCTCCTCGTTTGAGATCCCAGCTATGCCTGTTTGGGCCATTTGAACTCTGAGTTAGATGACACAGAGACCAATCAGGCAGCTGCCAAATGGGTTAGAACATTGCAAATTAGATCTGCCCTACTCTCTCTGGTTTATAGAAGGGGACTGGGGACCTGACTGCACTTGCCCCAAATCACTGCAACGTGCTGGGGTGAGGCGGGGCAAGGGCAGGTGAAAGCACCATGAGATTTCCCACCATTTGAGTGTGGCTTTTCCTGGACTGGGCATTTGTTTGGTTGCAGTAGATATTTGACTGGTTCCAGAGTTCCTATAAAGTTATTTCAGCCAGTCTGTAGTTGTTTATTTAATGTTTCCACGGGACAATAAGGGTCTGGAAGTTCTGAGTCTGCCATTTTGCTGATATACTGTAGTGGTTTTCTTAGCAACTATATCATACTGCTGGCTCTGGGTCAAACTCTCATGTCTTTTTTTACATGAACTGTCAAACTAGGTCTCCATCATCCCATATATGTGAAGTTGATTTTTTTTTTTACATAAATGTAACTTTTGTTTTCATCTTTTTATCATTTTGGTTTGGCCCTACATTCCAGCTCAATTTGTATCAAATTAGATCATTTCGTATCTGATTAATCTCCCATATTCTCTATTCTCCCATATTCCCTATTAATCTCCCATATTCTCTATAGATTTTTGAAATCTATAAAACCAACAAGCATGTGACCTCTGCCTATGTCATAGTCACTGTCAACAACAGGACTCAGGACTCAGCCAAGTGCAGTGTCACATGGCAAGTCTCAAGTCTCTGCAGACTTAATTTCAGGGAAAGTCCACTACTATGTGATTACTAGTCAAATCTCTGTAGTGGAACCCCATGAGAAACTTTGATAAGTGCCCTGTAGAAATCAAGATACATTGTATCAGTGGTATTTTCTAACTTACAGGTCAGCAACCTTTCTCTAAAGGACCATATAGTAAATGCTTTTGGCTTTGTGGGCCATGTGGGCTCTTGTGCAACTTCTCAACCCTACCATTGTAGCGTGAGAACAGCTATAAACAATGTGCAAATGAATGGGTACAGGATGGGTTCCAATAAAATTTTATTTACAAATTAAATAAAATTTATAAATCTGGCTGCAGGCCCGATTTGGCCTATGTGCCATAGTTTACTTGACCCCTGCCTAAATAAAAGGGAAATTAAGTTACTTTCAAGTAAATTTTATTTGCAAACCCCTTCAACACTCATCATTCACTATAGTATTTTATAAATACACAACCATTTCTTTAATAAACTGAAATTTGCTAAGATTTAAAGTCAAATGTGGTTGGGTGCATTGGCTCATGTCTGTAATCCCAGCACTTTGGGAGGCTGAGGTGGGCAGATCACTTGAGGTCAGGCATTCGAGACCAGTCTGGCCAACATGGCGAAACCCTGTCTCTACTAAAAATCCAAAAAGTAGCTGAGTGTGTTGGTGTGCGCCTGTAATCCCAGCTACTCAGGAGGCTGAGGCAGGAGAATCACTTGAACCCGGTAGGCGGTGGTTGCAGTGAGCCAAGATTGTGCCACTGCACTCCAGGCTGGGTGCCAAAGCGAGACTCTGTCTCAAAAATAAATAAAAATAAAGTCAAATATACTGGTTTGTAAACCTTTATTCCTATTTTTTTAAATGGCAATATTATTTGTCTCCAATGCTGTTCTCACTGTGGATGAATTATCTAAGGGTGGATACTCCAAAACTGCTTCCATAAGCAATTCCGGCACCCTGAGATGTAATTTAGCTGGTTGTGGGACTTGAACGGATTGAAAAAGGAGGCCTACTCCTCTACCGTCTGCTTTCTTTTCAACATGTTTGCTTTGCTCTTTCCTGTTTAAAAGATATCCCCATGGAGAAAAACAAAAACCAGCAAACAAGGAAGGGCCAGACTCAGTGGCTCATGCCTGTAATCCCAGCACTTTGGGAGGCCAAGGCGGGAGGATCATCTGAGGTCAGGAATTCAACGTTAGCCTGGCCAACATGGTGAAACCCCACCTCTACCAAAAATACAAAAATTACGCAGATGTGGTGGTGGCATATGCCTGTAATCCCAGCTACTTGGGAGGCTGAGGCATGAGAATCATTTGAACCCGGGAGGTGGAGGTTGCAGTGAGCTGAGATCACACCACTGCACTCCAGCCTAGGTGACAGAGCGAGACCTGGTCTCAAAAAAAAAAAAAAAAAAAAAAAGGAGGAGTTTTTTTTCTTTTCTTTTGCTGATAACAATATCCTCTCAAACAATGTCTTATTTTTTTCTTTGAATATGTCCTAAAACGGTCAATGTTCCCTTTGACTTTTCATTGGTTTGATTTGGCCAATAGATCCAGTCTTCATAATCTTATCCATCATTTCTGTTTCTCTCACTCTCTATAGAATCCTCTGCTTTACTTTCTCAATCCCTGCTACTCTGCTTTCTTACCAGTGAGAATTCTGCTTCTGCTATGGCCACCATGCCTCTACCTTTCCTCTCTATCTTCTAAACTCCTCCTGCTTCCCAAAGTCCCTGGAGAAACTGACATCCAGATGTCTTCCTGCTTGGTGAGCAGACCAATCTTTAGAGGGCATTAAATGAAGCTTCTATAGGAAGAACTTCACTTCACTGTGTGTGTGTGTGTCTGTGTGCATGTGTATGATTGTGAAAGAGTACTGTGTGGAGCATTGTTACAGAAGGCATGACAGGTGGAAGAATCGCTAGTGAGTGCTTGCTGTAGCATCCTCTGGTCATTGGGCAACTCTATACAACCTAAGGCTTGTTCAACCATGTACATGCTATATTCTGACCTCATCCACTATTATTCTTCCTTGAATGTCATTTCTTTCTTTTTTTTTTTTTTTTTTTTGGCCTCAAGTGATCCACTCACTTGGCCTCCCAAAGTACTGCAATTATAGGTGTAAGCCACTGCACCTGGCCTCATTTATTTCTTATAGTTTGTCATGAACGAATTCTAGAAATTGTTCTGGTGCTTATATCATGCAACACTTATTCTCTTTGTACCAAGAAACCAAGGGATTAACTATCTTTTTTTCTGAATGTTTTACAGCACTACCTATACAATCATTTTCACATGAAAAAGAGTCTCACCAACACAGACAACACTCGGTCCCAGTCATCAGTCGCCCAGGTTCCAACGTCAAACCCACCCTCCCTCCAATCCCTCAGGGCCGCAGGTAGACTAGCACTTGATGTCTGATCCTAACATGGAAAACCTGCTCTGCTGATGTCGAATTCCTTGCCTTACCTGGCCATGGGTCCAGCTGTTTCTCACTCAACCCATTACCCACGGAAGAATGTTCTACCTGCCTTAATTCTATCAGCCAGTTTCTCTTGTGATTCTTTGGCTGGTGTCTTTTAGTTTTTTAATTAAAAAATTGTTTCTTAAATGATTTTTAAAGATGTGAGTTTTTTTAATGTGAGTTATTCTTAGCTTTTAAAAATGTCATTTCATTTTTTTTTCTATAGCTATAAATAATTTTTTCCACCTGCTCCCTGCTCGGAAATATCAGATGGAAAAATCTCCCAAGATCTCTGCACCGTGATATGCAGAGTGGCTTTCTGATATATCCAACTGGGATTGTGCTCTTAAAATTTCAATATGTCCATTTACAACATTCCTGTATGCTCTAGAGGATTGATTTATTTTGCTCTGATTATGAAAGGATTGCAGAGTTCCATTTAACTTGTCGCCAACATGATATCGACTGCATCTCTCAAAAGGAATTAATGTAATTTTGGGGGGTTCTTGACTTACTTTAGCAACACGAAAGAATAAAGAGCAACAGTTGATTCTTTTATTTCACCCTTCTTTGACTCTGATTAGGGACTGCTTGTGATTAGATATACTTTTAGACAACTTTCATCATCTTTGTAGTTTCACTCCTTGTCTTAAAAAGAAAAACCTCCATTGAGCAGTTATAGACAAGGCTGGTATTCCGCTAGTATGTCCCAGTAGGCTATCCTGATTGTTAAAACTTTGAGATACATTCCTTTGTACTGGAAAATGGTCTTTTCTCTGAGTACTCTGTGCATGATGACTAGTGAAAAGAGAAGCCTCCACATAGTACTATACTCATTGTTAAATATTTTGAATATCAGAATCCTCTAATGACTTTCCTTTTTAAAATATCAAAACCCCTTTTAATAATCCTCTTCCCTGTGACAAATTTGGTTGTAACACAATTTGCTGTTGGCTCTTGTCCTCCCCCAGTCCTGCTCTCAAACAGGAGCTGATTAAAGTTCCTTTCTTGGGGTTGGTGAGGGTGGAGCGGGGGGACCATGAAGGAGATGACCACGTTGGGCAAGGAAATCAGAGGAGTCTTTTCTGGAGAAGTGGGGAGGAAGAGGATATGTCTCTGTATTCCAAGAATCTTCAAGAATAGTTTAACTTTCACAAGTATCGTCTAATCTTTAAAAAAAATTATGAAATATTTTAGGGACAATAGAAAATATAAAAATAATACTTCTGATTTAAGACAGCATGGAGGAGCTGCACATTTCCTGGTTTTTCTCACCGAATACAGCTAAAACCCTGAACATTATAGCTCAACCTCTGAGAGGTGAAAAGAAGGCAGATGGGCTATGGATCTCAGAGCCTGAGTAACAACATGGTGGTGAATCCTCTGAGTTTGGTTTTCCTCATATATCCTAAACTGGGTGCTAGAGAAACTAAAATTCAAAGTTATTAATGGATACATCAACAAAAGCCCCAGCGAAAGCCCACTCTCTCCAGCCAAAGGACTAGGAAAGGGACAGTCTCAAAAGATAGAAAACTTTTAGACAATAGCTGCACCATTCCAGCCAAACACCATGGATTAAACTATGCTCCCTACCCTGTCAGCAAAGGCTCTCAACCTCTTCTGGCTGTAACAAGGTTCTCCTCCTTCTCTCTGCTGGGACAGTATCAGAGAAGGTGTTGTGGACAGCCAGGACTTTAACCACTGCCCAATATTAATGAGAATGCCCTCCCACAATGTCATTGAAAGCCACTTGGGGGCCCTGGACCTATTCCTCACCTGGTAATAATGAGGAACCTCTTCTCCTTCCCACTGGAGAGTATTAGAAAAGGTCTCATGAAGAGCCAGGACTTTCACCATCAACCCACATCCCTGCAGTGTCAGTGGAGGCCATGTGAAGAGCTGTGACAAGGTGCCTCTCCCCCTCCCAGTGAGGGTGGTTCAGTTGAGGCCTAGTGGGGACCCTAAACTTCTACCCCAAAGCGTTAATGAGGCATCACTGCCCTCTTTCCCACCCTGGGTGTCAACAGAGGCCAAGTGGAGAACTTGGGCTTCTCTCTCTATCTGCCGGTCATGAGTCAGTGCCTTTCTGCCCCACTGGTATGGTGTCAGAAACGTCCTACTGAGACAACAGATTGAAATAAGATCTGAAGTCTCATTAACACACTATCCAAACTGTCTAAGATATAATTAAACCACTCACCATATCAAGAATTAGGAAAATGTCAACTTGGATAAGAAAAGACCATCAATATATGCCCACACCAAAATGACACAGATGTTGGAATTATTGGGTAAGGATTTTAAAGTAGCAATCATAAAAATGCTTCAACAAGCAATTAGGAACATGACTGAAACAAATGAAGAGATAGATAATTTCAGCAAAGAAAGAGAAAGCCATAGCAAAGAACAGAAGACATAAAGAAGAACCAAAAGGAAATGTTATGACTAAACAGTACAATCACTGAAATTTTAAAACTCATTGGATGGGCACAAGAGTGAAATAGAGAGGACAGAGGAAAAAAACTTAATGAACCTTAAGACAGAAGAATTGAAATTACCCAATCTGACCAACAGAGAGAAAATAGACTGAAAAACAATATGAGTCCCAGGGATGTGTAGGACTATGTGAAAAGATCTAATGTTTGTGTCATTGGAGTCTAGAGGAGTACAAAAAGAGTGTGAGACTGAAAAATATTTTTTTTAAAAATGACCCGAAATCTCTAAATTTGGCAAAAGCCAAAAACCTACAAATCCAAGAAGCTGAGTGAATCCTAAACAGGTTAAAGCCAAAGAAATTCACAAGACACATAATAATCACACTACTGAAAACCAAAAACAACACAAAATCTTAAAGCAATGAGAGGGAAATTATATCTTAATTATAGAGGAAAAAACAAATGCTAGTGGACTTCTCATCAACAACCATGGAAGTGGTATATTTTGAAGTACTCAAAGGAAAGAACTGTCAACTTACAATTCTATCTATATTCAGTGGAAATGTCCTTCAGGTATGAAGGAGAAATCAAGACATTCTCAGATGAAAGAAAACAAAAATAATTTGTTGCCAACAAACCTATCCTAAAAGAAGAGTTGAAGGAAATTATTGAAACAGAATGGAAATGATAAAAGAAGGAAACCTGAAAGATCATGAAGGAAGAAAGAAAAATGGAAAGAGTAAAAATATGGACTACTACGCAGCCATAAAAAGAATGAAAACCTGTCCTTTGTAACTACATGGATGTAGCTGGAGGCCATTATCCTAAGTGAAATAACTCAGAAACAAAATCAAATATCACATCTTCTCACTTATAAGTGGGAGCTAAACAATGGGTACACATGGACATAAAGATGGCAACAATAGACACTGGGACTGCAAAAGGGTGAGGGGTGATATGGTTTGGCTGTGTCCCCACTATAATCTCATCTTGAATTGTAGCTCCCATAATTCCCACGTGTTGTGGGAGGGACCTGGTGGGAGATAATTGAATCATGGGGCACTTTCCCCCATACTGTTCCCATGGGTAGTGAATAAGTCTCACAAGAACTGATGGTTTTATAAGGAGTTTCACCTTTTGCTTGGCTCTCATTCTGTCTTGCCTGCTGCCATGTAAGACGTGCCTTTAGCCTTCTGCCATGATTGTGAGGCCTCCCCAGCCATGTGGAGTTGTGAGTCCATTAAACCTCTTTTTCTTTGTAGATTACCCAGTCTACGGTATGTCTTTATCAGCAGCGTGAAAACGGACTAATACAGGGGGCAAGGTTTGAAAAACTTCTTATTGGGTACCATGTTCACTATTTGGGTGACGGGTTCACTAGAAGCCCAAACCTCAGCATCATGCAATATGCCAGTGTAACGAACCTGCACAAGTACCCCCAGAATCTAAAATTAAAAAAAAATATGTTGAACTGAATAAAAATGAAAATATACCCTATCAAAATTTGTAGTATGCATCTAAAACAGTGCCGAAAGGGAAATTTATACCACTAAATGCCTACATTAGGCAAGAAAAGTCTTAAATCAGTAAGCTCCTACCTGACGAACCAGAACAAAAGCATAATAAACACAGATCGAGCAGAAGAAAAGAATAAAGAGCAGACATTAATGAAAGTGGAAAAACAGTAGAGGAAAATCAATAAAACAAAAAGCTGATTCCTTGAAAACATAATAAAATGGACTATCTATTTAGTAAAAACAGATGAAGATGATATATTTTAATACAAATTACCAATAGTATAAATGAAATAGGGGATGAAACTACAGACTCCATAAATATCAAAAAGATAATAAGGAAATACTACAAACAACTCTACATATGTAATTTGGCAATTTAGATAAAACAAACTCTTTTCTTAAAAAACACAAACTCCCATAACTCATGCTGCATGGCATAGATAATTTGAATAAGCCTATAAATATGTTAAGGAAATAGAAGAATTAGGTTGAATTAAAGAATTTATAATTGAATTTGAAAAAGAATCTCCAAGCCCAAATGCTTTCACTGAAGAACCAATTGCTAACAGAAGTATTCACACCAATTCTATACAATCTCTTCCAGAAAACAGAAGAGGAAGGAAAACTTCACAACTCATTTTATGAGGCCAATATTACCCTGATATCAAAATCAGACAATATAAAAAAATAAAACTACAAACCAATATCACTTATATATGCAAAAAATCTTTTTTTTTTTTTTTTTTTTTTTTTTTTTTGAGACAGAGTCTCGCTCTGTTGCCCAGGCTGGAGTGCAGTAGTGCCATCTCCAATCACTGCAAGCTCTGCCTCCTGGGTCCACGCCATTCTCCTGCCTCAGCCTCCTGAGTAGCTGGGACTACAGGCGCCTGCCACTGCACCCGGCTAATTTTTTTTGTATTTTTAGTAGAGACAGGGTTTCACCGTGTTAGCCAGGATAGTCTCCATCTCTTGACTTTGTGATCCTCCCGTCTCAGCCTCCCAAAGTACTGGGATTACAGGCATGAGCCACCACACCCGGCTGCAAAAATTCTTAACAAAATATTAACCAAAAAAGCCCAGGACTAGACAGATTCACAGCCAAATTCTACCAGTTGTACAAAGAGCTACTACCAATCTTACTGAAACTATTCCAAACAATCAGGAGGAGGGATTCCTTTCTTACTCAGTTCAATGAATTTTTAATTCCCTTAAGACCTCCTTGTAGATCCACGGATTATTTAGAAGTGTGTTGTTTCATTTCCAGATACTTACAGATTTTCCTGTTAACCTTTCTGTTGTTAATTTCTAGTTTGATTTCATTGTGGTCAGATCAGAGAACATACTCTATATGATTTCAATTCTTTTTTTTTTTTTTTTTTGAGACAGGGTCTCTCTCTCTGTTGCCCAGGCTAGTGTGCAGTGGTGCCACCATAGCTTGCTACAGCCTTGACCTCCTAAGCTCAAGCAACCCTCCTGCCTCAGCCTCCCAACTAGCTGGGAATACAGATGTGTGCCAGTACACCTGGCTAATTTTCTTTTTTGTAGAGATGAGGTCTCACCATGTTGTCCAGGTTGGTCTTAAACTCCTGGCCTCAAGTGATCTTCCTGCCTCAGCCTCCCAAAATGCTAGGATTACAGGTGTAAGCCACTGTGCCTAGCCTCAATTCTTTTAAATTTATTGAAATTCTTCTGTGGCTCTGGATATATTCCATCTTGGTAAATATTTCTTGAGCAAATAAAATTCAGCAATACATAAAAGATGTGTGCGCTGTGACCAAGTGGGATTTAATCCAGAGATGCAAGGCTGGTGCGACAGTTGAAACCAACCAATGAAATCTATCATAATAATAGGATAAAGAGGAAAAATCAGAATATATAAATTGATGCAGAAAAAGCACTTGACAGAGTCCAATATCCATTCATAATAAAAGTCTAGGAATACAGGGGACCTTCCTCAATTTGCTGAAGAACAGCTACAAAATACCTACAGTTAAAATCATACTTAGTGGTTACAGGCTAAATGGTTTCTCTCTGAGAATAACAAGGCAAAGATGACTACTCTCATCACTCATTTAACATAGGACTAGAAGTTCAAGCCAGTGCAATAAAGCAGGAAAATGTAATAAAAAGAATACACATTACAAAGAAAGAAATCCTTATCTGCAGATAATATTATGATCTACATAGAAAATTCCAAGAAATCTAGAAAACTCTTAGAATGACTAAATATGTTCATTAAGTTCTCAGGTATCAAGATTGATACAAAAAATCAATTGTATTTCTGCATACTAGCAATGAGCCTTTGGAAACAAATTAAACTACACTCACTCAACAAAATGAAGTTTTTAGATGCAGATCTTTTAAAAAGGCACAAGACTTATATCTTACAAGTGAAAAAGAATAATATAATAAAACTCTAAGCCCATAATATATCCACTTTAAGAAACAAAACATTACTAATATATTTAAAGCCCATTTTGTATCCTTTCTAATTATATTTTCCTGATTTCCCACCCTGATGTAACCATTATTCTCAGTTTAGTTTTTTATCCTTCCCATGAATTTTTTACACTTTTGGTATATATGTGTCTATTCCTAACAATATATACTGTTGTTCTCCATGAGTCAAAACTTCGTGTTATATTACATGTATTCAGCAATTAACTTTTTTCTCAACATTATGTTTGTAAGATTAATCCACATAGTTTTTATTATTGCAGTTTTGTAATTTTTATTGCTATATAATATCACACTGTAAGAATATATGGTAATTTATTCACTTTTCTGTTGGTGAATGCTAAATTTGTTTCTACATGTTTGTTATTACAAAGGATGCAGCTAAAAACATTCTTGTGTAGGGGTGGAATTGCTGTGTTATAGGTATACAAATATTT
Source organism: Homo sapiens (assembly GCF_000001405.40). Classification (NCBI taxonomy): domain Eukaryota; kingdom Metazoa; phylum Chordata; class Mammalia; order Primates; family Hominidae; genus Homo; species Homo sapiens. Next base: position 134,270,884 of record NC_000007.14, read on the forward strand.
AACTATCAGATATTACTATAGTGGTTGCTGTAATATGCTCTCACCAACACGTAAGAGGGTGCTCATTTTTTCACATTTTCAGCAAGTGGCATTAATAGTCTTTTTATTGCTAATCCAATAAATGTTAATGTAATCTCATTGTGGTGTTAAGTGTTTAGTTTGAATTTCTCCAATTGTCAAGTAAAGTTGAACCTTTTAAATAAGCTTATTGGCCACCTACAGTTCTCTTCTGTGAATTGCCTGTTTATATGTTTTGCCCAATTTTAAATTGAGTTATTATCTTTTTCTTATTGGTTTGATGTATTTATATATTCTGGTTAATAATTTTTTGTTAATTAAGCATATTACAAAGATCTTTTTCCAGGTTGTGACTTATTTTTTCACCTTTTAAAATGTTATATTTTAATGAATACAAGTTTTTTATATGGCCAACTTTGTCAATCTTTTTCTTTTTGATTTGTACTTTTTAGATCTTATGAGTTTCTTTTTTATCCTATTGTAATAAACATAATCTCAGATATTTTTCTAAATTTTTGTTAAGTTTCACTCTTCCAATTTAGGCCTATATTTTACTTGGAATGAACTTCTGTGTATGATGTGAGATAGGATTGAATTTTTTTTTATTCCAGTTGTCCCATTACTCTCCCCTCCTAGTTTGTAATACCCTCTCTCTCATAGATTGTTTCCATAAATGCTTGGATTTATGTATCAAATTCTACAAATGCCTCACTTGGAGTTGGTTAGAATTACATTTAATTCAAAAATTTGAGGAGGTTTCTCTTTTTTTATGATACTTGCTCTCCCTATCTGTAAACATTCTCTATTTATGTAGGTTTTCATTAATTTCTTCAATACAATTGTATAATTTTCTCCATAAAGGACAAATGTATCTTTAGTGAGATTTATTCCTAGATGCATTTTATCTTGGTTGTTGTAAATTGGATGTTTTTAAAGGTTATATTTTCTCCGTCTGGTGTATAAAATGCAATTCATTTCTACAAATAACCCTGTGTATTAATTCTGACAATGTATTATAGATAATTTCAGGATTTCTATGCAGATAGTATAATAAAAAATAACAATATTCCTTTTCTTTCCATCCGTTATTATTTTCTTTTTCCCTTTCCTTTCTTCTTTTCTAAGCTGCACTGGAGACAATCTTCAATACAATGTTGAATAGAAACAATGATAACGAGCATCCTTGTCTCACATCTGAATCTGTCTAATGCTTCACTATTCAGTGTGAAATTTGCTATAGATTTTAGGTAGATAAACTTCTTTGGAAAAAGAAGTTTCATTTTCTTCCTAGTTTAATAGGAGTTTTACCATGAATAAGTATTGATAAGAGGGTGTTTTCTTTGTAGGGTACAAACACTTGCAGTATGTATTAATTCAATCATATTCATTGTATTATTCAAACCATTTATTTCCTTTTTCATTTTTTCCTACTTATTCATATGGATAGGTCAAAAAATTTCTCACTGTGATAGGGTTTCTGTTCCCTTCTCTTCTTTCCTTTCCCTCCTTACCTCCCTCCCTTCCTTCCTGTATTGCTGGATGGTTGTAGAAAAGTCAGTGGTACGTAAGAAATGCTTACAAAGGCATCAGAAGTAAATACCACACAAATAAAAAGCAAGGAGGGGTAGGAATATTATAATCAGACAAAGTAGAAGTCAAGACAAAAATCATTAAATGATACATAAAATACCTTTTACATTAAGTCAGGTACATCCCATTATTAAGATATAATAACAGTTATAAGCCCTTATGAGTTGAATAACATGACATCAAAGTATATAAGGCAAAAAGTATAAGAAATGAAAATTACTTTGTCTGAATGACAGTACTATCATTTATAAAACTAACAGAATTTCTTATTAAGAGTCTTGTGATGATTAAGCTAGGTAATGCATCTGTGGTGAGTATGAATACTTCAGGCCACAAACTTTTAATTTTAAGTGCAATCCAAAGTGAAAGAATTAATCTTATTCTCAGTCAATTCAGGACAATCTCATTTAATTCACAGTTTCTCCTCTCTTGCATTTTACTTCGGATTTTATCCAACTTCAGGGGGTTGTGGGGTTTCAAGGCATCAGGGGAGACATTAGGTTCCTCCCTGCATTCATAAGAAAGTCTTGAGTATTGTCTATTTGCCAGAATGCATGCCTGGCTGTGGCTGCATCCCCATCATTCTGACCTCTCCAGGTGTGTGAACAATCTTCTTCATGGAACTTTGGTTCCCTTCATGAAAGCACATAATAAGCCAACTGCTCCCTGTGCCAAGAGTCAGGCTCAGCCCTTCTCTGCCTTGACACACACCTGGTCTTCCCCTGACTAGGGGAAGACATATTGGGATGTAGACATATTGAGAACTTGGCGAACCTGATGCCTGGTAGAGCTCTCTATGGTAGAGCCAGGCAGTGGGCATGAATGCCCTTCCTCTCAGAGTCCCACATTCAAATGAGATTTCTATGGTAAACTGGTCCCTGAGGTTATGCCTCTGAAGTAATTGTTCTCAACCTTGTGTGCATAACAGACTCTTTATAAGCTCCCAAAATACCAAAGCCCACTATCCATCCCAAGCCAATTAAATAAGAATCTATGAGCAGGGAAGCTCAGGCATTGCACTTTTTTTTTTTTAAGTCCCCAGAGTGAGTCCAGTGTGCAAATAGGTTTGAGAACCGCTGCTCCACAAGGTTGAATGGGGGCTTTCTAGAATGATTTTGGCAAATTTTTTAATTTTTGGCCTTCAGCAGTTTATGAGTGATCATATTAACATACCCTCATTAGCATAAAGTGTATTATACTTTTTTAGAATTACTAATTTGTTTGTTGAAAAATATGTTATTTTACTGATTAGGTTTACTATTGTTCATATGCTTATTTTTTATTAGTATTTCCTTCTGAACCACAAATTGTTGGCTCATGTCTTTGTTACATTTTTATTCTGGGATGTTGGTGTTTTCTCTTATATTTTTGTGAAAGTGATTTAATATTAATAATAGTCTATTCAATATTAACTATGTGGTTCCCATTTGTTATAAATATTCATCTTAATTTGTTATTGGTCTGCATTTATTTTAAATAGAGAAGTTTTTAACTCTATATTTTCCTATGTAGTGTTTGGTTGTGTATACACATCCTGTCTTCCACAAGCAGCACTGTCCAATAGAGCTTTCTGTGATGATGGAAATATGTAGAAATATCTACTTCGTCCACTATGGTGGCCACCAGCTCCGTGTAGTTGTTGAGCACTTGAAATGTGGCTGGTGTGACTGAGGAAATGAACTTTTCATTTTAATTAATTGAAAGGTAGATAATCACATGTGACTAGTGACTACCATATTGGACAGTGAAATTATAAAGGGTTTATCATTATGGTTTTGTGCTTTTTGACCCAACAGTGATTTTGAGAGTTTTCTTCCTTATAAGTTCTAGTTTTGGTGAATTACAATAAAGAAATAAAAGTATGGCTTATATAGTTTATATTTCTAAATTTTATTGATGTTCTTTTTGCCTTAAGATAATGTGGTCAATTTTAGAAAATCAGTGGAATTGAAAAGAAAATCTGTGATATAAAATGTTGCTATATCTACTAATTCAATTTTACTGATTATGTTATTTAAATTACCTAGATACATCCTCTTATTTTTATCAACTTGTTCTGTAATAGATGGTGTGGGATTTTAGTACCTAATTATAATTGTGTTTTAGTCTCTTTCTTATATATCAAATAGTTTTTTGCTATATAAATTTTGATGTTATGTTAATCAGCTCATAAATGCACAGGACTATTATATTGCAATTACAGATTTCATCTTGTTTCAATGGAAAAGAGTCCTTTTTGTTTCATTGTTGTATTGAATTGTTTTTGCTTTGAACTTTCCTTTGAAAATATCAGTGCCACCTGTGCTTATTTTTATTTGCCTTCTATACCTATCATTTCAATCTTATCTTTTTAATGTAATTTAAGTTTGGTCTCACTCTTGATCTTCTTTAACTCAATTCAAATCTGTCTTTCATTTCAGTTGTAGAGCAAAACTATTTTTATTTATTTTTCATACTAAGTTCAGTCCTATTTCTACCATTTTGTTTTATATTTTTTATTGAGTTTGACACTGATGTTTTGCTGTTTCACTTATTGGTTTATGCTTTTTGCTATACTTTTTTTGCTCTTTTCATTTATAGTAATTTGGAAGGTATATTTTTCTCTACTCTGATGTATATCATGGTATTTAATTTTTTTCATTTCTCCCTGTCTTTCCCATTCCCACAATTATAAGTTTAATTAGAAATTACAGACTCAGTTTATAGAATCTCATCTCCATTTTTTTCAAATACATCTTTAAGAGCTATTTTGGCTTTATATTCAATATTTATGTTACTGCAATTCTCTCTGAACTTTTTAGTAATTTAAATGTTTACTACCAATTGTTTTATATGGTAACTGTCTCATGGTCAAATTCTTGATCTAAAAGCCAGAAGAGAAAGTGAGGGGAAGGGAGCATTTTGGAATATATACAGTAATAGAAGAGTCTGCTTGATTTCTGTATTCCAGCAGGAGAGATGAGAGGTGAGAAATGACTGAATTTTTTTCTTTGCATTTATTTTGCTATTCCCAAGATATATATGCTTTTTCTGTTATGCTCAGGATACTTTGCTTAGTGGAAATACCAAGACTTTGGCATATGGACTCAACTTTAGATGTTATTTCTAGTGCCAGTTACCCTTGTTAATGTTGAAGTTTTTTCCTGGATTTTATCAAGCTGTTGTCTTTCACCCCCTTGATAAATTCATTGAATGAGAAGTTTAGGAGAGGTAGCTGCCAATATGCTACCACATTAACCAGGTTTATCTGCACTCCAATTTCTAGAGAGCACTAAGTTTTCAAAAGTTCATAAAAATGTGTGTATTTATGTATTTTTATATCATCTCATTCCAAAAATATTTGAGAATATTTAGTAGTAAATTCAATTCAATTAGATAAGGCACAAAAAGGACAAGGATATTGGGGCAAAAAGAAAGAAAAATGTTTAATATATCAAATGCAAGCTCTAATTGTTAGAATCACAAAATGAAGCTTCCTGGTAGCCAAAGCAAAGAAAGAAGCAAGCTCCATTCCACAGTATCAAGACTCATGGTGACCCTAAGACCTTAAGTCAAACAATTGCTCAGAAGCAGCACAGCTTTTCTTGATAATGACTTCAGAGACTTACTTTCCCAGTTCTCCCAAAGAGGGCACTGTATGAAGGTATGGACCACACTCTCAGTAGCTTACGGGCATTAAATACAGTCTTGAGTTTGACAAAGCCATTTCTATTTCTTGTAATGACATATAATGTCGACTATAGAATACGAAATCACAATTCTCCCCATCCCCACCAAAGGCGTGATTTGACAGGCATGTCTAACTATGTAGGAAGGCACTATTATAGAATGATTCACTGTGGGAGACTGCTGTCAGAATTCCTGAGTTCAAATCCTGGTTCAGCCCTTTGCTAGGAGTCTGACTTTAGGCAATTTACTCCGCTCTGTTTCTTCATCTGTTAGGCTCGGTCACGGAAGGACCGATGGTGGTGTCATTCACAGAAAGGTGGGGGACAGGGTGGGGGAGATGGATGGGGACATATCATGAATCAGGTTGAACAATATCAGGCAGGCCTCTAGCCTCAAGTCCTCAATTCTCTGGGGCTGCATCTTGGAAGAGAATTAATAATCAAGTGGTGGAAAATAGAAAGGAAAAAAAAAGAATTCCATTGATTCTAAGAGGATATTTTTCACATTTTAATATCTCTAAACTCAGGGCACATTTAAAAATTGATGGCATGCCATGGCTGAACTGGCAGCATTGTTTCTCTTCTTGGTGGAATAGAAAATGATGGTGTATATGACAATGCACCACATCCTAGATTCAATAAATTATGGTAGCAATAATTATTGTAAGAGGCCGGCCGCTCCTCAGGGGCAGCCAAGGTCTGTCTGGGGAGGTGACATGGATCCGGCTAAAGTTCTGGCAATCCAAGAGGACCATGTCTGTCCAGTTAGGGTGCTGTCAGGTGAGAAGGTGTTCAGCAGAAGCACAGTTCTCTTATTTTAAGAGGAATCCTTCCTAAGGCTAATCCTTGCTGCCGTTCCCAGCATCCTCATAAGGATGAAAAGGAACCAAGGAGCTGCTGCATATAGCAGGAAACTCCTTTTGTTTGCCAGGGAGAAGAGTCAGCCACAAATACACATGAGCATATGCAGGTCAGAGGGAGGCAGGGAGCAAGTTGACAGCCTGCCAGGGGCCTCTCCAGTACCACTTCCCTATGGTTATATGTTTTTTTTTCACCAGTCAGCCAGGACTGCGGAGAGATCATCGCCAGTGGATGCTTTCTCTGACCTTTCCTTCCTGCATGCTGTTGGGAAGACTGGCCCCAAATCCAACGGGAAGGATATCAGAGACCACCGAGTTTGGGGCACAGAGAAACTCACAAAAATGTGGGAGAAGCAGAAATAGCTACACCATACCCGTTTTGGAAGAGGCTACATCTACATTCAAGGGAAGTTTATGCCCCATTCCCCTTGAACTGTCCATGTAAAGCGCTTGTCAAATGATCGATGCTCCATATAAACATGAGCTATTTTCCTTTTATAAGTTTGTTTGCCCAGACAGGTTTGGAAGGTATGGAAGATCTATTAGGAAATCCCAGAAATGCAGCTCTGCATTTCATGGTGTGTGGGAATGCTGGGGGAGGGGAAGACCTAGAAGTGTCCCTGTAGGTTGAGAGTTCCATGCACCTTGGTCTGCCCTTGGCTGTCCCAGTTTATGTCTATTGTCTCAGCAAAATTATTAACAGAGGTCCCTGTCACCCTCAAAAGTATTCTCATGCAGACAATAATTTCATGATCACTCTACAGGTGGCTCATGTGAGTCCAACTTTCTGTTTCCTTTCATACACGTGAGAAATAATTTAAATATAGAGAGATTAAAAATGGAATCAGTAAGATATTCAAATGCTTGAGAACAAGAATTTCAAACCCAAGAAATCAGGAATAAATAAAAACACACATAAAAAATAAATACCATAGTATAGGATATTTCTATATTAGACTTGTTAAATGTAGACACTTGAGAAGTTAAAAGATCTATCCTAAACCAACAGTTCAAACTAAGTATTTTTAAGGTATAACATTAAAACATGTAATAATAAATCTTAAAGGACAAAATAGAGAGCCTAAATATTTAAATAGATAAATTGCACAATAGGATGAATATGAATAGAAAACAAAAGAATAAAAATAGAGTGAGAAAATCTCATTAAAGCAATGCACAGCTGTAGGTAATACACACATATATATGTTTACATTTGTAATATATGTATAGATACATAATATTTATCTCCTTAGCAAAACAAATAAACCAAAATCTAAAAGAGAAATGGGAAAAAATGAAAATTAGGCCTTAGCTAGAAGTCTATGAATAGCAACAACTCTTAAATTCTGTGGTCAAATGGTCTTCTCACAGCGCGGTGCCCACGCAATGTCTGTGGCAGGGGGAGAAGAGGTGTGAGGGCACCTGGAAAATGTACCTTTCCTTCCTCTCCCAAATCACATCAAATCCCCTAAAACAAACACTTCTCATAGCAATATTGGTGAGACATTGCACGCATATTCGTACATGTGCCATTTAGATTTCCAAGTGCATAAGCATTCTATGTTATCATTTTTTACGTTTCTGAAAAAAACCTTCCTTAAAGAAGTTGATTAATGAAACTATCCCAATCCCAAACACTATTAATAGCACAGGGTGTTGTTTAGAAAGATGATGAAATTAACACACAAAGAACAGCTACTCAGTACAAAAATCAGCCTAGCACCAGACAGGATCTATGGTATTACTCTTTTTAAAAATCATATGCAGGAAGTTTCGTCAAACAAGAACTGTAAAAAATGAGAGCAATTTGATTAACTAATTACAATGCTTCCATCAATCAAAGTGGCTCCACTAAGGTCATATACAACTTGGTTGCATTTAAGGAGAAAGGTCTGCAGTTACACATTTTCTCTTGTTTACTAACGTAAAAGACTTCAGGTTTTTTATTAACCCAGGCAGTCGTTGGCATGAGAGATTAGTTTTGCAATTTGATGAGGTACATTCCACAGCACGTTAAATTAGAATCCCAGATACTAAAGCCCCAAATCTAATTTTCACCCTGGTTTATAAGGTTCTCTTGAAAATTCTATTATCCTAATGCATGCCTCTTATTCTCTAACTCCTATAAAAGACCATGCCAATTATAAAGTCAAAAATATTCTGAATTGCCACTGTGGAATATTTAAATTTTTATATTTACTGGATCATTGAGCTTAGGTACAAAGCTCCAATCTATTTACCTAAAATTGCAGTTCTTATAAATTGTAGCAAAATTCTGGATCTAACTATGAATTCTGTCAAATAAGGATTTGATTGAGCCACTCAATTTGCCTAAATAATAACTACACTTGCTTGTTCTTGGGCAGGTCCTTAAAAAACTAATCAGTATATGGTTCAGAAAGCCAGAGGATGGAGGGAAATGGAGAAACAGGGAAGGCAAGATAACAGAAGGTGAAGGATGCTGCTTGATTTCATTGCACCAGTGTTGACAACATGACTTTCACTTATGAAACTGAGCTACGTACGGATGAGAGTGTGAGCATTTCCTGTAACTTTCCCCAGGACACTCTTTGCCCAGATCACCAAAGTGCTTGCTCCCTCATCTTCTAAGATATTTGCTCACGCATCAATGTCTCAGGTCTTCCCTGATCATCCTATTTAAACATCTGTCTGTCTAGAGCCCCCACCTACACCCCACATCTTTCTTTCCCTGCTTCATTTGTCTCCAGAGCACTTTTCAACATCTAACATTTATTTTAATTATGTATCTTGTTTACCATGTATTTCCTCTTATTAAAATGGAAGCCCAGAAAAGCAGAGATAACCTCGATTCTAAATTTCTAGATTGTGATTACCTTGTTTGGTTAATAGGACATGTTGCTTGATGTTGCTAATTATTGAGCTTTATGAAAATGCTATCATTCTGTTTGTTGTCTTGTGAGCCTGGCTTTTTATGCTCAACATTATGCTTTTGAGATTCAGCTTTGTTGATGGCTGAAGCTATAGTACATTCATTACTTTTCTACTTTTCCATTCTCTTGTCAACAGCAATTTTGGTCTTTCCAGTTTTTTGCAAAGCAAGCAGTTCTATAATGAAAAATCTTACATATGTCTGCTGGTACACATGTGAAAGAGTTTTTCTATGGGTATATCCAGGAGTGGAATTTCTGGTTGCAGGGTAGACAGGTCTTCTTATTTCCCAAGTGGGCTCTACCAATTTGAGCTACACAGTAGTATTTAAAAAGTTTCTGTGGGTACACTGTTTGTCCAAACTTAATATTTTCCAGCTTTCCAATTTTGGTCAATCTGATGAATGTAATGTGATATGTCACTCTGGATTTAAAAAGCATTTCTCTAATTATTAATGTAATCAAGCATCCTTTCATATTTAGTGACCATTGGGTGTTTTCTGTTCTGTGAAATTCCTATTTTTGTGAAATATTGTTCATGTCTTTTTTGCCTGTTCTTCTATTTAGTTGTCTTTTCCTTACTGATTTTAGGAGTTCTTTCTAAATGCTGTCTATTAATATTTTATCTGTTGTACGTACACAAACATGTTCTCCTAGTTTGTGGCTTAATTATTATCCTTTCATCTTTTTCCCCCCTCTCTTCCTTGTCATACTTTCCCCTGGAATATCTATGGATTTGGAACAGGAGGAGAACCCATTCATGTCAACTTGATGCGTCACATTATGCAGAAATTCCCAATAGACACTTCCTTCCTCTTAAATTTTCCCATTCCTAGCATTTTTGATAGCCTTTCCTAGATAACTTTTCAAAAACAAAAAAACAAATTGCTAACCCCTCTGGTGTGCAAATTATTCTATTTCATTATTAAATTGGGGAGTAAAATAATTATTTTTATTTCTTCCTTTGAGCACCATTTGGAGTTAAACCAATTTCCAGTATTCCTCCATAACCTTAACTAACTGAACACAATACATAATTTATAGGTAATTTGACAGCTGCTATAATGCTTAGCACATTTTAATGCCATTTGTTTCTTGGAATTCTTTGCATAAATGATACTCTAAGAGTCAAAGCTTTCCTTTTGTTCTTAATTTTTCCTTCCTCTAAGCTTTTAATTTTGCATGAAATTTGACATTAAATCTATAAAGATTCTTGTTCCAAGATTAGATCTAGATTCTTGGTCAATGATAACATTTGTAAGAACAGGGACTCTGTTGATTTTGCTCAGCAATGTGCTCCTGGTACCTAGCATCTTATCTGGCACCTAATAGCTTGCCCAATATATACTTGACTAATGATGTAGGTAAAGTATACAGCACAAAATTGTCTTTAAGAATCTTAAATATTTACACTCTAGGGACTAATATGTCTGTCTCTAGAGATATATTCTAGGAATGAAATCAATCTGATCAGTGCAGACATATTTACCTACAAAGATGTTCATGTGATTGTTATTTATAATAAAGTTTGGAAACGGTGAATGTTAAATGATCAACAATAATGAATTTGTTTAAATAATTATGGAACATCTACATAATAGACTGTCATAAAGTCATTAAAACTCACATTTTCAAAGAAAATTAGAAACGTATACAAAACAGTGCTAAGTGAATAAAACAACATAGAACTGTATATTTAGTATGATACTATTTTGGCATATGGCATATAGGTGAAGGAAAAACTGGAAAGAAAAATACTAATATTTTTCAGTAGTTGTCTTTGGTTAGTGAGAACTACCACATCACACGGGTTGGAGGCATCTTGAAATCAGTACCAAGCTGTTTCAGCTACGTATTTCTACAGCTTAGCTCAGTGCTTGTGAATTGTGGTACTCAACAATTAATGAATTAGAATAGCACACTTAAAAATAATCAGAATTCTTAATCCTGCATGGGCCTTTTCAGTAACTTGTCATTGGTCATGTATTCTAAAACTTCATGTATCAGCTCAAGTTTCTGCTTGCAAAACAGGGGGTGGGCCATGCCCTCCAAGGGCACTCTGGGGACTGGAAATGGCAGAGGCACCTCAAGGAGTTTTCATTATCTCCTTCGAATGCCTGCGGACTGTGCTGACAAAGTGTGTTGTGGAATCTGTGCCTTAGCTGCTTGAATTGAACTCAATACGCAGCATCCACAGCAGAGCGTGTGTGTTTTTGTCTGATTTGAAATAGAAATATTTCCATTCACTCTTGGTGGGAGATTGTCAAACACAAGGCACTAAACATACTGAGCGCAGCAACGCTGGCTTCCATGAATTATCTATTATACCGTGGCTACATTTTGGCTACTTAAGGATGATTTGGGGATATGTTCTCACTCTAATTTTTTTTGTATTACCCATTGGCTGCCAGTATCTGATCCTGGATTGACTATGCATGACTCCAGCAGTGGTTACTGTGGGGCCTGGGCTTCCTGGGCCATTCAATTATAAGATCATGTATTAGTCTGTTTTCACTCTCCTGATAAAGACATACTTGAGACTGGGTAATTTATAAAGAAAAAGAGGTTTAATGGACTTACAGTGCCACATGGCTGGGGAGGCCTCACAATCATGGTGGAAGGTGAAAGGCACGTCTTACATTGGCGGTAGGCAAGAGACAGAATAAGGACCAAGCACAAGGGGTTTCCCCTTATTAAACCATCTGATCTCGTGAGACTTATTCACAATCACAAGAACAGTATGGGGGAAATCGCCCCCATGGTTCAATTATCTCCCACCGGTTCCCTCCCACAACATGCAAGAATTATGGGAGCTACAATTCAAGATGAGATTTGGGTGGGGACACAGCCAAACTATATCACAAGTCCTCTGGCCTGAGAGCCCTAGAGGTCCTCTGGCAGAAATGATGCAGAAGACTTTGGGAAAGTAGGGAATGTGTTCCCGGTTCCTCAGCAGAGGGCCACTCTTATCTGTAATCACTCTCAGATAAGATCTTCTAAGATTGGCTGATATTCCTGTGGCCACCCAGGAAGGAGAGATTCTCCTTCAGCATCGCAAGTCAAGGAATGGGCATGGACGCAGCAGCAGAGACAAGGCGACCCCACAGACCACAGAGGGCACAAGCCACACCATCTCCTTGAAAGAGTTGGTGGTGGTTGTGGTGAGTCCTCTTGGAATCTAGGAAAATAATAACAGGAAGACAGAAAGCTCTAAATTAAGGAGGTGCCCTAATCCTTCCTCCACCTCAAGGCTACACTTCCAGTGTTTCACTGTGATCTGCCTCTGCCATTCATTTTTCTTCATTAAAATCCCTTTGCCAAGCTTTAATTTCCCCACTCCAAGCCCTTTGTGGTCTCTTGCCTGAGGTAAGCCAGGGGTTTGGACCCAGGGAAATGCTCAGAGTTAAACGCCCAGGGGTAGCCAAGGCAATGTTTCCAGGGTCAGGCACTGGAGCTGCAGGGTCACCAGGCTTCAGGGACCACAAGAACCAATAATGGGTAGAAATACAGAAGACCCCATTCATTTTTTAAACATCACATTAGACTCCTGGGTTTTTGTTTGGCACCAGGGAAGTGAGGGTGCCTTAGCAAAGGTGGAGCTTGAGAGCCCTCCCAGTCTGGCAGAATGAGGGCTGGAAATGAGCTCTTGAAATCAAAGTCTTCATAACAATTCTATGCACCATTCCTTTCACAACCCAGTTTGTGGTGCAAAATTCATACCCATTGTACTCACGCCCTCCGGGGTTGTGAGGAGTGTACCAATAACAAACTTGGGCTTCCCAAAGACTTTAAGGACAAATTCCAAATGACATCAACAAATATGGGAGTCAAAGACTCCCATAAAGCAAGAAGTTTTTTGTCTTCCAGCAGATAACAGCAAAGTGTTAATGTTAGCATTGGCGAAATACCTTCTGTCACTGTCAGCTGCCTCGGTTTTCTGTTACCCCTAAATGCCATTCGTGGTTTTATATTCTACCAAGCGTGCCTCTGTTTACATAATTAACAACTTCTGCAGTGGTTAATGGATGAGGAGAAAACTCTCTAAGGAGGCGATCTTAATTCAACCCACGTCTCCTACAGGAAGACACACGCTTCTATGCAAAGCGTAGACATGACATGATGGGGGATTTACACACGGCCTTTATAGAGTAATTTACTAGCAAACTTGGGTGTATATTATTGTAAACTGCTGTATACCGTGTGATTACAAGATTAAGAAAGAAGGAGTGAATTGCTAATCTTGTCAGTCCAACTGTTTTCTTTCTTGATAACATTTGCGTTATTACACTTTGGGTGATGAAAGACTGTAATTGGCTGTTGACACTGATTGAAGGAAGGAGACGTGGCTTTTTCAAAAAAGAGAATTAATTAGCTTGGTGAGGGGGGTAACAATTCAATCTACAGCTCTCACAGCTGCAAAACAGAAGTGAACTGTCAAAGAGTGTTTTCATCTCTTTCTTTCCCACCTGCTTTTCTCCTTTTGATGACATCTTTTCCTAGATTTAACACATTTAAAATGGGCTCACCAAAGAAAGAGGTGTGTGGGGTGGAGGGAGCTGAGGAGCCTTCAGAGGAAAAACAGAGAATGTAGCTTTCAGGATTCACAGCAGAAATACTGTAAATGTGAGTGTGTTCCATTTGCATGTGTTTAAGCAATGTTGAAGGAAGACGTCACAGACAGATGAAGCTCAGCTAAATCTCTTTATGCCACTCAAGTTGTTTTAAACCAGTAACGAACACCTGAGACCTCGTTGCTTGTCTGGCAGTCGGACAAGGATAATCTAGGTAAGCTGACAAATCCTGGTTTACTTGGTTGAGTCTCCATGGAGGCTGATTGTATTAATGAAAACTTGCTGTCCTACAAGATATAAGGTATGCTTGAACTGCAACCGGTTCAATATGGCACCTTTTCACCCACAAGAAACCCCAGGTCCAAGAGTTAGGAGGCAGAAGTGAATGGCTTCTCATTGTTACCCATAATAACCCCTTGCAAAATTTTTATTTCTGATCCCCACAACTTCAAGTGCTGCTGGTCTGGAAGTTTTAGTTCTCAAGGGAGGAACGCTGTCACCAAGGAGTACAACAAAGGTTTAGTTGAGGAAAGAGTTGAGACTGCCACCTGGTCACATTTGCCTTTTTATGCCCCTGAAGCAGTAGACAAGAAAGACGATGACTACAGTTGCTGGGGGAATTGATCCTGGTTATCAAGGGGAAACAGAGTTCCTGCTACATCATGCAGATAAGGAATATGTGAAACTCAAGGCATTCCCTGTGTACCTTTCTTCGTACTTACATGTCCAGTGGTAAAAGTTAATGAACACCACCACCAATGTAGGCAGGAAAGGGAATCAAGGTTTTGGTCCTTCCACAAGGTGAAGACCCATGACCAGCAGTGGAGCTGGCAGAGGGCAAAGGGAATACAGACTGAGGAGTGGCGTATGGCCTCATGCACGATTGCTAACATAAGGATTACAACCCTGCATATCTTACTCTTTGCATTGTTACATACATATTAGTATATTACCATTAGTGAATTGATTTTATAGAAGATGTGTGGTTAGCTTTTGATTTTTGGCTTTAGGTTCACAGGATTATCAAAGGGGAACTGCCAACTGAACTAGAAATGGATATGGAGACTTAAGGGACTTTGAATCTCCATTTTGGGAAAGAATGATAGCATGTTCATTTGCATGAACGATAGTCACATCATATTAGGAGCATGCTGTTGTTGCTCATTATTTTTGTCTGGAAGTTAAACATTATTGTTGAATAGTCCACTACAGGGGTGGACTGTGCTGGATTGCCAGTTGCCAAGTCAGTTGTATTTCCCCATTCATTTCTCTCCTGTACCAGAGGGGCTGGGAGTCTTGGAATCTACATTTCCCATAATCTTTGCTGGCAGCTTTCTGGGATTCCTCTAATGACAGGTACTCGAGGTTTGGAAGGCAGAAGTGAAGCAGAAGGCAGAAGTGAAGCAGAAGGCATCAGATTGTTCCTCTGGCAAGTGGGCTTTTGCAGATGTGCCATTTTACAGTGGCTTCCACTTGTTTTCCTTGACAACTTCCTTGAGTGACTGACCCAGCCCCAATGTGCCTATCTCCTGTGAAAAATAAACCATCAGATTGGGACTGGTTTGAGTTTCCATTACATGCAATTAAACATAATCCTGATAAAATCTGCATAAAAGAGATGACAGCTAGTTTTCATTTTCTGAGAAAATTACGCATGCAAACACATCTGTAGAGACTAATGTTTTCTAGAACTAAAAACTGAGCCATAATATAGCATTGATCCTTTTTTGAGCGGGGGATGTTAGGCAATCCGGTGGATAATGGCTAAAGTATTAAGCTCCATTTGTGTCAAAGATACTGAATCATTGAAAATGAAAACTCATGTAATGATCCTTGTATAATGGTTGAAGGTTTATTATCAAAGGATAATTCAGGGATGGCATTTATCCAGGTAGGTGAGAAAATAGAATTTAAATGTTTTCTGGGACAGAACTTGGAGAAACTGAAAGACCAGTTAATATATAAATTAAATATTCTGCAAATTACACTTACTTAAGTAGCATTGATTGATGTTTTGATTCAATTACCTTTTTCTATTCTGTATATTTATTATTGCTGATTAACCTGAAACTCATATGCTACAGATACCAGAGAAAATGGGTACATTTTGATGTGAACATTTGAGAAGCAGAATGGCTTCAGAGTCCTGTTTTGCTGCTAACTTCCTGGGTTTTATTTTCTTCTTGCTGGTTGATATGGCTTGGCAATGTGTTCTCACCCAATCGCATGTTTAATCGTGATTCCCATATGTCAGGGGAGGGACCTGGTGGGGGGATTAGATCACGGGGGCAGATTTCCTCCTTGATGTTCTCATGATAGTGAGTTCTCGCATGATCTGATGGTTTAAAAGAGTGTGGCACTTCCCCTTCCCTCTCTTTCTCCTGCCACCATGTGAAGAAGGTGCTTGCTTCCCCTTTGCCTTCTGCCACGATTGTACGTTTCCTGAGGTCTCCCAATCCATGCTTCCCATTAGGCCTGTTAAGCCAGTGGAAGTGTGAGTCAATGAAACCTCTTTCCTTCATAAATTTACCCAGTCTCAGGTAGTTCTTTACAGCAGTGTGAATACAGACTAATACACCTGTACTACAGAACAGATCATAAGTTCTTAGGAAACAGGACATGAATTATTCAGACACATGATGACATAACAGACGCAAGACTTATTGATGATATTTAGCATATAAAAATCTACACCAAGCAGGGACACACAGGGCAAAGGGAGACTGTAGTCTCATTACTGAGATTTTTGAGGTGGCATAATGCAGGGATTTAACAGTATGCATTCTGAAATCAGATTTCATGGGCTCAAATCCCGGCTCCAAAATATAAGAGTAATTGAGGCAAGTTAGGAAGCTCATCTGAGCCTCAGATCCCTTATCTGTAAAATGAGGATGATTTTCTTGTCAACAATTTTTCATGAGGACTAAATAAATATAAGCGCCTTGCACGTAGTAAATATATGTTTACTATTATTACTATGTCACTCCATTTAATTGCTGGAATGGAACCTATTATTTTAACAATGCTGAAGATTCTGGGAAATCAATACAGATTTATGGCCTTCTTGAAAGGAGTGTTTCATGCAGTAAACTTCATTCAAAGCTATTACAGGAAATAATAAAACTCCAGTAATTATAATCATAAGCTCCCTTGGCTTAAAATGCATCTGTACATCATGGAGTCACATGTAAAAATGGAGCCATAGGCTAATTCCTTGAAGTGCTGATTAAGAAACAATCAGATACCAAAATAATTTTAATGATGAGATGATTTTAATTTGCAGATAAAGAACATTACTGAAAAGCTCTATTAACAAACACTTGCATAGCCAGATGTGCTTCGTTTTTCCTTTTAAAGAGAAATTTTGACATAAACACACATTCAACTCATTGACATGTATTCTTTTCTTATGGCTGCCTGATATGGTTCGGCTGTGTCCCCATCCAAATCTCATCTTGAATTGTAATAATCCCCACGTGTCAAGTGCGGGACCAGGTGGAAATAATTGAATCATGGTGACGGTTTCCCCCATGCTGTTCTCATGCTAGTGAGTGAGTTCTCACGAGATCTGATGGTTTTATAAGTGTCTGGTATTTCCCCTGCTTGTACTTCTCCTTCCTGCTGCCCTGTGAAAAAGGATGTGTTTGCTTCCCTTCCGCCATGATTTTAAGTTTCCTTAGGCCTCCTCAGCCATGCGGAACAGTGGGTCAGTTAAACCTCTTTCCTTTATAAATTACCCAAGATTGGGTATCTCTTTATTAGCAGCATGAGAATGAATTAATGCATTGCTCGAATGCTGAATGTAAGACGGGGACAAAGAAATTGGATCTTTGCTGACACCCACCTATGTGCTTGGAGCCTTTATTAATGAGGGACATCTCAGCCTGAGATACCACTGCATTGTCTGCAATTGTGTTTTGCTGCTAGCACCAGAATCACAGAGTTCTGTGTAGAAGTCTCCTCCAGTAACGAGATGATACAATTTGCTAGAGTTGACCTAAACCATAATTTAGTCCCCCAGAAGGTTCTTTACCTTTTTGTAGGCTTGTGGTTCGTAACATCTTAGAGTTCAACACACTCTAAGGCCCAAATGACTTGAGAGTGAAAGGGCTTCAGAAGCAGTGAGACCATTCCTGCGTGTAATGACAGGCCCAGGGCTGTTTAAGAACATCCAGCCCTGTCCTGATAAAACAGTAATGCCATTTTTAAAGAGATGAATTTTAACTATGCTATATTTAGTGCAAAATTTCTCATTTGTTTTTCTTTTTGTGTTCTGTACCTGGGGGCTACTGCATAACATGATTAAAAGTAGGCTGGGTGAGGTAAACTGCTTTGAAGAGTTACTTTCCAGCTGAGGTTTATTTAAAAGCAACATATCAAAGACAAAGAGAGCTGGTCACTGCAGCTGACAAAAGTCAGTGTATTTCTATCAAGGCAAAGAGGTTTTGAGAGATTTGCTATAGAATGTACTGCCACAAACCTCTAAAACTTCCAAAAGTAGGCTGATCCTCTGTAAACTAATTTCTGGCGCAGAAACCAGCCTGAGAAGTGGTTTATTACTGATCCAGCTGCGAGGCATTAGGAAGAGAGATTGCTGACAATCGTTTGTAGTAAAATATGCCACCACCACTATACAAGGTAAAAATTGGAGAGCTTTTGAAACTGCACACAGGCACTTCAAAGGTAATGGTGATTGGAAACACCTGCAAGAAATTTATCACTTTTATTAAGAAACAATGATGGTACAATTCAAGATAAACCCCAGATGTCTGATGAGTTGTTTCAGAAGGTAAAAAATAGCTCTCTATAAGAAATAATGGCAAAAAGACTCATTCAGTTTGGCAAAACATTTTATTCACAAAATCTCCCATTCCTCCTTAACTCTCTGCTCAAATAACTCTTAAGGCTGGAAGCCGATGTTTGATATTTACACAGCTCAAAATCTGAATACCCACTAATGTCTTGTAGCTGTTCTACGTACTCTCAGCTTTCTACTCCCTCCTCCCCCATCTTTGTTCTTAAAACCTAATGGTAATACTGTATGAAGAGCTCAGACGGGATGAATAAAATCCCCGCCGTCCCTCCCCACCACATAATTTGTTAGGAAATCCTACTTCTAAAATCATCATCTTTTTTTGGAGAATGAGGCCATTCTCTGGAATGAAAGCAACTGGCACAGAAATGACTGGCAATCGCAAGTGATACACAAAGGCATTTTTATTGCGCCGGGGAATAACCACTACTGCTCTCTTTGGTTCACAAGAGTCATCTATGCATTTCAAAAGATATCAGTAAGTCAATGTGCCAAAGAAATTATTACAACTTCTTTCTTAGAAAGTATCAGTATTTCTGCTTTTCTTTTTTCACGTATCTCTGGCTCCCTTGCAACTTGCCTCACTTGATTAAAATTGACAAATTTTGGTAGGACGGTTACCAATTTAAGTAGGTAAGGCTCAGGGGAGGTGTCTCAGTATGATACTGAGATCAGACCAACAGACAGTGATCTCCAGGCATCAGCTTCAGCTGCTACAAGCTAACTGTACCAACTATGGAGATGTAAGGGTGGGGCTGGTCACCCCAAGCAGCCTACTTCAAAAACTTTTAAGAATCTTTAATGTTCTATTAGGGATCTTCTTGCACTTTCTTCCTGAGCATCAAATATGTAAGGTGCTAACTACATAATACTCTTCCCTTCTACCACCAGGCAATCCAGAGCCAAAAGTGAGGTAGCAGGCTGCACACTGAGCAATCTCTGGTGTACCTCCTCCCAATAGTCGTTCTTCCTTCTCTTGCTTGGAATGTTAAAAATGTTTCCCCTTATTTGCTTTCTTGCCAACCCGCTGATGAGGAGTGGGAACAGGTATCACGAACCCTCAGGTTTTCCAGAAACTTGAGGGAAGAAGAGATCTTGGCAAGCATTCATTTATTCACATAACATAAGCCAGACACTATGCCAGGGGCTGGCGATACAGAAATGAGTAAGACATGATCCCTGGCCCCTCCCATCCCTGGAATGTCTACTAGGAAGAAGCTGCTAGAAAAAGACAACATGCTACTTTAAAGCCAAGAGGGGCCAGTCTCCCATTCCAGCTTGGTACACACTGAACACATTTGAGGCTTATGACTGGTTCTTTTACTTACAAATATTGTTTAGACACATTTTCAAATGTCACACCAATCAATAATAATAAGGAATGGATTTTATCTATATTGACAGTTCTTTCAACCTTAAGAGTGAACTGCTACAGGTAAGATTCAATCACATTTTTCAGGAGAAAGCTATTGAGACCAATATGCTTTGGTTATCTAATAAGGGTGGAATGACTTATAATGCTATTTACTCCAGGCAAAGAGAAAATACAACAGACATAGGATCTTGATTTCAACGTAGTTCTCCTCCATGTGCATTTCTCTGTCCGTTTAGGTCAATGCCAACTGGTCCACCAGTGAACATGTCCACCGGCCCTGAGCTAACTCATTGGTTTATTATTCCTGACCTAAGGTGTTTTACTTCCCCTCTCCATAGGTATCTGGCACTGTTGAGTGAAGCCAGTTAATGGGAAGGTAAAAATAGCAAAATAAGAGAGTATTGTTTCCCAAATAGAGAAGGGAATGGTGGTAGAGATTCTCAAATAGAGAAGGGAATGGTGGTAGAGATTCTCAGCCTCCATTTTGAGCTGTAACAGAATAAACAAACATTTCTACATTAACCCTTCACATTCATCGTCATCTACAGATATGGCATTCACACATTCTGCCAGATATTCTCACTATTATGAATGTACCCCCCAATATCAATGCTTGTAAGAATGTATAACAAAATACACGCTGTGCAGATATAAATACTCTGTAAAAATCCACAAAAACATCCAGGGGCCCCAAAGAAGAGAGGCATAAACAGATACAAGATGATAAGTCTTTCTTAGCAGAAAACGCTGCAAGTGAAGAAACTGGAGTGAAGAAAGTGGGGGAAGGAGTTCTGAAGTGAAACAGAGGAAAGCTGCTCAGGAGATGACTGCGGGATATTTATTAGAATCCTTGAAAAACATCACGCCATCTTTCCAGAAGAAGAGAAGAGGTTTACTCTGGGTGGCACAGACCAATTCAGCTTTCATGGTCTTCCTCCGTAGCACTGACCAAATCAAAATACTGCAGCGTTTCACTGTGGTTAACAGGATGGAAAGGAGGAAAAAACTAAAAACAAAGTATTTGGATTTGTCTAAATACTTTAGAACTTGATATAAATGTATCAAGTACATTACAGTTGTTTTAGTTGGACGAAAAAGAAAACAAAGAATCAAAAATAAATTACTAATAAACATGAAAAAGATAACATGTTTCTAATATGACAATAGAGTTTTGGCCAAAGATATGTAGACATTAAGCTAATACAATTCAAATATCCACCATCTTCAGTTACCTTATCTGTTACACTGTCAAGTTGTTCAGCAGGCACACAGGTGCACACACACACACTGTATTTTCTGGCTAGTGTCCTTTGCTATTTGATTTTTGCTCTAGCATAGAGTTTTGGATGTCTTAAAAACTAAACTCTTTGTAAACAAACAGTATCTTCATCTCTGAAGCATAAAATTACATGGTCTTGACCCAGAGAAAGAGGAGAGACATTTAATAGACATTTCTCTTCCAGTTAAGTAGGAGTCTGATCTTCTACAAAATAGTTTATTTGTCTTTTTAATAAAGGTTGAAAAAATGTCCACCCTGGATTAAAAAATCAGTTAACCAAGGGGAACGTATTTTTTTTTTAAAGAGTAGTTTTAAAAAGTATTAACTGGTGTCCATTAGACATATTTCCTTATATTCAGCTACTAGAGAAAAAACAGTTCCCAGGGAATTTGGGGCTTTCTGCTTCTATATGTGGTCATCTTGTGCGAGTGTTCTAATCTAATCTATTCCCTGCCCATACATAGCCTCCTATTCATAAGACTGGCTGAGGTATTCACGCTGAGATGAATACACATGCTCTAAGACCAGACGCGAAAACCTAATGGGCCCAAGTACTGTCTGTGAACATCAACACATACCCAATGAAGAAAACTTGTAATGTTTTCATCAACATAAAATGGGTGACATTATGTATGTGAGGCTGCATCCTATTAAGAGTTCAGAGACTCCAGATCCATAGCAATGAAGTCGCCTCTAGGGACAGGTTCTTCTATTAAGTGGTAAGAAAAAAGTAGCTTTTGTTGCTTTTAAAAGGTTATTTAACACTTGGATATTTCTAGCACCGTCAATTCTGAGGAACTCTACATATTTCAAAGCAAGTGGCTTTTGATCCTATGAATAGGTTCACTTCTAATTCAGCATCCTTCAGAAGAGCCCATTACTGGCTCTAGAAAGCTGTCAATGTCCAGAGCAACACATTATTACTCTGTAAACTCAGTGATTTAGGTGGAGAAATAATATCCACATTTTAAGTAACAAAAACCCGAGGCAGCTTAAATGACTTCTCCAAGCGACCTGGTGACTCTAGGACATTTATCTCCACTGCTGTTGCTCAAATCCATCAGAGAATAGCTCTGGACAGTGGAATAAACATACCACACCATGGAATGAGCCCAGGAGACCTGCAGAGCCACGTCTCAGTTTAAGAACACAATGTGTGCACCACACACACACACATACATACACACACACACACACAGTCTTTGTCTATAGGCAAACAGAGAAGTGGCCGGTGAGTTCAGCTGCTTACAGAGGAGCATGTACTGGTATGTAAGGTTCCAGCTAAGTAAAGAAAAGGGATGTGAAAGTGCAGCCACTTCCGTGCCCTTTGATCACACACAGACTACACAAGAGCACACAGAAGCTACGCATATTACAGCAACAGCGTTCCTCCTATTCAAGATTGTCCAGTGAAAGGAAAACTGGACCTCTGAAATGATTAGCAAAGAGAGGCATGTTTCCACACACAATAAAGCACATCCAACCATCCTCAATACCCATCGAGAATGCTAAGATACCTCATAGGACAATAACAACTTTCAATTGTCGTTGAGGTTTGACCTGATTTACACATCACACACTATATATCTCCATCTATGCATTCCCTTGATGGGTCGTGACTCTTAACAGAGTCATCGGGCAGAGGGGAATCTCCTGGTGGTGAAGCCTTATCCTCCCACTTGAGACCCACCCTTCTGCCCTGTGAGTGCCCGGCTGGGCCAACAGGGACAGCCATGGCTCTTGCGGTGCTGAGCAGGGCCATCCTGCCGTCACCACTGTGGCCTAGGCAATGGGCTTCAGGGGTGTCCAGTCCATAACAACCTTTCTTTTTTTTTTTTTTTTTTGAGATAGAGTCTCACTCTGTCACCCAGGCGGGAGTGCAGTAGCACGACCTCAGCTCACTGCAACCTTCATCTCCCGGGTTCAAGTGATTCTCCTGCCTCAGCCTCCCAAGTAGCTGGGATTACAGGCATGCGCCATCACACCCAGCTAATTTTCGTATTTTTAGTAGAGATGGGGTTTCACCATGTTGGCCAGATTGGTCTTGAACTCCTGACCTCAAGTGATACACCCACCTCAGCCTCCCAAAGGGCTGGGATTACAGGTGTGAGCCACCGTGCCCGGCACAACCTTTCTTTGTTATGAACACTGTGTCTGCTGTGAGATATGCTGCAGGGCCGCCCTAATCACAGAAAGCAATGGATAGAAGCATCTGACTTTTGCATAGAAAAAAAAAAAAGCAAAATGTGGGAAAGAGGAGTCCCACTAGTCTTGCTGCACTGTCACTGGGAATCAGCTCAGGGGAACATCTCTTTCCTTCCCAAAACGCTGGAGGAAGTCCAGCCCTGCTGTTACTGGTGTCTCGGTTTACTTGGCCACTCCTGGTGATAGTGGTGCCTGCAGCGTCTGACTGACTGTGAGGTGCTGCTGAAGAAGGAAAAGGTGATGGGAGACAAAAGGGATAAGGTCACAGGATGACAATGACTGCTGTAGCAGAGATGCATTACAACAGCAAGAGAAGGGACAATCTTTTCCAAGACCATGGATAGTAAGCCTTTTGTTCAGGAGACTCAGAATTCAGAAAACAAGAATAATACTGAATATGTCGGTAAACAAAACAGAAATAAATGAATGGGCTGTTCAATAGTCCAGAACTGTTCTTTTTTCTATTTTAGGGCTGAGGGGTTTCTATTTAGTCTACATGTGTCAGTCTGAGCAACGTGAGAAGTCCCCTCCTGAAGATTTCCTTTTGCACGGCTGGCTCAGCACTGCGGGTAGCTCGGCATTAACAAAAGCGAAACGGTGGTCAGACCTTCACAGGGTCCCACCCTCACGACGACACTGGTCTACGTACTCCAGACAGGCCTCAGTTCTTCTTGCTGTCCTTCTGAGGCTCACTTTTTGTGGTCCCTAGGTTGTTCCACACCTCTGTGTACATTAAGGTCCCAATGAAGACAAACAAGGTGCCCAGCCAGTGCCACAGGGTGAAGGGGTTCTGGAAGTACAAGATGGAAAAGATGAGGCTCACAAATTTGCGTAGGGTCACGACGAGCGTGACGGTGAGGGAGGCGCATTCTGTGGTGAGGATAAACACACCCCGGATGCACACGTACCTGGAGGAGTGGAGTCAAGGTAGTTTTCTGTAGACTGTACTTGGGGGATCAGTGAGAGAACCTTCTGGCATGGTCCCTGGTTTAACTTCTCATATTCTAAGAAAACATGAAGGTCCGCTACGGCAGCTCTGAGGCTCCTCCTGGGGAGAACCTGCAGAACAACTCCTGTCCTGCCATTCCATTTATGGGTACCAATTTGAAACCGCCAAAAAACCCCCAATTATTCTTATGTTGGAGTCTTCCTATGGTTACAATGACAGGCACCTCCAAGATAATGACAGAGGGTGACGCTCTCGGTAAGGGTGATCCCATTCACCTTTATTTATCTTGCCTCCAGCCCTTCTATCCCCTCCTCCAGAAAGGGACTCTGGCAAATCTAGGAGCTGACTTCAGAGGAATGAGGTCAATCTCGATTCGTTTCACTATTTCAAAGACATAATTATTTTTATAATGAAAGTAAGGTCATTCGAAATAACCATTTTAAAAAACGAAAACTTGATTACTTTGAAATTTCTTTTTTTTTTTGAGACAGGGTCTTGTTCTGTTACTCAAGCTAGAGTGCAGTGGAGTGATCAAGCTCACTGCAGCCTCGATCTCCTGGGCTTGAGCGATCCTCCCACCTCAGCCTCCTAAGTAGCTGGTAATTTGAAATTTCTTTCAGGACTTTGCAGCAGCTTGTGATCACTGGAAATATCTTAGGACACCAAAAAATCACAGGTACAAATCACAGATGATTTATGCTATACAGTAGTTCTTTGTTTGTTTTTTGAGATGGAGTCTCACTCTGTTGTCCAGGCTGGAGTGCAATGGCATGATCTCAGCTCACTGCAACCTCCACCTCTTGGGTTCAAGCGATTCTCCTGCCTCAGCCTATGGAGTAGCTGGGATTATAGGCACCCATCATCATGCCTGGCTTACTTTTGTATTTTTGTAGAGAGGGGGTTTCACCATGTTGGCCAGGCTGGTCTCAAACTCCTGACCTCAAGTGATCTGCCCGCCTCGGCCTCCTAAAGTGCTGGGATTACAGGCGTGAGCCACCACACCCGCCACTATCAATCAATGGACTCCTACACTTCCACTCAGAGCACTTCCTCCTGCTGCCCTGTGCCTTACTGACCTACTACACCACTAGCATCTCTTCTGCCCTCTACAAGGAGTTCCCTGAATTGGTCTCTGTCTCCAGCTTACCGCAGAATAAATCCAGCGAAAATCATATTCAAGTCAACACACTGTTAGAAGAAAAGAATGACCATTCCTGTGCCAAAAGAACCTGATGATGACATAAGGGTGACGGCACAGTCCAAAGGATACTGAGTGATGATGTTCATGAGGAGGTAGAACCACATGATGGGCAGGGTCACTCCGATGACGGGAATTTCATATAACTCTGTAGAGGTTACAAGAGGATATAGCCATATTGCTTTTTCACAGCTGAATTTTTCATCTTTTGAACAGGGTAATACAGACTGAACATAATAGGAACAGCAACATTGTCTTCCTTGCAAATAGAATTGGATCACGCATCACTTTACTTGCCTTGACTCCAGGCTATAGCAGCCACTAAAGTCATTAAATTGGTTTCTTAAAACAAATAATAGTTTTAATTTTTAAGGAAGTGTTTTACCATTTGCCTGAATAGTACCTCACTTTACAAAGAAAGACTGTGAAGCACAGAAAAGTTGAAAATGATAAAATGATATAGACAGCCTTAACAACTCAACACAAGAGGAAAGGCGGCTAGCAACTACTGTTTGGAAGTATGTTCAATCACACTAGTAATTACAGAATTCCAAAGTAAATAAGACTGTACCATTTTATAGCTACAAAATTAGCAATTCAAAACTTATTAATTTATTTTTGAGACAGAGTCTCACTCTGTCATCCAGGCTGGAGTGCAGTGGCATGATCTCAGCTTACTGCAACCTCTGCCTCCCAGGTTCAAGTGGTTCTTGTGCCTCAGCCTCCCAAGTAGCTGGGACTACAGGCACACACCACCACACCTGGCTCATTTTTGTATTTTTAGTAGAGACGGGGTTTCGCCATGTTGGCCAGGCTGGTCTTGAACTCCTGACTTCAAGTGATTCGCCTGCCTTGGCCTCCCAAAATGCTGGGACTACAGGCTTGAGCCACTGCGCCTAGCCAATTCAAAATGTATAAATAATATCTTAATCTGGCAAGTTGGTAATGGAACTGGCAGCCACAGGTTGGTGGCAGTATAACTTGGCGTCATTCTTTAAAAAAATCAATTTCATAATCCTTATTAAGGGTCTATAAAAGTATTCCTACCCATCCTTCAGAATTAATCCTAGTTTAATTCAAAGGAAGAAAAAGGTTCTGCACTCATTAAAGTACTATACATAATAAAGAATAACTCTGAATCAAAATCAAATGCCCAATGATGGTGCAATGGCTACATAAACAAAGGCACTTTCATTAGAGGAGGCATTGTACATTTGATAAAAACAAAAATCATAGAGATTTTATAGCCACATAAAAAAAACTCAGAAAAAAAGTAAAAAACAAATATAAAATTATATCCACACAAGGATTACAGCTATGTAAGAATCTCTGTAAACAGACATGGTCTAGAAGAAAATCAATAAAAATAAAATTGGCAGATGTCCAGGTTGATGGAACTGTGAATAACTTTAAATATATTCTTACATTAGTTTTAGGCCAGGAGTAGTGGCTCACGCCTGTAATCCTAGCACTTTGGGAGGCCAAGGCAGGAGGATCCCTTGGGCCCAGGAGCTCGAGACCAATCTACCATTCTGGGCAACAGGGAGGTCCTGTCTCTATTAAAAGACACATACACACACACACTCTCACTCTTATGTTAGCTTTATATAATGACACTTGCACAGTAAATTTGTGGGAGGAAATAAGATGAAAGAGAATACAGACATAGAAATCCTCAATGGCTCAGTTTTTTTGTATTACTAAATTTTTTTCAGGTTTTGAATTATACAGCATAATTTAAGAAATTCTGATACAATGATGCTGAGATCTGGTAAGAAATATTAATTTTCTTTCACGAATAAAATGTCTCATATATACATACACACGCATACACATAAAGACTAATTTTTGAAACTTAGTTCTGGATCAGTGGGCAATGCCAATAATCTGGTATTCTATTATCTTTGATATCCTTAGCAAGTATTGAAATGAAAAGGAAGTTAACAAACGTGATTACTTTTTAATAACTTCAGAGATACACTGAATCTCTGAAGGAAAGAGACAATGAATATCACTTAAAATATTTTGACAGATATTTAGCTCTCTTGGAAAATTCACGGATCTCAGAAACTTAATCTCAAGGAAAGCAAGAGAAGGAAAATGTATCTTTAACTTGGAAATGATTCTGGAGAAGTTGAAGGCAGATTCTGTAAAACATTTTATCATAAATACCTAGCCCTGTGATTTTTAGAAGCAGCATTCTAACAACTAAATCAATCACATGGAATTTGACAACATTTTTATTTCAATAGCCCTTTGCTACGTGGGACTTCTCAGAGATCTTAAAAACTGTTGTGTTAATATGAAGAAATGATTATTTGAGTAATTCAGAGCCTTACAAACTCTTACACACTACCTTCACATTTTTTGGGGGATGGGGCAAATGGGAGAGGCAACACTATAAATGCAGAGAATAGTCATAACTTCACAACTCATGCTCAGATAGCAAACAAATGTTTACTGAGCACCTACTGTCATTCTACAAAATGCACTTAAGCATTTGAGGTGTGTGCAACATAAAGCCTTGATTTTAAAAACGTTTATTTGTTCCTTGTGTGTTCAATGTGTCTATATTATACTCTGTTAGTAGATAATCAGATCATACAAGTGATCCCTTTCAAGTTAACTGACAATCTATAGCTAATTTATTAACTGGCCAGTTTAAAAAGTAACAGCTAACTTACACTAGACGCTTGAAACTAATTTTGCTTATTCATCTGCTGCCTG
Source organism: Homo sapiens (assembly GCF_000001405.40). Lineage (NCBI taxonomy): Eukaryota > Metazoa > Chordata > Mammalia > Primates > Hominidae > Homo > Homo sapiens. Next base: position 134,299,046 of record NC_000007.14, read on the forward strand.
TCTCATCTGTAACTAGGAGAAAAACCTTGTCATCATTGAGCTCCCCTCTTGCTCTGCTCCATGGCAGCTTGGGCTGGATCTGTGAGCAGCTCTGCCTTTCATGGCAGAGAAGGATAAACAGCAGTTGAGAGAGCTGGACGGCTGCCCAACTTCGCAGGGCTCCAGTCTCTGCAGTGTGCTGTAAGTATTCATTTGCATTCTCAAAACATCAAACATTTCACATTCAAATGCAAACACACAAATTCCAAAGCAAAATGGAAAACTCGAAGATATTCTTTTACTTCATTTGTAAATAATTGAGAAACCCCTGTAAAAGCTTTTGCTGCTGCAATGACTGGAAAGTGGAATGGAGACATTTTCGAAAGGAACACATGATTTGAATAGGATTATGAAAAAGGCCGAGGTCAAGTCAAGAGTAAAACTGAGACTCTGCCTCAGAAACTGTCAGGTAATTCTACTGTCTAACCCCAAACTCACCAGACTTATTGAATAGAACTGCATGGTCATAAATATCAGAAGCCAAGAAGACGAAACCCGGAAGTGGAAGGGCGTGCTATGGAAAGAAACAGGTCAGATAAATGTAAGTGCAAAAACATTATAGAATAATTAGAGTAGCTTTACAATGATTAAAAGTCGTACAGGTTGTTTGACAGCAATACAAAGAAAAGCAAGTTAGACTTAAGTTAAATGTATACAGTGCTTCTTGACCACTTCACCTTGTATGGCAGGATATTAACCCCCAAATTATGGTTCTTGCCCTTATAGGGTCTGAGGGCCATCACAGACAAAGCAAACAATGGAGCCAGCATCCTTTCCTCAACAACAGGGAATGGAGAAATTTAAACATATAGTCTTTCTGCACAAAAGGATTTGCTAAATATGCAGACACAATTTAATTTGCTTTGATTGATCGTGATCATCTCATGTAGTGAACTGTGACTTGGAACCCACCAGAGCATCCCATCAAAACTGCTTCAGTCTGTGGGTCTCAAAGCCATCTACCAATAATACACCTTCAACTACATCAGAGAATATTAATAGTTCACTTGAAGTAACATTTTACAACTTAGGAATTTTCACGTTCCCAGGTTCAGGAAGTTGCTTACATTATAAAACAAAGCCTCCTTGGAGTGTTTCCCAAATCGTTTGTAGAGAGTCTCTTGGAATATCCCCATCCTTGCTGACATCAGAAGAGCAAAAGTCAATGCCCCAATACCTAAAAAACAAACATCAGGTGACAAGATGTCTGCATTTGTTCATTTCCAGATGTTTTTCTTGAAGAACATTATTGTTTAAAGTCCTGCAAATATTATGAACTAATTGTAGAACATGTACAAAACTGTAAAAAGAAATAAAAATACATTATTACCATCTAGTCCTTTACAGCTTTCTACATCTTCTTATATATTCATTTATGTAAATTTTTTTACACTAAGACAGGATCAGATTGCATATGGAATTTTATATCTTGCTTTTTTCATGAGCTTTTGCCTGGAATTTTGCTTCAAATCAGTCATTAAAATTTTTTAAATAGAATGCTTTTAATGACTATGATATGGATGTAGCACACTTAAATGTATGAGGATGGTTATTTCCAATTATTTCATTATTAAAATCAATGTACATCCTTGTATACAAATCTTTAAACAAATGTTGATATATTTTAGGATAAACCCTCATAAGTGGAATTACTGAGTCAAAGGCTGTGGACATTTAAAAAATACAATACACAATATTTTTCCATAAATGCTGTGTCCATTTATACCCAAACTATTTTTATTATATAAAAATAGTTGTTTTACTGTACCCTCAGCAGCAATGAGATAACCATTTATCATCTTGCCAGTATGATAGGCCAACATAAAAAGGTATTGCATGGGTTTCATTTGCATTTCTCTGATTACTAGACTAGTGAGGCTGAACCTAAAATTGTTGGGTGCTACTATTTCCCCCATGAACTATATGTTCATATCCTTTGCAAATTTTTCTTCTGGAGTATTTTTCTAATAGCACATAAGGATCTTTCTATGTTACAAACAGCAACAAGGGATAAAGTCTCAAAGCCAAGAAGCAAGGAGAACACAGTTCTTTCACTGCTATTTCTCTTCCAATTGGTCAGTCTCAATCCGTTATTGTTGTCATTGAAAGCCCTTGGAACGAGTCTCAGCTCCATATCAAAAAATGTGAGAACAAAGCTCTACAGGAGCTGCCTATTTAATTCCACAGAGATCCTTGTATTTTTAAAAATTCCCCAGGAGATTCTGATAATCAGTCAGGTTTGGGAACACTGCCATATGGAACAGCTAACCTCTGAAGAAAATAAGTCTTTAGAAATGAGTCCCTCGGAAATTTAAAGAGTCAATTGCTCTAACGTGCCCTCTTGCAGAAGCTTCAACTTGGCAGACAGATCGTGAAGAGACGGATGACATTCAAAGGATGTGATGTGCAAGTAGACACACACTTTTCTTTCTACACCAGTGGCAACCAAGAAAAACATGGATCCATGTTGTAGAACATACTGCCATGAATGTGGGGGCATTTTCTTTTTTTCATTTCTTGAACGCTAAGGCTCAGAGAAATATGATCCCAGGTGCCTCTCTTCCATGGCATAATTTGTTTAGCTGAAGCTTCTTGCCAAGAAACATTTCTCTTAGGAGAAAACTCAGCAAACACAACTGCAGAGGCAATTAGCTTTATTATAATTATTGTACTTGCCTAGTAACCACCACACAAATGCCTGGAATCCATCATTCTCACTCAAGCTGGACTGGGAAGTCTAGGAAATAAGAAAATAAACTAGGTACAGAGAGCAGAACTACGTGCAAGGTGCCGACATACAAGGGAAACATTTATGTTACCCATTTCCCTCCCCTCTTCTCTTTCAAAATCTTTGTATTACATAAAAATTTGAATTGTATTAATTGCCTGGTAACTGGGCCCCAATAGCAAGTAGTGAACATAAAATAATTTGTGAGCTTCTTACCACCTGCTTTGCTGACATAAAAGTGCAAATAAATATCCCCACAGACACCAGGGCAATGGAGGTATATTTGAATATACTGTATCTGCAAAAAAGAAAAAAAAGAAGAAAAACACCTTAGGAAAGCACAGATATGAATTTCCCAGTGATATTTACAGTCAGATGGTGCATGAAAGTACAAATCACTAAAGTATGACAGACAGGATTACTTTCCAGCAGAGTCCACAGAAGTATGCATATGAATGAATCAGGATACTGACTAGTTTCTAACCAACACTTTTCCTTAGTACTGTTTAGTCTGTCTCCAACAATTTGCTGACCAATCGATTATTTCATCAGGAGACAAAAACAGAAATAGACCAGATGTGATGTTGCATTCTGCTCTCAAGAGTCCAGATGAAAGGCTGACCCAGTCCTTACTAGGATCTGTTGCTTTTCCTGTCTTTAGGGGGACCAAATCTGTGTCCTAAGACACACTGTGCGAGTGGAAAAACAGGCTATCAGGTGCAAGCAGCAGGATTCAATGCTCAGAAAATAATCCAATCATCCATTCTCTGGGGGAGGCTTGTTTTTTTTAAATCTCTGAATGACTTAACATTGTTTTAAAATGTTGGCATAGTTGGATAAGGGGGAGGATATTCAGATTATAGAACTATGGGCTGTAATAACAGTAGCATTTCACATTAGCTAGTATCATTAGCACCCTCTCAGATTTTTGGTGATCAAGCAAAAGGCCTCAGGCAAGGATTAAAAGAAATTAAGAAGATGAACCATCCCAGGTTTTCTACTCAAATACATAGTATTGTCCTGGTCACAGTACCTCATAAAAGGCCAGCAGAACTAGCTAATGGGCAGAGAAAGGGACTAAAAGGGCCAAGAGGACCACGCTAGAGAGCGGTTGGGGAGGAAGCAGGTACGAGCGGAGGTACGGTAAAAAATAATGAACCTCTTCAGTCTGCAAAGATCACGCTGAAGAGGTTTACAACTGAGGCCAAAAATAATAATAAAGGCATGGGTAAGGTGAATATAAATTTGATATTCAAATCCTGGAATGAGGAGCACACTATGAACTTGAGGGGCTTCTACCCAAGATAAAAGGAGATAAGAAGTTACTAATTTACTCTGTTGGAAAGTTAACTTATGGAAATTCCTGCTCAATGGGAAAGAGATACACACAGAAAAGAGAGTCAAAAGGCTTAGATAGATGCAAGATGACACACTCAGAACAAGTTCTTAAGGGCAACAGATGCTTGAGAAAGACCCGTAACATTTTGGGGCACTATCAGGAGAATACAATTTCTCTTATAACATGTTCTTTTGTATCCTTGTCATGAGCCAGAATCAAAGGTTGGGAAAGAGCACAGGCCTGTCCCAAGGCGAATTCCACACTATAAGAAGCATGATGATCACTTCAAATGTAATAAACCTGACCATCATATGTATATATATATATATGTTTAAATGCAGAGAACCAAGAAGAAAGAAATCAACTACAGTAGTACTTTTCAGGGAATTCATAAGCCTCAGGAGATAAACGGTCCATGATATGAAGCCTAGTAGGACAGGACAATTGTTCTTTTTATGACACAGCCCTTAATACTTAAAAACTCTAGGTTCTCACATTCTGAATTTACAGCTACTTTCCAAGCATGTATAGAGAGCTTGGGGCTGGATATCAAATACATTGAAACGCTGCCATCAACTTGTATAATTTTGGTCTTAACAGTGAACTTTCCCTGATAAATTTCCCAAACTGTATGTGTTGTCTCTTGCTAACATCCTTCCTCCTTAGGAGTGAGGGGTGAACCTCAGAATGAAGGTGACAGACAAAAACTTTGAAAAAGCATCCCAGGTACTTCTGGTATTTCCTGCTCCTGTCCCCCCTGCTCCTGTCCCAAAGAGAGCCATTGGTGATGGTCACAAAGAACAGTCCTGAACCTTTCATTCCATCTTCTTGGCTATTTGGGCCTTTTTAGGAATTTCCTTTTTAATATGTACAACCATTCCTTAGTTTGCTATGCTGTACTGATAAGCATCTTCTAGGGCAGAAGTATCCCATGGAATTTCTGAGATGTTAGAAATGTTCCACATCTGGGCTCTCCAACGTGGTCACTACCAGCTCTGTGAGTCTACTGAGCACTGAAAATGTGACTAGGAGTTTGAGACCAGCGGGGACAACATGGCGAAACCCAATCTCTACCAAAAATACAAAAAAGTTAGCCGGGCATGGTGGCACATGCCTTTGGTCCCAGCTACTTGGGAGGCTGAGGTGGGAGGATCACTTGAACCTGGGAGGTGGAGGCTGCAGTGAGCCGAGATCACACCACTGTATTCCAACCAGGATGACAGAGTGAGACCTCGTCTCCAAAAAAAAGAAAAAAAAATGTACGTGACTAATGAAACTGAGACACTAAATATTTAATTTTCTTTAATTTTGAAAAATGTAAATAGTCACACGTGGCTAGTGGTGACCATACTGCACAGTGAACCTCTCTATCATCTTTGTAAGTTGGCTTCGCAGGTTAGTATGACACTAAAATTCAGTGATGCCAAGAGCTATTCAGTTCGACACAGAGACACCACAGGTGTGGCCTCTTACCTGATCAGCTGCTTCAGGACATTGCATGATTGGGCCTCACTGGTAAAGAACTAAGAAAAGAGGTAGATGGCCAGAAGCAAACTTATCACTATTTTGGGACAAGGAATCCAGGTGACTAGCTTATGGACAGGGGCTCAGGGTATCATTTCCATACACAAAATACAGAAGTGTATTGTTTACCTTTTCTTCAAAATGATAATTCCTAGAATCATGTTGGCAATTAGAGAACCCTGCAAAAGGAGACAACAGTAACAGAGAGGTTTAGTGCACTAGGAAAAAAACAACGTAATTCGAGAGAATAGGAACATGGGCAAGGGGAAAAAACATGGAATGAAGGAAGCTAGGATGAATAATTAGTAAAGATTTAGTTGTTCTTATGATGGCAAAAGTATAAACCATAAAAATCTACTATGATGGCCGGGCGCGGTGGCTCACGCCCGTAATCCCAGCACTTTGAGAAGCCGAGGTGGGCGGATCACCTGAGGTCAGGAGCTTGAGACCAGCCCGGCCAACATGGTGAAACTCTGTCTCTACTAAAAAATACGAAACTTAGCTGGGCGTGGTGGCAGTTGCCTGTAATTCCAGCTACTTGGGAGGCTGAGGCAGGAGAATCCCTTGAACCCGGGAAGTGGAGGTTGCAGTGAGCCAAGATCGCGCCATTGCACCTCCAGCCTGGGCAACAAGAGCGAAACTCCGTCTCCAAAAATATACGTATATATATATATATTTAAAAAACCTTTTAAAGATGACAATGAGAATAAAAAGGATCAATTCTCAATATAGTCATTATCAGCCCTCCTTATAGGCATGTTTTGCATCCCGTGAATACTGTATTTTCATATTTGTTTGAAAAAAATTTGCATATTTGTGGACCCACGTGGTTTAAACCCATGTTGTTCAAGGGTCAACTGTAATTGCTCAGTGCTGAAGCCAGGGCTAGCACGAATAAATGATATCACAGACTTATTTTTGTCAAAATTTCCATCACCTAATTTATAAGAGCTTTTAATAAGTTTCTCCCCATTACCTGCACCTTCTACCCCCGACCAGTTTTTTCTTCCCTCAGACGGAGTTTTGCTCTTGTTGCCCAGGCTGGAGTGCAATGTTGCGATCTTGGCTCACCACAACCTCTGCCTCCCAGGTTCAAGCGATTCTCCTGCCTCAGCCTCCCGAGTAGCTGGGATTACAGGCGTGTGCCACCACGCCCAGCTAATTTTGTATTTTTAGTAGAGATGGGGTTTCCCATGTTGATCAGGCTGGTCTCGAACTCCCAACCTCAGGTGATCCACCCACCTCAGCCTCCCAAAGTGCTGGGATTACAGGCCTGAACCACTGTGCACAGCCCCTGACCAGTTTTAATGGAAAAAGTCATGCAAGGATCTCTCTGTTCTCTAAAAAGGTGACAATCAATCAACAGGTGTTTATTGAAAGTCCACTATGTTTTCAATGCTTTGAAGGTCACCTTATTATAATTGCTTTGGAAACTCCCTTCAGGAACAGTACAATCTCACAAAAATCTCAGACCACATGGAAATGTTATCACCACAATTATCAGCCTTTTTTGCCTGGAGTGCTTTGGGAGAAACCCTACCTTCATCAAGAATTTCCCTTTATTATCTCAAGTCTCTGCTTAAAAAAAAAAAAAAAAATCAGAAAAGACAAGTATCTCTTTCATGTTCTAGAAGTAAATGTACTTTTATGAAAGAAGAAGAGATAAGAAATAAGTTAAATAACATTAATAGCATGTTTGAATATAAAATCAAAGAGATGAGGGAAAATGAAGGTAAAATCTGTTTCCTAGGGAAAATTTAATTTTCTTTTTATTAATCACTCATTAGACCTCAGAAGAATAAAAGTAAACCATCCACTTTGAGATTTCTCTTTTTGCCTTCTCAGATGAAAGCCACCCTTGCTCACGCATTCACAAACCTATTCTTCTACCCAAGACCACTTACTACAAGAACCTTCTAGTTCTGCCATATATTCAATCGATCTACTTAACTATACTTTTCAGAGGAACATATACACGTGATCCGGCAGCACTTACGGATCTAAATATCATATGCAGGGGCATGGCAATGTTGAGATTCAGGGCATAGTTGTTCACCACGCTCACGGTGAAGAACATGGTCACCATTATGGCATAGTACCTGAAATGCAGACAGAACAGCTCATCAAACAGAATCTAGGATTTCAAGAAAATCAAGTATAGGAAATATATATTTTTGGCTAAAAAGGCATTTTGCCTGTTTCCTCTGCGTTGCAAGATTGCATCACTATTATGCCATGTCAACTACTAAGTACATATCAAAACGCTTCACAAAGCCAGACTAACATGGGAAAATCTAAGTTATAAAATACATTTAAAGAAACACTATTTAAAAATTTTCAAGTATACATAGCAACTTAAAATGATTGTATTGATTCTTTGTAAATAATTTTCATATACCTCTGAAGAACTTGAAAATGGCTGATTTTCTCAAATACCTCCTCTATACACTTGTTTGTACTGTTAATTTTCGCTGTTTCTAAAGAAAGTATTTGCTAAGTTAAGGATTATTTTCAGCCTAGCAGCTGCTAAAATTCTCCCGCATTCTGAACTAGTGGCCTCCAAATTAATGAGGACATGGTTTGACTTGTACAGATTTTTATTTAAAATCAGGGTCTCTGTTTTTTGAAAGTTTATAGGTCTTAAAATAATAGAAACAAAAACTAAAAAAAAAAAAAAATCCAGTAACCCTAATAACTTAAAGGGATAAATACAAATGAATTATTATGAACAGATGGATTAAACAAATAATTTTACATTTGTATGTCATCACTGTGATTCAGAAAATACATAAGATGCCTTCTACATATATTGGGCCAAACCATATAAAATTGCCGTTTTTATAGGTCAAAAAGAGTTGAATGTCAGAAATTTCATATGACTCAACTTCCTATATTGAGTAAGAGAAAAAAACAGCATTTAAAATAAATGGCTAAAGAATGCAGGGCAAAAGCAAATAAGTGGTTCCATATTCTTCAGGAAATGTTGATCTTGGAGATTCCCAACCATTTTCCACCTTTGCACATCTGAAGGATATGACAGCACTGAGTCCTAAGTGATCTTCCCTGAAAGAACCGATTCTGCGTTGCTAGTTAGGTGTGGAGCCATACACCACAACAGGCAGTCAAGCCAAGGCTGAATTAATATAGTCTGGAAAGTCTGAGGAACTTGACAATGAACACATATGCAAAATTACCAGCAACAGCTTCTTCACAGCTTCTAAATAATATACTATCAGCGACTTTACAAAGTTTCTTGCCAAATTTTCTTAGTTCTACCTTGAAGAGGTGCCATTTACAGAGTTTGTCAAGGTCTTTTAGGGTAATTAATTTAACTATTCCACATTGCTTGCCTAGAAATTGTGGATGGGGATGAACGACATGAGCAAAATTTTGTTTATGGCTCCACCTACAGAAAATAAAATGGCCAACACACATAGGACATGCATGAGAATATGGTTATGAGGGCAAGATCACAGAGACCCTCAAAGGGCAGGATGGGGAGTCTGGACATCATTCAGAACATCGTGGTAACCACAGAGTGGGGCGACATGATAAAACGATATTAAGTGAAATTGATGGATGAAGAGGTGGGAGGCAGGGAAGTCAGCCAGCTAGGATGCTATTATAAAAGATATGGTGACAGGGTATACTTCCTGATCTATGCTAGTGGTGGAGAGAATGGGGAGAGATAGTGGGAAGAGGCAGGAAAGGGCCAGAGGAGTCAAGAAATGCTGGGGCTTTTACTGCAATATAAATGCTGGTCTTTAGGGGCAGAAAGTTTTATGCAGATACTAAAGCAAATGAAAAACTAAAAGTATCTGGAATATTTAGCATCGCACTGGGAACTTTAAAAGTATAATATTAACAAAATTCAGCCAGATTTTCTATAGCAGGCTACGTAAGAATGCTGCAAAAGAAAACCAACAAAGATGGGCCTTTGCCTTCATACTTGGATATATTCACACCAGAATGTCGCTCTAAACGGGAGTAAGTGACATCATCCTACTAAATACTCACAACTGGATGGATTACACTTTTATCTCAAGTCACTCTCAGCAAGAAGGCTGAGTTTTCAATACACTGTTTAACATAAGAACTGCCCTGTTTTCTATTTGGCCCCATGAGTACAATTATGCACATTTGGACTAATGTACTACAGGTCTGGCATCAACAAATTTTGACTTTGCTTGCCATTCATTTTCTTTTAATTGAGGTGAAATTCACATAACATAAAATTAACCATTTTAAAGTGAACAATTCCGTGGCATTTAGTACATTCACAAAGTTATGTAACTACTACCTCTATTTATTTCCAAAAGCCATTCGTTTTTAAAAAGAAACAAGGATACTCCCCTTTTAGAATGTTTGATAACTTCACCAACACAGAAGACAGCACAAAATTTGTGGTCACACTAGGCCTTCTGACTAATCCTATACTAAATAAGAACACACACACATACACACTCTTGTCTCCATCATGGTTATTTTAAATCTTGTGGCAGAAATTTTATTTTCGAAGTAGGTACCCCGGATTTTCACAACATATTAAATTCAGAAAATGACTTATTATTCTACTGGTATCTTTGAAATAAATCTTATAAAAGAATGTCTCATCCTCCTTTTATACAGGTACCACCTCTTTACTTTCTTAAAAAATCCAAAAGCTAAAAGAGACTCTAATGTACCATACCTTATTGGGATAGCTGGTGGCTTCCTTCCCAAATCAGCTTCAAAGAGGAAGCCTTCCACAGCAATAAATAAAAATTGTGCAAATGTCACAATGTTCCCACATCCTGGATGCTTCCTGTATAGTGAATAATAAAAGAGGGGGTGAAGGCACAAAAACTGAGATACAGAACACTAAAATGCATTCTAATTAGAGGGCCAGAATAACAGCGTGGATGGATTTCAATTACCCACTGTCCTTTATCTCAATGTTCATAGCCTTTGGATCACATATACTTAGCATTGATCTCACAGAGAAGAATGTCAAGCTTTCTTATTTAACTCTTCCTTGCGTGTATCAGGCCATGAGTGAGAATTACTGTGACGACACACTTGTTCCCAGAACTACGATACAGCTTTCCTAGTAAACTGCAGGAAATTGGTCATATGTTCTTATTGGGATCTTTGCTTCACCAGAAAGGTCTTTAATCAGGATCCCAGTCAGCTTAGGTAGCAAAGCCCAGGGACAGAAATATGCTCAGGTCTCCTGGAATGTTTATATATCCCTCCTGACCAGGAATCACCAAGACTGCTGTCAAACGAAAAATGGACCCAGTGTTGATGATAGGAACATTACTTTAAATGGTGCCCAGCAACGGGGCAAAATTGGTTCTTGGGATGGGGGAGATATCTTACTCTTTTTATAACAATAAAGTACAAATATACATACAGTACCTGAACCAGTACACACTATATCTATGGCAGGGGAGGGATTAAGAAAACAACGTCTAAAAAGTATTCTGGAGGAGGCATAATGAACAAAAGACTGAAAAACACTGCCGTAGTCTACTATTCTCTACAGCTCTTAACCCAGTGTTTTGAATATATTAGGCACTCAAAAAATGTTTGTGGAATTCAATAGAGTCTCTTTAGTGATCTGTGAAACAGTTGGGGAAGATTCCCCACATTCAACAGTGATTGTTAGGAACAAATTTACAAAGTTAAAAACTTCCTCCTGACATTCATCTTGAGGCACTCTGAAAACTAGTCATTTAAAATGTTCAGGTTTTCTTGAGCTTGTCTTCCATTCAGCTCTGCTCAATCGCTGGAAGAAGAACAAAGTGAGCAGTTATCTTTGCTCTCCTGAAGCTTCCAGATTTCCTATAATACCAATATTCACCTGCCTTCGTATTCTGTGTTTTCATCTTTTTTTTTTTTTTTTGAGACAGAGTCTCGCTCTGTCGCCCAGGCTGGAGTGCAGTGGTGCCATCTTGGCTCACTGCAAGCTCCGCCTCCCGGGTTCGTGCCATTCTCCTGCCTCAGCCTCCCGAGGAGCTGGGACTACAGGTGCCCGCCACCAGGCCCGGCTAATTTTTTTGTTTTTTTTCAGTAGAGACAGCGTTTCACTGTGTTAGCCAGGATGGTCTCCACCTCCTGACCTTGCGATCCACCTGCCTCGGCCTCCCAAAGTGCTGGGATTACAGGCGTGAGCCACCACACCCGGCCTCTGTATTTTCATCTTGACCAAAGGCATTTACCTGAAGCTGGTGAGAGGTATGTAATTGTATTATTACATATTAATATACTGCTACTTACCAGAAATGACTCCATTCTCCATTGGTATTAGTATTATACAGCAATGCCAAGATATACAAGTCCTTAAATATACCCATTAGGCACAAAAATAAGACAATACAGGCATGAGCCATTCTTCTACAGAACTAGGCTTACTAACTGAAACAGAAATGTTGCTACTCTTTAAGCTCTGCTGCCTATGAAGGTTTCCTTGAAAACTGCTTTCTATTCAATTCAACAAGTTCTCTTTTAGCACTTCTTATGTTCAAAGGACAAGGCTAAATGCAGGAATCCATAAATAATCATGTAAGACATTTACCTCATTCAAGGACCTAATTAAAACCATTAGCCTAAATATGAGTGACAGAAGGAACTTTAACTCTAGATGGTTCCTAGCACGGTGCTTTGGAACTCGGGCCAGCCTACTCTGCTTTTTAAAAACCTGTTTCCCAAATGGTCGGCACGGTGGCTGGCTCACACCTATAATCCCAGCACTTTGGGAGGCTAAGGCAGGTGGATCACCTGAGGTCAGGAGTTCGAGACCAGCTTGGCCAACATGGTGAAACCCATCTCTACTAAAAATACAAAAATTAGCCAGATGTGGTGGTGCATGCCTGTAATCCCAGCTACTCGGGAGGCTGAGGCAGGAGAATCACTTGAACCTGGGAGGTGGAGGTTGCAGTGAGCCGAGATCATGCCACTGCCCTCCAGCCTGGGTGACAAAGCAAGACTCTTGTCTCAAAAACAAACAACAACAACAAAAAAACCTATTTACCCAAAGAGGCTCACTCTCCCACTTCTAATTTGATTAGTCTGGGGTAGGACCCTGGAATCTGTACTTTTAAAAGCTTTCCACTTGATTGTCACATGCAGCCAGGTTGGAGAAATACCAGTCAAGGTGCAGGGAAAGGGCTGAGAGTGTATGTGAGTGCATGTGTCGCTGTATATGTGAATGCACAGGTAGTTCTCAGGTGCTGACACAAGGTTGAGAACCACTATGCTCCACTGTGCTTAAAAGTACACACCGACATGCGATATGTTGCTCTGTCACTTGCTATGTGACAGAAGTGAATTAATTTATCTAAGTCTAGTGTTTTTATCTTTAAAATGGAAACCATATGAGTGCCTATCTCTGATTTATTGTAGAGTAAATGAGCCATCCCTGAAAAGCACTTAACACAGCGCCTGCCACAGAGTGAAAAAGGCAAATATGATGACCAGTATTTAGGATCTTGCAGGCTGAAAGGTCTTCAGCCTTTAAAAGACATTCCAGTTGACTAAGTTTTCTCATCTCTAAAATGAAACTGATTTCACTGTCGTAGTGAGTATTCAATGAGAAAATACATGTAAGTGCCAAGCACAAGAGGTAATCCAAAAGAGGCTTCAAAGTTTCCTTCTATGTTCTCTTTAACAAGTTTAGGCCAAGTCAACTAAAGAACAATTATCAAGACTCAATTATGTGTAGAGTTAGGTGGCTGCTTCCAGGGAGCCCCCAACTTGAATGGGACTGGATCCCTGCCCAAGAAGATGACAATATGGGAGAGCCAGATGCGAAGGAGGACGTCAGAAGCCAGTGCCTTAGCAGGGATGGTGATGGGACAGACCATGTCCCATTTACCTTTCTGCTCTCACTTTCGGGTCAGTGACCCACCTTTACTCAAGCAAGAGAATGAATGTGAGGGTTCCAATGTGATCTAGAATCTTATAATTTCTACAAAAGATAAAAAGAGATTTAAAAAATGATTCACATGACATGTGTATTCGCTATAGGATTTTTAAAAAGGGCATCTTAATACTTTTTATTTTATGGAGGTGGGTATTGATATGCCCATTTCATTCCATTTCTAAAGACGCTGAGGGTCCCATTGCACTGCGTCAGGTAAGTCTCCCAGCGGTCAACGGCAAATAAATGGCATTTGCGGTTACCCTTAGCATTATGATTATTACAATTCAGTGGGGTTAAGTATGGGTTTTTAGTTGTGCAATAATTGCCACTATCTAATGTTAGGACACTCCCAAGAGATACTCTATTCCCATTTTGAGTCACTTTCCATTTCTTCCTTTTCCCAGTCCAGCAATAACCCTATTCTACTTTTTGTTTCTATTTCTATAGAATTTAAAAATCTCCCTAATGTACTCAAATAATTTAATTTTTGAAAGCTCAACTTATGAAGCCTTTTCGAAACACACTGTTGTATAGCTACCAATGGAATTATTTATTTTAACTTGAATAATTCATTTTAAAACTTCAGAGTAAAAACTTGGATCCCTTAATCTTGTTTTCTTGAGCTCTCTTCCTCAGGAATTGTAATCACTAACTGCAAACAGTTTCTCTTACTTTGAATTCTCTTGGCAAAAATTCCAATTTTTATTTAAAAAAGAATGCAACTTTGAAGAGAATGAATTGGGCAGATCGTTTATGCCGTTTGCATTTCTTTTGCTGAATTTAGGAAACTATTTAATTCAAGATCAGGCACTTGAATGAAAAATAAAATAGGAAAAAAAATGTTTCAGATTGTTTTTCTGGTGTAAGGCAAGCAATAATATCTTGCCTAGTTAGTTAGCTGGTGTGTGTATATCTTGTTTCCAAGGTAGAATGTAAGCTCCCTAAGGAGGAATATCAAGGCACTCGTCCATTACTACCTATCTGCTCTGTCCACTGCATTGTGTTTTATTATTGGTCCCAATCATAGGGATAAAAATCAGAAAGAAAAGCCTGAGTTTGTTTTCCAATTTGGGGAAAATGGTTAAAAATGTCCTCTTCTTCCTGCAAGTCACTTAGCATTTATATTTAGTGTTATACTTGCTACTTATTAGGGCACCTACTGGCTCCAAGCCAGCCAATATAAAAAGCACAGTTCCTAGGCTATAAAAATTTATGGGGCTTCCACTGTGATGTCCCAAGATAAAGTCACAAATTCCAAGGCCATATCTAGAAAGAACCTTAAGGCCATCTGGTTCAACTAGCTCTTATTTTATTGATCTGTAACACAAGAAGTGGAGACTTGTCTTAGGAAAAGGCTCTATTCAGTCTGGTGCACCACTGATTATTTTAATAAATGCACCTCCTCACCACTTTATGAAAACCCATTGTTTTATGCAAAAAATGCAGATTTACAAAAAAAAGATAAGTGATGATTTATTTACAAATTATTCAAAATATTTTAAATAGGAGCTCCTATAATGCATGAAAATATTTTATAAAATTAGATTTGTCCACGACTTTGTAGGACCATAAATATATAAAAAAGAAATATATCTTTCTTTTATATATTAAAGAAATATATCTGTATTGAAACCAAATTGTTGGACAGAATGGGAAGCCCTACAAGTGTGCTTTAGGCTTCACATGCGCATCTCACTTCATCCTTCAAAACTCTGTGAAGCTGGTAGAACCATCATCACCATCACCCCCTTTTACAGTTGGGTCAGACTCAGGGAGATCAAGTAATTCAGTCAAGGGCTCACAAACTAGTAAAGAGGGGATTCAGTTGCTTGCATATTCTCATGTCATACAGCCTTTGGCAAGATTTAATTTAATGGCATATTCAACACAAATATTACCATTATTCCCTGACTTTCATTTCCATGGCTGGCCCGATGGTATCACTTTTTTATATTTTCTTTTTTTATTTTTTGAGACGTAGTCTTGCACTGTTGCCCAGGCTGGAGTGCAATGGTGCTATCTCGGCTCACTGCAACCTCCACCTCCCGGGTTCTAACGATTATCCTGCCTCAGCCTCCTGAGTAGCTGGGATTACAGGTGTCCACCACCAGGCCCAGCTAATTTTTGTATCTTTAGTAGAGACGGGGTCTTACCATATTGGCCAGGCTGGTCTTGAACCCCTGACCTCGTGATCCACCCACCTCGGACTCCCAAAGTGCTGGGATTACAGGTGTGAGCCACCATGCCTGGCCAACTTTTTTATATTTTCAAATCAATTGTTGCCAAAGTGGCCTTCCTTTAAAAGTGTATCAGATTTACAGTTGGATACAATTTTTTTTTCATTTTTTATCCCTCATCACCTATTCCCAAGTCAAATAACAGATCTTTATCAACACTTTCTGTACAATAAAATGTCAAGCTCCGTAACAGCAAAACTTAACCCCACACAGAGTTTACCTTAAGTAAACTGGTTGCTTTGGGATGATTTAATCAATGATATCAAATAAAATAAACTTCTAGTAGGCACCACATGAAGAACTGGATGACCAAAATCTATGGGCTGCTCAAGTTCAAAACTGGCAGGGAGGTTGAAAAAGGTATTGGACTAGGAGCTTAGATATCTTGGGTCCCATTTCTGGCTCTGCCACTTACAAGTAGTGAAGGGTCACCTAACTTCTTTGGACCATTTCCACTTCAGTAAAACAGTTTATAATTCTTGACCAATCTTCTGCACAGGATTGTTCGGATGATCAACAGAGATACAAGTTGAGTATCTCTCATCTGAAAATCTGAACTCTGAAATGCTCTAAAAAATATGAAACTTTTTGAGCACTGATATGATGCCACAAGTGAAAATTCCACACCTGACACCTTTGCTTTCTGATAGTTCAACGTATACAAACTTTAATTCATGTACAAATTATTAAAAATATTGTATACAATTACCTTCAAGCTAAGGTTATGTGTATAAGGTGTATAAGAAACACAAATGAGTTTGTGTTTAGATTTGGGTACCATCCGTAAAATATCTCATTATGTATATGCAAATACTCCCAAATCCAAAAAAAAAACAAAAAACAAAAAACACCAAATAACACCCGTTCCCAAGCATTTCAAATGAAGGATACTCAACTTGTAATGTATAGATTCAGAAACACGAGCTAGAGAACACTATAGGTATTGTTTTACTGCCAGGAAAAGGAGCCCAAGAGAGGCTAAGTGACTTGAAGGGCTACACAGCCAGTGGACGACGGAGCCAAGAGTGAAATTCACAACCCAGCTTTTTAGTCCTGGAGGCTTTTCCACACCACCTGTTGTCTCTTCTGTTATAGCTTCTATCCACTGAACTTTGCACATTCAAAGTGACCTCAAAGAGCCCTCTCAGGTCACTTGGACCAATCTTCTACTTGCTTTTTTTTTTGTCTTTTTGCAAGCCACCTCAAAGAGCACTCTCGGGTCACGTGGACTGATCTTCTACATAAAAATCTGTTCTACCGCATCATTTATGTATGTTTGGGCAAAGTACTCATAACCATTTCCAAGGCCAATAAAGCAAATGCTTTGCAGGATGCCGTAATAAAAATAAAACTTTCTTTGCAGTATGTACAAAGTCAGACTGCTTTACAAGTCAAAAACCTTTGCTCAAGTCCAGCCTGTGCCATTTAACAGGATCGAAAAAAGAGCTAGAGTTGGATGGGAAGGAAGAGAGAGTGGTTTGGTGAAGGAACCTTGGTTCTGACACTAGCTCTCTGCCGACCTTGGACTGGTCATGTGAAAAACTCTTCAGACTTCAATACCCCCCGAGTGTGGAAAAGGGGTGACGACAGCAACACCCTGAGTCTTCCCCTCGCAGGAATGCTTTGAAACTGTTAGGCGGGACTGCCGCCGGTGCGCAGTTTTGGGAAGCAGCGGACTCAGCGGGGTCCCAGGCTGCCCAGACAGGACGGATTGCTGGGGGGCTCAGGCCGTCCTGCCCCGGGCTCCGTGGGCGGCGGGGTGGGGACAGGGCGTGGGCGCGTCCCGGGGGGACCTCTCCTCTGGCTTCCTCCGCCCCGCCCCGGGAGACCGGGTGCGGCCCGAGCGGGTCACTCACCGGGCCAGGAGCTCTAGGAAGATCACGTTACTGCAGCAGCCTGCGAACACCAGGCCCACCGCCAAGGCCGGGCGCATGGCCGGTGCAGGGTTGGGGAAGCAAGCGCACAGAGTAAGCGCCCGCCTGTACCGCTACCCCAGGAAGCCGGCCTCCTGCCTCTTCGCTGCGCAGCACATCGCACCGTCCTGGAAAGCCGCTCTCACTGGGGGCCGCCGCGGTCTCCCCTTCTCCCGCGGCCAACACCGACGCTGCCAAGAAGCTGTAGTTCGCAGTCAGCTTCGGTCCCATTCATCCGAGGGGGCGTCCGAGCCCCGGCCAGACTACATGTCCCAGGATGCCGTGCACCTTTACCTCAGGATGCGACGTTCCCGCTTCCGCCAGGCAGCTCCGCCAGAGAGGACAGGGGGACGAGGTGCCCGGCATGACTCGCGCGATAGGCGGCCGCGGGTCTTGCTGGGAAATGAAGTCCCAAAGCGTCAGTGTTTCTTGCGAGACCGCCCAGAGCGCTGAAAGTAACTCGGCCGCCAGGGTCACAACAAACTTGCTGGCAGCGGCGGCACTAGAACTACAGAGCTGTGACTGCTCGTTGGAGGTGTTCTAGCATCTGAAACAACTCTGCTTCCTGAACTGATATATATATATGTATCTTTGGTGACTCTATTATGCTGCCAGGATTAAGAACCACTGAGAATTCAAGTAAAGCAATGGCTCTCAACCACGTCTGTACATTGGAATCACTTGGAGAGCTTTAAAGATGACTGATAGCCAAGTCCCACCCCCAGCGATTCTGATTTAATTAGGCTGAGGTGCAGCCTTAAAGGTGATCTATTGATATTATCCCTAATCCTAGCTCTTTAAGGTACTCCCTTCCTTTACCTCCGTGGTTCTCAAACTTAGCTGCGCAGTCAAATCACCTGGGGGCTTTGAAAACTGCCAACGTCCAGGCTCTTCTACTGGCAAAAATGCCAATATCAGCAATCAGATCTTTAATGGTGAAAAGAAGGCATACTTCCCTCTTCTTACAGTGGAATTCTCATAGCACTTACAATCTGAGCCATTCGACTTGACTCTTACTTACTCAATGAACAAATGTTTGTTAAGCACATATTACGTACATAAGCTAGTGCGGCACTATTCTTTATTTGTAAAATAGGTATGCACACTTTATCCACCCAGCAAGACTAGTTTTTAAGGGAAACGTGTTTACACTTCCTTTCTGCTTCCCAGTGTCTACTATAAAAGGTTAGCATCACTGCTCAGTATTTTACCACATCAAATATTTCCGTTGTAATTGAATCCAACAGCAATAGCAAAGTACACGGTACAAAGCTAGGTAGGATTTTGGAATGCTATATTGTTTTTGCTATTTCCTGTGAGACACGAACATTCTGAAGTCTTTCTCGAGATCTACAAAATAGTTTGGAATGCTTTTTTCCCAGTCCGTGACTGGGAGATCACATTGGAATCATCTGAAGTACTCGTTATCGAGTGCAGATTATTGGGTCTCGCTTTAGACCTACCAAGTCAAAATCCTTGTGTATGGGTTCTAGAAACTTGTATTTTTAACAAGCACTCCACGTTCTAATTCTAATGCATTCTAGAATTTGAGAACTGCTGCCTTAAAAAGGTGAGTAGGAAGAAGAACTAACATAAATAGAAAGCCTACTACCTGTGAAATTCAGTATTTAATGAGCACCCGTCTTGAGTTTGCACAGTGCTGGCACATTAAACAATGAATTATATATACATATATACACGTATATATACCAGTTATATTCATATACACATATATACACACACACATATATATATATATATAACTGGTATATATACAGGTATATAATAGTACCAGTTCTACCTCAGACCAAGTAAAGTGGACTATCTGGGAGTGAGGCTGAAGCAATGATAATATCTCCACCTCCACTATCAATAATCCTGCCAACAGGAAGCTGGTCTGGATTTTCATCTGGATTTCATTAGAGGTGATTTCTCTTCACACAGACCTTCATTTTCCATATATGCCACTAATTTGGAAGCCCTTAAAGGATGTTCTAAACATTTCTCATTACATCTCAGATAAAAACCCAAGCATGTCTAAGTGATTGCACAAGAAAAAAATGGCCTGAGTACTGTAATATTTGCAAGAGTTCTGTATCTTTCTTCCTTCCTCCACATTTCTGTCTTCACCTACTGCAGTGAGTATTAATTTAATGTGCATGTTAATCACTTGGGGATCTTGTTAAAATGCAGATTCTGATTCACTAGGCCTGCAGCATGGCCTGAGATTCTGCATTTCTAAGTAGCTCCCAGGTGATGCTGGTGCTACTGACCTGTTGACTGCACTTGGAGAGCAGAAGCCTGTAAAATCATTAACTCTGAAGACCTCTCTATCCTCCCCTCTCATTTGCTCAGAGAACTCTTGCTAGCAAACCTGTTCTCAGACCAAAATCATGCTCAAAGAAACTAACTTATCTTTCTTCCTCCCTCATTTTACCATCAACTCTCTTTAAAGAGTAATCTACATTCGTAGTCTCTACTTGTTAAATCTCCAATCAGCTTCTTAAACTACTCTGATCAATGCCAGGGTATTAAAAGCAGTCCTGTTGAGAGCCGTGATGACTTCTTAATTGTGAAAACCATATAACACAGTCTCACCTTACTTGATCTGGCAGTGGCTTTTTACAATGAAAACCCAATATTTCTTGACATTCTCTTGTCCCTCTGTTTATAAGACATGAGTCTCCTGTTTCTCTTTTGACTTCTCTGACTTACGCTTTCCAGTTTCCTTAATGGGCTCTCCTCCTCTGACCACTGGGTTCTCCTTTCAGAGTTCCATCATTTATTCCCTCCTCTCATTGCCCTGCACATGTTCTCTTGGCGATTTCACCTCTGGAACTTCCACCACTGCCATATGGAATAGTGATCCTGCGTGTGTGTCTATGTACAGCCCCCATCTCCCTTGTGTCCTTAATCAAAATTTCCAGTGTCTTTGGAATGTTCACTAATGTTTCCCTGTAAACCCCTCACCATTAGGGCATACACATTTCATTACCTACCCTCCCTAATAGGCCTTTATTTCTATTAAGAACATTGTACTCTACTTCTTCTCTTTGGGAAAAACCTGAAAGTTTTCGGTCTTCCTCTTTTTTCCACTGCACATTTATTTGCTCTTTATATCCCATCGGTTCCACCTCACAAGTATCTCTAGATTCCAGCCTTTCTTGTCCATTCCCATTGACATCCACTTCTTCTCCCGTAAAGGCCTCCTAACATCTTGGTGCCTTCAGCCTCTGTGTTCTTTAACCCATCCTCCCTGCTGCCTCCAGGCTGATTCCAAAAACAAACCCAAAATCTTCATGTCCCATTGCTATTCTAAGATGTCTTTTCTAATTGTGTAGTACGACATAACAAACCACCCCAAACTGTAGTGATTCAAAGCAAAACAAACAAATAAAAAAACCCACACACTGTATTTCTCACTCAGGTTCTGTGTGCTGACTGTGCCCAGCACACAGCTGCTCTGTCCTCTTGGGGTTCTCATGCAGTTGCAGTCAGATGTAGGCTGGGGTTGGAGTTCCCTGAAGGCTTGAAAGGGTTGATCCCCGAGATGGCAGGAGCAAGTCTCTTGACATGGTGTCTCTTAGGCTGTGCTTGCTCACAACATGGTGGATTCAGGATAGTTGGAATTCTTAAATGGTAACTTGTTTCCCCTGGAACAAGCATTCCAAGATATTAAGTCAGAAGCCGTCGTGGCTTCTGAAGTCACACAGTGCCACTTGTACCACATTCTATTGATTCCATAGGACCAAGCCTGATTCACTGTGGGAGAAAACTAACAAAATCATCAGTTGTGTCTGTGTGGGAGGGACGTCTTTGAAGTCTAGCTATATACAATGTTCTTGATTCCTTGTGTAAAAGCCACGCTTAGTAGAAGGCATATAAACATCACAATCAAGCCTTAGTTTACCTCTTTGGTTTTACCTTGTGTCACTCTCCCTAGGGTTACCTGGGCTCCACCCACATAAACTCACTCTCTTCCCTGAGTTTACAGTAACTTTCAAAATTCTTATCTGTGCATACGCTGTTCTGTCTGCTTGGAATATCCTTTTCTCTTTAGCCAACTCCTGTTCATCTTTTTACGGTGGCCAGAGAGGACAGTAGAGTCAGTGGATACCTCTATATTGTGCAGGAGGAAGGTGCTGTGCTAAGATGTCACTTTTCTGTGTGTAGCTTTTCTTTCCTTTTTTTTTTTTTTTTTGGAGGGGGAGTTTTGCCCTTGTTGCCCAGGCTGGAGTGCAATGGCACGATCTCGGCTCACTGCAACCTCTGCCTCCCGAGTTCAAGCGATTCTCCTGCCTTGGCCTCCTGAGTAGCTGGGATTACAGGTGCTCACCACCACACCTGGCATATATATATATATATATATATATATATATATATATATATATATACAGAATATATATATATTCTGTATTTTTAGTAGATACGGGGTTTCACCATGTTGGCCAGGCTGGTTTCGAACTCCTGACCTCAGGTGATCCACCTGCCTCAGCCTCCCAAAATGCAGGGATTGCAGGGATTACAGGGATGAGCTACTGCTCCTGGCTGCTTTTCAATGAACCATTCATGGCTCCCTTCTCTATACCTCCAGCACTCCTCCATACCCCCACTAATCCATTAATCATGTTGCACTGTAGTTATCTGTTTTCATGTTGGTCTCCCCCTCTAGACTAAGCCTTTGATGAACAGAATCCACAAATAACTAATTTATCTCTAGATCCTCAGCATCTTACATGGTGACTGGTACATAATATGTGCATATACCTTCTATTCAATGACTGAATGAATCAGCTTGAAGTAGTCAAATAATTCACACCTCATGAATACATGATATTTTTCAGCTTGACTAATTTTAACAATGTAAACATCAAAAATGTACTGCTCAGTGAATTTGCATGAACAGTGGTGTATAACCAATACTCAGGTTAGGAAATAAATGAGTACCAGCATTCCAGCAGCTCCTGTGCCCCATTCCAATCACTAACCCCCTCCAAGGGCAAGCACTATTCTGACTTTCTAGCACCAAAGATAAGTTTGGTCTGCTTTTGCACTTTACATAAATGGAATCATGCAGTATATTTCTTTTGTTTCTTCTTTTTTTTTTCTCAACATTATGTTGTCAGTTCAGCTACATTTCTTTGTGTATTTGTAGCTCATTTATTCTTACTGCTGCATAACATTTCCTTGTATGAATATACGACAACTTATTTGTTCTCTGGTGATGGACAATTTGGCTATTATTAATAGTGCTACTGTGAAATATCTTGTACATATCTTTTGTACATTTCTATTGGATATCAGCGTATCAATTAAGGTCCAGTCAGGAGGCAAAAATTGTATAGTAATTTGAACAAAGAAAGCTTAATATAAAGAATTATTAACTAGTAGTATTAACTAGAAGATAAACTACTATAAAGGATTAAAAGAACTCCCCAAATTATGGGAATAGCAGATACAAGGAGTAGCCACTACATAAGACTGAGTCAGACTACCCAAGAAAAGAACATATTTGGAAAAGGGCCCTCTCCCCTCCTCCCCAAATGGAGATTCAGACCTCATTGAAGGGGGTAGTGCTGCAGTCCTCTGGCTAGCAGAGAAGTTCAGTGAGGTGCTGATGAAACTCACCTAGGGTCATCCTCTGGGGTCCAGGTAGGGCACTGGTCAGCTCATTGAGAAGCTGCTGGTGGAAGTTTTGTACTTGCTAGGAAGCTGGGTGGAGCTCTGGCAGAATTTTCTGGATACCAGCTGTGAGGATACTAGTTAGTCCACCAGGGTGAATTCCCCAGGGTATCCTACATGCTGGCTGAGCACTGCATGAGCAACATGGAAGAAAGCACACCAGAACCAGAACTCCTCCCTCAGTGTCCCTGCAGCCCCCTCTGTGACAAAGCTCCACACTGTGCTCCCCATCAGAGGAGAAACGTCCACAGGGTCAAGCTCCAGCATCCCAAACAAGGCCATGAAGGGTGGATTTGGAGTGGAGAGGCCATAAATTGACAACTAGAACATCCAAGAGTTTTTTTGGGGGTCATGCCGACTTCAACATTTTGTTTTATCATAAAACCAAAGTTATGAAGTATAGCTATGATTTCATCTCACAGATCTTTTTTTCTTCTTTTATTACCCTGAGTTCAGAATTCTAACATTTTTGAATGAATAGCAACTTCTTAGACACCAGCTGTGCTCAACATGTTTAAACCTCTTCACAGTCCTCTTACCTTATAAAGAAGGATCTATCACTTTGGGAATGTTCATTGTCTTTGACCTAGTGTTGTCAGTGGGAAAAGCTGTCAAGCTTGTTCTAAAAGCCATTTTTGTTTCTAGTTCTAGACACTCAGACACATTTTGAATCATTTGTAAAATTCACTTAAACAACTTGTTGACAAAAAATTAAATAATATACCTCTGATGGAATACTGCCTGATAAGTCTCAAATTGCCAATCCTACAGAGATCTGTCATTTGATTTTTTAAAACATCTTTTCTATATCTATCATATGATGATTATTTTCTCATCTTTGCATTATGTAAATCTTGAGATATTTAGAGCTGTGCACTATAAATATACTTCAGATATTATTCATAGAGTCAAAATATTCTTGTTGTTTGTTTCATAGGTCAGATTCAAGCAATGCCCTGGTATATTAATAGACTTATGAATGCTAATATTTTCAAGGGCATTATTTGAAGACATATTTTTTCAGATTACTATAATTTGGGAGTATGACATTTTGGCTAGGAAGAAAACCTTCTTGATCAGAATATTAGTGGCCCAAGGACAAGGGCTTTGTCTTATTAGCCACAGTATCCTCCATATCTGGATGACATCTGGCTTATAGTAGGTGCTCAGTAAGTAACAGCTGGAGGGAAGGAGTGAAGGAAGGAGAGAAAGAAAGAAATAGAAAAAGAAAGAAAGAAGGAGAGAGAGAAAGAAAGAAGAAAGAGAAAGAAAGAAAGAAAAAGCAGGGAAGGAAGGAAGAGGACCTTTCAAAAAACCAGCTACTCTTTAAGGGACTCATAAACAAAACAGGTGAGCGTTTGAAAATGGTACCTGCTATGAGAGAAAGTAAGTACGAATAATTACCTGAAGAAAATTTACAAAGAACTCAAACAACTCAACAAGAAAAAAACCATTATAAAATTGGACAAAAGACATAAACAGACATTTTTCAAAAAATGACATGCAAGCAGCCAATAACCATGTGAAAAAAAATGCTCAATATCACTAATCACATAATTACACCAGTCAGAATGACTATTAAAAAGTCAACAAACAACAGATGTTGGTGAGGATGCAGAGAAAAGGAAACACTTATACACTGTTGGTGGGAATGCAAATTAGTACAACCCCTATGAAACAATAGAGAGATTTCTTGAAGCAATTCCACTACTGGGTATCTACCCCAGAGAAAAGAAATAATTATATCAAAAAGATACCTGCGCTAGTATGCTTATTGCAGCACTATTCACAATAGTAAAGACATGGAATCAACGTAAGTATCCATCAACAGATGATTGGATAATGAAAATGTGGTATAGATACACACACAGTGGAATACTACTCAGCCATAAAAAAGAATGAAATCAAGTCTTTTGCAGTAACATGGATGGAACTGGAAGTCATTGCCTTAATGAAATGATTCAGAAACAGAAAGTCAAATACTGAATGTTCTCTCTTATAAGTGGGAACTAAATAATGTGTACACAGGGACACAGAGAGTGGAATAATAGATACTGGAGACTGGAAAGGGTGAGAGGGTAGGAGAAAGGTGAGGAATGAGAAATTACCTGATGGGTACCATGTATACTCTTTAGGTGATGGGTACAGTAAAAGCCCAGACTTCACCACTATGCAATATATCCATGTGACAAAACTGCAATTGTATCCCCTAAATCCATAAAAATAAAAAATTTAATTAAAAAAGAAAAAATAATAATTCCCCGAAGAAACAAACCTTAGTGCCCATGACTGTGGGTGAGCTCCTGAACAGCAGGTACCAGAGCTCGTTTATCTAAGTACCGTACCATTTTCCCCTTTATTGTTGCTGAAAAGATGTTTGTTAAATTATATTATTGAACTGAGGTGGCAAATCTAACTGAGGAAATGAGACTGTTTATACCACCTTTAGGCGCGGTGGCTCATGCCTGTAATCCCAGCACTGTGGGAGGCCAAGGCAGGCAGATCACCTTAGGTCAGGAGTTCAAGACCAGACTGGCCATGGTGAAACCCCGTCTCCACTAAAAATACAGAAAATTAGCCGGGCATGGTAGCCTGCCCCTGTAATCCCAGCTACTCAGGAGGCTGAGGCAGGAGAATCGCTTGAACCCGGGAGGCGGAGGTTGCAGTAGGCCTAGATGGTGCCATTGCCCTCCAGCCTGGACAACAAGAGCGAAACTCTGTCTCAAAAAAAAAAAAAGAATCATGTCGAATAATCAAGTTTTCTCAGTTCTTCACTCATGTCAAGTGTGAGAAGTCTCCAAGTTTTTTTCCACTGTGCCTCTACCCCCTTGCCTTGTATAGCTGATAATATCTTTTTTTTTTTTTTTTTTTTTTGAGACGGAGTCTTGCTCTGTTAACCAGGCTGGAGTGCAATGGCATGATCTCGGCTCACTGCAACCTCTGCCTCCCGGGTTCAAGCCATTCTCCTGCCTCAGCCTCCCAAGTAGCACCTGTAGTAGACTACAGGCGCACACCACCATGCCTGGCTAATTTTTATATCTTTAGTAGAGATGGGGTTTTACCGTGTTGGCCAGGATGGTCTTGATCTCCTGACCTCGTGATCCACCTGCCTCGGCCTCCCAAAGTGATGGGATTACAGGGTGAGCCACTGTGCCTGGCCAACTGATAATATCTTAAGGGAAAAAATACCAAACCTATGGGATCATTTAGTTTTCCTACTCTGACTGCCACCTTTCTCCTCTGATTCCGGCATTAGGTGCCTGGGAAGATGTTACTAACCCATGTACCAAGCATGTGCTTTGATCTGCTGTTCCAGGAAGTAAATGCAGCACATTTCAGTTTCTGACAGTTTCAGCTTATAAAGTGATCCCATACAGAGCTAGTCTACCTCCTACATGAATCATATGAAGCAGATAGGCATTATTAGTTCTAGGAGAAATATGATTAAATGTATTTTCCAAGGCTCACTGGTGTGAATGCATGAGGCTGGGCAGGTAAGGTAAAGTGGGTAAAACTGATTTCTAAGGTAAATGTGTGAAACTGGCCATAAATCATAGGAGTTTTGCTGGGGAATTAAAAAGTGTAAGCTCTGTCTGAATACATTTGAATTTACATTTTCAACATTATTTTTCATTGTGGTAACATACACATAACATAACCATTTTGACCATCTTAACTATTTTAGAGTGTAAGGTTCTGTGGTATTAAATACACTCACACTGTTGGGCTGCCATCCCCACCATCCAGCTCCAGAACTCTTTTCATCTTTCAAAACTGAAACTCTGCACCCATTGTACAATAATTCCCCATTCCTGCCTCCCACCAGCCCCTCGAAACCTCCATTCTACTTTCTACCTCTATGAATCTGACTCCTCTAGGTACTTCATATAAGTGAAATTATACAATATCTGTCCTTTAGTGACTTATTTAATTTAGCATAATGTCCTCAAGATTCATCCATGTGATAGCGTATGTCAGAATCTCCTTCCTTTTTAAGACTAAAATAATATTCCACTCTATGCATAGCACACATTTTGTCTAACCATTCATCATCCACAGACCCTTGGGTTGCTTCTACCTTTTAGCTATTGTGAATAATGCTGCTATGAACACGGGGATACAAATGTCTCTTTGAAACTCTTTCAGTTATTTTGGGGATATACCTAGAAGTGAAATTCCTGGATCGTATGATAGTTCCATGTTTAATTTTTTGAGGAACCTCCACACTGTTTTCCACAGTGGCTGCACCATTTTATATTTCTACCAACAGTGCACAGGGTTCCATTTTCTCCATATCCTTGCTAGTACTCGCTATGTTCTGTTTTTTGTATGGTGGCCATTCTAGTGAGTGCTTGGTGGCATCTCATTCTGGTTTTGATTTGCATTTCCCTAACGATTAGTGATGTTGAGCATCTTTCCACGTGGGTATTGGTCATTTGTATATCTTCTTTGGAGAAATGTCTATTTAAGTCCTTCAAATTCACATTGTTAAGGCATGGCATACACCAATCTTTGAGCCAGATTTCTTCTCTAGGCTGCTGGCTTATGACCCCGATAATGTCCTAAGTGACAGAGCCAGGAAAAGGATGAGCCAGCTCTTTAACACCCTCATTTGATACCAGCTCATTCACTCCACCAGCTTACCCCGACAAATTACTTTTGGGATTGGTGACACTTTTAATTTGTAATATGTACAAAGGGTACAAAATTCAAAAGGTCTAGAGGATACTAGTGTAAAATAATTTTCCTGAGCCCCAATAACCCACTGCTCCCATTTTGAAGCAACCAGTGTCACCAGTGTTTTGTACATTCTTCCATTTTCTACAAAATATGTAGTTTTTTTCACTCACATGCTGTTTTTTCCTTAAAAATAGATCTTAGAGAATATTTATATTAGTAGTGTGTTGTTCTTTTTAATGACTGTATAATATTCCATTTATTATTATACTATCTTTTATTTAACTGGTTCCCTGTTATTGAATCTTTAGGTTGGTTCCCATCTTTTGCTCTAACAGGCAGCACTGCATTGAATATCATGATACATACTTTTGAGTAAACTAAACACATGGACAACTGGCCCTTGCTTGGCTATGAAACTTAGGTTAACTGACTGACATGCCTTAGATTCATAACTGTAGCATTGATAGTACAAGCTTTCAAAGAACTCCTGCAGCCAAGGATTCTTCTTTCCAAATCTCCCTATAACCAGATAGTTTAAACAAAATCCAAACCTCAAATACAAATAACACCAAAGCAGATATTTTAATACTTAAGTACAATATAAAATGTTATTATCGTATACTTTATATATTGTCTGAAAAGTACAGCCTACAGTAATTCCCCACAGATGCAGTATCATTAGGAAATAACTCATTCCAACTAACCAAGAACTTCCAGAAAACATGTTGATTTTAGAACTGAAATTTTTTGTACTAAAGCAATTTTGAATGGAAATCTTCATGCAATCCCCTGCTTTATCAAGTATGATATATTGAATGTTGGCTATCCTCGTTTGTGTACTCAACGCCATGGTTTTGAGCATCCCCTATTGCAATGTGCTGATTCTTACCGAGCCATTGGGTGAACCATGGTCTAAGAGCCCTCATATGAAATAGCCCCCATTTCCTCCAGGAAGTCGTCTGTTACCTAAGACTGATCAATGCTCCTCCAGTGCCCCCTAGTGTCCTGTACTCCCCCTTGGCCTCTTAACACATTGTATTGAAATCATTTCTTGCTCGTCTGCCCCCACCACACCCTTGTGTATGAGCCAGCGTGCCTCTGTGAAGGCAAGGGTATGTTCTTGTCACTTCTATGTACCCAACTATTAAGGATAGTGCCTAGCCTACAATAGTCACCCATAAATACGCATTGAGTGAATGAATGATTAAAGGAACAAAGGAATAAATAGATTCCTATATTCCTTCTTTGAGTCTTTCTCTCTGCTTTTTATAGCTTTTATTTTCGTCTTCTTTCACACTGTTGCTCCTTTTAAATTCAGCATGCTGCCCTTCACCACTGTCCCGCTCTAACTCTCTGCAGCTTGAGAAACCCAACTGCGCCATTAAGATTGGGTTTAAAAATGAGTAGGGAATGGAGGCCTCTCCATGATCCAAGTTTGTAGCTTTAGCGCATAATCTTTCTGAGAGGTGTTTTGGGAATTCCAAGACATATTTTGTTTTCCTCCTGGCTCTTGTGTTCTGAATGGAGTCGTCAGTCAACTGATTGCTAGATTTAAAAGTTACTGCTGTTTTGTAAGTCTACAAAAAATTTGTGAAGGGCCTAGTTATGTGGCCAACACGACACTAGGAAGTATGGGATTATCCATCACAGTGCTTGCACATGGTAAGAGATTGCTATGTATTTATTGATAGGCAAAAGAAAAGCTCAGAGCATGTTCCCATTGCCCTCAGTAATGTCTGACGTATGGAGCAATTACACAATGCCAGGCATTTTATTCAAGTTATCTCATTTAGTCTTCATAAAAATCTAGTGAGATGGACACTATTATAATATTCATTTCATAGATAAGGAAATTGAGGCTTAGAGAGATTAAGAGCCTTTCCAAGGTGCTATTAAGTTGGGAGTTTGGCTAACACCCAGATCTGTCTGATTCTCAAAACCATAGTCTACTCTACTTCACTCATCCTAGAGGCTTTCAGTTTCATCAGAGAGACAAGATAAGCATGGATGAAACTACTAAGACTTCTCAAAATACTCCAGCTTGTGACCTGGCCCCCGGTACTTTTCTCCTACTCATCTGCCCACTCTTGCCTGTGCAACCTGCCCTCCAGCCATGCTGAGCCCCTTGCAGCATGCTGAGCTCATTCCTGCCCCAGCGTCTCTGCCCTGGCCATTCCCTCAGCCTGGAACACTCTCTCCCAAGGTGTATCCATGGCTTTCTCCTTCCTTTCATTTAGTTCTGTACTTACATGTTACTTTCTCACAGAGATCTTTTTTGACCACCTTATCTAAAATGGCATCCCCTGACACTATATTTTAACTTACTCTGCTTTATTTTCTTTATTTTACCATTACTTAACAGGATATTAATTATCTTTCTATATTTTCGTTTTTATTGCCTAACTCTTCCACTCAGTGGTAAACTCTGGGAAGCCAGAGACTTTGTGTGAACCTCCAGCACCTAGAACAGTGCCTGGTACATAGTAGCACTCAATATATACTTGTCAAATGAACAAACACCTTTACTATATATGTCAATGTTCTTTAAGATAACTGACATATATTGAACAGCAATCCCATGCCTGATATTTTGCCAGATGTTTTTCATTATAGTATCTCATATATTACTTTGCCACAGCCCTATGGGAGAGGTGTATTATTTTATTTTCATTTTACAGACACAGATAAGGAAATCGAGTTCAGAGAGGTTAAAGAACAGGCTCCAGGCAGCTGGTGGCTGAGCAGGATCTGGACCACAGAGTCTGACTTGGAGTCCATGCTCTTTTCCACTGTGAGTTTGTCCTGGGAGTTCATTCTTTCAGGCTTATTTTTCTTGCAGTGCTAAAGTCTACATCTCCAAAGCTTTTAGTGGCAAGTAGTTTCCCTTCCATTTTGCCCTCATGGTATTTCAACAAGTTCTAACAGGATAGAGAAGAAAACTGAATTACAGGCTTTTCAAGCTCCAGTCTAATGTCCACAACACAACCTCACAAAGGTCAGGACACAGGAAAGCTGCTTGTCCAGGATCAGATTTCTCCCGGGATTCTTCAGATCTCTTTACTTTTCAACCATGACAGATGGCTTATGTGAGTGGTAATGAGGAGTGGTCGGAGGAATGCCAAAGCAAAGAAGGCTTTATGTTCCTGCCCACCCCACTGACATAAGGAAAACTTGTTTCCTGGAAAGAATGTCTCCCAAAGTTTCTGATGATGTGGCAATGGGTTTTGTACACGTGCAGTTTGTTTATTTGTTTGTTTTAGACAGAGTCTCACTCTATTGCCCAGGTTGGAGTGCAATGGTACGATCTCAGCTCACTGCAACCTCTGCCTCCCGGGTTCAAGCCATTCTCCTGCCTCAGCCTCCCAAGTAGCTGGGATTACAGATGCCCACCACCATGCCTGGCTAATTTTTGTAGAGACGGGGTTTCACCATGTTGGCCAGGCTGGTCTCGAACTCCTGACCTCAAGTAATCTGCTTGTCTCAGCCTCCCAAAGTGCTGGGATTATAGGCGTGAGCCACTGTGCCTAGCCCAAGTGCAGTGTTTGCAGCCTGCTTTCCTTACACTGCTGTGATCGTTGGAAATTACATCATGTCTTCTGAAGGTGGAGAGTCAGTCCCTGATCCCCTTCGGTAGAATAATCCTACTCAGAATGTGGAACCTGGAAGGCACTTGGATAAACCCAACCCATTCACTTTTGCTTGTTCTTGGGGGCGAGGGTGAAGGAAGGTGGTTCTTTCATGTAAACTGAAAACAACTCAGGATTAATATCAACTCTGTTTCTCACGAGGCACCAAAATGGCAGTCTGGGTTTTTGTTAAAAATAAAAGTTTTGGAGTTTCTTTATTAACAAACCTTTTGTTGTTGTTGCAGGATCATGCCCTAAACACCCATAATTTCATGAAACAGCATTGGGGGTGCTACAGAGGAGAGTGGGGAGAGGAAGTTGAAAAAGACGAATTTGGAGTCATCAAGCCTATAGTGGTGACAGCTAGGAAAGGGAAGGGTTGGCATACCCGCCCCCAGGGTGCTAAGTTTTTACAAGGCAGCCAGTAGAACTCTAGGGAACTAACCTTTATCCTGCAATTACTCTGCTGCAGGCAACATACTGGCCCTTACACAGATCCCCAAAGCTGGTGTCATTATCCACAATTCGCAATTTTCAAAAAAATGAAAGAGAAGCTCAGAGAGGTTAATAGTTAACCCAAGGTCACACACGTAAGATACACTTTTCTGTTTAAAAGCCTTCATGAATCTCTTATATCTTTACAGAAAAAGAAACTCCAAACTTGTGTCCAGGGCCCTTCACACCCTAACTTTCCAGCCTCATTCCACAGCCCTCTACCTCCTGCATTGGATATCCCTGAGCATGGCCGCGTGGTCCTGCTCTGATGCTTTGCACCTGTTCTTGTCTCTATCTCCAATGCCCTCTCTGTAGGGCCACCTGACAAATGTCAGCTCATTTTTCCAAATTCTGCCCAGGTGTGTCCTCCTCCTCCAGGAAGTCTTCCAAGCTCATCCTGAGTTAGGGTTCCCTCTTATGAGCTTTGATAGCACCCTGTGCTTTGTGTATCTTCCACGATGCTGCAATTCGCTACAAACCCAAATCTGACTGTCACTTCCAGACTCACACTCTTCAGTGGCTTCCCATGGTCCAGAGAATCCAAGGCCAAATTCTGAATGGAAGCGCGGCATCCGATACTCAACCCTCTTGATGTGAAGTCTCCTCCCCAACCTTTTCTTCTCAAATTGCATCGTCCGGTTTGGTAGCCACTAGCCCCATCCGGCTATTTACATTTAAAATATTTGAAAATGAAATATTTGAAAATGAAAGAAAATGAAAGAAATTTTGACTAAAAAAATTCAATTTTTTAGTCAAATTAGCCACATTTTAAGTACTCAATAGTCACACGTGGCTAGTGGCTACCATATTAGTGCATTTTACTGTGTAGATTTAAATTATAAAACGTGATGTTACGGGGCATATTTAGATAGTTAAAAGGTTGTGATAGTGAAGCAACTTAACATACCCATCATCTCAGATAGTTACCTGTGCTTTTTTGTTTTTGTGGCAAGAGCAGCTAAAATCTACTCATTTATCACGAATCCCACATACAGTAAATTTTATTACCTATAGTCCTCATGTTGTACATTAGATATCTAGACTTGTTCATTCTACATACGTTCTCCTTTGGCAGCGCTGATTTACAGAACGTGTCCATCATTGCAGAAAGTTCTACCGGACAGTGCTGCTCTGGAGCCGTCTTCCTCCACTTCTTGCATCACTTTTGACACTGATAGATTAAAACTTGTGCCTCTGTGCCTCTGTTTGTGCTGTTTCCTCTGCCTGGACTTCTCTTTCTACTCTTGCCCTCCTGGATCAATTTTACATATCTCCCAATATAAGTTCAGGCATTGCATCCTCCAAGAACCTTTCCATGAATCCTGACTGGGCTAGGAGACCCTCTCTGTGTTCTTACAGCTCCCTTTTCCTATCTCTCTCACAGCACATATCCTCTTGGGTATTCAGCGTATCTCAATTGGAGAGGCCATAAGGGCAAACAAGGACCCTGGGCCTTATTCATCTATTTCGTGCTCTGTTGGCTCCATATAGCCAGGGTTGAGCTATTTTTTCAGCACTGGAAACCTAGTGCCTAGAATAATATTGTTTCATAATAGATGCTCAATAGAAACTTGCTAAATGAATGAATGACTCTGCATGGGTCAGCAGCAAGATATCCTTGGGAGAGCCTGGAGGTGCAAACATTGATATCCACTAGAACAACAGAGTGTGCTATTAGAACATTTGGCTCTCCCCTCCCCGCCTCTCCTCCTCCTCTCCTTCTTCTTCACATTTTTGGATGTTTTCTGCTGTTTACCATAGAATAAAAGGGAAATACATAAAAATATCCAGAAAAGACATAAAAATCATCCATCATCCCAACAGTGAGAGATGATGATTTTCCAGCATTATTTTATTAGCATTATTAACTTTTATTAGCATTTTTATTAGCATTATTATTTTATTAACATTATTATTTTAACTATTAACTCTGTCAGTATTCACTAAATCAGTATAGATTTTTTAGTTTTTACATGGTTTGACATAGCTGAAAGTTGCACTCAGCAGATGGGACAAGGGACAGTTGGGCAGCTGTGCATGAGGAATCTTTCCAACAAAGCTGGATAGGGAACTGTGAGGTTATTCTCTGAAAAGAGCTACTCTCTGAAGGGCTGCTACTAGTTTGTCCAGCAAATGGCCCTTCTCTAGTGTCTTGGCCCAAAAACGTGGTGAAAAGAAGGTTCAGAAGAACTTTGGTTGATTCATAAAAACTATTCAGCAGCTCAACAAAATAGCAATGCTTAACTTTGTCATAGAAAACTATACAGGTTATTCTCCATTGTCCCTCCAGATTCATTTTCCACCCTCTTCTGTCCTGTTTTGAGCCCTGAGTGCCCCATCTCTATGGAACATGCCACCCAGGCTCTCTTGCTCTCCGGATTCTCATTAAGTTTGGTAAATAGAAGGTACCAGCCAGGAGATCAGAGGGCAGGAAGAGAGATAACTTAGGGTCTTTCTTCCCCCTGCTACTTGTCCCCATGGGCTGTGGTTCTGGCAATGGCAGCATCTTTCTACCTAGGACTATAATTCCTGATAGAGAAATCCTCTCCCATGAATATAACTCTTGCCAGGTTCCAATAATAATGTTCCCTCTCTTTGTCCCTTCAGGCCTAGGGTTGTACTGTTGCTAGCCCCTGGAGGTTTAACTATGCTTTGTTCTTAACCCCATGCACATTTCCATAGCCAGCCCCTTCATACAACTTTGTCTAATTAATCTTTTGAATACGTCATCTGTTTCCTTTTGGGACCCTGACTGATAGAGTGGCAAATTACACACTGTCTTCTTTGGGGGTCTACCTCTCCCCCGACTTAACGTAGACATTGATATTTGTGGGCAAGATGCTACAGAGCAGGGACTGGAGAACCACGGAGGCGGACAGCACGAATCCACCCGCTGTCTGTTTTTGTAAATAAAGTTTTATCAGACCTCAGCCACACCCACTGATTTACATATTTTCTATGGCTGGCGTTCGTGCTGCAACAGCTGAGTTGAGAAGTTGTGAGAAAGCCTAAAATCTTTGCTATCCGGCCTTTTACGGAAGCAGTTTTCCAACCCCTGCTGTAAAACCACGCAAGCCTCCTCCGGACTAAATTCATCATTGTATTGCAGTCTGTGCCCACAGACTCGTGTAGAAAAGTCACACATCCTTTGCCTGTGCTGACCCCACCCTTGACGCCAGTGCTGTGAAGTCAGCGTTTTATGGTACATCAGATCATAGGTTATGGCGCCAGACAGACCTTGGTTCAAGTCTCAGTTCTAACATTTACTAGCAGACCTTGGGCAAGTTTTTAGAATTCTCTAAACCAAACTCAAGTTCTTAATCTGTAAAAAGGACATAATACCACCTCCCTCCCTCATAGACTCATAGTGAGAAATGAGTAAGATGGTGTGAAGTAAAATGCTTAACCCAGGGCCTGGCGCATAACGAATGCTTTGAAATTGCTAGCCCTCTATGCACCAAGCAAGCCCTGTGCTAAGAGGTGGAAATAGAAATGTGTAATACATAGGACATAGTCTTTTGCCTCAAGGAGCTCATAGATATAATAAAAGATAAAGATGGCTTCCCTATAGAGATTTTCTCATGTCCAGTTTGGGACTGTAATGTAGCCTGAACCCTTCCACCCACCTCCCCCTGCCCATCCCCACCCCTTTTCAAACTCCTAAGTCTGTCCTGTCTAGTCCCAGTTGGGCAAATTGCAGAACCTCACGTTTGGTGGAATGGTCTCTGATATGGTTTGGATGTTTGTCCTCTGCAAATCTCATGTCGAAATGTAACTCCCAGTGTTGGCGGTGGGGCCTGGTGGGAGCTGTTTGGGTCATGGAGTCAGATCCCTCATGAATAGCTTGGTGGTGTCCTTGTGATAATGAGCAGGTTCTCACTCTGAGTTCATGTGTGATCTTGTTGATTAAAAGAGTGTAGCACCTACCCTTCTCTTGCTGCCGCTTTCACTATATGCATGCCTGATCTGCCTTCACCTTCCACCATGAGTACAAGCTCCCTGAGGCCTCACCAGAAGCCAAGCAGATGCCAGCGCCATGCTTCTTGTACAGCCTGCAGAACTATGAGCCAATTAAACCTTTTTTTGTTTTGTTTTGTTTTGTTTTGAGACAGAGTCTCACTTTGTCACCCAGGCTAGAGTGCAGTGGCACAATCTCAGCTTACTGCAACCTCTGCCTTCTGAGTTCAAGCAATTCTCGTGCTTCAGCCTCCTCGGTAGCTGGACTTACAGGCATATGCCACCATGCCCAGCTAATGTTTTATATTTTTAGTTCAGATGAAGTTTCAATATGTTGGCCAGGCTGGTCTCTAACTCCTGACCTCAAGTGATCCACCTGCCTCAGCCTACCAAAGTGCTGGGATTATAGGCGTGAGCCACTGTGCCTGGCCAGAAACCTCTTTTCTTTATAAATTACCCAGCCTCATGTATTTCTTTATAGCAATGCAAGAATAGACTAACACAGTCTTCATTATAGCCACTGCCCCATTTTCATCCATCAGGTGGTAGTATCTCTGCTCTGTTAAAGGTGATTTGTGATCTACTTGGAGGTTATCACTTCAAGGCCACCCAATTCCATGGGTTCGGATGGAAAGATGCAGCTAGTGTGCAATGTCCTTTGCCTTTTATCTGCCTCATTGGGCTGCGATGCCATGATTCATCTGCAGTAGCGTATTCCATACTACCACATCATCAGAAAGATCTCCACTTACTTATTGGCATTCCATGGGAGCCTTAGTGACAATGCTGAGCTGATGGAAGGGTCGTATGCATCATGAATATGAATATCATTATTCAAATTACCCTGGTACATGTTGAAGATAAAAGGCAATGTTTTATTTTGTGTTCATTAAGCACTAGAGGGTATTTTCCCGTGGCTGCCGACTCATTATGCCTGTTATGGTTAATGGGAGTTAAATTCCAGCATCACGTTAAGGGGAAGAAACGATCCCTCAAGTATTTGGAAACTCTTTCCTCCAAATTGCAGATCAAAGCTAGGTTAGGAACTTGTATGCTGTCTTGCTAATGGATTAGACAAACTGCATTATTTGAATTTTTCTCTCAAAATGCTAACTTTCCCTAAGTAGAAATGATTACAGACATTTTGTAAGCATGAGTGATTGTGTGATCTACTACAGCCAGCCACTATTATGGCTTTTCCCTCCAGGGGAGAAAAATTAACATTGTCTAGGCTGGTTGCGGTGGCTCTCACACCTGTAATCTCAGCACTTTGGGAGGCCGAGGTGGGCAGATCGTGAGGTCTGGAGATCAAGACCATCCTGGCCAACGTGGTGAAACCCGTCTCTATTAAAAATACAAAAATTAGCCGGGCGTGGTGGTGCATGCCTGTAATCCCAGCTACTCAGGAGGCTGAGGCAGGAGAATTGCTTGAACGAAGGAGTTGGAGGTTACAGTGAGCCAAGATTGCACCACTGCACTCCAGCCTGGGCAACAGAGTGAGACAGCAAGACTCCGTCTCAAAAAAAAAAAAAAGAAAAAAAAAATAACATTATCTAAATGCGTGTTATGTATCAGGGGCTCTGCTTATGCCTTCTCACTCACAGTGAACAAAAACCCCAATGAGACATCATATATATGAGGAAACTGAGGCCCAGAATGGTTAAATTACCCACCCCAAATCACCCAGTCGATGGGAGCGCCAGACAACAAGCCCAGGGCTTTCTGGCTTAAAAACATGAGAATCTACTGTTTGGGGCCATCTCCCAAGTGTCTGTCAGATGCCTGCTCTAGGAGAATGTTATGTTCGAGGATGGAGTAGGCATACGAGAAGAGCAAAAACTGAGCTTATAACAAAATTGCCGGAGAGGTGTGGCTGATTCATAAGAACCCATACAAGCTATCTGCTTTTGTGGTTTTCTCCTCTTCCATAAACCTGCTGATGAGAAAATGAATTAATTCTGGGTCACTGTGGGTAAGAGCTAGGCAAGTGCCCCTTTCTGTGACTTGGGAGAGAGAAGGAGCCTGTCAGAGTGAGGGAATGTGGGCAGGAAAGAGCAAGTTGCTGGGTCGTGCCTTCAGCATCCTCCTGGAATAGGAGGTTCCACCTTGTCTGTCACCTTACTGTAGAGGAGGCTTTTTAGTGACTTCTGGAAGGAAAGAAATCCTAGAAAGCTTAGCCCCATGCAGGTTTTCATAACATTTAAGACAAAATGTCTCTGCTGCCACATAACACCTGTTCTCTTGTTGTCACTCAAGATGGAGTAAAAAATTGATCCCTGCCCTCTTCATAGCATCTCTTCCTGTGACTGCTTTTGGGCCCTAAATAGAACATGGCCTAGCTTTGTATCTTCCTCCCAGGACCCATTTTCTGGGTCTGGGTAATGTTTGTGTTGTTCTCTTTTGTGCTCTCTTCAGCTCAGCTCTGTCTAGAGTGAAATGTGGGGCCCAGGAGGAAATGGAAATGGATCTGCTAAGCAACACTTGGAGAAACAGATGACTCTGCTGAGACCCCACCTGGAAGGCTGTGCTCAGCTCTGAGTACCTAATTACCAGCCAGGTACAGACAAATGGGGTGAGCGTGAGGGGAAACTCAACAAGAATGATGGAGAAGGACAACTTGATTTATGAAGAAAGATTTAAAGAGCTGAATAGGTAGAGCTCAGTAAATGATGATCTGGAGGAACTCTGGGACCATTCACTTATAGCTGAAAGTTGTAAACAGTCAGCAAGTAAGAATTATTTCGGTTAGAGCTAAGAAATATAACAAAGAGTAATGAAGAGAAATTTATAATAATAATGGACTGTAATGTTATACCTATTTCCAACCCAAGGAACCTTAAGACATTTTATGGCTAAGTATAATATACATACTACAATGAGGCATACTCAGACTGTAAAGTGGCTTGTAATTTAGCTAAAGCCTTTTCAAAAAAAAATTTAGTGGGAGGGTAATGGGCACTTTGTGTGTAAAGCACAGGGCCTTGGCTTTGTTTTGCCTGCTGCCCACTCAAAGACAGTGTAGGTGGAGAATGGTGTTGCTTTGCATAAACAAGACCACTTTCAAAGTTTCCTGCTGCCATTTTCAGAGAGGCACAGAATCCAAACCCCACTGTATAGAAAAAAGTAGAAGGATCTTCACTGTCAGAGAATTGCAGGTCTGAAAAAACAGTGGAAGTCTGCTACAGCTTAGTTCTTAACACTAGGCGATGGCGTCAGTCCATTCAGGCAGCTGTAACAAAATACCATGGACTGGGTGGCTTATAAACAACAGAAATTTATTTCTTACGGTTCTGGAGGCTGGGAAGTCCAAGATCAAGGTGCCAGCAGATTGGGTTCATAGACGGATTCACAGATGGTGTCCTCCTGTTGTGTCCCACATGGCAGAAGAGGCATAGGAGCTCCCTGGGGCCTGATTTATAAGGGTGCTAATCTCATTCATGAGGGCCTAGCCCTTGTGACCTACTTACCTCCCAAAGGCCCCACTTCCTATTACCATCACCTTGGGAGTTAGATTTCCAACATATGAATTTTGGAGACACACCAAAATTTAGAACCAGAGCACTGATGGAGTAGGTGGGACTGTAGCCGGAACTGCAACTTTTTTTTTTTTTTTGCCTTGCTTCTGTCCAGACTGTGAAATGGTGTGGATTTGACCACGTCTCCCCTTCTCTGAACCTCAGCATCCTCAGCCTCTGTCTGAGGAAGCAAACCTTTGTCCCTTTTCTGATTGGAATATTGAGGGATGGGTGAGCCTTTGCATTTTGCTGCTCTCTCTGCTTGGATTGCTTCGTCCTCAAATATCCACATCACCCACTTCCTCACTTCATTCAGATTCTGCTCAAATGAACTCATTAGAGAGACTGTACCTGGTCATCCTGCCTAAGATAGCAGGACTTTTCCCCGTTCATCATTCTCCAGTAACTTACTCTTCTTTATTTTATTTTTATTTTTTACTTTTTGGCTTTAGCTTTCTTTCTTTTTTTTAATTGTACTTTAAGTTCTAGGGTACATGTGCACAACGTGCAGGTTTGTTACATATGTATACATGGGCCATGTTGGTGTGCTGCGCCCATTAACTCATCATTTACATTAGGTATATCTCCTAATGCTATCCCTCCCCGCTCCCCTCACCCCATGACAAGCCCCGGTGTGTGATGTTCCCCACCCTGTGTCCAAGTGTTCTCATTGTTCAATTCCCACCTATAAGTGAGAACATGCAGTGTTTGGTTTTCTGTCCTTGCAATAGTTTGCTCAGAATGATGGTTTCCAACTTCATCCATATCCCTACTCTTATTTTTTTTAAGCATACTTATATCAACCTAAATAACAGAGAAGTTTTCTAAAAGAAAAGGTATTTATTTGGAAATAGGACATTACAATGGTAAAATGTGTGCCATAGTGAACTATGTGTGTATTCAGGGAGGTAAAGGGAGACAAAAGTTTTTAAAGGAAAAATGAGGAGGATTACATAATTGTTTTGAAATAATTATCCTTGCCTACACAGATCAATAACAAGGCTGACGCCAGCCCAAGGTTACACAAGCAGGTGCCGGGCAGATGTCCTTGCAAAAGTGTTTTTTTGTGTAAGGCTTTGACGGCTTTTGGGCAAAGTTGTGGTTTTTGCAGTTTTATTAGTCTATTCTCACACTGCTAATAAAGACATACCGGAGACTGGGTAGTTTATAAAGGAAAGAGTTTTTCTTTTTCTTTTTTTTTTTTTTTTTTTGAGAAGGAGTTTCACTCTTGTTGCCCAGGCTGGAGGACAATGGGGCGGTCTCGGCTATCTGCAACCTCCGCCTCCTGGGTTCAAGCAATTCTCCTGCCTCAGCCTCCCCAGTAGCTGGGATTACAGGCACCTGCCACCATGCCCAGCTAATTTTTTTGTATTTTTAGTAGAGACAGGGTTTCTCCATGGTGGCCAGACTGGTCTCGAACTCCTGACCTCAGGTGATTTGCCTGCCTCAGCCTCCCAAAGTGCTGGGATTACAGGCGTGAGCTACCATGCCTGGCTGGAAAGAGGTTTAATGGGCTCAGAGTTCCACATGGCTGGGGAGGCCTCACAATCATGGTGAAAGGCAAAGGAGGAGAAAAGTCACATCTTACATGGCAGCAGGCAAGAGAGTTTGTGTAAGGGAACTCCCCTTTATAAAATCATCAGATCTCATGAGACTTACTCACTATCATGAGAACAACATGGGAAAGACCCACCCCCATGATTCAATTACCTCCCACCGGTCCCTGCCATAACACGTGGGAATTTTGGGAGCTACAATTCAAGATGAGAATTAGGTAGGGACACAACCAAACCATATCAGCAGTCTTTTGTGATAGTTTTTGTTTTCATGAATACAAGTGTGAGACCTCTCTTCATGGCCTTCCTCAGCTCTATTTGTCAGATTTTTCTTTCATTTTTTTTGAACTTAGTGACCTCATTTTGATTCTGACAACCTTCTTACTTATCAACACCACAAATTATTGTATTATCCATATCATATAACTATTGTTTCCCGTCTCCCCGACTTGAATGTAAGCTCCTTAAGGACAGGGACTTTGTTCTGTCCATTGCTGCAACCAGCACCTATATTACTTTCTGGCCACTTATAGCATATGCTCAGCATATATTAACAACGTGAATGGACTTGATGTACCTTGGGTTTCTCAGATAAAGAAATTGCATGTGTAGTTTATGTCTGCAGCATGTTTTTAACCTCTTAAAATTCTCATCCTTTCAGTAGTCCTGTGGTATATGGTAGTGCTCTTCTCTCCAATTTACAGAGAGAAAAACTGAGGCAGATGTTTAAAACTTGAGACAAATATACATGGCAGGAACTAGATTTAAACCCAGAGCTCCCACGTCCTCAGAGCTTTCTTTGGTTCTTAGGCATCTCCTCCCAGAGTCCAAATTTTATATCTTTATGCTCCTTGCCTCCTACATTGCACGAACTTGTAGAAAATCATAAAGGCACCAGACGTGGTGGCTCACGTCTGTAAGCCCAACACTTTGGGAAGCCAAGGTGGGTTGATCGCTTGAGCCCAGGAGTTTGAAACCAGCCTGGACAACGTGGTGAAACCCCATCTCTGAAAAAAAAATACAAAAATTAGCTGGGCATGGTGGCATGTGCCTGTAGTCCCAGCTATTCAGGAGGCTGAGGTAGGAGGATTACTGCTTGAGCCTGGGAGGTTGAGGCTGCAGTGTGCCAAGATCATGCACTCCAGCCTGGATGCCAGAGTGAGACCCTGTCTCAGAAACAAAAACAAAAACAAAAACAAAACAAACAAAAAACCCCCACATAGTTGTAAAGGGATTATAAAGAAACTCTTCATGAAGAATTGGCTAAGTGTATAAAGTAATGATCTCGTTATAGGAAAATCTATAAAGCTGGGCCAACTCCCCTTGGTTGTTAATTATAGGTACCTGAAGTCTCTGGCACAGGTTGTTTGCACAATATATACTTCAGCTGGTTGTTCTATATGTACATACACAGTGCTTTGCTGTTCCAAGTAGCTGAGAAAGTGAAAGAGGTGCTTTGCTGCTGTGCTTTTTCTGCCTTCCATCTGGCTAAGATTCTTAATGGCCATATACAGGGCTGATAATGTGTTTTCTGACCTAAGTTTCCAGTGATTGTCTTTAACTTAATACTTGCTGAGGCATCAGGAGGATTCAGAGGTTTCCCTCTCTAGTTCCTTTATTGGCTAGTATCAGCATCATTTTAATTTTTGTCATTAATACTGAGTCAACAATATGCCAGGTAGCAATATGGGGACCTGGAGGAGGTAGTCATAGTTCTTGGCTGGAGTCCTCAGGAGAGAGTTTTAGCAGGAGATTTGAGAAGCTGGATCACTCTCAACGACTATTGTTGTCCTAGGAAATGAGGTTGTGATGTGCTAGTTACTGTATGAGGAGCCTTTGAAACCAGTTTTTTTATCAGCAGGGAGATGGGGGTTGATTCTCTGGCCAAGGGGAATCCAGGATGAACCAGCCACAAGGAAAAAAACCTCCAGAGACATCGTGAGGCCAGCACGATGGAGAGAACATTTGGGGCTGACTTTTCCTCTCCCATTGTATTAGTCCATTTTCACGGTGCTCATAAAGATATACCTGAGACTGGGTAATTTATAAAGGAAAGAGGTTTAATGGACTCACAGTTCCACATGGCAGAGGAGACCTCACAATCATGGCAGAAAGCAAAGGAGAAGCAAAGTCACGTCTTACATGGAGGCAGGCAAGAGAGATTGTGCAGAGGAACTCCCATTTATAAAACCATCAGATCTCATGAGACTTATTCACTACCATGAGAACAGTATGGGGGAAACCGCACCCATGATTAGGTTATCTCCACCTGGCCCCACCCTTGATACATGGGGATTATTACAGTTCAAGTTGAGATTTGGTTGGGGACACAACCAAACCATATCACCCATAAAGAACACTGCGTTGCATATTAGAGAGTGGATGCTTTGCTTTGTTTTTGCAGGTGGCTTTACTCTGTGCAACAGCTCAGTGAGTAAGGCCAGCCTTCTTAGTCCTACTTCTATGAATTGCAGAAGAAATGATAAAAGAACAAAGATTCTGGAGGCCATTGGCTTCCCTCAATTTACAATAATTCCTTCTCTTTGAGACCAGCCCCCTTATCTCCTTATAGATCCAGATGCCATTTGAGAAGGTCAAATTAGAAATACAAGAAGAAAAAAAGGCAGGTGCCAGTTAAGAAGTCCCTTTCTTCAAAGAAAACTCACCTATGCAGACTTCCCAGTGTAAATCGGTAATGATTAAGTCTCCCTTCTTCTTTCTTCTTAATCAAAGATTTTTTTCTTTCTTTTTAGTCCTTCACCTGGCAGTGAGGAGAGTTCATTAACTTGGTGAACAAAGGGAACACATTTGAGCAACGTGCTTTAGAAGGGAGGGAGTAATGTTCATTTGCTGTGATTCTACATTTTGTGAAAACAGTTGTACAGATAGCTGTATTTTGGCTTCTGAAATGGTGAATGACAGCATTTGAATGCACCATTGTTCAGTATAATTTTAGGGCATTGTGCCTGCCTCAGTGAATGGTCTTAAACTGCTCTGAGCCTGTGCAGAAGTGAGACTGGGGCCACCATAATCTCCAAAAGAGTTTCCTCCTCCATTTGCAGCAAAATTATATTTGACATGTACACCAGATGTCACAGTCATTTGTCCATTCTGAACA
Organism: Homo sapiens; assembly: GCF_000001405.40. Lineage (NCBI taxonomy): Eukaryota > Metazoa > Chordata > Mammalia > Primates > Hominidae > Homo > Homo sapiens. The sequence continues at coordinate 134,343,361 of NC_000007.14, forward strand.
TGCCCAGGAAATAATGCCAGAGACTGAAAATAGCAGAGTGTGTGCAGTTTTTTGAGCAAAGGGTGGATTAATGATTTTAATTAAGTTGGGTTTGCATGATTTTTTTCTGTGAAAATGATTTTTTAAAATTTTATTATAGTTTTAATTCACAAGAAATAATGGTATATATCATGGCTACAATGTGACGTTTTGGTATATGTTTACATTGTGGAATGATTAAATCAAGCTAATTAACATATCTATCACCTCACATATATGTCAATTGAAAATGATTTGCAGGGTCTCTCTATTAAACCTTAATTTAGGAATGTGTAGAGTTTGTCTATAAGATACATGAGGTTTTAATTTTAATGTAAAACCCTGAAGATGGGAAAGATTATGTAGAATTATGGGAAAAGTAGATATTTTGGAATCAGATGGATCTTCCTTTAAATTCTGACTCTGCTTCTTCTTCTTAGCTGTTGAGATCTATGCAAGTTGTTTTTAAAAACTTCAGCTTCAGTTTCTTCATCCATAAAAAGAGAATAATAACACCTACTTAATTCAGCATTAGAGAATTCAGTAAAATGACAGATGTAAGCCTCCTGGCATTTGGAATGCACTCAACTGACTTCAGTCTCCTTCCACCCACGCTCTGTCCACTTTAAAGTGTATCCGATGAACACACAGCCAAGGTTTATGCAGGAGGCCCTGTTTGATGTACCCAAGAGCTGTTGCTGTCTGTACCTCCAGAAACCCCTTCTCACAAGGGCCAGACAAACCGATAGTCATGCGAGCCTTTTGTAGACTCCACGGGAGGTCTTGGGCAGCTGCGCATTGCATGCCAGCTTTATTTTTTATTTTTATTTAATTTTTTTATTTTTCTGAGACAGAGTCTTACTCTGTCACCCAGGCTGGAGTGCAGTGGTGCAATCTCAGCTCACTGCAATCTCTGCCTCCTGGGCTCAAGCGATTCTCCTGTCTCAGCCTCCTGAGTAGTTGGGATTACAGGCACCCGCCATCATGCCCAGCTAATTTTTGTATTTTTAGTAGAGATGGGGTTTCACCACATTGGCCAGGCTGGTCTCGAATTCCTGACCTCAGGTGATCTGCCTGCTTCGGCCTCCCAAAGTGCTGGGATTACAGGAGTGAGCCACCACACCTGGCCACCAGCTTCATTTTGAATTCCGGTCTTTTCATGCTTTGTTCCTCTTCAGAGATGTGGTGTGACTCCGGGAAAGTCAGCCTGGCCTGAGAGTGCATTTTTGCATTTTCTGCCTGGGCAGGGGATGTGTGCCTCCTTCTGTGTTTTCAGCTAGAGGAAGGTGCAGGGTGATTCACTACATTCTTGGAACTGCAGAACTACTGCAGAAAGCCCTGCTCTCACATTGATGGTGAAAAGGAACCGTAGACTTTGTAGACCACTGAAATGTGTGCAATTAGCGTCCCAGCTTTCCTTCCAGGGCCAGTATACTGAGCAGTTATGCCCTCCCTGCTTTGGAAGGACAAGCGCTTGTTATCTCTTGCAAATAAGGGGGAAACCTTCCACTTCCACGTTCTTCTGCTTCCTTCTCCATCCTTTCAGATTCTCCCATGGATTTTCCTTTTGAACTCAAGGTTTTGTTTTTATTTTTTAACACAAGTGGGAAAAATCACTTCCCTCAAGTGAATAGCCTCCACAATCCTTAGAAATACTGATAAATGCCCTGCATGGTTTTAAAACAACTCAGGACACTGCTTCTGTAGAAGGCTTCTTGGTTTCAGGAAGGTGGGATGGGTGTGCTGGAGGTGGTTTGGGAGTGAGGAGAAGAGTGGGAGAGTCAGGTGAGGAGTTGGAGGAGGACTTATGAAAAGTAGAGAGGTGGGGTCATTGCATGAGGTGTGGGATTTGCGGGAGGGAGAGGAGTAAAGAGAATGGTTGGGGAGCCCTGCTTGCTCTTAATTGTAGAATGCAATCTCTTCACCTCCTTACGGCACATTCAGACAAGACATTTGTTCCAAAGCTTTCTGTGGGAGAAACTGTTTTTTTTTTAATACAGCCATGCACTGAGACATACCTTAAATAAAATAGCCCAGCTAAATTCAGGTGCTGGGAGTAGTCATTATTCATTTAATACATTGGACACTGGTGGAACACTTCGCTTTCATTTGCTCACTTAAACTTTGCAACAGTCTTGCATTTCTCTCCATTTCAGAGAGGAAGAAAGCAAGGCTTAGCGGGGGCTTGGTAATGTGTAAAATCCCTGGCTGTGCAGTGGCGAAGCTGGTGGTGGGTAAAAGCCCGGGTCTGTCTGGCTCCAGAGTCCAGGCTGTTGCTCATCTTCCCGAAACCCTCTTCCTCCTTTGTTATGGAGCATGCTGTGTCTTTGGACAGCAGCTGTCCTTACTGCTATGCCACCAACTCTGTGCTCTGGCTTTGGGAGTCTCCCTAGCACCTCCCAAGCACCGAGCTTTCACATAGTGGGTGCTTGGTAATGTTTGTAGAGCAAGTGAGTTCCCTGAGTAGCACACATCACATGAAGCCACACGATGCACCTGTGCTAAGCACAGGCTTTTAAATTCAGGAGGCTGCATAAGAGCATGCTGCTGGGTTCACAGTTACTCTCTCAAGTGAACAATTCATGGATTAATTATTTCTCAGGAGACTTTCACTGCCTCGGAGAAGTGCCCATTCCCTCAAAACTTGGCAAGATGAGCATAAGCAAAGAAAATCAGCAAATCTGAGACATGGTCAAGTGCGGAAACAGATGCATAATTTTTATTCAGGGGCAGCAGTAAAAGGACATCAGGTTCTTAGATTTAATATATACCCCGAGGTATGCTTCAGATATCTTTCTGATGGATTTACAAGAAGTCCACCTCACCCCATCAATAAAGTCAGGACAAAGAGAACACAGAGTGGGAAGGATGGGTGCGGTCCATCACGACACAGCTTCTCTCATGCTCCTGAAATCAGAGGGCAGAGTTGGGGAGAGATGAACTGTAGAAACTCAGCACTGGAAGGAGTTTTGAAAAGTCATCTAATCTGTCCCCCTAAATCATCTGAGGCAGGTTCATTTTTATTTTGAAAGGCCCCCAGGGAAAGACACTCGGCAACCTCTTTTTTTGGTAGAGGCATTGCAGGGTTAACAACTCTCACACGTCAGAAGGTGAATCCCCCTAATTCATCACCTGCCACAGCAAACACAAGCTGATGGAGTCTATCTATTTACTGAGGATTTATGTCTTCCATCCACTTTAAAGTGTATCCAATGAGGATACACTACCTGCTTCCAAAATGGCTGTGAGGCAATCTGCTGTTGGAGTGGGCTCAGAATTTAGAGAAAAGAGAATGCAAAAAAGAAAAAAAATTAACAAAAACAAAAAACTGAGTGGTGTGAAATATGCTGCCCTAAAGAAAGATAAAGGATGGCCTCAGGTTGTGAAACTCTGGGCTGCACTGGTTATACTGGAATGAGGTAAGTAGCAGAGAGTAGAGAGACTGAGAGGTTGTGGCTGGCGCACCATAAATGAACCGCTGTGAGGTTGCTTTGCAACAGTCTAGACATAGAGAAAAAAACTGGTGATAGGTAAATTCTGACACAATAGAACATTTGAAGAAGGACTGGTAGTGCCTTATTTTGTAATCTGTGCCACAGAGAGTCATTAAGGAATATGTGAATCTATGTGGGGAAGCTCTTGTGAAATCTACCATCATTACCAAGCTCAATGAATAAATGATATAGATATGGCAGATGGTAGCAAGAGAAGGGACCTACCCAGGAAAGGAGAACTTATGGTTCTAGTGGAGGCAGAGGTTAGACAGGAAGTCAGCCATGAGCAAGGATGCTGGGTGAGCCAGGGTGAGGCGTGTGCTGCAAGAAAAAAAGTGCTCACTCTGAAGGATAGCACAACAGATTTGTCTTTTGAGAAAATAGTCTCATCAGTCTTTGTGACGGTACTACACTGACCTTTAAGGCATCACTACATAAGAGTTTTTCATGCTGACAGGCTGAAAGAAAATGCAAATGTTGAAAAGAAACTGAGTTAACTGGGGGAAAGTCGTCTTAAATGGGTTAGAGGCAATCTAGACTGAGGAAACACAGTGCAGGTAATTTGGAAGGCTAGAAATATTCCTTCTCTTCATTAAAAGGCAGATTGTTTCAATCATAGTGTTACTATTATTGCTATTATTATGAGTACTAACTCAACATAATTAAAGTGGGATGTGAGGTGCTTTACCAAGACCAAATACCAGAATGCATATTCTTATACATACGTGAAGCACATCCTGCACAATTTCTTCAGGGCCGGAAAACAAAAACCAGAAGAGAAGGGAAAGGAAAAGGAAACGTGGAAGGCAAGAAGACTGAGGGCTCCTCCTTGTGCATTCTTGTGTGTCCTGCAGCTTAGTGGGAAGTCTGGGACATGGATGGGTGGATGGATGGATGGACGGATGGATGGATGGACGGATGGATGGGAGGATGGGTGGATAGATGGATGGATACATGGATGGATGGGTGGGTGGATGGATGGATGGATGGGTGGATAGGTGGGTGAGTAGATAGGTGGATGTTTATAGTAAAATGTCTACCTGGAATAGTTATAAAACATGAAGGAGTTGGAAGGAAAATAGAAATAGTGCCATCATTAGCTATGTCTAATTGACACCTTCTGGGACAGTGACCAATGCACACCTCTACATGCAGGCCTTGGGTCAGTGTTGGTTTAAGCAGCTAAATCTCTCAGTGGCTTTGCCCAGCTGCCTACTCCATCTCTGTACTTGCTATGAGACAGCCTGCTTGCCCATTTTCCTTATTCCTCTCCAGCTAGTCTCTCTCAGAGTTCATGGTTGATTTTCCTCTACCTCAGCAATCAATGTGGGAGTCTCCAGCTCAATCCTAGTCTCTGTTCCCATTTCACTCTACACTTCTCCCATGATTTAAAAAAAAACTCTATTTATCTTGATGGCCCTCAACTTTATCATTCTCAGCTAGACCATGCTAGATTCCTTTTTTTTTTTTTTTTTTTTTTTTTTTGAGAGAGAGTCTGCCTGTATCATTCAGGCTGGAGTGCAGTGACACAATCTCGGCTCACTGTAACCTCCACCTCCCAGGTTCAAGCGATTCTCCTGCCTCAGCCTCCTGAGTAGCTGGGATTACAGGCACCTGCCACCACACTTGGCTAATTTTTGTTTTTTCAGTAGAGACGGGGTATTGGCCAGGCTGGTCTCAAACTCCTGACAACAGGTGATCCACCCACCTTGGCCTCCCAAAGTGCTGGGATTACAGACATGAGCCACCGCGCCTGGCCTGGAGTGCTAGATTCTTATATACAATTACCTGGTCTTCTATACTACTTTGATGTCTCAGAGGCAGCTGAAGCCTAATGTGTCCTGCCGCATCTGCATCCACTCCAGGGTTTCCCATCTCAGTGCTGGCACCTGCATCCACCCAGTTGCTCAGGGCCGAAACCTGGGGAACTGTGAACCTCAGATGACCATGAATTGGCCACTGCCATGACCTGTAGCCCTGGACTAAGAAGCCAGCATAGTTTCTCCTCTGTACTCCTGAAATGGGCTCAGAACTGGTCTCCCTGCCTCCATGGTTGTTTCCCAGTTATATTGGTTCACACTGTAGGCAGAATGATCCTTTAAAACAAACAAAATAATGCACCTGCTTAAAATCCTTTCATGGCTTCCCATGGCGCTTTCAACAAAATCCCAAACCCTTAACCTGGCCTACGAGACCCAACATCTCTGGCCCTGGAGAACCTCTCCAGCTCATCCCAGTTCACCTTCTGCTCCATTTACCACACTCTGGCCACATGGGCATGTAATGTTATTAAGTAAGCTCAGCTCTTCTCCACTGCAGGGCTTTGGTCCTGTGGTTCCCTGGCCCAGAATGTTATTTTTCCTTCTCATTGAATGGCTAATTCCTATTTTTTTTTTTTTACATTTGGCTTAAATGTCACGCCCTGAGGACTGCAATTCCTGGCACCCCCAATCTACATAATCACATCCCAGATGTCCGCCATCACACCATCATTCTGTGGTTCTGTCCTGTAGCCATCTGTATTTTTGCATACTACCTCCTCTTACATTGTGTTTATCTATGTATGTGCCTATTTCTGGTGGTGTGTTTTTCTCTCTACTAAATTATTCCATGAAGACAGAAGGTGTGTTGTTTTTCTTTTACACTGTTGGTGGGACTGTAAACTAGTTCAACCATTGTGGAAGTCAGTGTGGCGATTCCTCAGAGATCTAGAACTAGAAATACCATTTGACCCAGCCATCCCATTACTGGGTATATAACCAAAGGATTATAAATCATGCTGCTATAAAGACACATGCACACGTATGTTTATTGCGGCACTATTCACAATAGCAGAGACTTGGAACCAACACAAATGTCCAACAATGATAGACTGGATTAAGAAAATGTGGCACGTATACACCATGGAATACTATGCAGCCATAAAAAATATTGAGTTCATGTCCTTTTTAGGGACATGGATGAAGCTGGAAACCATCATTCTCAGCAAACTATCGCAAGGACAAAAAAACCAAACACCACATGTTCTCACTCATAGGTGGGAATTGAACAATGAGAACACATGGACACAGGAAGGGGAACATCACACACCGGGGCGTGTTGTGGGGTGGGGGGAGGGGGCAGGTATAGCATTAGGAGATATACCTAATGTTAAAAGACTAGTTGATGGGTGCAGCACACCAACATGGCACATGTATACATATGTAACAAACCTGCACATTGTGCACATGTACCCTAAAACTTAAAGTATAATAAAAAAAAATTCACACCCCCCCAAAAAAAAGGTGTGTTGTTTTTGTTTACAAGCTTCTGTCTTCTAGGAATCTGGGATTGAGAATCAGAATGAATCAGCCTCAGCCAATCACAGCGCCATGGAAGACAAGTCCACGTGGAGCTCTGGGAATGAGTTTCCTGCATGACAGGAAGACGTGGAGAAAGCAAGCTGAGAAACCCACGTGGAAAGAGACACAGATCCAGAAATGGAGAGACAGAGCGAGAGGCACACACCTAGATGGAGACTCAGAGAGAGGCAGACATTCTCCTGCCTGCCTTGGGATTTTTCCTTATGAGGTCTCAGGATGCTCACACAAATCCCCTTTTAGCCTGGGCTAGGCTGAGGGCATTTCCATTACCTGAAATGGAAATCCGTCATTGGCCTGGTTGGAGACAGAGACAGACAATGGGAAGAAAGGCACTCTAGCAATTAAGCAAAGAATATACACCTTGAATCAATGCTTGGAACTGACCCAGTGGCAAATTTCAGGAGCTGGGCCATGAATCTTCCCCATGACTTCATTTGCCTGTTACCTGTATTTGGCTTTGGAAGGCACTTCCCTGGTCTAAGGTCTCTTGAACCATCTTCATGTTGGATTGTGGCTGTGGGTCAGAGCAAGGCCAAGGCTCTGACTGGCTCAGACACCTGTCATTTAACAGCAGAGTTAAATATAAGCCCTGGAACATGCTTTCTGTCTTTGCAGCTGCAGCACATGCAGAAACTGTCCAGGGCAATGATGAATTTCAAGTTTCTTCCTTTGAAGGACAGGGCCCGGCTAATGTGACACATCCTTCCTGAAAATGATGTGTTTCTAGGTTTCTGGCTTAAGGGTATGTGATTTCTGAAGGGTAAACATGGCCTTAAAAGGGGAAAATTTGTTCTGCTTAACTATGCAGAGAATTCCCAGTAGTTTCTTTAATTTGGTTTTCTGAATAGGGCACATTTGCATTCACTGACTTGTGGCTTTTTAGACTAGCAAATGCATCTCTCTCTTCTCTGTGTTTTATTAAATGATTAGGTGGTCTCCAAGCTACACTAACATTAGCCAGTACCCTTGAGATTTGGAGGCAAGTCCATCTAGCCAGTTTGTTTCTTTTTCTTTATATTTTCCCTCCCACATCTTTTTTCATTTTAAATCCTTTCTGTCAAGTAAGGACTGGGGCTCACAAATGTGTGTGTGCACATGTGTGTGCATACAACATGCAATGCAACAGGGTGGGAATAGGAGAGGAGAAAGGAAAAGTATATTAAATCTTGCTTAGGATAAAAAGATTGCCTTGGTCTCCAGCTCAAATTAGGAAAAGGGAAGGCGGTGGATGTTTTTGTTATTTTACAACTTAATTTTTTATTCTTAGCACATCACATAATACCCGGTGTTAGTGACACATGTGACCAAATGGCTGCTCCCCCATCAATGAGGACAGGCAGTTCTGAGCAGGGAGTCTGTCATTGCCATGGTCACGTGGCCCATGGACCCCCCCGCCCCTGGATGAGTGAGGCTGAGACGGGTGCTGCTGGGGAATTCCCATTCAGACTGCTCAAGCGAGTGAACACAGGACAGGGAAATTCTCCATACTCCAGCAGCAAGCCAGGATATTTAGGTTCACCTAAAACACCCTCTGTGTTTGGACATTTTGTTTGTTTCAATAATTTCCAACTATAAATACGGCAGGCCAGGAATCGTTGGTTGGGAATGAATTGTAAGTAAAGGGTTGAAGCTGCCTCCAAAGAACTCTGAAATTTGACAGAATTTCCTAAAAATGCAATAAAGGTTACAAAATAACCCCACAATGGGCTAAAATTGTGAATGAGCAAGACAATAATTTTCAATCAAATGACATTTGCATCCACATTGTCCTTTTGATCCATTTAGGTCATTTTCTTAGAGGTAGAAATCCTGGCTTTGAGACACAATTTTCCCACCCAGCTTGGGCAAGTTGCAACATTTCTAAGCCTCCTTTTTCTGAAATATCTACTTCACCTGGTTGGTAGAAGCATTTGATGATACAATACATATGAAAGTGTTTCACAAACTGTGAACCATGAAGATATTATTATTTCTCCTCCAAGCTACTAGGAACTATTTTCAGCAATGGCTCACGCCTGTAATCCCTACAGTTTAGGAGGCTGAGGTGGGCAGATCACCTGAGGTCAGGAGTTTGAGACCAGCCTGGCCAACATGGTGAAACCCCATCTTTACTAAAAAAATACAAAATTAGCCAGGCTAATTTTCTAGTGGTGGCAGAGGTTAGGAGGAAGGCAGCCATGAGCAAGGATGCTGGGTGAGCCAGGGTGGGGTATGTGCTGCAAGAAAAAAAAGGCTCACTCAGAAGGACAGCACAACAGAGTGGTGGTGCGTGCCTGTAATCCCAGCTACTCGGGAGGCTGAGGCAGGAGAATTGCTTGAACCTGGGAGGTGGAGGTTGCAGTGAGCTGAGATCATGCCACTGCACTCCAGCCTAGATGACAGAGCGAGACTCTGTCTCAAAAAACAAAAACAAAAAACAATGAACAATAGATAATGGTCTAAATAGCAGCAATAAGGTTTGCTAAGCAAATTATGCTACATCCATAGGATAGAATTATCTGCAGGCATTAAAAAAGACAGCAACGTTTATCTATTGACATGGACAGTTCATCCAAGTACATTATAAAGTAAAAAAGTAAATTATAAATATATAATATATATTATATAAGTATAATACATTAAGTTAAAAAGTTGATCTAAATACATTAAGTAAAAAGTATATTTTTCTAAAATAAAACAATGTTAATTAACATTTGTATTGAAAGATGTCTGAAACAATTCATATAAAAATGTGCTCTTTTCTAGAATAATGTGTATCACTAATGAAATACATATTATATATATTTTACATAACATTATATGTGTGTGTATATATACGTAATGTATATATACGTAATATATATACGTAATGTATATAAATGTGGAGAGTGTGGTTTGGAATTTAGATGCACTCATTGTTTAAAAAAGAATGTAATTTTCTCTGCCTTAGAAAACTTGGTGGTCACAGAAGGATAGGAGGATACTGGCAGCTTGGAAGGCTGAAGGAAGAGGCTTCATGGGAGAAAGAGACCTAAGGAATCTCTAGTCCCTAGGTACCTGGAAATCCATACACATCCCCCTGACCAACCAAAGTCCCAGTTAGGAAAACATGGATATTGCCTACAATATGCGCCCCTAAACCCCTGCCCCCAGCGCCTTCTCCCTCTGCCCGGACCACAGACCGTTCCAGGTGTCCCAGAGCCACTTGGGACCATGTGAACTCAATGAACAAGTGAGCAGGTTCTTCTTGTGGGTTTCAAATGAATGTATGGCAGGACCATCTTCAGACCTGTTGAGACCTGTTGAAAATCTCAACATCCTGCTAAGTTATACTGCCAGGAAAGAGACTGGCCCAACTGGATGGCTGTGGCCCCTTCGGTAGAACTTTCTGTCACTCGTTTCAGGCTTGGCATGAAGCACAGCTGCAATGTTTTGCCACTTTTCCTTGAACTTTGTTACCTTTTCGTTTAATGATTGCCAACCTCATGGGCACTCCACTGTGCATGGAGTCGGGTATGGAGGAGTGAGGTGGGTGCAAAAATAAGTCAAAATATCTCTATCCTCAAGGGCTTTATGGTCTAGCAGAGGAGGTGAATATATAAGCAACAAATTATGAGTCAAGACAAGATGAAAAAAATGCTAAATGGGCTCTGAATCTGAAATGACACAGAGCAGGATCTTTGATCTCAATCTCCTGACTAAATCCAGAAATACACCAGTCCCTCCATAACGACTCAATACTTATGTCAGTAGTTTGAGAAAGGAGTTTAAAATATCAGCTGATGAAGAGACTCTTCATGTTTAACTCCCTGCAAATATTTTTCTGAACAGATATGACTATTTTCTAGTATATGTAATCAATACTGTTTTCAAATAGCTTCTGTGAAATTTGCTAGAAAGATTCACCTAGAATGGTCCTAGCCCCTTCCTATCAGAGCTTGGGGAGCTCCTCTCCCTGCCCTCCACAGGATAGCCCTGGAGGGGATCTTAGGTTGAGCTTCTTGAAAATCGGTCATTTTTATGTAAAGAATTGGTGTGAACAGAGGCTGAGGCAGAAGAATCACTTGAACCTGGGAAGCAGAGGTTGCAGTGAGCTGAGATCGTGCCACTGCACTCCAGCCTGGGCCATAGAGTGCGACTCCGTCTCAAAAAAAAAAAAAAAAAAAAAAAGAATTGGTGTGAATGGTCCCTTTCCTCTGATAGTGAGCCCCCCACTTTCCTATCTGCAATGCAGTTTCTTCTAAATGAAATAGTGTGATGATTTTAAAAATTCAGGCCTGGGAGGCCAAGGCGGATAGATCACTTAAGCCAAGGAGTTTGAGACCAGCCTGGGCAACATGGTGAAACCTTATCTCAAAAAAAAAAAAAGAAAAGAAAATTAGCCGGGCTTGATGGCACACACCTGTAGCCTGTAGCCTCACCTACTTGAGAGTCCGAGGCATAAGAATCACTTGAGCCCAGGAGGCAGAGGTTGCAGTGAGCAGAGATAGTGCCATTGCACCCAGTCTGGGTGACTGCAGTAAAACCCTGTCCCAATAATAAATAAATAATAATAAAAAAATTTTAGGTCTGTGTCTTTTTTTTTGTTTTTCACATCAGGGTCCAACCACAGAAAATTGGGGACAGTGCCAAAATGGGACTATCCAAATGCGCTTCCGTGTGCGCCTCAAGTCTGTATTCTCTTTACCTCTCAGCAGTGAAAACTTCATGCCCCCTAGAATGCTGTCAAGGGGAGGTGCTGCTGGCAGGGAGTGCAACTGCCCAGGCTGGCTTCTCTGGAAGCAGTGGCTGAGATAAGAGTCTGGGCTTCAAATGTGTATTAGGAATTAACCTCCGTAAAAAGAAGGAGGGGTACTGGGCAGAGGAAGGAGCTGAACCTAGATGATGCTGGCCTCAGAAAACCCAGGCCACTCGGGAGAGCCATGGAGCTAGGGCTGCACCATGATAGCTGGCCTTGTATCCTGGCCCTGCTCAGCCACCAGGCACAGCTGCCCTGGGAAATTGTGACCTCCAGCGAGGGAGCAGCTCTCTACAGCTGAGGCTGACCTTGAAGTTGCGGACAGCTAGAGGCTGTCTGCTGACCACACTTCCCAGGGCTGGGCTACAAGTCCTTCCTTGACCTTGTGGCACATCTTTGTGTCGATCACAGGAATGACCACGGGGGGCCTCAGAGGTCTCTGCTCCCTGAGCTGCTGCCTCTTGCAGTGTACAGGTAGATGATATTCAAGGTTTATGTGCTCGATGCTATAGCTGCTCTATGGTTTCTCTGGATGCACCCTGAAGCTACTTGTTCCAGGGTATGCTAGGACCAGGACAGCCCCACATACATGGGAATACTTTTCCGGAATTGCCATGTTAAATTCAAATGATTTCCTTTCTTTCATCAATATGAATCTCTGCTGATCACCTTCAAACTCCCTCCCGCATGCTTAAATGGAGGCTGTTCATTCAAGGACAATACATCAGTAAGATTTTGTTTATATCCAAACTCTAACATCACAAGAAACATTCTCAGGGTGCCCACCCCATGGGGGGATTGTATAATCAACTCACATTCATTAATGTAGTATGTGCTGACTTAAAACCCAACGGGAATTTAATGTAACTTATATTATGCACCTGTTGTGTATTGGGTAAGGTACAGTGTTCAGTTCCCTGGAATGTAGAATGCATGTAATTACCCTCTTCCAAGTTAACAAACAACCCCAGGTAAAGTTAAATAATCAACAGAGTGAACCAAGGATTATGCATTAAAATAATTTTGGTGTTTTGCTGATCATATGCCCAGTGGGGTTTGGAAGGTTGCACAATGGCATATTGCTAAACATTCCAATGCCACATTACCACAAAAACACAAAACACAAAAACGTCACAAGGTCCAGAAAGACTCCTCGTGTGGACTTTGCTTCTTTATTTGCCAGGAAGCAGTTTGGCCCGAGCAGTTCTTTTTTGACTGTAGGAAGTTGAGGGCAAAGTAAATCTGGCAGACAATGAGCCCTGGGCCAAGCTGCACTCTTAGGATAAGACAGGCTGTGAAGAGGGCCCTGTGGCCAACTTCCCGATGAAGCTGTTGGCACAGAAGAGAAGGGGAGCAGGAATCCTGGCTGGCAGCTTTTACGGGAGTGACTGAGCAGCTTTTTTTTTTTTTTTTTAGATGGAGTCTTACTATGTCCCCCAGGCTGGAGTGCAGTGGCACAATCTCACCTCACTGCAACCTCCGCCTCCCGGGTTCAAGTGATTCTCCTGCCTCAGCCTCCCAGGTAGCTGGTATTACAGGTGTGCACCACCACGCTGTGCTAATTTTTGTATGTTTTATAGAGATGGGGTTTCGCCATGTTGGCCAGACTGGTCTAGAGCTCCTGGCCTCAAGTGATCCACCCGCCTCAGTCTCCCAAAGTGCTGGGATTACAGGTGTGAGTCACCACGCCCAGCCCTGGGCAGCTAGCTATCTTGATAACATCTGCCATCTAAGAGGACATTCATTTTGCCAATTTTATTGTCACCAACAACGTAATATTTACCCTTGGAAGTGATAAGACTAGGTGGATCTACTCTCTTCCTACATTAAACGGGAAGTTGATATAATCACTGAAGCTGCTATAAGCTTCTTTGAATAGCAGAGCGTAGACCTGGTGAGACAGACCAATGCCTTCAGATCTGAGCTTAACAGAGCCTGCCTATGATGACTAGTGACAGGTGCTTGCACACTATTTTCCACAGGCCCATCTGGACTGCACACACTCAACGGATGCCAATTACATAACGATCATACACAGCTGGGAATAGACCCACTTGTACAAAATGGATCCAGTGGTAATGGTGTCTCCCCATTCTCACCTTCATAGCGATGCTTTCAGAAATTCATTAAAGTTTGTTGAGTTTTGATAGTTGAAACTTAAAAAACAACAATGCGTACAACATTTCATTTACAGTTTCAAGGTTTCCCAGAGTTTAAAAGAGTTCTGAATAACTTTAATTGCCAAAGTGTTACAACTCAAAAATAGACCTAGCAAATTTGCTTGGCAGTAAGAATGCTGCTAATTTGACATATGCCCATACATTTTTGAGAGACAAATGTATTTTTAATCCATTTAGGTGCCAGGGGTACTCCAAGCCTGCACATGTTTGAAGTAAGGACAATCCCTATAGGTCAGTGTCCTCATTCATCAGAGGACGGTGGTCTCACCCCAGCTGATTTGACATTTCTTTTTTCCCCGAGACGGAGTTGCGCTCTTGTTGCCCAGGCTGGAGTGCAATGGCACAACCTTGGCTCACTGCAACTTCCGCCTCCCAGGTTCAAGCGATTCTCCTACCTCCCACTTGGTTTGACTCTTCAGGCACACAGTTTGATGCTTAACCATAGCATCAAATACTTGTTCTCCAATGGTTATCAGGGTGTGTAAACTGACTCAATAGCTCTCAAAAACTTAGCTGAGAGAAAGACTATACTTATGGAAGTTTGCCCCTAGTGTATGCATCAGAGATAGCTCATTAAGTACTCTAAATTTACCCCTGGCTTGAGGCAGATCAAAACAGCCTCACATTTTGGCCCCATTATTTTGGACTATGCTCGGTGTTAGGATTTTTCTGAACTCTGAGACATTGTGGAGAACAGGAGCCCCAGGAGACTGTATTTTGCCATAGAGGTGTGTACGGTGAAGAATTAACTTTATCCCAACATAGATCCAGACTTATCCCAGCTCCTGGAAGGGAGCCTCTAAACCTTTGGAATTCCTCAAGTGATCCGAGTGTCTTAGTCATTCATGGTAGACCCCCAGGACCACATCTGATTGTTTATGCTAACCATTTGACTCTGGGAGAGTTAGCCTTGCCAGAAAGACCAACCATATGATTAGCCAGGAACAAGACAGAGTCTTGATTGGAGGGCAAACTGTGTGGCACACTCAATTAAACGAAAAGGTGGCAGATTGTAAGGGGGCTTTTCAGGAAACTCCTCCAACAGCAGAGCTCAATGGGAACAACGTGGGATTTTAAAGCCAGACCTGGGTTCACAACTCTAGTTAATGCTTCTTACGAGTGGTGTGATCTTGGGCGGGACTCTGGAGCTTCCATCTTCTCATCTGTAAAATGGGGATGGTAATATTAGGGTCACTGTGGGATCAAATGAGATCAGGTGGGGATGGCTCCCAGTGCAGCCTGACACGTGGTAGGAAGTTAGTTCTCTTGGAAACTAGAATAACATGCCACCACCACCTGGTGGCAAGATTTGGAATTGCAAACAAAAGTCTCCAGAAGAAAGCAGTTTTAAGATGGCTTGCCTTCTACATTCAACTTGATTAAATAACAGCAAGTAGGCCGGGCGCGGTGGCTCATGCCTGTAATCCCAGCACTTTGGGAGGCTGAGGCGGGCGGATCACCAGGTCAGAAGTTCGAGCCCAGCCTGGCCAATATAGTGAAACCCCGTCTCTACTAAAAATACAAAAATTAGCCGGGCGTGGTGGCGGGTGCCTGTAGTCCCAGCTACTCGGGAGGCAGAGGCAGAAGAATCGCTTGAACCCAGGAGGCGGAGGTTGCAGTGAGCCTAGATCACACCACTGCACTCCAGCCTAGGCAACAGAGCAAGACGCCATCTCAAAACAAAAAACAAAACAAAACAAAACAAAACAAAAAAACAGCAAGTATAAAGATGGATACAAACTGGGGAAATTGGATAAAGAGGCAAGGACGGGGAGGGATTCTACTCAGGGAGAGTAGCGTGATCAAAAACACAGAGATTGGAACTATTATGCTGAATTTCAGGTTGGAGGTGTACAGTAAGGAGACAAGAGGAGATTTGGCGTTTCTCACGTTCTCATAAATTCTGCACAAGTAGACAATGTACAGGGACACTGCCTGACCCAAGGGTGTGGCCTTGTACGACATGACCCCTATATCTAGGCTTTAGAAATCCTTAGCTTTTCCAGTTACACAGAAAAGTGCTTTTTTTTGTGGTTGCCCAAGGAGAATGCTATAGTCATTCTAGAAATGGTTGTCAAGGCCTCCACTAAGGGTGGGGGGTGGGCTGATGGTCTGTGGATTCTGCAGGAGCTGCACTGGGAGTATAGATATCTCCAGTCCTGATAACTGAGCAACTATATTTGTCTACTCCTGTCTTCACTGGTTGGTCAGGGACCAACCGGATGGTTCCTGATTCCCCTCAGTGGAAACCCAAAGGGGTCATTGGGAAAATCCTGGGGTATACACAGTGGATATCCCGTAACTTCAAACAGAATCATGAATTCATGCCGCTTGAGGGTTTGATTGACGGAAAGTGACTAATATCACCTACAGGGTAGTTCTGGGCTCTGCAGCATTCTCTGAGTAAAAGACAGCATGCACCATACACCATGCACTAAAGGTCCTTGTGCATTGCTCACTGCTTTGCAAAGACTTCTGCTTCCCAGAGACATTGGGCATGGCTAGGGTGGATGGTTTTCCTTTACTGTCTCCCCTGTGCCAGCAGGCTAGCTGAGGCAATGTGACCTAAACAGTTATTGCTGTGTGATGCTTGCTGTTCATAACTGGAACTAACCCCAACCTTGGACTCATCACCCTGTGTTCTAAAGACATGAGATCACTCACTTAGAGGGAAATGTTAAATAAATGCACTCATGCATGTGTGCACCCACCTGTACACATGCACACAAAGAGACCTTGGAAAGCCACAGATAAATGGACTAAGATAAGTAAAGTAGCTTTGTTTGAACTTAGCACAGCTGGCAGGTTCTAGGCATGGCGGATAAGCAGGGACAGCCAGAAGGACTTGGCAATCTTCTTATCCCTCCTCCAAGGTGCAGCCCCTTTCTCTTATCTTTTTTCCACAGAAAGCCAAGAGGGCTTCAGAGGAGGTCCCTCCTGCCCAGAACATTTCAGACTTTTAAATGATGCCTTCTTGGTGAGCTAAAGAGGTGGCCACATGTGCTGCCAGCTGTCTCTGGTCCTAGTAAATCCAGTCTGAGCCTGGGGTGATCAAGGCCACGTGCAACAAAACCTCAGCTAATATGTCGTGACCTGGCATAGTCCTGGCAAACAGACCTTTGGGCCTGTGTGGGTCACTGGCAGAGGGTCTTGGCGAGCTGGGGCCTCTGCTGACCTTGGCCGCTGTTTGGTCTAAGAGAGCTGAGAGCCCCAGGCTTGTAGGTTTTTTTCCTTTATTGTGGTAAAATATATATAACATAAAATTCACCATTTTAGCCATTTTCAGCATACAATTTAGTAGCATTAGGTACATTCACAATGCTGTGCAGTTATCATCACTATCCATTTCCAGAGCTATTTTCATCTTCTCAAACTGAAATTCTGCTCCTATTAAGCAGAAACTCCCCTCATTCCTGCTTCCCCACAACCCCGGGAAACTCCATTGTACTTTCTGTCTCTTAAGGGTTTGCCTATTCTGAGGATGCCATATGAATGGTATCATGCAATATTTGTCTGTTTGTGATTGGCTTATTTCATTTAGCATAACATCTTCAAGTTTCATCCATGTTGTAGCATGTGTCAGAATGTCATTACTTACTGAGGCTGAATCCTCTTCCATTGTTTGTATATATCACATTTTGTTTATCCATTCTTCTATTAATGGACATTTGGTTTTTTCCCACCTTTTAGCTAATGTGAATAACGCTGTACAAGTATCTATTTGATCCCCTGCTTTCAATTCTTTGGGGTCCATACAGGACTGCTTGATCATATGGTAATTTTAGGTCTCACTTTTTTGAGAAACGGATACAGTGTTTTCCATCTGCAGAGGCTGCAACATTTTACATTCTCACAAGCAATATATGAGGATTTCAATTTCTCTACATCCTTGCCAACATTTATTTTCTGTTGTTGTTTTTCTAATAACTGTCCTAAGTGTGTGAGGTTTGTGGGTTTTTATTCTTTCCCCCTTGTCTCTTTCTCAGTGTCTCAGATTTCAGGAGAACTGTGACCCATGCAGGGGGTTTGAGTCCCGGTGAAAGTGGAGACCCTGTCATCCTGAGAATCATCCCCAGGGGGAAACCATCTTTTTCTAAGGCGGAATTTCTCAACGGTGGAACTACTGACATTTTGGACCAGGTACTTCTTTCTCGTCCTGTGCACTGTAGCAGCGGTCCCCAACCTTTTTGGCACCAGGGATCAGTTTTGGGGAAGACAATTTTTCCGTGGACCAGTGGGGCGGGATGGTTTTGGGATGATTCAAGCGCACTGCATTTATTGTACACTTTCTTTGTATTGTTATTACATTGTCATGTATAATGAAATAATTATACAACTCACCACAATGTAGAATCAGTGGGAGCCCTAAGCTTGTTTTCCTGCAACTAGATGGTCCCATCCGGGGGTGATTGGGAGACGGTGATAGATCATCAGGCATTAGAGTCTCATAAGGAGCGTGCAGCCTAGATCCCTTGCATGTGCAGTTCATAACCGCGTTCATGATCCTGTGAGAATATGAGAATCTAATGCCACGGCTGATCTGATAGGAGATGGAGCTCAGGCAGTAATGCAAGTGATGGGGAGTGGCTGCAAATACAGATGAAGCTTCGCAGCCTCGCCCACTGCTCACCTCCTGCTATGTGGCCCAGTTCTGGTCCATAGCCTGTTAGGTACCATGGTACCTGAGGACCCCTGCACTGTAAGATGTTTAGCAGCATCACTGGCCTCTACACACCAGATGCACACCTGCCCAGTCATGATAATCAAACGTGTCTCCAGACATTGCCAAATGCCATACCAGCCCCCAGCTGAGGACCACTGTTCTAAGTCCTGACTAGCTAGAGTCAGCTCAGCATATCAAGAGGAAGGGGCTGTCCCAGATCCCGGGAGCTAAGCTTTATGTGCTCCAGTTCCAATTTCCTCAGCATCTCAGTTTAGTTTAGTGTCTTCCCTCCATCATCTAAAAGTTGAGTTCAAATAGAGCTAATTTGTTGCCAGGGCACAGAAGACTGGAGTAAATGTTTGTGCAGTACCAGTAGGGGGGCACTGTTGATCAAGAAAGGCTCAAGATGGAAGGGGTGTGTATGTGTACATGTATGTGTGTGTGTGTGTGTGTGTGTGTTTGCGGGCTTGAGAGGGGAAGCTTTAAATGAGCAGTTGGTGCTCAAAACACTCAGGTTCTTATACCTTAAAACTACTGATAATCCAACACCAGCCTCACCCCATCCATGCTCCCCATACTGGCATCAACCACACTCTTTTCATGGTACAGGCTGTCTTTCTGTGACATCTGCCTCCCTTCAAGGCTGATCTTGAAGCCCACAGTGAAATTTCACCAATGGAATAGAAATGCTCAATCTAAAATACCTCAGGAGCATTTTCCCTCAACCCTACCAAGTCTACAGACCTCCTAGATATACAGCCCCGACCACACTGTCTGATTTCGAAGGACGGTAGCACCAGATGTTCCACATCTGTCTGCAGCCATGTGCTTTACTGACAATCAGGATCCATTTCCACCTCCTGCTGATCTCCCCTCAACATTGCAAGAGAGGAGAAGCCCCAAACTGCCCTCCCATATTTCTTAGAGTCGGGATCCTGGTACAGTTGAGATGGTGCCATTGAGCTGAATTTGCTGGAGCAATAGAGAAGCAGGCAGAGGCCATCTGCCTACACTGTGGCTGTTGGAAGCAAGGTCAGTCAGTGACGAATGTTTGTGGTGGCTCAACTCCATGTCTAGGTGTCTGGTCCTCACTTCAGTGGTGTGAGGCAATTGCGTGGTGCCTCACACGATTGTGTGATGTAATAACAGTTCCCTGAGTTATGGATCACAGCTAGGGTAATTTGATCTAGAAACCAATCATCCAAAGGTGACCGCTTTGCTTCTGCTTGCCCAGTGATTATAGGGGTGCCTGATTCCCTATCTTCAATCACTTTCAGCTAGAGTCCTTCTATTTCTTGCATCAGCCCCTGGCTGACGCAATACTGTTTGCTCACACACACATACACACATCCTAACATGGCCCAATCTCCCTTCTCATGCTGCTTATTCAAATTTGGGAATTAGTTATTGATCTGAGGGGTAGAATAGGCTAAGTGCTGCCGGGAGTTGACATCCAAAAGACTCTGTATTGATCTTGTCTCAGGAAAATAGACTCTGACATTCAGGGACAACACCCACAGAACAATACAAAGTCAATAAGTGAATAAATAGTTGCTAAGTTGTGCTGTGTTGAATACCACCAATGGCTCTAGGCAGTCAAAAGGTATGGGATCGATGGAGTTACTTCATTCATACAGGTTTGACCTAGTCTTGAAGGACAGGTCAACCCTGGGTAGGTGAGGAGAAAGGAAGTGGTAGGCAGGTATGAGAAGGGGCAGAGGCAGAGAGTGCTGTCTGTAAGGGTCAAAATCCTGGATTGATGTCCTCACTCTGCCACCTCTTCTAGTGGGGTCAATGATTTGACCTCTGAGAACCCCATTTACTGCATTTGAAAAACATGAAAATCCTGCGGGGTCATTGTGATGATCAAATGAGATTTAAAAAAATCTATCTGAACCTATACACCTGCATCTATCTCTACCTATAGAGATAAATATCTATTCTCTGGATATCATAATATGCTGCACAGATAGAGACTAGATCTTCTCTGTTTGCCCCTGGAGACCCAGTGCCTCACTTCTGGGCCCTGCTCTGACCCTGGGAAGCTGGTGTGAGTGAACAGCCTCCAGGGGTTCTCTCATCCTCTCACTTCTGGGTGGGTTCAGCCAGTGGGAGGTTTCCACAGGAGAATGGAGGGTGAGAGGAAAGAGGTCAGGCTTATTTCCCTGGTTCATCCCTTCCTGCCATACCATGTTCCTCTACCCAAGACCACAGCTTCTGGCCAGACCTGTCTGTCCCCTGGAGCTAGAGCTAGATCTCCATCTAGGTTTTAGGAACCGCTTCAGGTCTCAGGCAATAATGGCTCCCACCGTTGCTAGTTCTGAGGTCCTGCTCCATCCCTTGCTGGCTCCCTATACTCTGCCCACACCACTGTACATAGTCCCTGTAATGAATTGTCTTTGAACATCCCTTTGGAATGTGTCTGTTTCTTGCCATGATTCTGGTTGATAGAAAATAGAAGCTGCTGTGTTCAAATTGTCCTCTCTCCTAGGAATCTGTAATGGTCCCTTGTTGTTTAATAAGGCCAAGACTAAATTCATTTTAATAGCATAAAAATACAATTAAGAAAGTAAATCCATATTATGTGATTTACAGATTATCCTATTACTGCTCCAGGCAGCCATGTGCATAATGGAGATGTTAAGCCTGAGATTGGGCATGGGGGTCAGTGGGCGTGGCACACAGACATACCTCCATTGGCTTGATTTCAGCTGTCTCCTTCTGAACCAGGTAGGCACTTCCAGAACACCTCTCCTTCCCTTTCTTTTCCTTTTATCCTTTCTTTCATTTCTGTGCTCCACTTTTTCTTTTCCCTTCTGAAATCCAAAGGTAAACACAAGAGGAGAAGGCATGATCTTATGTGAAAGGCAAACATGGTGAACCACTGGAAAATTTCTTAGCCATTAAAGCCCAATAGTTCATTGGGCAGCTAACCTTCCAGAGGATGGCAGCAGCTGGTGACTCATGTGGACAACAGGAAGCCAAGACAGGGAGAAGGGTGGGGGATGCACAAGTTCCAGGGAGACTGTAGGTCTAATTCTGACTCAGTGCCCAACTGGCTTGACTGCACTCTCTCTCTTATCCCCAAGGTGAAGGGTCAGAGATTAAGACTCCATTTTCATGAACTAATGGCAACACCTTTTGCAAATATAGGTGTGCCACACTAATGGTGACTTGAAGTGATTTTAATAAATATTATTCATAGTGACATAGCACAAAAATGCTAATAGACTTTGAATAAGGAATGACAGCCAAGTCTGGCAGTAAAAGGTAGATTGAACATCCAGTCCAGTAAGATGGGTTAGCCCAATGAGATGGGATATCCAGTCCCATTTTATTTCATGTCACAAGCTTGGCTGAGCCCTCACCCCTCTTAGGGAGCCTCTAGGACTCTGGTGGAGGTGTCAGCTTTACTACACAAAGTCTGTACTTTGGCTATGGCTTGTTGCAGGCACTATTTCTTGCCAGGGGCTTTTGCTAGATCTTTTACTTCAAAGACCAGCTGAAGTCTCAATTCTCCTGTGAAGTTTTTCCCTTATCTCTGACTGGATGGGGTAGTAACTTTTACATAGCATTTAGACATAGGAAGAAAGAGAGAGTCACTCTAGGTTGTCTTTTCTTCCCCACAAATTTGCCTTTGGACTGAAATCATGTTTTATGTTTAAAGAATTCCCAACAATGCCAAGCTTAGGATGTTGTAATTCTACATATGAGTAGAATTAGAAAAATGTGAGAGTTGGAAGGGATTTCATCAGTGGCCTGGCCCCAAACACCTCAGTTTCCGGGTGAGAATGCTGATCCAGAAAGAAATAGACACAACCAAGTTAATTATGAAAGTTGCACTAGAACCCAGGTCGTTTGATGTCCAATTTTGTATTATTCCACGGCACTATAAAGCCTTCTGATGGCTTGGAAGCTGGCTGACCCTGAGATATTTGTCCCCACACATAAACTCAAAGGGTAAGTAGAGAGATGGTTGGGTCATGGAGGGATGAGTCACCATGAGCTAGACTCCTCGGAAGACTCCAGAACGTTCTCGGATCTGATAGCTCAACCTTAGGAAAGATGACAAGGCAAGGTACAGAACTGATTCATATGTGCTAGATAAACATCTGAAGACATTTCCCTTTTGTATCTGGAAAGCAGGGATGGCAGGTCTGAGATGTCAGCTCCCTGAACTTGGTTCCTTTTGCTCCCCAGGCTATGATGGGATTCTGGTCTCTATATTGTGGCTGGGCCCTTAAAAGCAGAAAGAATTCACTTCTTCTTGCAATGCTGATCCCTGGCAATGGGAATTCCCTACCTGAAGTTAGTGTTTAGATCTACTGTTTGAACTTAACTGCTTTATGAGGGATGCATTTCCTTCCTCTCTCCATGTTTTCCTGCTGCTAACCAGAGCCTTAAGCATTTGGCTTTGGCTTTCTTGCCATTTTTGCTGAGGTCTATTGCTTTCTAATCAGGAAAATTTTTTCAAGAAAATGACAGCTCCTCAGAGACCCACAATACCTCAGCTCTTCTGTGGTTCATGCAGACCTGAGCAGCAGAAACATACTGTAAACATAGATTGTGTTCTGTTCACTCAACAGACATGCATTCCTTGTGTACCATATGCCAGACCTGCAAAAGGCATGGAGGATATAGTTAGGGTGACACAGTTCCTGCCCTCAAGGAGCTTAGTACCTGGGGGAAAGACTGCCAATTACACTACAGTGTGATGAATGTTAAGGTGGGCATTCCAGAATGCTATGGGGGCATTAGGAGGGGAAGGTGGCCCACTCTTAGGATGGGTGCAGTGCAGTGGTCATACTTGCCAAAAGAAATCAGTCCAGGCAGGGGAAACTGCATGTACAAAGTCCTGGAGACCATCCTGAATACTCATTACGCAATGCCAACAAAGTTGTGTGATGTTGCTAGGCCATGAAGTTCAAGGGCAGAATAGCAAACTATGAGGCAGAGTCAGTAAGATGAGGCAAGCTCACACATAGCCTTGCAAACCACATGAAGGAGATTTAACTTTATCTCAATGACAGTGGGGGAAATCAGTGGAGGTGTTGGCATGGGTGTGATGTGATGTCACCAAGGTCCCAGGTGAGATGTCACATGAAGGTAATAACCATAATGATGATTATGATAATTATTAGTATTGGTGGTAACTGTAATGTGTGGAAGGAAAATGTCCCTGATTGAGGAGGTGAACTGAGACAAAAAAGGCCAGCTTCTAGGTTTATAACAGTATTGGAGTCTGTGATCATTTTCACTAGTAACCATTCTGGGAATTGTCCTAAAGAGAAAAGGCAAACAGAACTTCAGGCACAAAGATATTAATGAAAACATTATTTATATAAACAAAAATGTGGGAATATTCAAAATTTGCAATAAGAAAAGGAAGAGTAAATCAATGATATTACATGCCTAAAATGAAATACTAAGTAGCCATTGACATAGAGTCATCAGACTTTTTTAAAGACAAGGCAAGATGTTTATTATATAAATGAAAAAGTCACGATCTTACCTATGGGGGAAGTGTGTGTGTGTGTGTGTATGTGTGTGTTTGAATTACATTCTAGCTTTTATTTTACATTTTAAAATATTTTGTAATTTTATACCATGAAGATAAATTTCTTTTATCATAAAAAAAACTAGATGGGTGTGATGGCACATGTCCCGGCTACTTGGGAGGCTGAGGTGGGAGTATCACTCGAGCCCAGGAGTTCAAGGCTGCAGTGAGCTATGATTGTGCCACTGTACTCCAACCTGGGTGAAAGAGCAAGACCTCATCTCTAAAATAAAATAAAAATATATATTCATTGGAGTAAAAAATATTTTGATAACAATGACCATCATGAACTTCTTTACAATCACTCAGTTCTAAATCACATTGATGGGCTGAAGAGGAGGAGCAGATAGATATTCAGTAGAAAAGGGCTGGTATAGTTGTCCATACTGTTTACTTCTGCTTCCCTTCTGATTGGTCAATACCCTGTCATACTGTGGCTAAATATTTTGAATATCACCCCTGGAGAGGAATTTGTATTACGAGAAGCTTCATTTCCAAAGCAGCATCTTCCTAAGAATGTGTATGTAGTTTCGGCAGGAAAGGCATGGGTTCTAATGCCAGTCCTGCTTCTTACCTGCTGGGTGACCTTGGGCAGATGGTTTTAATCCTTCTGAGACTTATTTATGGAACGACAATAACCCCAGAACTAGTGTAGGGTGGTTGTGAGAATAAATGCATGTAGGTAAAAGCTCTGGCCCTAATGAGCACTCGATGACCTCATCTTTCTTCACAGTGTATCAGAGGTACCACATACTTCATTGGTGGTTAGTCTTGTAGTCATGGGATCTCCAAAAAACCCTTTCCCAACACTGAATTCACCAAGTATCTGTTATGTCTGCCTAGTCTTTCAGGCTACCAAAAAGCTGTTGAGTATTTCTCTAAGAATTGCTGGTTTCATCATTGCTTTCAATGGTTCTCCTGGGCTGGGCCATTGTTGACATGGAGCATTTATTTGTTGACTCAACTCAGGTGCAGAAACTTTCCATCAATACTCACCACCAGCACACCTACTGTGTGAACTTCTCAGGTGGTTTCTGACTGGGCGTGTGAAACACGTAAATATCCATGAAAACAGAACTTTCCTGAGAGTTTTCCATCAAAGTAAAACCAAAGCTACTTCTTAGTTTTCTTTCAGCCAGAGCAAGATTTTCTGGTGGGGTTGTGATACTGCAGGAGGCGATGTGTGCATGAAGTGTTGTGATGACTGAATCCATTAAAACAGAGAATTCCAGTGCTCACTGATGATCTAGCTCAAATTCCCCAAGATCTTGTATTACCAACAAGATTGGTTGTTCAGTTAGACAGAGCTCTTTTGTGTGTGTGCAATGGGAAGTTTCCTGTATTAACCTATATAATTAATTTGCAGACAAGAAAAACACTGCAAACATTGTTAAAAATGCATTTTATGTTCATTTTTTTTTTAATTTTTTAAATCGGGATTTGATCTTCAATGCTACCAAATCACCTCTAGTAAGACACAGGTCTGCAGTTAGTTTTTGAAGTGGATCCAGGATGGTGGTCTGAGGTTGCCTGTAAAGAATGAGGTTTTTCTGGCCTTTGGCCAAAGCAAAGTTAACTAACGGAAGGGATAAAAATTGTCTTGTGTGGGCCAAGCTGATGTTGCTCAATAGGTATTTTTTTGAATTGTGAGGAAAAGAGTTGCCTTATTTTTTCCACTTCTGGAATCATGAGAACCAGGGCTGGGAGTGAAGTTGCATGAGTCACAGCAGTGCATACAATTTTCATATTGACTTTCAGATGTCAACAATTCCTTTATCTGCATTATTTAACATTAACCAGGCACTGCCCAGACCTGCCCAAACCCTGTGTATGTAAGATGTTGCCCTTCTGCACCTGACAGCTTCCAACTCAGAGAGCTGAGGGAAAGGGGTCTCTGAGTCCTGGATATGTCCATCACCAAGCTGCTGAACAAAAGGCAGACACTAGGTGCCTTTGCACTTGGAGCCAAATCACTACTGGGATGTGGGATTCCTAGCCTGTGGCAGATTCTAATCTGGGAACTGGAAAGGGTCTTGTAGTAAGGAAAGGGCAGGCATTCGATGCAGGTGTCATGGGAGCAGAAGAGCTGGCTAGCAGCCTGACAACTGAGGAGGAAGGCAGAAAATCTAAACTCAGCACAATCTGTAATCCTGCATGGTGCAATCACTGACATCCAGTCCTGCTGGTTTCTCTCTGGAAGAAAGCAGAGAATTTTATAATGTGTTTCAGAAAGGTGTCAACATTCTCATCAATATCAAGGAAAAATTATTTTTCTATTTTTAGATGACTGGCAATTATCAGATCCTGGGAGAAGGACAAGGCAAGATGCCTGCCTGGGGAAGCTGGGCTTTTGTAGGAAGAAAAAGGAATTAAAAATGCAAGTTGGCTTCTGATAAGTGCCAAATAAATGATTTAGGGGGTAATTGCCTTGGAATTGAAAGAAATGAAAATAATTAGGGCTCCCCTAACCACCCGCTCCCAACATTGTATGACCAACTTCCTAGGGAGGGAAAATATATTTATTGGAAACATGATAGAACTGTCAGAAACCCAAGAAATCAATTACATAAATTGTGAAGCATAAGTCACAATGCTATTTGTTCTACAAGAGTGTAGAATTTGCAATTTTTCATTAAGATAGAAAATAAGAACGCACCACTGCTTCATCCAAGAGAATCATGCGCCCTCCCCGCCCCATGGTCCTCCTTGTTTCAATCATGCTATATCTGTGCAGGTGTTTTTGTTACTAACATTTGTCATTTGAGGTATATGAGAAGTCATTGGTCATCAGGTTAACTCAAGGGTGAATTTTATTTTTGCGTCTTCTGATAAGAACATTGGCTCTCATTTGTATTTAATGAGGCAATTAAACAGAGAAAATGGCCATGAGGAAAAGTAGATGATACGCCTCCATCAGGAGTCTACAATGTTGGCAGATCACTTTGTCAGAAATGTCAAGGACTGGCGTCATGAGTCTTGAAGGATTTAGGCAGGAAAAGAGACTAGGAAATTTTCCAGGGACTGTTATGAAAGACATGGAGGTGTGCATCAGGAAACACCTAGGGAAATAGTGTGACTCAAGCAGAGGTTTCTCTGTAGGGACTTGGGGGAAATTGATTTAGGGTGGTAGGTGACATGGTGGGGTACCAACGAGTTGTTATTGCTTTGAGAAAACATGCAGTCTTGGGTTCAGCTCCCTCAAAAGCAAACCTTGAGTGAGGAATTAGGTCCGAGTAGTTTACTGGGGCTGGGGAATGGGCAGGAGTGGGGAGAGGTGATTCCAGGAAGGATGAGAAGCAAGTGGGAGAGTGAGATGGGAGGTGGGAAAGCCAAGGAAGGGTGAGTGGATATGAGGATTATTACCATGAGCAACCAGGACTCAGTCCCATCAGGTCCTTGGAGAGACTTGAGGAACACATCTCAGGATTGTCCCACTGAGGTATGAGGAAGCTGAGGTTTTCATTCCAACTCCATCTCTTATTGGCTTGAAGGTCGCTCTTGGGGCTTTAACTCCCTGGCACTTCTAGTTGTCCCAGGAATGGATCCCAGTATGGGGCCAGAGGAAACCTGGTATGGGGCAGAGGGAAACAGGTGCTGGAGGTGACTACCATCACCCTCTATGGGAAATGTCGGCCAAGCTGCAGGTGACCTCCAGGTGGGCAGAGGAGATACGGGTGGGCCACCATCAACCTTCCGCCATGCGTTCTTCCTGCATCCAAGGAAATGTCTAAGAAGAAAACATTGGTTCTGGTATCCCCAGTGGCCCCTTTCTCCCTGCTTCTGTGCTCATGTGTTTCCCTTCCCATCCCACCCACCAGAACCCCTGATCCCTGTATCTTTCCAAGTAATTGGGTCAGGGTGAGGGCTCAAAGGAAGCTTTTGCTGTATACCAGGTGACCAAGCAAGGGATGTTTAATTATGGAATTTCAGCTGATTGAGAAATAGGTTTTGGGGGAGACAGAGACCAACCCAGAAGTTTGGAATCACAGTTACCTTCCAGGAATCTGCCAGATGTCAGGTAACTCACTGCCCTGGGGAAACTGGTGGGTTTTGTTCATGAACACATAGGACCATTTTATCTTCTAAAAGGCTGAAATCCGGGAGACATTCTCCTGTCGACATTCAGAATTGCCACAACTGTAAGCGACAGTGACTTTAGATGGGTATCTCTATAAATTGAGGATAAGAAAATAAGAAAGAAGCTTTAAAAATATTAATTGGAATAATTCCTTTCAACAGGAGATCTTTCTTGCTCTTACAAGAGCAGCAAAAGAGCCCAAACTATCACAGAAACCATCAAGCAAGGATGGAGTAAGTCATCCTACACCTGAAATTATGAAATTCTCTATTCTTGACGCATGCAGTTATCACCACGGCAACTGATTGTCATGGCCTAGTGCAGACAAGAATACAAACACAAAGAGAAGTGGCATGAGCGGATGAACTGCGATTCTGTCTCTATGCAAATAGTCTAAGTCAGAAAAATGAAAAGAAGAAAATCTCTTAACATGAAAGTAGAATTAGGTAGGAATTGATTTTTCCCCCTCAGCATTTCTTTTTACATAGATTATTTTTTAAGTGGATTTTTTTTTGTTTTGGTCTGGGGGGATGACAAGCCTGTTAGGGACTGGAATAATAAAAATCATAAATCCGGAAGGAGCTCAAGGGGTCACCTTGCTCAGCTTCTGGTTTTCAGGCAGAAGTGATCAGTAGCAATGATGTTCTGAAGGAGCCCGCGGGAAGGATGGTTCCAGTCTTTTTCAATATCCCAGCTTGCATGTTTTCACCTCTCCAATAGGACAGTCCCTTCTTACATCAATTGTGTATCTCTGTCCTGAATTTTAAGTCCGTGTTTTATATTCTGTTCTCACTGACACACTGAGCACAGCTGGGTACCATGCATGCTACACTCTGCATTCTCGGTAATATATCTACCCTGGGTACTCTGGCTTTCTGGTATTCCTGAATCAGTAGCATTGGTCCTACATGAAATGACTAAATAGAAGGGAGTGGGGAATAATTGGCTGGGGTGGAACTGCAGACTGCAAGTTGTCTCCCCAAATTCATGACATTTACTAAATTCCTAAATTTCTGCAAGCTGGAATATGGGCATGGCAGCAACTCAACTTCAGCCATCCACACCCAATGCCCTAAGAAATCATGGAGCAACAAGGTGGAAGGAACAGAGCTGCCCCTCCCACCTGGACAGCCCACCTTGGACCTGGTACTGAGAAAGAAACAAACTCTCCAACTGAAGGCAGCTGCACATTCAGTTTCTTGTTGGAGTAGCCTCTGTTGTACCCAAACAGTACTACGGCACTGGTGCTCAGCCCAGCCAAATAGGAGGGACTCCATGTCAAAGAGCCATTCCCAAGCCAATGATTCTCAATGTCTTTTTTTTTCCCACCATAATAGACATGATGAATGACATTTACATATTCAACAGTCTCATGGGCAGACTCAAATTTTGAAGAAACTGCCCCAAATCCTTTGGTCAAGTGAAGCCCCAGGCTAGCCCTGGTTGCCCACAAGTCTGATAGTCCCTTGCCAGGCTGCTCAGTGTAAGTGGAGGCTGGGGAAGCTGGGCTGGGGTTATGCACAGTTCCTGGCCCTCAGGCTGAAACATCCCCAGTTCTTTCCCACTCTAGAAGTAACAGCGATGTGCAACAGAGACTGCACATTTGGGTATTAAAATGTGTGAATCACTCACAAACTGGCAGGTCAAGACAGAACCATGGTGAGCGCTTTCCCTTGGCAGGTTGCATTGGTGCAGGGACTTGAGCAGAGCCCTAGGAGAGAAAGGAGAAAGGGCCTGAGGCACTGCTCCTTCTTGACGCCTAGTTTTTGTCCCATAGTAATATTTACACCACTTTCCAGACCCCGTTACACTTTATGTCATTGATTCTCACTGGTGGTTGTGTTTCTTAGAGAAGGAGAAGGAATTGGATCCCAAGTCCCCAAGGGCACCACCACTCTTGGGGGCTCCCTTGCAGGGGT
This sequence comes from Homo sapiens, assembly GCF_000001405.40. Taxonomy (NCBI): domain Eukaryota; kingdom Metazoa; phylum Chordata; class Mammalia; order Primates; family Hominidae; genus Homo; species Homo sapiens. The sequence continues at coordinate 134,373,349 of NC_000007.14, forward strand.
GCCTGCCTGTGATACAGGCACTTGGCTGCTTTACTCCCCAACTCCACCCCTATGTGGTTTTTATCCCTGGCAAGCTGGCTGGGCCAGGACACCTGTCAATTATTTCATTTGTACCCTGAGCTTGTAAATCCCCAAAATTGGAGACAAGTCTTGTTTAATTTAGAAAGTTTATTTTGCCAAGGTTGAGGACGCGTGCCCATGACACAGCCTCAGGAGGTCCTGACGACATGTGCCCAAGGTGCTCAGAGCACAGTTTGGTTTTATACGTTTTAGGGAGACATGAGACATCAATCAATACATATAAGCTGAACACTGGTTCCATCTGGAAAAGGCGAGACAACTCGAAGCAAAGGCAGGACAACTCTAAGCGGGGAAGGGGCTTCCAGGTCATAGGTAGATAAGAGACAAATGGCTGCATTCTTTTGAGTTTCTGATTAGCCTCTCCAAAGGAGGCAATCACAAGCATTTATCCCAGTGAGCAGAGGGGTGACTTTGAATAAAATGGGAGGCAGGTTAGCCTTAAGCAGTTCCCAGCTTCACTTTACCCTTTAGCTTAGTGAATTTGGCACCCCAAGATTAATTTACCTTTCACAAGCTGTAGGCCTTGTTTGGAGCCAGGGGAAGGGTGTCACTGTCCCCTTTCCCTAAGGCACACACCATGGTCTTGGCCATCTGAGTAGTAGCACTCAGAACCTTTCTTCTGAGGGACTGAAGCAGATCTGGTCCCAGCTACACACTTGATGCATCTCCTACACAGGGCACTGGCCTGGTCCTTGAATGCTCCCAAAGGCAGGGTCCTTCTAGGAGGGGTAGCTCCAGATCTTATGGCACCAGGCATATGAAGAGGAGAAGAGAATAAGGCCATCTTAAAAAAGAAAACCCCCCAAAATCCAAGGTAGGAATAGCTCTAAGACAAGACCACACTAAGGAGAAGTTACTCCACTTAGAAAATAGGAATTTAAATCTTTTTAATCCTCCTCCTAAGAACTTCTTCCTGTAAGTCAGAGTCCAGCTTTTGACCCAATCAGTTATTCTCCCCAAACAGTGGGTGGAGTGGGTGTTGGAAAGAAAAAACCTTGAGCACCCGATAGAGGTTGAATGGGACACACTCTTAACAGCCCTATGAGGCAGCAAGGACTGTTTACTATCTCCATTCTACTATGAGGAAACTAAAGTCCAGAGAGGGTAAATGATTTGCCCAGGATCACATGACAGCTTAGAGGCAAAGCCAAGAATAGTTCAATCTACCTGACTCCCTCCCATTCATGCTTCTCCACTGCCTCAAGATGGCATACAGCTTCTGCATCCCCTTCTCAAATCTCCCACCCCAGAAACTTACCTGATTATTTACCCATACATACTGACATGTCCTGAAACATAAACCCACCTTCCTTGGTTAGAATTGCCCTGGAAGCAGAGCCTGGACGAGGACTTCAGTGTAGATGGCCTTTTGGGAGGAAATCCCAAGAAGCAGGAGTGAGGGAGTGAAGAGAGAGTGAGATGCAGAGGGAAGAAAAGCAATGGGATGTCATGGAGCTCATTACAGCTGTGGTAGCTGGGGCTTGGTCTCACCAGGCTCCTCTCTGAGGAACCCTGTAGGATGCTTCTTAGATTACCTCGCCAGCTGGGCATTTACCCTCTAACTCCTGTCCCCCACTGGTTGAAGATCGCCCACATAAGCTTCAATACTGCCCCTCCCACACTTCCAGACTGAGTAAGATCCACGAACTTCAGAAGTTGCCCCTAAGCAAGAAAGTGAAGGCATGGGGCGAGTGTCCAGCCAGTATATATCAGAATGGCCCAGCACAGCTGCACTGAAATCAGAGGTGGGCTGAAGGCAGGGCAAGAGAACCGCTTCACCACCCTTAAGACAGTTGGGGTCAAAAATGACATGGAAAGTGGGAATGACAGTGAGCGACTGGATGAATGAGATGCATGCGGGTGGCTGGGGAGGATGGACTGTGATGAGTGGTAGGAATCTTTTGCCTCCACCTAGGTTTTCTTCCAAAAAAAGCCCAGAATCTTGAGTCAGAAGATTGGCTCAAGTCCCAGCACTGCGGGGATCCATCTGTTTCACCTAGGACAACTAATTCTGTTTCTCTCACATACGTCACATGATGTTGTGAAGACCAACTGAGCTAATGTACACAAAGGGCTTTGTAGTGTGACCCGCTACACACAGGTGAGTTGCTGTTGTTGTTAGAGACTGTAGTGTAAGGGCTGCTTGGGCTGTAAAAATCTCATATCCTTTCCTTCAGTACAACCAGTACCTAACTTTTCCATTTCTAATACGTAATGCAATTTTAACCTACAATGTATCAATGCTCCTTGCCCCTGGTTCTGCTAACTTTCATTAATTTTTCTCATTTGTCTTCTGTTAAATTGCTTTAAACATGCTTGTTTCAAGCTCTTAGACTTCGCTGCTGGGAGTAGAATATGGTAGAATTCATATGAAGACCAAGTTGGCAATATCTATCAATATGATAAGTGCATTTATCCTGTGGGCCAGCAAAACCACTTCTGACAATTTATTTTTCCTGATTATCTGCACACACATGAGATACTTAAGTACAAAATTATTTATTGCAGTATTGTTTGTAATAGTGGGAGACTGGAAAGAGCCTGAGTGTTTACAATAGGGTATTTGTTAAATAAACCATGGTACATCCACACAGCAGAATCCCATGCAGTTGTTACAAAAAACACATCCCAAACCCCTGTATGTTCTAATACAGAAAGAGCTCTAGTTTATATTGCTAGATGATAAAGTAAGATGTAGACCACTATAAACCGTATGCTACCTTTTGTATATGGTAAGGAAAAAAACTGAATATAGGAGAAAATAATAAAAATGATTACCAGTAAGGGTTGAAAGCTGAGAAGTGGGGTGAGCAATGTCAGAGATGAGAGTGTGCCTGTTCAATGCATGGCTTTTTATTCATTTTGATATTTGAGCCAATGTATTGCCTACTCAATAATAATAGTAATAATAATAACAATAATAAAAAAAATAGTCCAGTTCCTGATTCTTTCACCAAATGAAAATGGGAAAACATAGCTGGGAGAGAGAAGCAGACTTGGTTTACCAGATGGCTGGTGGCAGAACTAAAATTCTAGTAACAAAGGGCTTGGGGAAATTCACAATTGCCGGATGTCTATATGCTCTAATGACTCTAGTGCTCTGCTGTTATTAGGAACTTTGAAACAAGGAATCAAAAAGTGCTCCAGTCAAGTTCACTAACTACGCAAATAGGGTGGGGAGAGATATGAAGGTTTCTTAACATTATTACCATGATTATTTATCAGGAGCTTTTGCATGATTTTCTCATTTGATCTCCCCAACAACACTGTGGGATATTATTATTATCATCATTGCCTCTTTTTTATAGATGAGAAAACTAATCTCAGAGAGGTTAGAAAACTTGCCTGAGGCTACAAAGAAAGTTGGCAGTGCTTCCAGGATTCAAAAATCAGGCTTATTTTGATTATGAGAGAAAAAAATAATCAGATATAAATCCAAATTATCCTACTCAGCTATTTGTTCAAAAACTGTTCAGTGAGCATCTAAGTGGCAGGCACTATATGAGAACCTTGCTATGTATCTAGCAGATTGACTTTCCTTAAATATAGAATTGATGCCTTTTGTAGTGTGTTTCTAGGGTTCTCTGTTTCCTGTTCTGTAGAAGGTATGGCAATCCTAGCCACTTGCAGTGTGAGAGGTGATCAAGGTTGACCCCTTTTATCACAGATTTTCACTCTATTGATGGTTGTTTAAGCCCTCCAAGAATGAGGAGAGACAGTAGAGTCCAGGTTACTGGCTCAGGTGCAGGTATCCTAAATTCTGCTACTTTGTGGCTTAATGAATGTCCTGTAGTCTGATCAATCAATCCTTGGGGAGGAGGAGCTAGTAAAAGTAGCAAAAAGAGGGCAGAGGTAGAAATGTGGTGGTTGGGGGGTAGAGGTATCCCCCTGTTATCCCCCCATCTTTCCCATTTACACACTCATATCTGAGCAATGTTTCCCTTGGACTGTCAGAGAAGTATAAATAATGAAATTCCCCAAATCTCAGTGAGAGAATAGACATAATTTTATATTTGTGTTAACAACCTAAAAGAAAGATTTCCAGCGTAACTGAAAGCTTTTGGTAAAATGTGATGCTGATAAGTATTGAACCTAAATGATACTTTTCAGGGATCTTTCTCAGGCTGTGCCTGAAAAAAATGGTTATAGAAGCTCTTTCACTTGTGTGAAGCCCACAGGACAAGAGGGTGACTTTTCCTGATGGCCCTTCTGTTCCAAAAAGGAAAAAAATACTGAGAAATTTGGGAAATCCACCACATCATATGACATCCATTCACAAAACAACTTACAGCACTCCAGAGTTTGTCAGTAAGAGGACCCAGAGCAGTGCCTGCCTATCTAGGACTTGTCTGAGAAACTTCCCATATAGTGCAGCTTTTTCAAGTCTGAAACACCAGATTTCCTTGGGTATGTTATTCCCAACATCCCTCTCACTCACGCTAGATCCAATTCCATCCGATCTGAACTGTTTCCCTAGTTTTATCTTCCTTGAAAGGTACTGAGCTCAGAGAATTAAGAGTCACAGGGAAGGCCAGGTGTGGTAGCTCACGCCTGTAATCCTAGCAATTTGGGAGGCTGAGGTGGGCGGATCACGAGGTCAGGAGTTTGAGACCAGCCTGACCAACATGGTGAAAACCACGTCACTACTAAAAATACAAAAATTAGCCAGGCATGGTGGCGTGCACCTGTAATCCCAGCTACTCAGAAGCCTGAGGCAGGAGAATCACTTGAATCCGGGAGGCAGATGTTGTAGTGAGCCCAGATCACGCCACTGCACTCCAGCCTGGGTGACAGAGCTAGACTCCGTCTCAAAAAAAAAAGAGTCACAGGGAAGACAATGGTCAAGATGGACATTTGTCCAAGCTGGGAGACTTAACAATAAGCGAAAGGCAGCTCATTTCAAATCCACCAAGACAAGAGCCATAATTAAGTAATTCTAATTCCCAATTCCTATTCATGTTACGAAAGGCCTTATAGTTCTCTTCACCCTCTACCCAGCAGGGCAGGTAATGCCCTTCAAAACTTTGCCACTTAAGCACCCAGTCCTCCTCTCTGTTAGGACACATGGGTGATGATGTTACTGGTGGAGGGTGTCCAGGTTCTTGGCATGTTGAACAAAGAATTGGACAAAACACACCAACAAAGCAAGGAAAGAATTAAGCAACAAAAGCCGAGATTTATTGAAAATGAAAGTGCACTCCACAGTGTGGGAGCTAGCCGAGCATAGGGGCTCAATGGCCGCCATACAGGATCTTCTCGGGTCCAAATGCCCCCTAGAGGTTTCCTATTGGCCACCTGGTGTTCACCCCATGTAAATGAAGTGGCGGCCCGCAATCAGTCTGATTGGTTGCAGAACCAATCAGAGGCTGAAGTGAAATTACAAAGGTCACACTCCTATGCAAACATCTGATTGGTTGTGGGAAGCAACCAATCAGAGGCTAAAGTGAAGTTTCAAAGTTGTCATTCTATGCAAACGAAGACTTGCCTCTCAATCAGTCTGATTGGTTGTGGGCAGCCACCATCAGAGGGTGAAGTGAAGTTACAAAGGTATGCTCCTATCCAAACGTCTGATTGGTTGCTTTTTGCAACCAATTAGAGGTACTTTCAATTTCCCATCTGCCATGCAGAAAAGGTGGGGGTTTGCAAAGGTTGTAGCCTCTGATCCTTTTGTTACTTAGACATGGAAAGTTAGGGTTTTCCTTTCAATTTAGTTCTATGAAGTTAGTGTGAGATGGCCTTAGGTTCCCTGCCTCCAGACCCTATTCTCCTGCCTCAATGACACATCCCTGCTCACTTTGCAGTTAGGCAGATCATGTGATTAGTGCTGGCCAATGGAATATCAGGAATGACATAACAGGAATGACACTCCTGATATGTCACTGGGGTGAGAAGCTCCAACCCTCTCTTCTCTTGTCATAGTGTTCATGGAAGCCTGTGTTGAGAGAGCCACAGAGCAAAGTATCTGGGACCACTGAGTCACCATATGGAGGAGAGCTACCTGGAACATTCAGGGTGGACTTCGTATAAGTGAGAGGTAAATGTTTGCTGTTAAGCCTCTGACTCACTCATGCTGTTACTGCAGCATCTTCTAGCTTATCCTAGCAGGTCCGGTGTGTGCATTTAGTTTGCTATATCTACTGTCAATTCTAACAATGATCTAGAATCACACTAAATCACAGAAGTTAAAAGCTCAGCCATCGTCTCACAGCATTCTCAAGGAATAACCAAAGTATCTATTACCATCATTCATAACTATTCAGACAAGGCAGAGAGGAAGACATGAATTCCCATTTGAATTAGTGGCATCTCTGTTGGTGGAAATAAAAGAAAATACTGATTTCAGCAAATCTGAGGAATAAACAACCTCATTTCATTGTGCCATAAATTAAATATTTTATGGCCGGGCATGCAGTGGCTCACGCCTGTAATCCCAACACTTTGGGAGGCCGAGGTGGGCAGATCACTTGAGGTCAGAAGTTCAAGACCAGCATGGCCAACATGGTGAAACCCTGTCTCTACTAAAATTACAAAAATTAGCCAGGTGTGGTGGTGCCCGCCTGTACCCGGGAGGCACCACTGCACTGCAGCCTGGGTGATAGAGCGAAATTCTATCTCAAAAAATAAAGAAAAGAACAAAACAAATGAAAAAAAAGTTTTGTTTTGTTTAGCAATAGGCTAATGAAATAAGATTTTAAAAGACTATAAGTCTTAAGTGAAAGCATGCGGTAATTTTTGAATCATTCCTCCCCCTTCTGTTTCTTCCACCTTCTCAGTGTATAGTGTGTTACAAGGGTCTTCTATCCCCAACTCAAGAAGGTGGGACTGCGGATCAGTTGGGATGTATTGGCTGCAAGTAGCAAAACTCCACAACCCAAAGTAGTTTGAAAAATAAAATGGAATTATCTCACATTACTTAAAGTCTGGAGGGCCTGTGAGGCTCAAGGTTGGCTCATCTCAGATTATCTTCCAGGCTGATAGTGACATGGTGCAGCAGTTCCACATGTCACATCCAGATGGAATAAGGTCCAGAAGAAGAAGAGAGGCTGTCTCATCTTCGGTTTCTCACTTAAGGAAAGGAAGCCTTTCTCAGAAGCATTTGTCATGGCCAGAAAGGGTCACCTGCCCAATCCCAAAGTGATCTGTGTTGAGAAAGATTAAATGGCTGTGATTGGTTCAGAACCATTAGCACAGGTGTAAGACGATGAGCATTTGGGTGGCATGGATGCTGTGGAGTCTATCCTGGACTTTATTCCTATTTCCATTGTCTGTAGTCAAGCTCCTCACACACTTATTCCTAGATTTTGTAAAAACTTCTCATCTGCCTGCTCTGGTTCTTGCTGTTTTTTTCCAGTCCACTGTGTAAACCTTTCCAGACAAAGGTTCTTAAAACCTTCTTCTCATGTGGTCACATCCCTATCCAATTATCTTAAATATGTCTTTTTTTTCCTCTTTTTGAGATAGAGTCTCACTTCATCGCCCAGGCTGGAGTGCAGTGGCATTATCTCTGCTCACCACAACTTCTGCCTCCTGGGTTCAAGTGATTCTCATGCCAGCCTCCCAAGTAGCTGGGATTACAGGTGCCTGCCACCATGCCCAGCTAATTTTTGTATTTTTAGTAAAGACAGTGTTTTGCCATGTTGGCCAGTCTGGTCTCTAACTCTTGGCCTTAAGTGATCCCCCAAGCTTGGCCTCCCAAAGTGCTGGGATTATGGGCATGAGCCAACACAGCTGAAATTAAATATGTCCCTCTTAACTTTGACTTTAGGTTCTGCACGTTTTTCTAGACGCAGTTTTTTCACATTGACCTGATCCTTCACCAATATGCAGCCCACACTCTATAAATGGCTCGCCATACTGCCTCCCACACCCAACACATTAATTCCTGTTGTTTCTCTCATCTTGTGTCTCTTACTCCATCTTCTCTGCAGGCCAAACCCTTCCCTTTATTAGACATTCACTTCAAACGCACTTTCTTCTTCTGCTGCTGCTTTTTTTTTTTTTTTTGAAACAGGATCTCACTCTGTTGCCCAGACTGGAGTGCATTGGCGTGATCTCAGGTCACTGCAGCCTCAACCTCCCAGGCTCAAGCCATCCTCCCGCCTCAGCCTCCCAAGTAGCTGGGACTACAGGCACACACTACCACGCCCAGCTAACTTTCACTGTTTGTAGAGGTGGTGACTCACTATGGTGCCCAGGCTGGTCTCGAACTCCTGGATTCAAGTGATCATCCCGCCTCAGCCTCCCAAAGTACTGGGATTACAGGTGTGAACCACCGCGCATGGCTATACTTTCTTCATGAAGGCTTTCTGTCATCAGCCAACTATCTCTCTCCTCATTGAATTCTTATTTC